>NC_000003.12:143705574-144955574 GCF_000001405.40 Homo sapiens | reverse complement strand
CCTCAACTCCGACTCTCTTCACTTAACTAGCCTGACAAGATCTCAATCCTGGTTAAATCCAACTATTCCCACATCTCCTGAATCCAATAAGCTATAAATACCGGATGGGAAAAACAAAACAACAAAACATACCCATTACTATTTGCACAGTCACTTAAAATCATGACCAGAACCTCCAGTGGATGTGTCACGAGAGGGTGATACTGCTTTGTTTTCATACCCTATTTATTTCCATATTCTCCCAGATGGCCAATTACAACTTCTCTTCTCATTTGAGTCTCCAAAAATGCCCTTCAAATGAACAGCTATTAGTGATGGCTTTGTTTCTAATCATACTGAGACAAGAAATTTAATCAGAATGAAACTTCTTTATCTTGTCACCACCATATTCACCAACCTACCTGCTTTTCCATCCATTTTCTCCATTGTTCCTCTACTTTCCTTGAGTAAGCAGATCCATTTGCCTCCTAATATGAAACTTTCCCATGTACGCTTGCATACAGTGTTCTCTTATCCACTCAGATATTTTCTCCTGAACTTTTCCCATGCATCATTTTTTTAAAAATTTTTTCCTCTCAGTAGGTTCATGCATATAGATCGTTCAAAACCTGTAATATATCACATTTTAAAAACAAACAATAGAATACCTGACCTTATATTTTCCTCTAGCTATTTTTTATTTATTGTGTAAAAAGCATAATTAAAAGTCATTTTTATCCTCAGTGAATTCACTTCTTAGGACATAATTGCGTATTTAGCATGGTGACTATCATTAATAATGCTATATTTCATACTTGAAATTTGCCGAGTCAATTTTAAATGGTCTCTCCACACACACACACACACACACACACACACACACAAAAAAAAAGGTAACTATGTGAGGTGATGGATGTATTAATTAGCTTGATCATGATCATTATTTTACAATGTGTGCATATATCCATACATCACACTGTACACCTTAAATACACATAATTTTTTTGTCAATTATTCCTCAATAAATCTGGAAAAAATAAAAAGGTAACTGACTGTTTATAATAAAAAATAGTAATATATTTTGAGTTTTTTATATAAGTATGAAAATTATGGGAGTAGGGGAGATCTGATCTAGCCCAGCCACCACTTGACTTTAGCCTTCAAGTTTCTAATCTAGCTTTGGGAGATATTTAGTTTATAGTTTAAATAATAATAGACCTTCCACAAACTCAGTGGCCTTTGTAAAGCTAATGAGAGACCACCAGGCTAGGGGAAGGAGAGGAGCCTGAATTATGCTAAGGTGTAGACATATGCAATTGCCAGTCATTATTCCAGAGCTCCTGCAAATAACATGATGATTGTAGATTGGCCTTTAGAGATATCTTTGCAAGTTTTTTGCATGTCTGACACCCATGGCTTCACCTGGACCCACAGACCAAAGGCTCCTGCGGCCCCAACCAGAAACAACTCAGCTCATAGGAGGACTGTTTTTCACATCCCTATGATTGCACCCCAACCAATCAGCAGCAAGTACCTATTTCCTAACCACCCCTACCCTGTCCCCCAAACTTTCTTTGAAAAACCCCTTACCTACCAGCCTTGGATAAGAAGATTGTCTCCCACTTGGTATGGCCAGCCTCTTGTCAAAGAAACATTTTCTTTGCTACAAAAACCATGAAAAAAGAATATGAGGTAAATAGCACTACACCAGGAGAGGAAAAATGGAAGTATACTGTTGCAAGGTGCTTATACTTTCCATGATATATACTACTTATATAATACTTATATAATACTACTTAAAGGTAAACTGTGACAAGTTACAAATGCATGCTATAAGCACAAAGCAACCACTAAAGAAGGAAATGAAAACAACACGAAAACTCCAGTTATAGCTGAGACAATAAAGGAAACAATTGACTAACTTACACTCTGTCTCAGTTAATATTAAAAAGGCAATCAATCTATTAAGTCTACTTTCAAAATACATGATAATTTCAACTTCTTACTATCCCAACCACTTAGTCTTGCCAACAGCATCACAGAAGATAGGGGAAGATTGGCAAGTTAACAGATTTTTCTCTCATATCAGATCCCTGTGTTCTTTGTCAGTCTTCTCACATCCAACATCCACAGTTCCAATCCATAAATCGAGAGTTGTTCTTGAGTTTTCTGTTGAGAAGTTGAAAGAATTGCCTTTACATGCTAATGAGGACTAATCTCTGCTTTTTTTTTTTTTATCTTGCCCAAATTTCTATCCAAGGGGTCTGGGGAATCATGCCCTACAAACCATAAATTCTCATTAGATGGGTTTTATTTAACCCTATATATCATAACATACTTTTCAACCTGACTCTGGCATAACATTATGAGACAAGGAAGAAAATCAAAATATTTTACTCCCAAAACATGTTTCTTTGTCTCATTTTGAAATGGCCCTGCAAGCTGTCCTTTGTGGGGGAAAATTCATATCTGTAAAGAATCCCTGTTAACATAGCTGGACCTTTTCTTCCCAGGCCTTCCAATTCTGAACAGATTAACTGAGAGTTTAGCACCTTTCAAAGGGTCTGAAACTTTTGTCATCTATTGTCTGAAGGGGCAGCCACTATAAGACTTCAAAAGAACCTTGGTCTCCACAATCTTTTGTCTTAACCTGAACATTTCCTTTTTATGGCTTCCAGGTCATTAGACAAACTCAACCAATTGTCAACCAGAAAATGTTTAGATTTACTTATAACCTGGAAGCCCTGGCTTTGAGTTGTCCCACCTCTCTGAACCAAACCAATGTATTTCTTACATATATTTAATTGATGCCTCATGCCTCCCTAAAATGTATAAAACCAAGCTGCTCCCCGACCACTTTGGGCACATGTTTTCAGTACCTCCTGAGGGTTGTGTCATGAGCCATGGTCATTCATATTTGGCTCAGAATAAATCTCTTGAAATATTTTACAAGGTTTGACTCTTTTGTCAACACTAATAAATATGTTATTTAGCATCATTTAATCACAAACTTTAAAAAAATGATTTGATGGCTTGTTCTCTTATTCTCTTATTTCAAGCTATTTCATTTTATCATTGATGTAGTTTTCATTCTTTTTTCCTTGTTCTAAAACAGAAAATAAACTGAAAGCTACACAACATAACTACCAGTCCACATTTGGTCTACACAAAAATACACATCACTTGAGCTAGTCTACAAATAGTGGAGAGTAAAAAATGTCATCTAAGATATAGAACTTGTTGATTCATTCCCAAACAAGTAGAATATACTACCATTAGTGTCTTAAAAACAGACATTTTCTGCCTTAAAATTGTCCTATAATATATGTTATTTGTCTAACAGAGAATTCATACTGCAACTTAGCTTTTATTTTTCTGGTTCCCATAGAGACAGCACAGAATTATTTAATATCCATAGTAGAAAATTTTTTAACATTTTATTTTATTTCAGTACAAAAATAATTTTCTTAATAATCATGAAAGGATGGTAAATGCAATATTGAAAGTATTACAGGTTTCAAAATAAATCTAGACATTGCTCCATCCTCTGCTTCTTTGCATTTTTTAAATTTTTATATTTTAGTATTTCCTTGTTAAGCTCCAACTGTTTGAAATTTTTTCATATTTGTATTGTTAGAGTAGGTAATCAGTCAGACATGAGCAGAGTGGGAGAGGACCCCCGCCCAGCAGGAATGTCAGGAGCCGATGAGGTAATGGTCAGATAGTTGTCAAACTATCACTCTAAAATAATAATTGGTTGCAGCTGGAACCAGGGAACCGCTGTCTCCCAGTAGACAGAAACACCTGAAACTGGTGATCAGCAGCTTCCCAATAAGATCTTAGGAGCTGGACAAGTGAGCTCAAGCATTCACATTAATAGGAAAAATGGTAGAGTTTAACTGGCATATGACCTTTCTCTAGGAACACTTGAGAGGTAAAGGAAGAACGTTTCAGGTGAGCACATATACAACTTCAGTGAACACACTGTGCATGTGGCCTCTCCCACTGCACACACAGAATGAAAATTTATACAACTACAAATCAAAGGTAAAACTGAGAACTTGAATCTCTCAAGTTGCCCACTTGGCCCTCTTCCAAATGTAATTCACTTCCTTTCATTCCTTTCTAAAACATTTTAATAAACTTTTACTCCTGCTCTAAAACTTGCCTTGGTCTCTGACTCTGTCTTATGCCCCTATGTCGAGTTCTTTCTTCTGAGGATGCAAAAATTGAGGTTGCTGCAGGCCAGCAAGGATTCACCACTGCTAACAGTATACCTCAATTTAAATATGTTTATTAAATTCAGAATATTTCTGAACCTGTTATTATTTTCTCAAAAACTCCTGCAATTTTTCCAAGTTCCTGCAAGACAAGAAAGCGAACTACTTAGAGGTCAAGTTATACAATTGCTACATCTTTTGTAATCTTTTATGTAAAAGACATTTTGTTTACATCTGTTGTAATCTTTTGTTTTCTTAATTCTTTAATTAGAAAACGATTAGCAATTAACAAAAAAGAATAAATTTTAATTTTAATATATAATTAAAATTCAGTAATGTACTTCATGTACTTTAACAAACAAAAATATTACACATTGCAATTTACACTCATTTTCAAATTTAAAATTGTATATGCAAATAGACATTTTAATGTAATTTGTAATTTAAATTTTCTATTACTATAAAACAACACATTTTATAGTATTCTGGGCTTGGCTTTTAAAATACAATTAACATGTGGTAAAATCATGTTGATGCATGCTAACTTCTCCCCTATACCATATAGAAATTACAAGCTATAAATTTTCTGAAGAAGGAATGACAATTATAGTTGGTTAATTTACGCAATGTGGCATACAACTTAGTACTTTCTTTAATGCTTAAATCACAGTCACACTGGGAATCTTGTAGTGTTGGAAAAATATTGAATGCCAAGTGCTTGACAAATTTATATAATTTCTATCAGATTTCAGGGCAAAAAATCAGAACTGGTTTGGTATAAACTGTCATTTTCTAATAAGCATACCATATTTTCTTCTCTGGTCTTATTGATATGAAATAAAATAACAAAAAATTTACAACCTCATAGATCAATTCTTGTTAACTTCTAATCCTCTCACCTTTAATAACTTATAATACCTTTCTCCACATTATAAGCCTTGGGATAATTCACTTGGATTATACTTAATCTGGCCATTTCATAATTTTCAATGAATGATCACTCACTTGGTACTAAAGGAGGATTTATTCTAAAAAGTTAGCAGATGGAGTACCAATCTCACTGACAAATTAAAAAGGGACATCATTGGTAAATTAAATGTTTTACTTACATGTAATAAACAAAGAAGAGTTTTCTACAATTTTGGATAAGAAGAATTAGATTGTCTTTGAGAATCGTAGGTCAATTTTGGAAGCATCAGCATCACATGGACGGGAGAGTGTGAGTTGGCCAGAAGGTAAGCAGTAAGGGGCGTATGGTCTATATAGAATTAAAAACTATAAGAAAGTCCACCAAAAGACAGTCTGCTTTTATTATTTTCATGTATTCATAATTCCAATCAATATCAGAAATAAAATTATCTGAAAAATCAAATATTTTTGACTCATATTCTAATGATTATCATGATTACTGATGAACTTTAATGACATTCTATATAGAGGTTTCAAGGTAGCACATTTGTATTACTCATTCTTTAATATATATTGTATTCTCCACATAAGTTAATTTGGAAAACACTCAGTTATACTGTTGATTCCCAACACAAGCAGACTCCTGAAATTCACTCTGGACTCAGTTGATATTTCCAACGCCAGTAGTAGTATATATTCCTGCTGTCTTTGACACAGTGGATTTGAAATAAGTAAAGATAGTATAACATACATGTTGTGTAAATTCTATAATTTTACTATGATCTTGAGAAATGAGGCCAGTTCTGGTAATTTATGTACAATTCATTTTGTTTTATAGTACCATGTTATTCCAAATGAGAGTGCTGCTGTAAAGGGCATATATGCCCACTATTTTTTTCTCTCAAATGATAAGAAGGTCATATTTTGCATCATAATGCATGCTGCCCAATGTTATCTAAACACAAATATATCTGATTGTTTAATATATTAGCATAATCTCATCCAGAAATTTAAAAAGTTGGGGTAGGAAAGATTTAGGCCATCTCATTATCTCTAAAGAATGTATCCCCCTATTTACATCTACGACTCTAGGAGATAATGAAAAAAATTAATATCAAAAAAACTAGCCAATGCAGATTTTCATTTGGTGGAAAACTTGTAGATACTTGATTATAACTTATTAATATAGCTCTTATAGAATATTTTTTCATTTCACTTGCATTAGATCAAAAACAATTTTATTCACAAATGTTATTTGTGTCACTCATATATCTGATGCTCATTGGTTTTTGTTTAAAAAGTAATAAAAACTTCCCAGTTTATAATAAGGTTTTAAATTTTTAAGAAGGTCATAGTAACACTAACCCCTTTAGAAAGAGTTTAAATAAAAATCTGTGTAAACCTATAGCAGGTAGATGCAGTCCTCATTGCATGTTGCAGCAAATGTCTTTTCTCAAACAGCTTACGAAGGCTTAACAATAATTGCCTTACTTCTCTCAACTTTACAACACTCCATAAACCTGCCATACCATTGTACGAGGCTGACTAAGCCTGAAGTTGAATACAATGTGTAAATCACAGAAGAAACAAAAAAAAATATACAATTACTGAGAGATTTATGGACATGTTTAATATAAGAAAGAGAATCTCTGCAGAAAGAACAAACAGCATTATGAAGCAGGCATTATAGTTTCAACCTGAAAAACTGTTTTAATAGCAGTTAAGAAGACATGAACAAAAGCAGTAGTTTGATCCAGCATAGGTAAAGCCCTGTATACATTATGCAGGGTTCCTCTCCTTTATGAGAGAATAATACATTTGTCAGCTGGTTTGCCTCAAGATATTAGAAGACATAAAAAAAGTCACAGTGATATATTTTGTTTTATGATTTATTTAAAAATTGCACAACAATTGAAACATAAAGGTCATTGGGCAAAGATTCATCATGTTAAAACCAGTTGTTATCTACCTCTTGAAATTGCAAGATGTGAATATTGAAATTTGTTTCAGTTATGGTTCTTCTGATACATTCCATCAACAAGCAAATTGTTAGTGTTGATGCAAAACTGAAACTCTAAACAAATTATAATAGTAACATAATAGTAAATAGTACTATTTACTATAGTCATACAGTCTTGTTGAAACATATTTGATACAGTAATTTTAGTAGTTCATATAAGAATGTTACAGGTAGTTAAATAGGCATAAGAAGGGCAGGAGGGAGCTTTCCCCCCACCCACTAGAAATGTAGGGTGATGATTCTGCAATTATTGCATTGCCACTCTACAAATGATAATTCGGCAGCCAGGGAGAGACAAGCTCTTGATGGTCCACACCTCTTCACATTAAAAATGTTAATTGAATGCAGGCCCCAGGGAAAAACAGCTTCCTGGGCATGCATATTAAGAGACGAAAATGGCGAAGTATGATCTTCCGGGTACATTCCAGTAGAAAAAGGAAAAGCCTCAGATGGGCATGGGGATAACTCCCTAAACACATTGCATGTGCTTATTTTCCAAGGGTAAGGGAGGGCTCTGTGAATGCGGGCAAACCACACTAAGGGAAGAATCATGAGAAAGAGGTGAGCTTATAAAGGTCCTAGGATCATGGCTAAACAGGGCAGTTGACCTTCTCTCTTTACCCTTCATGTGCCTGCTTGGGTCTCTTCCAAGTGCACCTTCCTTTCTTTCCTGTTCTAAGGTCTTTTTACGTAATCTTCCATTCCTGCTCGGGAACTTGCTTCAGTCTCTTTTTCTACTATATGCTCCTCAGTTAAATTCATTCTTCTGAGGAGGCAAGAACTGAAGTTGGGAGTAAGTATGGGCTATAAATCACACAGAACATATTAATAAAACAGAGATACAGAGACATAAAGTCATGGACCTTTTTAGCAGAAAATAAAAGAGGCAAATGATAGAATAAGGTATAAAATATGTTGAAGTGCAATTACAAAAACAAAGGTTGGGGCAACCAGATACAAAAAATAGTAGCCAGGTAGTTCTCAAAATAAATAAATAAGAAAAATAATCTCCCCTACTGGTTAAATCCATAAGTATTTCGCTATAGGAAGCAGAGTATTATTCAGGAAGAGCAAGAACAAATAGATGTATCATATAAAAATTACAGGAAACCAGGACAAACAGTGTAAAGAAAAGTAAGATGACATATAAATATATCACAACTAGACTCTCACCAGACTTCTAATAAGCAATACCAGACACCTGAAGATAAATTGTTTTTTTACTGATGAGGGAAAATAGCAATGAATGTAGAATTCCATATCTAGCTTATCTATCAATCAATAATTTAAATGAAGTAAAATATTTTTAGACAAACATTAAGAGAATTTATTTCAATCAGTCTTTCACCAAAAGAACCTAAAAAAATGTACTATGGAAATCAAAGCCAAAGAAAGTGAAATACTGAGCTAAGAAAAAGGTATTTAAGTATTTAACCATAAATACATGCTTATTGAAAAAGAGAAAAAAGAGACTAAGTTTAAAGGAGATTACAAATGTAATGGAATAAAACTCTAGGAAACATTACCATAAAAAAAGGATAAAGAGATTAGAGTTAAAATATTTTAATAACTTTTTTTATACTTCTGTAAGTGATATTAAGCTTTGAAATTTGCTATATCAAATATGGATAATAAAAACTGTAAAGATAACCACTAGAAGCACAACAACAGAATGTAAAACTGTCATACCAACATAGAGAAATGATGTACTAGAAAACTTAATTTAATGTAGCTTAAATCAGAAAATAACAACAACAGAACAAACAAAAGGAAACAAAAATAAAGCATGGCAAACAAAGATGAAATATGTTTGATCAAGAAATATTTCACTAGAACAGTGTCCCAAAGATTACAGTGTAGGAGAAGATGCTTCAATTATTTAATCAATAGAGGTGAAGATATTTTTACATATTTTAATAATGTATTTTATAGCATAAAATTTGGTTGCTATGTTTGCTATAAAACAGATTAAATTAAAAATAAAATAATTTTGAAGAGATCTTTGAAGCCTAATTTCATGTTATTATGGAGAACTCTTATTAATGGCTTGTTGACTGCTAACCCCTCTTATTTTACCTCAGACATGGACATTTGTAAATATTTTGTTGAATGGATTACAGAAATTAAGATGATGAGAAGTTCAGTTGTTTGCAAAGACATAGAAAGGTGGATTGTGGGCTCAAATCCAGTTTCTTCAACTAATAAAGGCATTTTTAAATGGCAAAATATATTAATTAAGTTATATGTATGCAAAGAATGTTATATAATTCACTTCCAGGTTCGACTGCAACACATAATGAGGCTGGCAAACATTAGTTCTGCTATGGTCTGTATGTTTGTGCCCTTCCTTCACAAAAAGGTATTAAGTGTTTTCTGGGGGTACATTTTATGGCTTATAGACTCATAAGTGGCACCTACTTTGTGTGTCCTCACACAGTGGGAGAGAAAAAGACAGCTCTCTGATGTGTCTTTTATAAGGGCACTCGTCCCATTTATGAGGGCAGAGTCTTGCTAAAAGCCTCACCTTCAAATACCATCACATTGGATATTAGGCATTAATTGATATTTTTGTGTGTATGAAGTAAGGGACATTGATCCCACTCTGGCTCCCTCTACTATCCTTATCTCACCAAAAGGGAGGATGAAACTATGCAATTAGAGAAACATTTGTGGAGGTCAAAGTCCAAAGATAATAGAGCCACTAAAAGCTGGAAATTTAATTATAAGATTATAGAACACTTGTCCTACCCCATACCTTACCACCACATCAATAGGGGTCCAAGGCAATTATAGTGAATTCCAATAAGGGCTGCAAAACAGGACCCCCACTGATTAGCAGTACTAAGGGAAGCCTTCAACTAATACAGGAGACCAAACTGGGACAGAGAGAAATTTTAAGACTGGCACATACACATATAGCAAACACTGAACACAGCCCAACTCCTAGCCAGATTTAAATAAATTCTCACACTAATACTCTGTTTACCTTATTTTCTATTACTCAATACATGTCCAGAGAGCAACAGAAAACTACAAAGTGTACCAAGAGGCAAAAATAAAAATAAAAATCACAGTCTGAAGAGACAAATCTAACAGCAGGATGAAAATCAAATATGACATAGATATTGGAATTATCAGATAAAATTAAAAATATTGATAATATTTAAAGTATATGAAGCATTCTGATAGAAAAACTAGACACCATGCAAGAACAGATAGGTAATGTAACCAGAGAGATGAAAACTCTAAAAAACAGTTGTAAAAAGAAATGAAAGAAATAAAAAACACTGTAATAGAAATGAAAAATGCCTTCAAGGGGATCATCAGTAGACTAGACACAGCAGATGAGAGAATTAGGAACCTTGGAGATAGGTCAATGAAATGAAAAAAAAAAGGGAAAAAGGATAGAAACTAAACAAACAAAACTTAGCATCTAAGACTTGTGGGACAATTTCAAATGTTGTAACATATGAATAATTAGAATATCAGAAGAAGAAAAGAAGGCAAATGAAATATTTGCAGTAGTAAAGCCTAAGAACTTTCTAAAATTGATGAAAAGATCAAACCACACAGAGAACATTAAGCAGTATTTTTTAAAATCATCTAGGCATTTCATATTCAAATTGAAGAAAATCTTGGACAAAAGAAAATCTTGACACAAAGCAGATGAGGTAGACAAACTTACCTAAAGAAAAAAAAAAAGAATTATAGCACACTTTTAAAGAGAAACCATGCATATAAGAAGAGGGTGGAATAAAATATTTGAAGTGTTAAAATAAAAAAATCAAACAAAAATTTAGAAGTCTATATGCAGTAAAATTATCCTGCAAAAGTGAAAGAAAAATACTTTATTAGACAAAATTGAGTGACTTTGTCACCAGCAGAATTGTCTGCAAGAAATGTTAAAAAGAAAGAAAAAGAGGTGGCAAAAGATGACAAAGGAGAGGAGGAAAAGAGATGGGAAGTATGAAATGGAGGAGGAAAGAAAAAAAGAAAATTTATAGATTGGAAAGAAAGAAAGAGGACAGTGTTCTTCCACAGATGATGTGATTGCCTATGTAGAAAGTTCCAAAGATTTTGCAAGAAAACTTCTTAAACTAATAAGCAAGTATAGAAAGTTTTTAGTATCCAAGATCAGTATGTAAAAGACAATTATTTTCTAATATAGCAGCAATAAAAATGAAATACAAGAATTTTTAAAATACTATTCATAAGATTTGCAAAGATAAAACACGGGTCTAAATCTAACAAAATAAATACAGAATTTGTATGTAGAAAACTATGAAACACTGATTAAAAAAATCTACAGGTACAAATATACTATGTTCATGCATTGGAAAACTCAATATTGTTAAGATAACAATCCTTAATTAATTCATAGATTTGACACAAACCAAATCAACATGTCAGCAAGCTATTTTGTAGATAGCTATAACCTTATTCTAAATTTTATGTGGAAAGGCAAAAGAGCCAGAATAGCCAATACGATATCAAAAAAGAAGAAAACAGTTGGAGAGCTCAAGAGAGAAAGATGTTGGCAAAAGAATAGACACATGAATCAATGTAACTAAGTAGCTCAGAAATAGACACACATAAATGTACTCAACTGATTTTTTAAAGATTCAAAGACAATTTAAAAATATTATAGAAAGTATAAACTACAATATACAATATAATTTCTCTATATTAGTTGCTAAAATATAATGTTTTCAGGAAATGGTGCTGGATAATTGGATATCCATATGCAAAAAAAGTACATACTGACTTGACACCTTGCTCAAAAATTGACTTGTAATTAGTAAAAGACTTAAATGTAAACTGCAAAACTATACAACTTATAGGAAAACATTTATGTGCCCTTGGGTTTGGGGTGAAGTTTTATATAGAATAAGTAAAGCAGGATGTATTAAAAATGATAAGTTAGACTTTATTAAATTTAAAAACTTCAGCTCTGCGAAAATATGAAAATAATTGCAAATCACACCTAAGTCCTGACAAGGACTTAGTTCAAAAATATCCAGATAATACTTAAACCTAACAATATAAAAATAAACAGCTTAATTTTTTAAAAGTGATCTGAACAGACAACTTACCAAAGAAGATATATAAATGGTAAATAAGCATATGAAAATATTTTTAACATAATTGATTATTTGGATATACAAATGAAAACAACGAGATACCACAGCACCCCCATTAGACTGATTAAATTCACAATTTCACAATATTATTTGCTAGTGAGAATTAAAAGTAAAATAAACTGGCATTGTCTCTGATAATGCAAAGTGTGCAGCTGCTTTGAACAACAGTTTGGGAGTTTCTCACAAAGCTAAACATAGTCTTACTATAAGACCCAGCAATTTTGCTCCTACGCATTTATCCAACTGATTCGAAAACTTATGTACACACAAAACCTACACGAAAATATTTATAGCAACTTTATGCAAAATCATCAAATATTGGAAGCAACCAAGATGTCCTTCAATAGATAAATGGATAAACAAATCATAGAATATCCATACAGATGAATATTTTTCTGCAATAAAAAAGGAATGATCTATATAAAACCATGCAAATATGTGGATTACTCTTAAATGCATATTGTTTAGCGAAGAAGTCAGTTGAAAAGACTACATACTGTAGTATTCCAATTATGTGACCTTCTGGGCCTTCTAGGTAATATAAACACTACAGACTATTAAAAGTTAAGTATGTGCCAAGTTGCAGAAAGCAGAGGTGAATAGGTGAAACACAGGGGATTTTTGAGTGCAGTTACAATATTTTGTATGATGAGGTGGTGGTAAATACATGATGCTGTGCATTTTTCAAAATACATAGAAGTTTACGGTGCAAATGGTGACCTTAATGTTTGCTATGTAAAAGAGAAATCATTTAGGAAGTCAGATGACTCCCAGATGAAAAGCAGAATATGGCAAAACAATATAACTGCACTTCAAATATAAGAAGCAATCATGCTTAATGGAGTGGATGAAAAGATACTGACCTAAGTATTAACTATGGAAATGAGTGTAATCTGGAAGACCAAAGCCAAAAGATAGTGTATGGAAGCACTATAATCAAGTTGATAAACTTTTTCTCATGAGGATATGAGTCAACAAATCTGAAATGACTATGCATGTATAGTGGAATTGAAGAATTAAGTAAACAGATAGTGGATGGTGGAAGCCAGGTTTCTCACTGTCTGAGTAAGAAGTTTTGGAGAAGCAGGAGGAGCAGGTTAGGATGATTCATGTGGTAATGTATTGGTGTTGGAGATTTCAGTATAAACTCATGTTTAGCTTAACACAGAGATAGTTACGTATTGCTATGATATTAATATTATTGTTTCCTCAAATTCCATATGTTGGAAACTAATCACAAATGTAACAGAATTAGGAGGTAAGATATTTGGAGAGGTAATTAAGTCATGGGGACAGAGTTATCATGAATGGCATTTGTGCCCTGATAAAACATACATACACACACACACACACACACACACGGAGCATATTTACCCCAGCCACCATGTGAGGACACAGCTAAAAGGCACCATATATGAACCAGGAAACAGGCCTTCCCCAGACAACAAATTTTCCAGTGCATTTATCTTGGACTTCTCAACATCAAGAACTGTGAGAAAGAAATGTCTGCTGTTTGTAAGCCACCCAGTCAATGTTTTTTGCCACAGCAGCCCAAACAGACTAAGACACATATAGAAATATTTATAGATATAGGCCATATGAGAAAGCCTAGAAGCAATAATGCTCCTGTAGCAATCAGCACACCTAGCACCCAAATATCGATTTGTAATATTATTTTCCAATAAAAGGACCCAGGGATCCTTGGATAAATGATGCTTCTAAAATTGGGCCAAGATATATGCAAGGTGAGTCCAAAGCTTCTTTAGTGACAAAAGGTAAGAAAGTCCTAACACACACACACACACACACACACACACACACACACACACACACACACACACGATGGGCTATGTTAAAAGGGCTCAGAAGCCAATTGAAAGTGCTCCCAATTTTCAAACCTGGAATCATTTGAACAACAAAAAAGTTAGTATTATATTATAACTGAAAGTCTAAAAAAAATACATGAGTCCCTACTTACAAAAATACATGATTGAATAAATAAATGAGGACAAAACTCCATCTCTTGTGCAATAGAATGCCAAGTAATTTACTTAGATAATTTACCCTTAAAGAGTTGGAGCATAACTCTTTATTTCTTAATGTTGGAGTTCATGTGTGAGCATAACTCCTCATTCTTTCATGTCATTATTGAGAGACGTCTATGAGTAATCCTCAAAACTATCAAAGTCATCAAAAACAAGGAAAGTCAAAGAAACTGTCATAGCTAAGAGCTGCCTAAGGACATGAGGACTAAATGTAGTGTTATCCTGCATGTTATTCTGGAACAGAAAAAAGACATTTGTTAAAAACTAAAGAAATTTGAAAGCAGTATGGACATTAGTTAATAATAATGTGTCAATATTGCATCATTAATTCTGACATTAGATATCATAATATGAGATGTTAACAATAGTAGAATCCTGATGTGGGTCTAATAGGCAGAGTAACATTTTGGCACAAAGATGTCCAGGTCCTAATCTCCAGAACCTGTGGATATGTTGCTTTGAAGACTCCAAGATAAGGAGGTTATATTGGATTATCTGTGTGGGCCCAATCTAATCACACAAATCCTGAAAAGCAGAGAACTTATCCTGATTGTATTGAGAGATGAGATACGAGAATAAGGAGAGGAATAATTTGAAGCATGAAAGCAACTCTATCAGGCAACATTGGCTTTGAAGATGAAGGAGAGGGATTGGGAACCATGGAATGTAGGTGTCCAATAGAAGGTGGAAATCAAGTCTCTCCTGGAGACTTCAGAAAGAGACACAGCTCCATGGACAACTTGATTTTAGCCCTGTGAGACCCGTGTCCAACTTCTTACCTACAGAACTGTAGATGATGAATTGGAGTTTATTGTGTTTTGTTTTGTTTTTAAGATGCTACATTTGCAGTAATTTGTTACCGTGATAATAATAATAAAAATATATAAGGTTATATGGGAACTCTGTGATATCTGCACAATTTTTCTGTGAATCTAAATCTATTTTAAAATAAGAATCTTACTTAAATAGAATGTCAGTCAATGTTTTGAAGCTAAATGAAGAATAAACTTGAGAAGGAAGAATATATTATTTGCATATAATGTATCTGTGAGAAGATTGAGTAAACAAATTAATTTAACTGAAGTGCTATAAAATATAAAATTCACTGGTCTAATGACTCATCCACCTAAACCCTTTTATCATATTGCCAACTTTATGTCCAAGAAATGTCCTATTATGAATAATAACCTAGTGTACCTCGAGCTTGAATGGCACAAAATTTTCCAACATTCTGTTGTACTTTTCCTAAAATAGCTGAATGCTCATTCTCTGTGTGTGGAGAAGTCCAGAGACATTTTGCTTATCTCCAAGGGCCTTCAGGGGAGGACTGTCTTCAGATTTAGCTCTTGCTACACCCTCCACCCAGACTGCCCTTCCACAACCTTCATCAGTCTCCCTGTTCCAGCTTCCTTCCTATTTTTGTTCCCTCCATACTTCATATTGGACAAAACTCTTCTTCATTTAAGCAACAGCAATGTTATCATCATTTTTTTGGACCATGTTGTAGAAAGCAACTTTATTTTCTGTGTGCCTGGCAATTGTCATCTATGCTCTGCGATAGATGACTTAGAGGTCAGCCTGGCATTCTCAGGGCACAACAATCAGATTATAAGATCTTTACCTTACATTCCTGCTTCATCTTTCTTTCTTCACTGCAGAGATGATTATAAAATCTCAAAGTTCCTCTTTCCATTTCCAGAAGAATTCACCTATCCACTTGTTTTTCCCTGTATTTCAGAACATTCCAAAAAAGGAATGGTGTTCATTTTTTACATTGAAATCCATACATCAAGGTTGTTTTCAAAACGAAGCCATCTATTTTAACATGGATTATGCTGCCACAATAGTTTGCTTTAAAAAATCATATACATATAAATATATTGACTACAAATATAAAAATAGCTCACCCATTCTTAAAATATCTCCCCAAGTAACCAACATTAGTATTTAGTATCTGTGTACAGTAGATTTCAAACTATGTATAGCTATTGTCTCCGTGTTAGACCAACTTCTTTGATTTTTATTCAAAAATTAACCTTGCCTAATTTAAGCAAAAAGAACATTTGTTGAAATTATAGTGAAATAATTCAAAGAATTGAAAAGAGATGACCAATTAATCCTTAGAAGACAGGCAAGCCTTGAGGCAAAAGTTAGTGAGCGTGAAGGATCTTCATCCAGGGGCACTTCCATGGGGTAAGTCAGTTGACTAGCCCCGCAATTTTATGTCTCTGTGTGCAATGTCAAGCTTGAGTGAGAAGATTTGATTCATCTGGATTGGGACAGTAATGACAAATTTGGAAGCATTTAGCCATGGTCAGGGATTATGGGGAAAAAAAAGAAGAAGTTAAAAGCATTGCCATGGCTCCAGGAGAAATCACTGTGAGCTAAATTGTCGTCTAATTGAATCTACTCCTCATACCACCAAAATAACTGTGATAAGGTGAATATCAATATTTTCACATATGCTCATATATGAAATATTCTGCTGTTACAAGGAAACAAGTTATATTGACTGAAATAAATTACTTTCAATAATAAAAATATGATACTTAGAAATAATCTCTAAAAACTCCAAATTGATCTGAAATTAAAAGAGATAAATAGGACACAGGAATCAATGTTGGGCAAATTTTCAAAGGGGCATGCTCACAAAACATTAAATATTTGTTTAGAAAAGAGAAACTGATTAGAGTTGACAGAAGCACAAGAGAAAAGCAAAACAATAAGAAGATTGTGAGTTAACTTAGCTGCAGATTTTGACCAAAATAAAGATGGAACTTTTTGAATATTTAGAAATCTAAGATTAACTGGGCCCCATATAAAATATCATTTTAAGTTACCTATTTCTGAATATTTAAAGAGAGACATATCTAATTATAGCCTTTATATTTAGAGATGTGTGTCATGTTTGTATTTGTCTTTTTTAAAATTTATTTTTTATTTTATTTAATTTTTAATTTTTATTTTGATGGATATACCATAAGTACATATATTTGTGGGATGCATAGATGTTTTGATACAGGCATGCAATGCGTATTAATCACATGACGTAAAATGAGATATCTATCCCCTCACCATTTATCCTTTGTGGTACAAACAATCCAATTATACACTTTAAGATATTTTTAAATGTTATTGACTACAGTCACCCTGTTGTGCTATCAAACACTAGGTCTTATTCATTCTTTCAATTTTTTTTCATCCATTAATCATCCCACCTTCCCCCAACTCCACCCCACCCCACCCCACTACCCTTCCCAGCCTCTGGTAACCATCTTTCTACTCTTTATCTCTGTGAGTTCAATTGTTTTGATTTTTGATCCAACAAATAAGTGAGAACACAGAATATTTGTCTTTTTGCACTTGGCTTATTTCACTTAACATAATGATCTCCAGTTTCATACACGTTGTTGCAAATTACAGCATCTCATTCTTTTGTATGGCTAAATAGTACTCCATTGTGTAAAAGTACCACATTTTTTTTTCTTTTATTTTTCTTTCTTTTTTTTTTTTTAGATGGAGCCTCACTCTGTCGCCAGGCTGGAGTGCAGTGGTGTGATCTTGGCTCACTGCAACCTCCACCTTCCCAGTCCAAGCAATTCTCCTGCCTCAGCCTCCCAAGTAGCTGGGACTACAAGCACGTGCCACCACATAGCTAATTTTTGTATGTTTAGTAGAGACAGGGTTTCGCCATGTTGGCCAGGATGGTCTCGATCTCTTGACCTCATTATCCACCCAACTTGGCCTCCCAAAGTGCTGGGATTATAGGCATGAGCCACCAGGCCTGGCCAAAAGTATGATATTTTCTTTATCCAGTTGTCTGTTGATAGACACATAGGTTGCTTCCAAATTTCAGCAATCGTGAACAGTACTGCAACAAACATGAGAATGCAAATATCTCTTTTATATATAGATTTTCTTTCTTGTTGGGTATAGACCCAGCAGCAGGATTGCTGGATAATATGATAGCTCTATTTTTAGTTTCTTGAGGAAGCTTCAAACTATTCATGATAGTGGTGTGTGAATTTACATTCGCACCTACAGTGTACAAGTCCTCACTTTTCTCCACATCCTTCCCAGCATTTGTTATTGCCTGTCTTTTGGATATAAGCCATTTTCACTGGGGTGAGATGATATCTCATTGTAGTTTTGATTTGCTTTCTCTGATGATCAATGATGGTGAGCACCTTTTCATACACCTGTATTTCATTTGTATGTCTTTTTTTGAGAATTGTCTATCCAAATTTTTTGCCATTTTTAAATTTGGAGTATCAATTTTTTTTCCTGTAGAGTTGTTTGAACTCTTCATATATTCTGGTTATTAATCCCTTGTCAGATGGATAGTTTGCAAGTATTTTCTCCCATTCTGGGGGTTGTCTCTTCACTTTGTAAATTGTTTCCTGTGCCGTAAAGAAGCTTTTTAACTTAATTTTATTCAATTTGTCCATTTTTGCTGTGGCTGCCTGCTAGTGGGGTATTATTCACAAAATTTTTTCCCAGATCAATGTCGTGGAGTTTTCTTGTAGGAGTTTGGTAACTTGAGGTCTTATATTTAAGTCTTTAATCCATTTTATTTGATTTTTCTTAATATGACAAGATACAGGGGTCTTGTTTCATCCATCTACATATGGGCATCCAGCTTTCTCAGCACTGTTTATTGAAGAGATTGTCCTTTCTCCAGTGTATGTTCTTGGCACTTTTGTTGAAAATGAGTGCACTGTAAGTATGTGGATTTGTTTCTGGGAGCTCTATTCAGTTCCATTTCTCTATGTGTCTATTTTTATGCCAGCACCATGCTGTTTCAGTAACCATAGCTCTGTATTATAATTTGAAGTTAGATAATGTGATTCTTTCAGTTTTGTTCTTTTTGCTTAAGACAGCTTTGGCTATTCTGGGTTTTTTGTGGTTCCATATAAATTTTAGGATTTTTTTTTCTATTTCTCTGAGGAATGACATTGGTATTTAGGGATTGCATTGAATTTGTAGATTGCTTTGGGTAATATGGACATTTTTGCAATATTGATTCTTCCAATCCATGAACATAAAATCGCATTCCATTTTTTGTGTCCTCATTAATTTATTCCACCAGTGTTTTGCAGTTTTCATTACAGGGATCTTTCACTTCTTTGGTTAAATTAATTCCTAGGAATTTAATTTTTATTTGTGGTTAGTACAAATGGGATTACTTTCCTGATTTCTTTTTCAGATTGTTCACTGTTAGCATATATAGAAATGCTACTGATTTTTGTATGTTGCTTTTGTATCCTACAACTTTACTAAATTTGTTTATCACGTTGAATAGTTTTTTGGTGGAATCATTAGCTTTTTCCAAATATAAGATCATATCCACTGCAAAAAATAAATAATTTGACTTCTTTCTTTCAATCTGGATATCCTTTATATCTTTCTCTTATCTGAATGCTCTAGCTAGGACTTCCAGTACTATCTTAAATAACAGGCAAAAGTGAATATCCTTGTTGTGTTATAGATACTAGAAAGAAGCCTTTTGGTTTCTGCCTATGCAGTATAATAGTAGCGCTGGATCTGTTATACATGGCTTGGCTTTTTAAATGTTGAGATATATTTCTTCTATACCCAGTTTTGGGGGGTTTTTATCATGAAAGTATATTGAGTTATATCAAATGCTTTTCAGCATCAATTGAAATGATTATATGGTTTTGTCCTTCATTCTGTTCATGTAATGTAACACAGATTGATTTGCATATCTTGAACCATCCTTGCATTTCTGGGATAAATCCCACTTGCTCATGATGAATAATGTCTTTTACATATTGTTGAATTCAGTTGGCTTATATTTTGCTGAGGATTTCTGCATCAATATCTATCAGAGATATTGGTCTGTCTTTTTTTTATGTGTCATTGTCTGGCTTTAGAATCAGGGTAATACTGGTCTCACAGAATGAATTTGGAAGTATTCCTTCCTCTTCTGTTTTTCAGATTAGTTTGAAAAGGATTGCTATTCCTTTACATGTTTGGTAGAATTCAGCAGTCAAGGCATCAGGTCCTGGACTTTTCTTTATTGAGCTTTTTTTTTATGGCTTTGATCTTATTACCTGTTATTGATCTGTTCAGATTTTGGATTTCTTCATGATTCAATTGTGATATGTTGTATGTATCTATGAATGTATCCATTTCTTCTAGATTTTCCAATTTATTGGCCTATAATTGCTCACAGTAACCACCAGTGATTCTATGAATTTCTATGTTATCAGTTTTAATGTATCCTTTTTCACCCTTGATTTTATTTATTTGTATTTTCTTTTTTTCTAAGTTAGTCTGGCTAAAAGTTCGTCAATTTTGTTTGTTTTTCAGAAAATCCCAACTTTTTGTTTCATTGATCCTTTATATTATGTTTCCTCATTTCAATTTTATTCATTTCTGCTCTGATCTACATTACTTTTTTTCTTCTACTTATTTTGGGTTTGGTTTACTCTTACTTTTCTAGTACTTTAAGATGCTTCATTAGATTTTTTTTTTAATGTAAGTGCTTATAGCTCTAAACTTTCCACTTTGTACTGCTCTTGCTGTATCCCATAGGTTTGGTATGTTGTGTTTCCGTTATTATTTGTTTCAATAATTTTTCCATTATTTTCTTAGTTTCTTCATTGATCCACTGATCATTTGGGAGCATATTGTTTAATTTTCATGTATTTGCATAGTTTCCAAAATTCCTCTTGTTATTGATGTCTAGTTTAATTCCATTGTGGTCAAAGAAGATGCTTGGTATTACTTCAATTTTTTTGGATAAGATTTTTTTGTGATGTAATATATAGTGTCTTTTTGAGAATAATCAATGTACTGAGGAAAATAGTGTATATTCTGCAGTCTGATGTTTCCTGGTTGATTTTCTGTCTGGAAGATCTGTCCATTGCTGAAAATGGGATGTTGAAGTCTCTAGCTATTATTGTATCGGGGCCTGTCTCTCTCTTTAGCTCTAACAATATTTGCTTTATATATTTGTGTGTTCCCATGTTGGATGCACATGTATTTAAAATTGTTATATTCTCTTGCTGAATTGACTGCTTGTTATATGGTGACCTTTTTATATTTATTGTATTAAAATCTACTTTGTCTAATATCAATCAGTATAACTAATCCTGCTCTTTTGTAGTTTCCATTGACATGCAGTATCTTTTTCTATTTCTTATTTTCAGTCTATGTGTGTCTTCATAGGTGAAATATGTTTCATGTAGGCAACAGATTGGTGGGTCTTTTTTATTCATTCAGCCACTCTGTGTCTTCTAATTGGAAAGTTTTTACATTCCAATTTACATTTACATTCAATCCATTTACATTCGGTCCATTTACATTCAGTGTTCTTATTGATAAGTAAAGACTTGCTTCTGCCATTTTGTCAACTGTTTTCTGGTTGTTTTCCCTTCTTTCTTTTCTTCCTGTCTTCCTTTAGTGAAGGTGATTTTCTTTGGTGATATGATTTTGTTTCTTGCTTTTTATTTTTTTGTGTGTCTTTTGTATGTATTTTGATTTGAGGTTACCATGAGGCTTGCAAATACTATCTTATAATCCATTATTTTAACCTGATAAAAACTTAATGTGATTTGCAAAAGCAAACAAACAAGAAAAAATAAAACTAATAAAAATTCTATGCTATAACTTCATCCCCTCATGTTTTAACTTTTTGCATTTCTATTTATATCCTATTGTACTGTCTATGTCTTGAAAAATTGTTGTATTAATTAATATTTTTGATCAGTCATCATTTAATCTTTTTACTTAAGATAAGAGTAGCTTACAAACCACAATTACAATTATAATATTCTGTATTTTTCCGGGTACTTACTACTACCAATAAGTTTTGTACCATCAGATTTCTTATTGCTCACTAATGTTCTCTTCTTTCTGTTTGAAGTACTTCCTTTAGCATTTATTGTAGGACAGGTCTGGTGCTGATGAAATCCTTCATCTTTGTCTGGGAAAGTCTTTATTTTTCCTTCACATTTGAAAGATATTTTCTCTGAATACACTATTCTAGAGTAAATTTTCTTTTCTTCAGCACTTTAAATATGTCATGCTACTTTCCCCTGGCCTGTAAGGTTGCCACTGAAAAGTCTGCTGCCAGAAGTATTAGAGCTTCATTGTATTTTATTTATTTTCTCTTGCTGCTTTTAAGATATTTTCTTTATCTTTGACCTTTGAGAATTTGATTATTAAATGCCTTGAGGTAGTCTTCTTTGGTTAAACCTGCTTAGTGTTCTATAACCTTCTTTTTCTTGGATATTTATATCTTTCTCTAGGTTTGGTAAGTCCTCTGTTATTACCCCTTTGGATAAACTTTCTACACTTTCTCTTTCTCTACCTTCTCTTTAAGGCCAATAACTCTTTTAGATTTGCTTTTATGAGGCTATTGACTAGATTCTATACATGTGCTTCATTGGTTTTTATTCTTTTTTCTTTTGTGTCCTCTGACTGTATATTTTCAAATGGCCTGTCTTCAAGCTCACTAATTCTTTCTTCTGCTTGATCAATTCAGCTATTAAAAGACTCTTATGCATTCTTCAGTATGCTGGTTTCATTTTTCAGCTGCAGAATTTATGCTTGTTTCTGTTTAATTATTTCAATCTATTTGTTAAACTTGTGTGATATAATTCTGATTTCCTCTCTGTGTTATCTTGGAGCTCATGTTTTCCTGGATGTTTTTGAAACTTTTAGATGTTCATCAATGCTTGGGCATTGAAGAGTTAGGAAAATGTATTGTAGCCTTCTCAGTCTTGGCTTGTTTGTATTCATCTTTGGGAAGGCTCTCCAGATATTCAAAAGGACTTGGGTGTTGTGATATAAACTGTGTCTGCTTTAGGAGGCACCCTAATCCCAGTAACACTGTGGTTCTTAGACTCCTAGAGGTACTGCCTTGATGGTCTATGATAAGATCTGGAAGAATTCTGTGGGTTACCAGGCAGAGACTTCTGTTTTCTTTCCTTACTTTCTCCCAAACAAATGGAGTTTCTCTCTCTCTCTCTTTCAGTTCTGAGCCACCTGGAGCTGGGAGCGAAGTGACACAAACACCTCTGCTGCCACCATCACTATGACTGTGCTAAGTCAGACTTGAGGCCAGTGCAGCATTGGGTCTGGCCCAAGGCATGTTGTAACCAATCCCTGGCTATGGCCTATATTCATTCAAGGCCCTGGGCTCCAAAATTTGCAGGTATAAAACCTGGCCAGGCCTGTGTCCTTTTCTTCCAGGGGTGGGGGTGTGCAAGTTTCCTTAGGCCCCAGAGGGGGCCAGAAGTGTTGTCCAGAAGCCAGGGACTAGAGTCAAAAACCTTGGAATCCTACCTGGTATTCTATTGTACTGTGGCTCAGCTGACACTCAAACTATGAGACACAGTCCTTCCCACTCTTTCCTGTCCTTTCCAAAGGCAGAGGAGCCTCACCTCATGTCCACCACCACCACCACAGGCCCATGGGCATACTGCCAGACTGCCATTGATGTTCCCTTAATACCCAAGGACTCTTCAGTCAATTTGTGGTGAATGCTCTCTGGCCTGGGACTCATCCTTCAGGGCAGTGGGCTCCCGTCTGGCCCAGGGCAGGTCCAGAAACACTGTTCAAGAGCTAAGTCCTGGAATTGGAGACCCCAAGAGCCTGCTTGGTGTTCTAACCCCTTTTGGCCAAACTGGGATCTAAGGTGCAAGATAAAGTCCCCTTTACTTTTCTCTCCACTTTTCTCAAGTGGAAGGAGTCTCAACCCATAGCCACCATTGCTAGATAGGTCCTGAGTCTCACCTGAAGCCAGCAAGCTTGAGTCTCACCCACGGCCCTTGACATAGTACCTGAGTATTGCTACTGGTTATTCAGGGCCCAAGGGCTCTTCAGTTAGCTAGTGACAATTCCTGTCAGGACTGGGATTATTCCTTTAAGGCAGTAGGTTCCCTTCTGGCTCAGGATGTGTCTAGAAATGTTGTCTAGGAGCTAGGATCTCAAAAAGGAGCCTCAGAACTCTGATCAGTGACATATCCTGCTGTGGCTGAGCTGGTATTCAAGATGCATGACAACATCCTTTTCCATTCTTCCCTCTCCTCTCCTCAAGCTTAGGAAAGGTGTCTCTTTTGGACTGCTGAGTTGTGCAGCCTGAGAATAGGGGAGAGGTGATGCTAGCAGCCCCTTAGCCACTCAGGCTGGTGTCTCAGTAGGTCATATGCCCCCACAGTCCATGGTCTCTGTCCATTTCAGACTTAGTGCCCCAGAGCATTTTACCCCATGGTGGCCAGTCTTTTGGGAGCTCAAGTTTGCAAAGCTGGGATCAGAGATTCCCCTCTGGCTAGTGCTGGTTTAAATGCTCTCTCCATGTGCAGGTATCAGCTGAGTTTGATCTGGTTTTGTTTTCTGTTATAACAGGGCAACACTGAGTTCAATGCCTCACAATTGCTGCAGTCTCCCACTCCCACGTGCACAGAAATGCTCTCTGCACCACACCGCTGCTGCAGTAAGATGGAGAAAGGGTGGTGTCCACAGTTTGACTGTTTTCCCTATATCTTCAGTGCCTCTTTCAGAGATATAAAGTTAAAAGCAGATACTGTGAGTCTTTACCTAATTTTTGGTTCTTATGAAGGTTTTTTGTTATGTAGATAGCTGCTAAATGGATGTCCTTGCAGGGGGAACAATTGATATAGCCTTCTATTTGTATTTGTCTGTCCTGCTCTACCCCTCTCCTAAAGTTGTCTTTGAGTAACAACAAAGGAAAACTAATAAATCAATGTTCCATTGATATGCAATAAGTTTTGAACAACTAATTTAAAAAGTCACCTCAATAACGTACATAAACCATAATATTTGCCTCCCTACATCTCATGTAGATTTGGCTAAAGGATGCCAATACGCTGAAATACACCACACACACACACACACACACACACACATACACGTTATATATTATTTATAATTATATATTATCAATTAGAATTTTGTATATATATGTCTTGTATATTTATATATGTAATTATAAACAGCATTGCCAGTTAAAAAGCAACTTTGAAGGCCAAAGGTAATTTTTTTTGTAATTTTTATTTTAACTTCAGGAGGTACATGTGCAGGTTTGTTACATGGGTAAATTGAGTGTCGCTGGGGTTCTGTGTACAAATTATTTCATCATTCAGGTGGTGATCATAGTGCCCAGCAAATATTTTTTTGGTCCTCACCCTCCTACCCTCCATCCTCAAGTAAGTCCTGATGTCCTTTGTTCCTCTCTTTGTGTCCATGTCTATTCAATGTTTAGCACCCACTTATAAGTGAGAAAATGTGATATTTGGATTTCTATTCCTGCATTAATTTACTTAATATAATGGCCTCCAGCTGTATCCATATTGTTGCAAAAGATTAATTTCATTCCTTTTTTATGGCTGCATAGTAATCCGTGGTGTATATGTGACACATTTTCTTCATCTAGTCCACCACTAGTAGGCATCTAGGTTGATTTCAAAATTGTGCTATTGCAAATAGTGCGGCAATGAACATATGAGTACATGTGTCTTTATGATGGAATTATTTATTTTCCTTTGGATATATAGCCAGGAATGGGATTGCTGGGTTAAATGGTACTTCTGTTTTAAGTTCTTAGAGAAATCTTCAAACTGCTTTTTACAGTAACTGGACTAATTTACATTCCCACCAGTAATGTATAAGTGCTCTCTTTACTCTGCAACCTTGCCAAAATCTATTATTTTTTACTTCTTATAATAGCCATTCTGACTGGTATGAGCTGGTATCGCCTTGTGGTTTTTATTTGCATTTCTCTAATGATTAGTGATGTTCAGCATGTTTTCATATGCTTGTTGGCCTAGTGTATGTCTTCTGTTGAGAAGTGTCTTTTTATATTACCAAAGGTAATTTCAAGTGTAGGTTCTATAAATGTTTAGCATTTATATAAAAACTTTAAAATAAAAGAAAGTTAAAATAAGATACATTTATTAAAAATTTAAGAACTAGAAGGGCAATTTTATGGATATTTCTAATCATATTTATAATCACACTTATGTAACTAAATCTTATGCAAGTCATATAGACATACATTACGGTTCCATAATGACACAATTAAGGACAAAAAATATCAGAGCTGCCTTCTATAAGCAGATTGTTTTGTTTTTTGCAGAAACTTTATTGTACATGTGATCAATGCCATGATAGCAGTTAAATAAAATATTCATTTACATTTTCTATATACCATTAGTACAAGAAAGAAGGAATCAATCCACTGATAGAAAGAATAAAAATATAAAATGTGTCAGGTGCAGTGGCTTATGTCTGTAATGCCAGTACTTTGGGAGGCCGAAACAGGAGTGTCACTTGAGGTCAGGAGTTGGAGACCAGCCTTGGCAATATGGTGAGACCTGATGTCTACATACAAATTTAAAATATTATCCAGGCATGGTGACACATGCCTATATTCCCAGCTACTTGAGAGGTTGAGGCAGGGGTATCACTTGAGCCCAGGAGATCAATGCTGTGGTGAGCCAGGATTATGCCACTGCACTCCAGCACAGGGAAACTTGTCTTAAAAATAAATAAAATAAAAAAGGAAAATGAAGTCAAATTGATACAAGGTACCTATTTCATACTTGTAACAAATGCCTTAAGAAATATATTAAAAATGGGCCTTTAAACTTGAAATTGTATCATAGTAATAGAAGAACTGACTTTAAAAATATTCAGATTAATTAAGCATCATCAAATGCATTAAAAACCAAAAATTTTTGAAGTGTATTTGGGGAGGTAGCACGTAGAGGAAAAATCTTATGTATTAATCTTTAACTGACATTCAAAAGAAAAGTCCAAATCTTTTACATTATACTATAGAAGCATTTTCTTTTTTTCTAAATACACACAAACATATGTGTTTGCACACACATAGTATTAGAATTTGAAGACTATATTTATTTTATAATTTTCTTTTAAATTTAAAATTACATTTTCAATGAACATTTAACTATTTTAAGGCCCACAGTGTACAAGAAGCTACAAAAGAAATAAAAAGAATAAACTGTATTACATTATTCAATAGCGTGTTTTACCTAAAACTAAGATTCTTATTTTCATTTTCCTAACTTTTATTTTAGGTTCGAGAGGTACATGTGCAGGTTTGTTACATGGGTCTATTGCATGTCACTGAGGTTTGGTGTATATATGATCCAGTTACCCATAGTGATGCATAGTATCTGACAGGTAGTTTTTTCAACCCTTGCCCACCCCCCCATCCCTAGTAGTCCCCAGTGTCTATTGTTGCCATCTTGATGTTCATGTGTACTCAATGTTTAGCTCCCTCTTATAAGTGAGAACATGTGGTATTTGGATTTCTGCTCCTTCGTTAAACTAAGACTCTTAAAAGCAAAAATTTGTGTGTATTTTTACTACTGCATTCCCCATGTGTATAAGTGTGACCAGCATAAAGGAGGCATTCAATACTTACTTAAAAAGTGAATGAATGACTGAGTGAGTGAATGAAATTAGCAATATATCACTCAAGTTGGAGAATACATTCACACACACACAAACACAAATACACAAGTATGGATTTGTGTGCATGTGTATAATATTAAACTTCACTAAAATAAGCAAACATGTATTAAGAAATAGAGACCTAGTTTTCAGCCAGAATAACATGTTAAAATCAAGACTCAATCAGCATGATTATAAACTTAAATAAGTCAAAACACATTGCACATTTCAACAAGACTTATATTTCTGGTCATGCTAGAGTAAAAGGTACAGAAAACCCTATATGAAACTCTAAAACACGAATCAGATATAGGAAAGAATAACTTTTAGGACAATATACATAAGGCAGTAGAGAAATGTGATCCCTGTGAAACAGGAAACAAATAAGGTGAGTCCCCATAATTGCTACAGTTTGCTGCCGGGAGTATTTTCTGGTGCTGCGAACAAGAAGTTAGGTAGAGTTGAGGTACAGAAATAGAATTAAAAGTCTGGGGACACCAAGGTAGTGAAAGGTCACATGCAGAATACTGGAGAAAGTGCCCGTGCATGATGATAGAAACGTGGAGATCTGCAGAAGATCCAAGCTTAGAATTCAGCTGAACTCTGACCAGTAGGTGCATGTAAAGAAATTAGTGGGCACCAGAAGAAGAACCATCCAAAAGAATGAGAGTTAGTAGGGACAAGCTCACATACAGCCAGGAAAAATGCCTGTAAGTGTAAAATCCTATTACTCACAAAAATTTGGGTACAGTGTACTTGCCTCAATAATAGGAAACAATTATACTTAAACTGATTGCTACTCCTGTGCAACCTAAAAAGTAAATAGATAGAGGGCTGGCAAGATGGCCGAATAGGAACAGCTCTGGTCTGCAGCTCTCAGCGAGACCAATGCAGAAGGCAGGTGATTTCTGCATTTCCAACTGAGGTACCCAGTTCATCTCAATGGGACTGGTTAGACATTGGGTGCATCCTATGGAGGGCGAACAGAAGCAGGGTGGGATGTCGCCTCACCCAGGAAGCGACAGGAGTCAGGCAACAGAACAGAGGCCTCAGAAATAACACCGCACATCTACAACCATCTGATATTTGGCAAACCTGACAAAAACAAGCAATGGGGAAAAGATTCCCTATTTAATAAATGGTGCTGGGAAAACTGGCTAGCAGTATGCAGAATACTGAAACTGGGACCCTTCCTTATACCTTATACAAAAATTAACTCAAGATGGATTAAAGACTTAAATGTATGATCTAAAACTATAAAAACCCTAGAAGAAAACCTAGGCAATACCACTCAGGATATAGGCATAGGGAAAGACTTCATGACTGAAACACCAAAAGCAATTGCAACAAAAGCCAAAATTGAAAAATGGGATCTATTTAAACTAAAAAGCTTCTGCACAGCACAGCAAAAGAAACTATCGTCAGAGTGAACAGGCAACCTACAGAATGGGAGAAAATCTTTGCAATCTACCCATCTCACAAATGGCTAAGGATATGAACAGCTAACAGACATATGAAAAAATGCTCATCATCACTGGTGATCAGAGAAATGCAAATCAAAACCACAATGAGATATCATCTCATGCCAGTTAGAATGGCGATCATTAAAAAGTCAGGAAACAGCAGATGCTGGAGAGCATGTGGAGAAATAGGAACGTTTTTACACTGTTGGTGGGAGTGTAAATTAGTTCAACCATTGTGGAAGATAGTACGGTGATTCCTCAAGCATGTAGAACCAGAAATACTATTTGACCCAGCAATCCTATTACTGGGCATACACCCAAAGGATTATAAATCATTCTACTATAAAGCACATGCACACGTATGTTTATTCCAGCACTATTTACAATAGTAAAGACTTGGAACCAACTAACATGCCCATCATATACGCCATGGAATTCTATGCAGCCATGAAAAAGAATGAACTCATGTCCTTTGCAGGGATGTGGATGAAGCTGGAAACCATTATTCTCAGCAAACTAACACAGGAACAGAAAACCAAACACCGCGTGTTCTCACTCATAAGTGGGAGTTGAACAATGAGAACACATGAACACAGGGAGAGGAACATCACACACTGGGGCCTGTCGGGGGGTGGGGGTCAAGGGGAGGAATAGCATTAAAAGAAATACCTAATGTAGATGACAGGTTGATGGGTGCAACACATGTATACCTATGGCACATGTATACCTATGTAACAAACCTGCATGTTCTGCACATGTGTCCCAGAACTTAAAGTATAATAAAAATAAATAAATAAGCACACACACACACACACACACACACACATATATAGAGAGAAACAGAGAGAAAGAGAGAGAGAAAGAAAGAGAGAGGGAGAAGCATCTGAAAGGATCAGACTGTTAAAAAGTAACTTAATTTCATCTTGAAATTAAGTTCAAGGATATTTACAGAAATATAAAATATCCGGCACCTATGAATTAAAATTCACAAAGTCTGGAACCCAATCAAAAATTACCAGGCTTGCCAAATGGTCATGGAAATATGTCCTATAATGAGGAGGGAAATAATCAATAGAAAGCAACAGAACAGATATTAGAATTAGCAGACAAAGACAATAAAAACACTTTTGTAAAGGGTATCCCATGTTTTCAAAATTTTAGTAAAGGAATGAAAAACAAAAATATATTGAAGTTAAACTGATAGAAGAACTACAATGCAAAAGCTGAGACCTGCACTGAATGGAATAAATAGCAGATTAGATATCGCATTGAAAATATGAAGGACTTCGACAGCACAGCGATTGATATTATTGAAAATAAAACATGGTGCAACTTAGAATTAAAAAAAGAAGTGAGCACAGAATCAGGAAGCTGATAAACACTTCTGGGCAGCCTAACTACATATAATTAAAATCACCAAGGAAAGAGGAGAAAAGGGAATGTAGAAAAATGATGTGAAGAAATAATGTTTGATTATCTTCCAAGTGGACAATAATTACAAATCTACACATCCAAAAATGTCAATAAATTCCAAGGAGAGGAAATGAAAAAAACTACACTAAGGTACATCACAATTAATTTGCTCAAAACCAGTGTTGGTAAAAGCTCTTAGAAACAGCTAGAGACAAAAGACATGTCATATACAAAGAAATGACGATACTGGCATATTTGTTGTGAGAAACAATGTAAGTGAGAAGATGGTGAAGTAATATTTAACACACTGAAAAATATATAGTCAACCTAGAATTCTGCATTTGTTTAAATCATCTTTCCAAGATAAAAGAGAAGTAAAGACTTTGCACATGTGCAAAACCTGAAAATATTAATTAAAAGAAGTCCCTCGGGTTACAGCAAAAATTGCTTCAGATGGAAATGTGGATATCCATATAGAATAGACAAGTACTGGAAATAATAACTATATGGTTAAGTACACAGTGTTCTTATTATGTAAATATCTTTAATGCATGATTGACTATTTAAACAATAAATAACAATATGCAGTGTGTTTTATAATTTATGTAAAAATAGCATGTATGATTACAATAGCACACATTTAAGAGGGATGAAATTTATCTATACTATGGAAAGTTCTTACACAGTGAGTACCTGTTTTCACCTCATAGTCTTTATGATGATCATCATAGAAGTGTCTTCCAAATAACTCTCTATACAAAATTTAGAGGGGAGTAATGGACACTGTATTTTTTTAAATTTCTTCCAAGATGCAAGTAAACCCCAGAATTTAGAGCAAAAAGTCTATGCTTCTTGAAAGATGTAGGATTTTAATGATTTTAGAGTGTGTGTTGCGGGGGGGAGAAATAAAATACATGCTTAGAATACCAAACATAAAAATTTCTATCACTTATTAGTATACATTATATGCCAACCATTTTTGCCACTTTTAAGGTTAACTTTTTTAAAATCATCAAGTAACAGTTTTATATAAACATAATTATCCAATTTTTACAGATAATAAAACTTACACTTAAAATGTTTAGAATCTATCAAAGGCCAAACAGTTATTAAATAGCTGAGTTAATAATCTGCCCTAATATATGTGATACAAGCCCTGTGTTCTTCAGCTCTCACAGTGATGCTTTTGAGATGACTAAAAACTTTGGAGATGGAAATGTACACAGCATACTTGGAAAGCAGTTAGTAGATCAGCCTTAGAGAAAAGTAAAGGCTTGCATGGTTGGGAAGTGGGAAGTAAACAAGACACAAACGTTAAACAAAAGAATGATAAAAGAGGTAACAAGGAGGAGGGAAAATAATTATGAGAATGCATTTCACTAGAGCTATGAGAGAAGAAAGCATCAATAAAGAAGGTCTTGTCAGAATCAAGGTTTCCAGAGCTGCCAAGAATAACAGAAATATGCTCTTGCACTTAACAACAAGAAATCAATAGAATATTGTTAGGTGCTAAGGCTAATTCTTAGTTCCTAGGTAAGATTTCTGAATCTAGTGAGGAGAAAAGATAACAGAGAAAAAAAAAGAAAGAGAGAGCGAGCCAGAGAAAGAGAGAGAGAGAAAGTCTGCAAGGGAAATAACTGCAGGGATTGTAAATTCCGTTAAAATAGAAAAGAACAGAAGTTGGATGACTGCCCAAAAAGGCAGAGTGTTCAAATAAATTTGTCTTTGATCCTTAGTTCAAGCAGGGACAACTTTTGCATGTTGATAATTATAGGGTAAAAATGACTAATAAAATTAAGAATGAACATGCTAGAACAAAGTGGGGTAGTTGAGGTATAAGGGCTCCAGAAAAAGTGAAAGGAAATGAGTTCATGATCAGTGGTAGCAATTTTAGTTTTTTAAATCATAATTATATGTCTGCCTCTGCTGTCTGCCTCTATGTCTTGGAGGAAAAATAATAAATTGTCTCACTTATCTTCACATCTCAAAAGTAGATAATGAGTGGCAAAACAGTCACTGGTGCTTTAGACAGTGAATAAGAAAAATGTGGTCATTGGTTTCAGTGCTCATGGCATAGTGGGCTGTAATTGTTGAGAAAAGTTTATTGACACTACACTTATCTATGAAACAAAAAATATGTCCTTCATTTTGATATAACTGGAATTATCCTTCTTGTTAGCTCCTAACCTAACAAGAGACAGTGGTGTGTAGTGTTGAGGGGAACTAGGTGAATTCTAACCTCATAATCTCACCTGGTCCAGTAATTTAGTTTATCTATTTAGGAAGTTGTTACTTGTCCAGAGGACTCAGTTAAAGGCTCATTATTTCAAAAATATTGCCAGGTCCACTTCTCTTTAAGATTCTATACAGGGAAATTGTGGACATGAATGGAGTGTAACCACATGAAACTGAAGTAGGGAGGGAAGCTGATATCTCCTCAGCATCATCAGCAATTTGAAAGTCTCTGCTAAGGTGTGCTAGTGATAGGGACAGGAGGCAGAGAAATTCTAGGCAGAAAAGGGCAGGTCCCTGGTGAAACCCCATCCTCAAGCTGAAAAGCCTGAAACCGTGGCCTAAAGTGAGAACTTATATCCCTGTTTTCCCACTCGAATGTTGCCTTTTCCTAAACCACCCATGGCCCTGCACTGTCCCATCCTATGCCTATAAAAACCCCAGACTCAGTCAGTAGATGGGACTATGGTTGGATGTCAGAGAGAAGTGACTTGACCTCAGAGGGACAGCTTGATGGAGTAACTTTGGAGAAAAATCCAACCAGAAGCAGCCAGACTTCAGGGGAAGATTACTTTCTCACCCCACCCCCTTTTCAGCTTCCCTTCCCACTGAGAGCCACTTTCATCAGCAATGAAAGCCCTCACATTTACCATCCTTCAGTTCATTCATGCGACCTCATTTTTCCTGGATGCCAGACAAGAGCTTGTGAGCCACAAGTGTGGTTACAAAAAGCTGACACACTGGCACATCGCCCTTGTTGGCAGAGGGCAGCCACCTCATGCAAAAAGGCAGAGGGCCCACTGAGCTGTTAACGCTTAAGCCATGCATGGATGGCAGAGCTATGAGAGTACTGTACCATGCTCTCTGGAGCTTCTGCAGTCTCAGGCACTCCCACCTGGATGCTGCCATGGGACCTGCACAGAGTTCAGCCCTGCCGGTTCTAAAGCATCTGGATGGTTCCTGTACCTGCTCAGCCATTTGCTTACTCTTGCAAGGGGTGGAACGCAGCAGGTCTGAGTGAGTGGAGTTTGATTCCATGGGCACTGAAGGGGCTGGTCAATTCCAGCGCTTGTTCACGCCAGTTCCTGCACTCATTCACTCATGCACTGCCTCCTGTGAGGTGTTGAGAGCATGGGGCTCAGTAAATGAGGCAACCCTGTCAAGAGTCGTGCGAAAAGATCAGGGAAATATCCTGCTTTAGTAGAACTAATTCCAGAGACTTCTTTTGGCTTTTACTGCTCAAAGTTGATGCTAATGTAACACATGGTCTATGTTCTAATTTAGACCATGCTCCTGTTGAATCATCCACTTCCCTCTGCTGACTGATTCCATTGACACTTCTGTTTTCCCCTGATTTCCCTTTAATGCCTAGTCCTTCAGCCCTCAACTCCAGTGGTATTAGAATAGTCTAATAGCCACATGGCCGTCCCCATCCACACACATACCCCTACGATCATGAAGGAATTTATAGGTCATTTGCCACCATTAGAAAGCCTAGGAAGGCTGAGGAGGGCTAAATGGGTTCTTATCTGTTCCGTTCACAAAGCTGAGGCTGCTCTATTATGCAGCAGGACAATATTCAAAGGGGACTTTTGTTAAAGTTCCAAATAGAAGGTGGGATAAAGGACCTCTTATCCTTGACAGTTCCTTCAATACCCTAACAGGACCATCTGCTACAATCTTCTCTGCAAATCAGACCAGGAGCAAAAAAATGCAGTTCAATAACATGTTTATTCCAACCATTCATTTTAATGGAAGTTGGGAAATTTCCTTCCCTGTTCTCATGTTTCTGAGATATATATGTTTTTTAAACAGCTATAATAAAGTTGTTTGACCTGTCTCTAGATACATTTGAAAAGGATAAGGAAGGCATTTTTAAAATTTTTGTCTCTTTTAATTACACTTGGCTTTTATTACTATTGTCTAGTTAAAGCAATCAAGAATAGCAGCTTTGAGACTCGAAACTGATCAACAGCTAATTTGTTCTTGGTAGTTTCTACTTCCTTTTTTCCCTGGGGCAGTAAATCTCACTGCTTTGATTTGAAGACAGAGAATTCCAAGGAATATTTAAGAAGATATTAGAAAACATTTTTGGGATATCATAACCTCCTTATATGTATCACCTCATCTGCGGAATTCAATTAACAATAGTGCCCACCTTAGAAAACAATCAAAATCATTAATGGAGTACCTGGCGGTTAGTATTTATAACAATAAAGAAAGTAGGAAATGAGGCTCTCTACTGAATCTGGAAAAAAAAAAGAGAGAGAGTATTGAGATTATTTGCTTGAAAAAAAGTGAAAATTTTGAAATTATTCCTGAAGAAAATAGTAAAATATAAAAGAGAAAATTATATAGAAAATTATATGGTTGTATAATCTCAAGGAATCAGTTGAAATTTGACATTATGACTATTTAGAATGGACCCATCTTTTCTACTTTCTTCATCTCCTTTATATACTTTATGTATGAGAAAGGGCAGAGAAATAATTTGCTGATGGTAGTCTAGATTTAGGAAACAGACTACAATTACTAGGGAAATTGAAGTACAGTGAAGGGCAGTAGGCTGTTATTGAAAAGGGGAAAGAAATGGACTGATTCTGGAGTGAGAAAACAAGTGAAGCCAGAAGGATCCTATGCCGTATTTTAATTCAGTCTATTTTGGGATTTTGGGGCATTGAGAACAACTGGCCTTTGCCACCAATTTAACTGTATTTTATGAATGGTGGTGGGAATTGGGAATAAAAATCATCTAATTTTGAATTCCCTGTGGACTGCTCTATTTTGGAACCATGAGAACTGAATAAGAACTTTAGAACTGAACAGGAAAGTTGTGCTTTTAGCACTTCCCAGATGAAAACATGCATCAGAAAATTCTTGTGTTCCCTGTACCCCTTCTAGTGACAGTTGTCATTGATCATAAATCAAGAAGGTGTTGTGTGTACACTGCCAAATTTATAGAATAGTCTTCAAAAACTAACACCATCTCATGCTCCTTGTAGTTTAAATATATGTTCCTGATCATAAGTTTTTTTCTGCTAATTTCTACATCACAGAGATGTCAGGAAATCAGCTTGTCACTCTTTATGTTCCTATCTAAATGCTCAGTTTGTCAGATCTGCCCCCACATTCTTTCTCTGAACTCTTAGAACTATGACCAATGAAGGAATGCTAATCTGAAAAGACTTTTAGAAATATGTTGTTTTCTATCTTTTTAATAAAAAAGCTTTATTAAACTATAATTGATATACAAAGAACTACATATATTTGATGCATTCAATTTGGAAAGCAGGGACATATGTACACACCCATGGTTATGACTATTACAATGAAGGTAACAGACATTTCTAACACCTCCCAAAGTTTCCTTGTGTTCCTTTGTCATTGTCTTTTTCTATTATTATAAGAACATTCACCATGATATCTATTCAATAAATTTTATAAAGCGTAATACCTTAGTTTCGGTTATGCTAGATGAGTAAATTCTAGAGATCCGCTGTACAACCTGTGACTATAGATTTTTGTTATTTAAGATCCACCTGCTCATAAAAGAAAAGAAAAATATATGAGGCAGCATAGTGTATTTATAAAAAGTAAAAATAGCCACTTTAGTAGACATTTGCTTACTAAAACCTATAAAATTCAAAGTTTTCATCACAACATTCTACTTAAGCATTTGAGTGAATTTGAAGAAGCAGCCAAACTTAGCCTCATTTTTACCAATATTTCAAGTTAAATTTAGAGATTCCTAGCAAACACCACATTTAATGAGGTTCTTTTGAAACCAGTGTTTTTATATTATTGGAAAGGTAATCCTGTAGTAAATTGCCTGTTCACAAAGGTAATAGTCACTATTTTAATTACAAGTATAGAAAACTTCTTTCAGTAATCTCATGTTTCATAAGTACCTTGTCTCCCATGTCTCTCATTTCAGAAAGACAAAGACATCCTGAAATTCATACAGTGGAAATCGGTCATCAGTACTTTTTCTGTAATTAACACTTGATTTGAACTTAGAGCATCTTCCCAATCCATGCATTTAAAAAAACTTGGCAAACATTGTCAAAGGAGATCTTTCCTTTGTTTTCAAGTGCTCAATGAAATTACTCAGGGCTGTTCTACTAGCCAATAACTGTTAAGTCCACCCTTTCCACTTACGTTTGGCATTTCATAAAAGTCAGATTATTAGTTCTGATATTCAAATCACAAATCTGTTTCTCTCTTTAACACACACACACACACACACACAAACTCAGAACATCAGAGTTTTTCACTCGTGTTTCAATCATCTGATGGTATGAAGTCACCCGGAACTTGAATAAAGGAACTAGGAGCCAGCGTGCTACAGTTGAACAGTTAAAAAGTATAGTAGGTGGAGGAAGGTGTTGATGGGAATACGATAGAACACATGGCTATTTCTACTCCCATAGCAAGGAAACAGGAGAATGGAGACATAGACTTGAGGTGCAAGAAGATGGCAGATTCTTTCTTTACCTGAGGAGAGGCATGTGCAAAAGGTAGATGGAAATGTAGTCCAAAACTAAAAAAAATTTTGATTTTGAAATGTTAAACTAATTGGTGTGAAAAAAATTGTCCTAAAAAATAGTTTATTCACATATTCACTTTAGCAAAGGAGAGAAATTTTATGTAACTTATTTGGATACAAGACTACGATATTACAGATACTCACATTTTAAATGACTCCCTGCAACTTAAAAATAAGATTTAACCTTTTATTCTTTTAAGGACGGAAGACTCTTCATATTGTGGCCTTGCCTACCTGCTCAATATTGCTTTTCTTTACTCTCCCGTCACAAATCCCACTCGGTCATTTCCGAAGGACATGATGATACCTACATGGGTCACATTCTGTAATAAGACCTGTCTTTCGAATATGCTACCTTCTCTCCTTGGGATGTTCTCCTGCCTTCTCTTATTCCCCTCTCCCTAACAAAATGTGCCTGCTTGGAAAATAAAACCCATCCTTTTTATTCATTTTATTTTTTATTGATACATAATAGATGGACATATTTTTGCAGTACCTGCTATAATTTAATATATTCATATATTTTGAAAAGATCAAATTTGTATAATTGAAATATCCATCATCTTAAATATTTGTCTTTTGTTTATGCTAGAAACATTGAAATTATCCTCTTCTAGTTATTCTGAAATACATAATAGATTATTGTAAACTATAGTCACTCTGTTGAGCTATCAAGCACTAGGTCTTATTTCTTTTATCAAACTGCACATTTGTACTCATTAATCCCCTGTCCCCAATCTTTTAAGTAGAGTCTTCAAGCATCAGTTTTGTTTGTTTGTTTGTTTGTTGAGACGGAGTCTTGCTCTGTTGCCCAGGCTGGAGTGCAGTGGCACAATCTTGGCTCACTGCAACCTCTGCCTCCCTGGTTCAACCGATTCTCCTGCCTCAGCCTCCCGAGTAGCTGGGATTACAGGCATGTGCCACCATGACAACGGGGTTTTGCCATGTTGGCCAGGCTGGTCTTGAACTCCTGACCTCAGATAATCCGCCCACCTTGGCCTCCCAAAGTGCTGATATTACAGGCATGAGCCACTGCGGCCGGCCCAAGCATCAGTTTTAATACTGTATCTTTTATAAGGTTGCCACTGATTTGTCTTATTCTATTGGGTTCCCACTGCATTTCAGGCATAATCTGTTATACATATTATCTCATATCATCATACATGGCTGCCTGCATACCTCCCACCCTAATAGTAGCATTTGTAGGTTAGAGACTTTGCTTTCCATCTTTATGCCTCCCAGTAAATACGCATTTGAAATGCATTTGTTAAATTGATAAAAGAAGTGTTCTGAGTAGTAAAGTGTTTACTGAATACTACTGCAGAACTGAAGGGAATTGCTTACTACAAGAATCCTCATAGAGGTATTGTTTCAATAGAACTTTAAAACACAAAAAATGTGTAGGAAATTTGCTGTATTTTTACTATACTTCCATACCAGGCTCTATTACCTGAGAGGGAAAGCCTGCCTTCTCCACCTCTCTCTTACTGCTGGCCAAGAGGCAGGTTGCCCCTGTCACGTAAACAGTGACTGAAACTAATCTACATAGATTACAAAACACTGTAGAATATTTGTCTCATCTACCATAAATGTGTATCCCCATATCCTTGCTGGGGATAACTGGGATTGAATAGCTAATTATGTTACTAACAAAATTCCTTGTCAATATGTTAGATTCAATTGAATTTACAAAAAAACAGAATTTTGGTCTACAGCCCAAGTAATAGATGTTTAGTACCATGTAAATATTTATAAGCCAGGTACTAGAAAAATATGCTAACTCAAGCATTACTTACATATAGATGACTCTTTTTAAATGTTACTCTGTGTTCAGACAGGAAAAAAAAAAACCTGGTAAGTTTAGCCTCGAGGATATTCAATTTTTTTCCAAGACTTCCAGAAAAAAACAAGAAAGTATACCCAAGATGAGAAAGCAAAATATACTTGCATGTAAACTGTAGAGAGTAAAAAAGTTGTTTGGCTATGTTTCCTACTACGATCTGTAGTCATAATTTAGACTCTTGCTACTCAAAGGGTAATCTGAAGACCAAAAGAATTACTGTTCCATGGGAGCTCATTTAGAAATATAGACTTACAGGCCCCATCTCAGACCTACTGACTCAGAAACTCCATTTTAACAAGATCCCTCAGTGGTTCCTATGCACATTAAAATTTCAAAGAATGGTCTAGATTATCATTTTTTAATATCTGCTAAACATTACAGAATACATTAAAGAATAACTCAGTCATCTGAATATTTTTTCTGATTTTGAAATAAAGCCAAAAATACTGGACTAGGAATAATGCCTGTTGCTCAGGTAACAGACTTGTCTCTTTAAGAGTGTGTGTGTTTGTGTGTGTGTGTGTATGTGAGAGAGTATATGAAAGTATCTAAAGGAAAAAGTATACACATACATAGGCTTTGATGTTAATCACATGAGTTTATTCTATTTGATGCCTTAACACAGAAGTGGGGAGGAGAGTTTCTTAGACAAGAGGCTCACCCTACAGTTTCACCCACTTAAAAATAGTCAGCAAACACTAATGGAGGAAAAGAGGAATAGGGCTATTCAGGAGCCTGAAGGTCTCCTTAAATTACGAACCCACTTTCTTTCTTCTGTCAGTGGATAGAGACTATTTCCATTAGGTACTCCCAGCAGTGACATTAGGCAGCAGAGGCAAGAGCGCATGGCTAAGCTGTCAAGGAGAGGGCAGTTCCTCTCTTCCTAGGAGGGAATTGAGTGTGGCTGTCCTTCTTATCAATCGACACCAGATGTGCTCCGCTGTTTCGCTTTCTATTTCACCCCAACTAATCAATTAACCTTGTTCAAAATCCAAACAAACACTCAAGATATTCAGCAAAGTACTTACTTTAAAAAAATTTTTGCTTAAGGCCTCTACTAATTTAGCCAATAGTCCTGGGATGCACTTAGGCAAGTCTAACGTCATAAAAATCGGCTCAGAAATGTCTTAACATTTCTTTTGGACACAGCCATGAACCCTTGAGTGATTCCCTTGATTTTCTCCTATCTCAGTGTGCACATACATAAAATAAGGAAAATGCCCCACTCTCTGAATGTCAGATGAAAGCAGGTATTTAAAAATCCTTTGAAAAAACGAAAATGTTATACCAATGTAAGGCATATCTTAAATAAGGATATTTAAGGGATATTAAAAGAAAATCAATAAATTGCAAATTTATTGCTCAACAATACTATTTGTCAAAACAAAATTATTAATCCAAAATGAACAATTTACTATACCTTTTTCTACATATTTGTAAGTAACTATTTTATTGACTACAGCAAGTTCTAAAATAGAAGCAAGGGAATTTGATCCCTGAATATGGGAGACAAGCTAACCCATGAAGCAGTTTGTGTTAGTAAGAACTGATGGCATCAATGCACAGGGTGCTTGTGAAGGTTAGAATGTGGGGTAGGATTATGAGTTTTTAAAAATGTCTTTAGAAGATCGCTCAAATTATTTCATCAGATTTTCTAAACAGAATGAAATATAAATCACTGAAATGCAGTTTGTCATTATTGACATTTTAATACTTGGTACTTTTTTCTGAAAAGAAAATTACACCACGGAGTAAACACCAGTTAAAAGCAAGATCATGAATCATTAGCTGTATTGATGGTATATTTATAATGTATCCTTTTTATTCTGTTTAGAATTAGCAACAGTAGAAGAAACAACTGTAAATTTTATATGTGTGCACAACACACATATGCATAATTCTGTAGAAGGAATTCTACTGTGCTGATTCTACCTTTCTTTGCAGAAAAGTGGATAAATCAGATATTAGGGAGGCACTTCAAAGTAATTTTATTGTGGAAATCTATTGCTTATAGCAATAGGTGTTGCTCTCAACATTTTAGGGGTTCAGGTAAATTATATACCTCTTGTCTCAGTTTGAAATAAATTGAGTGAGAAAGGAAATATGCATACAGAGATCAAAATGTCAGTTCTATCGCTGATATAAAACCTAGTTTGTAGAATATGGCTAAGGTGTGTGGCAAATGAGCTTCCTAATGCTCTCAGTTCCCCCATTTTATCCCATAAAGTCTAGACCTTCAACAGTTCATCTGAGCATATACGCAATGCTTAGAGCACATTAGTAGAAAAGCTCTACCATATTGAGAATTGATGGTCACTCATATCTCCTCATGGGGCGAAATGTGTAGGGAGTGGAAAAAGAGACCAGGGTAGTTACTTTGGTGGAGGCCCCTGACATGTACAAATAAGGAGGCAGAAAAGTAAACTCCTACTTGGCAACTCACATATGAACCCCAACATATACTCACATACATGGGTATCAGATAAAACTGACTCTGTTGAGAAGTATTGAATCCATAGATTTTTATAATGCCTACGTTAAGGAAACCAGAGAAGAAAAATTATAATAATTTCTTATATTTATGTAGCATCATAAAACTGAAAGAGGAGTTCCACATACATGAATCTATTAAATAAAACTAAAATCTTTGAGGATTATGACATGGAGTGTAGACTTTCCACCTTCAATAATTACTCCATAATTGTTACTTTCAAACAGAGCTTTGGGCTGAGTAGAACATGAGATATGCAGAATGACATTTCAAAGGGATCTTTCTAAATAATATTTACAAATTGCAAGTAAACAAACAATAGGCTGGATTTATGTTCCTTCTACTTTTGTTGCATTAATTCATGTCTGTAATTTCATGAAATATACTTCAAAGATTTATTTGAAATCTTTGAATTATAATCAAAGATAATTATACTTTATTAAAGATTTACTTCCTACTGAAGCAGGAAATTTCCTTGACCCCTTTGCAGGTGGGAACTGGAATGCACAGGTGCTAGGACTAGCTGGCCGCTTTGGTGTCAGCAGGGGCAGACTCCACTCACTCTGTCCCACTGCGTTCCACTCCTCACAGGACGGGGAGCGTAGGTAAGCAGGTGCAGAAGCCAGGGTGAGTGCTTTCAGGTGCCAGCAGTAGCAAAACTCTGTGCGGCCCTGCAGCAGCCTCTAGGGCGGTGCCTGCAATCCCTGAAGGCGCAGAAAGAGTGTTACAGTCAGTGCTCTTTTAGCTTTGCTGTCCATGGACAGCTTGAGTGTTAACAGCTCAGTAGAGAGTCAGTGTGACAGCCTTTTGCACCTGCATGTGAGTTCTTGTCCAGTGTCCAGGAGGAATGAGATTGCTCGAACAAATTGGAGATGGTAAAAGTGAGGGATTTTATTGTGGACAAAAATGGCTCTCAGCAGGAAGAGAAGTTGAATAGGGAATGGAGCAGGAAGATAATCTTCCCCAAGTCCAGCCATCTCCGGCCAGACTCCTCTTTGGCAACACCGTCAAGCCATCCCTCTGAAGTCAAGCAGCTTCTCTCCAACATCCAGCAGTAGTCTTTGATGCCTAGCTGCTTCAGCTCTGCTGGTAGAGCCTGGGGTATTTTTTGTTATTTGTTTTGTTTTTCTTTATTATTATTATTATTATATTTTAAGTTCTGGGATACATGTACAGGTCTGTTACATAGGTATACACGTGCCATGGTGGTTTGCTGCACCCATCAACACATCATCTACATTAAGTATTTCTCCTAATGCTATTGCTCCCCTAGCCCCCCACCCCTGACAGGCCCTGGTGTGTGATGTTCCCCTCCCTGTGTCCATGTGTTCTCATTGTTCAACTCCCACCTATGAGTGAGAACATGCAGTGTTTGGGTTTTTTTTCCTGTGTTAGTTTGCTGAGAATGATGGTTTCCAGCTTCAAAGGACATGAACTCATCCTTTTTTATAGCTGCATAGTATTCCATGGTGTATATGTGCCATATTTTCTTTATCCAGTCTATCATTGATGGGCATTTGGATTGGTTCCAAGTCTTTACTATTGTAAATAGTGCTGCAATAAATATATGTGTGTGTGTGTCTTTACAGTAGAATGATTTACAATCCTTTGGGTATATACCCAGTAATGGGATTGCTGGGTCAAATGGTATATCTGGTTCTAGATCCTTGAAGAATTGACACACTGTCTTCTATAATGGTTGAACTAATTAACACTCCCACCAACAGTGTAAAAGCATTCCTGTTTCTCCACATCCTCTCCAACAGCATCTCTTTTGTCCTGACTTTATAATGATTGCCATTCTAACTGGCATGAGATGGTATCTCATTGTGGTTTGATTTCCATTTCTCTAATGACCAGTGATGATGAGCTCTTTTTCATGTTTGTTGATGGTATAAATGTGTTCTCTTGAGAAGTGTCTGTTCATACCCTTCATCCACTTTTTGATGGGGTCGTTTTCTTCTTGTAAATTTGTTTAAGTTCCTTGTAGATTCTGGATATTAGCCCTTGGTCAGATGGATAGATTGCAAAAATATTCTCCCATTCTGTAGGTTGCCTGTTAACTCTGATGATAGTTTCTTTTGCTGTGCAGAAGCTCTTTAGTTTAATTAGATCCCATTTGTTTATGGGCACAAGATGGTGTCAGGGCAGGCCATGGGTGGTTTTGAAAAAGGCAACATTGGAGCAGGAAAACAGGGATGTAAGGTTCTTACTTCGGGCTGCACTATTAGGCTTTTTGGCTTGAGGGTGGGACCCTCACTGGGGACCCACCCTCTTCTGCCCAGAATTCCCCTGCCTCCTGTCCCTATCACTACTTTTTTTTTTTTTTTTTTTTTTTTAGCAATTAATGTTTTGTGTAACTCCACTCCAAAATAAAACAAGTAAAATTTAAAAATACACTTTTATAGTCTAAGAGCAGTCTGGCATCTCCACTATACACATTTGGGAATGCGAGGCCACCTCAATTGCAATTGATGGGCCTTGTTTTGCCTAGCGAATGCCATTATGAACTAAAGAAAACCTGTATTATTGTGGAGATTCTGCCATCAGTTCAATCAACACTAAAGAGATGTTTGAAATATTGTATTTTCAAAATGAATGGCAAAAGTGTGCCATTGTTTTTTTAGTTGCTTAACTTATTGAAAAACCACTGTAGAATTTTGTTGCTCATAGGCATGTTAGCTTTCAAGACTTACTAACTTCTATTTTTAGTTTATGATATGTGTGTAAGAGCTGGCAAAATTTTGAAGCTAATTTATATTCAAAAATATGGTAGATAAGGCATATCTTAAAAAATAATTCTTCCTTTCTAGAGTGAATATTTTAAAGTATAATATAAAATTCTATATTTTATTATCTACTTTCTGGATTTGAAACACTTCAGAAATTTGTTAGGTTTAGTTGTCCTGGATAATACCATAACAAGATATAGTGATTCCTCCTATGTAATAAATTTGAATGCTCAGAATAGTGTTGTGCTAGCCTATGTGTAATGAATTACGATTCTGGTTGTTGAATCAAGTTGATAAGATGTTTATTTTCTAAAAGCATAACAAACCAACATGAACCTTTCTAGTGCTTATATTTAAGAAAACATATAAATCATTGTTTGGCAAAGATTAAGGCTAATTTAAGATCACTGAAAACAGTGAAAGATTTTTTTTCCTTCTATCGCTGCCAGTTAAATTAGGTGCCTTGCTAATAAAGTTTAAACTGTTATTAGAAATTCAAGGCTATAAAATGGTCTATGTAACAAAAATTTTGAGGAGAAAGTATGGAATGGAGTTGCAAACACCTTTCTAATTCCACCATTGTTTATAATCCACAATGATACAATATAAAAAGATGAACTGTAATTGCTAACATGAAAGGTGTATATTTGTTTAGCTTTGCTAAGGAGCCAATCAATATTTTGGATGGAGTAATTAATAAGTTTGTGTAAACTCCAAAATGTAAATTATAGGTAAGCAGTAATCAATTGACTTTTTCTGCTGAATGACATCAGATTTGTTATATTTTTTCTCCCTATCTTCTTATTTTCTTTTAAGAAACAACCTTTATTATTTCATATTGGGTCATTCCACTGGACACCAAATATTTGGCTCTTTCACCGTACACCCTGTGCATTTACAGAAGCTTGACTTGATCCTTTGCTTAGTATTTGTCCTTACTGTTCTCTAGCAGAATTAACCAGGTGTCTCATAGATACCTTATATATAGTGATAAAAGTGAGAGGTGAACCCAGCTGGACTTCCTGGGTCGAGTGGGGACTTGGAGAACTTTTCTGTCTAGCTAAAGGTTTGTAAATGCACCAATCAGCACTCTGTAAAAACACACCAATCAGCACTCTGTGTTTGGCTAAAGGTTTGTAAATGCACCAATCAGCACTCTGTAAAAATGCACCAATCAGTGCTCTGTGTCTAGCTAAAGGTTTGTAAATGCACCAAACAGCACTCTGTAAAAATGGACCAATCAGCACTCTGTAAAATGGACCAATCAGCACTCTGTGAAATGGACCAATCAGCAGGATGTGGGTGGGGCCAAATAAGGGATTAAAAGTTGGCCCCCTGAGCCAGCAGCAGCAACTCGCTCAGGTCCCCTTCCACACTGTGGAAGCTTTGTTCTTTTGCTCTTCACAATAAATCTTACTGCTGCTCACTCTTTGGGTCCACACTACCTTTATGAGCTGTTAACACTCACTGCAGAAGTCTGCAGCTTCACTCCTGAAGTCAGTGAGACCACAAACGCACCCGGAGGAACAAACAACTCCAGACACACCACCTTTAAGAACTGTAACACTCACTGCGAAGGTCTGCGGCTTCACTGCTGAAGTCAGTGAGACCACGAACCCACTGGAAGGAAGAAACTCCAGACACATCTGAACATCTGAAGGAACAAACTCCAGACACAACATCTTTAAGAACTGTGACACTCACCGCGAGGGTCCGCGGCTTCTTTCTTGAAGTCAGAGAGACCAAGAACCCACCAGAAGGAATAAATTCCAGACACATTTGGCGACACAGATGGGACTATCACCAAGTGGTGAGTACCATCAGACCCCTTTCACTTGCTATTCTGTCCTATTTTTCCTTGGAATTTGGGGGCTAAATACTGAGCACCTGTTGGACAGTTAAAAGTGACTAGCGCAGCCACCAGACTACAGACACGAATGTCAGGCTTTCTGGGAAAGGGCTCTCTAACAACCCCCAATTCTTCGGAGTTGGCAGCATTGGTTCATGTGGAACCAGCTTCCACTTTTCATGTACTTCTGGGCTGAGCTGAGGGTTGACAGAGAGGAAATCCATTCAGCTCCGGGGTCCCGGCAACAAGTTGGTTGACCCTGTGGCCATGAGTGGAACTCTCAAAGTCATGTCGCCCAAGCCAGACTCGCCCATCTATCCTATCTATCCTGACCCGTGCCTCATGGGTCCTAACACCTGTCGGACAAACTTCCTCCCAACTCTCTTCTCTGAGGTTAGTCCCACTTCTAAAAACCACTCCCTGTCTCTGGTGCTTTTCTAGTTTCTCCTGTAAGAATGACTTCTAGTATAAACTTCAGGACTCCATTACCTTCTTTAGGCACCCGGGTTCACCAATAGGAAAGACATAATTTTTGCCCAAAGCCCCATTGGGGTGGGGGACTATCTGGAATTTTAGGATTCCTCCTCAGACTAGCAGGCCTAACAAAAGCTATTCCTGAAGCTAGGATATGGGGCGCTTCAGAAATGGTATCTTTCCTATTCATATAAGTGAGGACAAAAGGCATCACTCTTCCAACCCTGGAGATCCCTTCCATCCCTCAGGGTATGGCCCTCTACTTCAATTTTGGGGCATAACATCTTTATGTGACAGGGGTAAGGTCCCAATACTAACAGGAAAATGCTTAGTACTCAGGTTTTCGAGACTGCGTCAGTAAGGGCCACTAAATCCAAACTTCCTTGGTCCTCCTTGTGGTCTAAGAGGAAAGCTAGTGTTTCTGCTGCTGTGTCGGTGAGCACAACTATTCCTATCAGCAGGATCCAGGGACCATTGTGGGTTCTGGGGCAAGAGGTGTTTCTGCTGCTGCGTTGGTGAGCGCAACTATTCCAATCAGCAGGGTCCAGGGACAGTTGCAGGTTCTTGGGCAGGGGGAGAAACAAACAAACCAAAACCGTGGGCAGTGTTGTCTTTCAGATGGGAAACACTCAGGCGTCAACAGGCTCATTCTTGAAATGCATCCTAAGCCATTGGGACCAATTTGACCTGCAAACCCTGAAAAAGAGGCGGCTCATTTTTTTCTGCACTACAGCCTGGCCCCAGTATTCTCTCTCTGATGGGGAGAAAATGGCCACCTGAGGGAAATATAAATTACAATACTATCCTGCAGCTTGAACTTTTCTATAAGAGGGAAGGCAAATGGAGTGAAATACCTTATGTCCAAGCTTTCTTTTCACTGAAGGAGAATCCACAACTATGCAAAGCTTGCAATTTACATTCCACAGGAGGAACGCTCAGCTTACCCTTCCTATTAATGATAAACCTCCTCTAATCTCCCCTGCGCAGAAGGAAACAAGCAAAGAAATCTCCAAAGGACCACAGAAACCCCTGTGCTATCAGTTATGTCCACTTCAAGCTGTAGGGGGAGGGGAATTTGGTCCAACCCGGGTACATGTCCCTTTCTCCTTCTCTGATTTAAAGCAGATCAAGGCAGACCTGAGGAAGTTTTCAGATGATCCTGATAGGTATGTAGATGTCCTACAGGGTCACAGGCAAACCTTTGACCTCACTTGGAGAGATGTCATGCTATTGTTAGATCAAACCCTGGCCTTTAATGAAAAGAATGCGGCTTTAGTTGCAGCCCGAGAGTTTGGAGATACCTGGTATCTTAGTCAAGTAAATGATAGCTGAAGAAAGGGACAAATTCCCTACCAGTCAGCAAGCCGTCCCCAGTATGTATCCCCACTGGGACCTCAACTCAGATCATGGGGACTGGAGTCGTAAACATCTGTTGACCTGTGTTCTAGAAGGACTAAGGAGAATTAGGAAAAAGCCCATGAATTATTCAATAATGTCCACCATAACTCAGGGAAAGGAAGAAAATCCTTCTGCCTTCCTCAAGTGGCTACAGGAGGCCTTAAGAAAATATACTCCCCTGTCACCTGACTGACTAGAGGTTCAATTGATCCTAAAATATAAGTTTATTACCCAATTAGCCATAGAGATCAGAAGAAAGTTCCAAAAGCAAGCCCTGGGCCCTGAACAAAATCTAGAGGCATTATTAAACCTGGCAACTTCAGTGTTCTATAATAGGGACCAAGAGGAACAGACCCAAAAGGAAAAGCAAGATCAGAGAAAGGCCGCAGCCTTAGTCATGGCCCTAAGACAAACAAACCTTGGTGGTTCAGAGAGGACAGAAAATGGAGCAGGCCAATCCCCTGGTAGGGCTTGTTATCAGTGTGGTTTAAAAGGGCACTTTAAAAAAGACTGTCCTATGAGAAACAAGCTGCCCCCTCACCCATGTCCACTATGCCGAGGCAATCACTGGAAGGCACACTGCCCCCAAGGACAAAGGTTCTCTGGGCCAGAAGCCCCCAACCAGATGATCCATCAACAGGACTGAGGGTGCCCGGGGAAAGTGCCAGCTCACGTCATCACTCTCACTGAGCCCCAGGTATGTATAACCATTGAGGGCCAGGAAATTGACTTCGTCCTGGACACTGGCACAGGTTGCTCAGTGTTAATCTCCTGTCCTATCCTGGACAGCTGTCCTCAAGGTCCATTACCATCTGAGGAATCCTGGGACAGCCTGTAGCCAGGTATTTCTCCCACCTCCTCAGTTGTAATTGGGAGACTTTGCTCTTTTCACATGCCCTTCTTGTTATGCCTGAAAATCCCATACCCTTATTAGGGAGGGATATATTAGCCAAAGCTGGAGCTATTATCTACATGAATATGGGGAACAAGTTACCCACTTGTTGTCCCCTGCTTGAGGAGGGAATCAAAACCCTGAAGTCTGGGCATTGGAAGGAGCAAACTCAAGCTCCATCCTTAAGCCTTCCCATAGGATGAAACTTTTCATTATACGTCACAGAGAGAGAGCAGGAATAGCTCTTGGAGTCCTTACTCAGACTCATGAGACAACCCCACAACCAGTGACATACCTAAGTAAGGAAATTGATATAGTAGCAAAAGGCTGCCTCACTGTTTATGTGTAGTTGTGGTGTTGGCTGTCTTAGTGTCAGAGGCTATCAAAATAATACAAGGAAAGGATCTCACTGTCTGGACTACTCATGATGTAAATGGCATACTAGGTGCCAAAGGACGTTTATGGCTATCAGGCAGCCACCTGCTTAGATACCAGGCACTACTCCTTGAGAGACCAGTGCTTCAAGTGCATACATGTGTGGCCCTTGGCCCTGCCGCTTCTCTCCCAGAGGGTGGGGAGCTGGTTGAGCATGGCTGCCAACAGGTTGTAGTCCAGACTTATGCCACCGGAGATGATCTCTTGGAAGTCCCCTTGGCTAATCCTGACCTTAACCTATATGCCAAATGGAGGTTCGTTTGTGGAGAGTGGGATGCGAAGCGCAAGTTATGCCATAGTTAGTGATGTAACAGTACTTGAAAGTAAGCCTTTTCCCCCAGGGACAAGCACCCAGCTAGCAGAACTAGTGGCACTTACCCGAGCCTTAGAACTGGGAAAGGGAAGAATAAATGTGTATACAGATAGCAAGTATGCTTATCTAATCCTACATGCCCATGCTGCAATATGGAAAGAAAGGGAGTTCCTAACCTCTGGGGGAACTCCCATTAAATACCAGAAGGAAATCATGGAGTTATTGCCTGCAGTGCAAAAACCCAAGGAGGTCTTACACTGCCAAAGCCATCAAAAAGGGGAAGGAGAGCGGAGAACAGCAGCATACGTGGCTGGCAGAGGCAGGAAAAGACTAGCAGAAAGGAAAGAGAGAAAGAGACAGAAAGTCAGAGAGAGAGAGAGAGAGGAAGAGACAGAGACAAAGAAGGAGTCAGAGAGAGAGAGGAAGAGACATAGACAAAGAGGGAGTCAGGCAGAGAGAGAAAGAGAGAGACAGAAAGTCAAAGAGAGAGAGGAAGAGACAGACAAAGAGGGAGTCAGAAAGAGACAAAGAAGAAGTCAAAGAGAAAGAAAGAGAGAAAGAGAAGCAGTAAAGAAAAAACAGTGTACCCTATTCCTTTAAAAGCCAAGGTAAATTTCTGTCTACCCAGCTAAGGCATATTCTTCTTATGTGGAACTTCAACCTATATCTGCCTTCCCACTAACTAAGTCCCAACATTAACATTGCCCCAGGAAATCAGACCTTATCAGTACCCCTCAAAGCTCAAGTCTGTCAGCACAGAGCCATACAACTAATACTACTACTTATAGGGTTAGGAATGACTACTGCTACAGGAACCGGAATAACTAGATTATCTACTTCATTATCCTACTACCAGACACTCTCAAAGGATTTCTCAGACAGTTTGCAAGAAATAACGAAATCTATCCTCACTCTATAATCCCAAATAGACTCTTTGGCAGCAGTGACTCTCCAAAACTGCCGAGGCCTAGGCCTCCTCACTGTTGAGAAAGGAGGACTCTGCACCTTCTTAGGGGAAGAGTGTTGTTTTTACACTAACCAGTCAGGGATAGTATGAGATGCTGCCCGGCATTTACAGGAAAAGGCTTCTGAAATCAGACAACACCTTTCAAACTCTTATACCAACCTCTGGGGTTGGGTGACATGGCTTCTCCCCTTTCTAGGTCCCATGGCAGCCGTCTTGCTATTACTCACCTTTGAGCCCTGTATTTTTAAACTCCTTGTCAAATTTGTTTCCTCTAGAATCCAGGCCATCAAGCTATAGATGGTCTTACAAATGGAACCCCAAATGAGCTCAATTAACAACTTCTACCAAAGACTCCTGGACTGACCCTCTGGCCCTTTCACTGGCCTAAAGAGCTCCCCTCTGGAGGACACTACAACTGCAGGTCCTCTTCTTCACCCTTAACCAGCAGGAAGTAGCTAGAGTGGTCATCACCCAATTCCAAACAGTAGTTGGGGTGTCCTGTTTAGAGGGGGGATTGAGAGGTGAGGCCAGCTGGACTTCCTGAGTCGAGTGGGGAATTGGAGAACTTTTCTGTCTAGCTAAAGGTTTGTAAATGCACCAATCAGCACTCTGTAAAAATGCACCAATCAGCACTCTGTGTCTAGCTAATGGTTTATAAACACACCAATCAGCACTCTGTAAAAATGCACCAATCAGCGCTCTGTGTCTAGCTAAAGGTTTGTAAACGCACCAATCAGCACTCTGTAAAAACAGACCAATCAGCACTCTGTAAAATGGACCAATCAGCATTCTGTAAAAATGGACCAATCAGTAGGATGTAGGCGGGGTCAAATAAGGGAATAAAAGCTGGCCACCCAAGCCAGCAGTGGCAATCTGCTTGGGTCCCCTTCGACGTTGTGGAAGCTTTGTTCTTTTGCTCTTCACAATAAATCTTGCTGCTGCTCACTCTTTGGCTCCGCACTACCTTTACGAGCTGTAACACTCACTGCAGAGGTCTGCGGCTTCACTCCTGAAGTCAGCGAGACCACAAACCCACCTGGAGGAACAAACAACTCGGGACGCACCACCTTTAAGAGCTGTAACACTCACTGTGAACGTCTGCAGCTTCACTCCTGAAGTCAGCGAGACCACAAACCCACTGGAAGGAAGAAACTCCAGACGCATCTGAACATCTGAAGGAACAGACTCCGGACACACCATCTTTAAGAACTGTAACGCTCACTGCGAGGGTCCGCGGCTTCATTCTTGAAGTCAGTGAGACCAAGAACCCACCAGAAGGAATAAATTCTGGACACAAAAGTGTATCTGGTATCATCATTCATTCATTAATTCATTGACTAATGCATTTATTATTTCGAGAGTTAACAACTTTGCTATTGCTACATGTCAGAATTTCTTTGAAGGGTCAGTATTCCCAGCCCAGTGATATATGCAGAACAGCAGTCTCAAGGATTTGGGTTTCCCCATTTTTGTGGGATTGTGTTTGCCAAAACAAGAGGGAAGTTGAATGATGAAACTCAGTTGATGAAATATCAACTGGAGACAAAATTTTCAATATGTATAAAATATATTCATTAATTATCATACAAGTTGTATGTATAAATATGTTCCTATAAACATTCAACTGCTTCAGGGATATTCAACTTAGAAATATGCATTTATTCTTGACTTCTTTCTTTCTACATTATTGTGATGTCAATTCCATGTCATGCTTTTCCTTTACAGACCCTCATGGGATCCTTCTAAATGATTTCAGTGTCCTGCTAAATGTCTTCATCTACATTAATTCATTTGCTTTCGTCAAACTAATCCTCTCTTACCACACACACACTGACTGAAATCATTTTAATAAAATACAAACTTGATCATATCAGCCTGCTACTCGAAACCCTTCAGAGATTCCTCATTTCCTTATAAGCTAAAATTCAGATACTTTATCACCTTCAAATACAGTTCCAACAAACCACTCCATATGTATTCTTTTGACTCTCTCAATTTCTAACATTTATACATCTTCATTTTTTATGTACATGGTACATCACAGACATAGAATTATTAGTATTCTCTATTAATACTAATATTCCTTGCCTATCTGAATATTATCCATATTTTAAGCTCTTTTTGTGGGGAGAAAAGTCTTCCTTTAAGGCCATAGTTAAGATTCTAATGTCTTTCTAAAATAATTTATGGATTAATTAAGTTAATCCATGAATTATGCACTCAATATCTATTTATCATGTGCCTACAATGTGTCAGGTAATATCCTAAATTCTGGAAAAAAAAATGGCAGCAGTAAACAAAATATATGAGGACTCTGCCTTCTTAGAATTTAGAATATAATGGAGAAGAAAGGCCATAAGAAAATTAGCAAATAAAAAATTTGTTGAAAGTTGTAATTGAGAAGGAAAAAGACAAGAGAAAGAGACCAAAAAAGGCAAGGGAAAGCCTACTTTGGATTGGGAGACTTCACCTCTATTATATGTTCATGCTGTACAAAACAAGAATGAACCCACTGAGAGAAGCCAGTTCAGCTGGATTATAATTTTGAAAGGGAAGAATATCTGAGATAGGGATTTGGGGCAGTCAGGTCAGGAAGACAATATTAAAGAGGGAAGCTCTTGCTCTGAAGGTGACAGAAAGACCCTGTACGTTAAGAAGAGGAAGTAGATAATTTAAAAAGAAAGTCTACGTGCCATATGGAATATAGGCTGTGTAGGGGCAAAAATCATAGCAATAACCACTCAGGAGGCAAATGAGTGTAAGATACAGATAATGCCAACTTTGGCTAAGCAGGTTGATGGCAGTGGAGATGGAAAGACAGGGACAAAGTGAAACATTCTTTAGCAACAGAAGTTTGCTGAATTGAATTGAATGCACACACTAGTAAACAAACCAATTAAGTATATAGATCAAGAGAAACTTTAGAGGGGATTGCCAAGTTCATTTTAAATATTCTTGAGTTTCAGAGATGTCATGCAGAAGGTAAAAATACAAAAGTGGAACATCTTTTTTGTGTGTGTATGTTTGGACATAAAAGTCATAGATACAAGCAGGGAAATCAGCCATGTTTTACTTTATGAGTTATGTTCACAGTATTCCATGTGCTGAGGAAACAATCTTACCTTTATGAGATCTAGATCATTTAGGAAGCATTCACTCAAACCACTCAGAGAAGTAGGGTAACACATCTCCTAACACTGAAAGGACTATGTGTTTTAATTCAGTAAGTTAAATTAGTACAAAGCTTCATAAACCAGCTAAAGATAGAAGCTGATGAATTGTTCAATGGAGAGAACTGCAGAAGCCCTTTAAGAAAAGCCTACAATTTTAATGGAGTTGTTCAAAGTGTGTCAAAGAACTTATGCAGAAACAGTCCTAAAATATCCCTATTAGATGCATGTATGTTTAGGTTTATTTCAGATTAATTGTGTTAACCCTTGTGGCTTGGAAAAACATTAATAATTGTTAAGTAAATAAATGTAACTGCCTCACCCTGGGTTAGACTACTTGAGGAAGTGCATCTGAAATTTTCTTGAAGATCATTTTCCACAGTTTCAAAACGATTGGCTTTTTCTTGGTTCACACTGTCAAATAAATAAAGCATATCAGAATTCACTTCTGAAGCATGACTGCATACTAAGCAAATTTTGTAAATATGGCCTCTATTTTAATTTCACCATAAAAATATTTTGTTAAACTGAATCCAAAGTATTTTCTCCTGATGCTAAAATAAATAAGCAAATAAAATTAACTATATTTGTTGCAGAAGACCATTGCATGTGTTTTTTACAGTATATCTAAGCAAACAGATATATTAATTTAAATTTAGTTTGTATTAATTGTATATTTTCTTGGAAAACATGACTTTTCAATCACAAGTTTATACTCTAATGAGAGAGACTGCATAAATCCTAATTGCTAAAAAACAACAGTGCTAAATAACAGATACATAATTGTGGAAAATAAGGAAACTATGAGATAGTGTAGTGTTATGTTCAGTCCTGTCTTGGATGATAGCTACAAATAGCAAGTTGTAACTGTCCATAAGAAGATGAAAGGCTCTCTCTTTTCATTAACTAGCTCACCAGGATTAGGTTTGGTTTACTCTTTACTGGAGTAGAAGAGTGACATACAATCTGGTGAAATTTAGGGTAATTTATCCAGTGAGTGATTCACCAAAGCAGCTGGATGCTGCCAAGCTTGGAACTCAACAGCCTCATTCCAAACATTTTCAGGCTCTGGGACAAGAGCACAAATGGAGGCCCATGTACCATAGGTGTAAATATACAGAATTATAAACCAAGCTAACAAAATACTTGACAATTGTGTTCTGCCCTCCTACTCCAACTAAATATTATGTCATCATGTCAAGATTTCATTTCTTCTTTTCACCTTTGGCTCTTCCTTAAGGTCCATTTTCGTAATGTTTATTTCTATCAAATCCCTTAGATTGTACTTTGTTCTCAATTATTTAAAGGATTAAAATGTAATTGTATTCCAAGTATAAGAATTTTAAAATATTTAATCAAAAATAGATAATACAGTCAATAATAATTAATTGTACATTTAAAAAATAACTAAAAGAGTGCAATTGGATTGTTTGTAGTAGAGAGGATAAAGCCTTAAGGGGATGGATACCCTACTTTCTATTATGGTATTATTGCCCATTGCATGCCTGTATCAAAACATCCCATGTACCCAATAAATATATACACTTATTATGTACCCATAACAATTTAAAAATTTTTAAAAATGAATACTGGTTTTCATATGAAAAAGTAAAAATTAAATTTATTTTTGATGTTTAAAATATTTTTCTCAAAAATATTTAAACATTTTTATTAAATGTAACTGACAATATGAGACCATAATGGAGGTAAATACAAACTACTTATATGACGTTAAAATCATTTTTTGGATTTAGTTAAATATAATTAAATATTTTGGAAAAAATTGAATATCTGTGATTTTAACATTTATTGCATCTTTAGTTGCCAATATATGATCCGTGACATGCTTCATGTACATTCAAGGCTTGCCAAACTATTTCTGTAAAGCATCAGAATTAAAATATTTTAGGGTTATGAGCCATACACTGTTGCAACTACTCAACTCATCATTGTTGCACAGAAGCAGCTATACACAATATGTAAATGAATGAGTGTTGCTGTGTCACCAAAAGCCACTTTAGTTCCAGAAACAGGCAGCAGGCCAGATTTTGCTTGTGAACCATAATTTGCTGACCTATGTGATGCAGAATACGTTCTTTGGAATCATAAGGCCCTAACAGCAACTTAACATTGCTCGTTCTGATTAAATGTACATAAACAACTTGCATTTGATCTAAAAAATAAGAAGAATTCAATACCTATTTGTTGAAACAGATATCTCCACTCTCCAATTCTGGTCCACTCTCCAATTCATCCTTTAAAAAGCTAATAGATTAGCCTTTTCCAAACGTCATGCTTTTGGATTAGCAGGGGGGAAGAAAATAAATGTGAGACCATAATAGAAATTCATACTTTTCCAATTGAAATGTGATCAAACTTACCTGACCTAAAAAGGAGTTATACAATTTAGTCGTGCGGCATTTTATAAACACTTCTCATGCTCTCTACATTTACTGATGCCTGGATTCAAATTGCATTCCAAAAAGATCTTGGATAGCTGCTATGGATAAAAAGCCACAGTAATAAACACTCTAGGATAAGACAGCACATATGGAAAGAATGACACAGCAACTGAAGTTTCTATTAAATATCAAAATATATGTAAAATCATTTAAAATTATTCATGAGACAAAACCAAGTTTAAGTAACAGATCTTCAAAGATGATGGATATTCAGATTAAGATTACCTTTAAAAGAGGAAGATCTCACTGATGACCATGGTGGCTACCAGTTCCAGCAGACACCTCTGTCTTGATGTTTAGGGTATATCACCACATGCCAAATACCCAACTAGTTGTCATCTATTGCTAATAGCTATCCAGGAATATCAAATTAGAACAATATTTAGGTAAAGAAAAAGAAACCCATCCAGGCTTGTTCAACTCAAAGCCCATACTTCAAAATTTAGTGCTATGAAACAATCAGTGAAGTGAGTCCATGAGATTGGGTGGTAATTGTAATCTTGGGCTACCACCAAGGGTAGAGCCAACTTATGTCTTACTGTGAATTGGTCAGAGACGTTTCCCAGTGTTCCCCCACCTTCCATCTCTTACTGCTCTGTCCCCATCCCTGTGACTCTGTGGCCCCATCTCTCCTAGTTAACACTTGTTCCATTTAAATAAATCCAGATTCTCAGTTGGCTTTCCAGGTATAAAAGAATGTTCCACTAAACAACTAATGGCTTACCATGCTGTTCCTTCCTGACATAAGCTATTATTTTTTTTTTCTAAGATGAGTTTTACAAAGATCTTCAAAATACATTTTGAAAAAAAAAATTCTTTGAGATACAAAGAAGCATATTACTAATAGTACAATCAATGGAATAGTGACATAATATGGGGGTGAGATTTGTAAAAAGTTCAGTTACCTGTTATACCTATATTTGTAATATGCACTGCACGTACTTGTTAGAAGGAACCAAAATTAACCCTGTAGGTTAAAATCCTAGCAGGTGTTTTGAGTAGAGGGAAAAGTTAACATTCTGGATATCTTTAGAAGCTTAGCATTTTTTAGCACTGTGCATTGCATATACTCCCACTTTAAGATGTCTGTTTATCATTATTTATGACCCTTCCCATTGGAAATTATGTAACTCTCTCAACATTGAGGTTACTCAAATTAAATAAATGTGGAAATTATTACAGTTATTGCAAGCAAAGTGAGCTGTAAATACTATACCTACAGTTTAAGAAGTCAAGTACTAGCCATAAATAATTTTGCCCTTTTATTTCCCATATTAAGAAATAAAACTATCTTATCCATTGTTAGGTTTTAGATTTAATATCTACAAATTCCAAAAAACACTGTTGCCAAAACTGTTGATCAGATGGATATTTTATGAACTTCTCTCAATTGTGTCTTTCAGTTTGAGAAAGTATGGCCTCATGAGTGTCATTATAAAGGGCACCTTTAATTTCATTTCCCGTATCTTCTTAGTATTTACCTTAGTAACATTGCACCATTATTGTATTTTATAAAGCCTAAGACTCATTTAAATGCTAGAAAACTATGCCAAAGGGATTTCATTTACCTCTGGCTGTGCAGGGGATAGAGTTATACAACCCCTATTAATACTAATGGGATTTTATGAATAAATCCTCAGGAATACAGACAAAAATGTATCCCAAGAAGGACATGAAATGAAGACAATAGGCTCACTAGAGCCAAATTAAATGGCAGTTTGATTTTCTGAGCTAATATCTCATAAAAATAGAAGTCACTTACACTTAAAATCACTTAAGAACAGGGATTTCTTTAGTAAAAATTCACACATCTCTTAGGCAACCTAACCTAGTAACTTGTAATTGTCATTGAATGAATATTCCAATGATAAAATACATTTTTAGAAATAAATCACCATGAAATTATATATAGTCTTAATACTACATATTTAATTGTAATGTTTATGTAAACTTCCATAGACAGTAGGAGTATGGACAACAAACCATAGACAAGTATGGACAACAAAAAATATAGAATATTTTTATATGATTTATTGGCAAATGGTGTAATTACTTTTTAAATATGGTAGCAATATTTTAAAACTAAATATTAATTATGTAGGTCTTGCTTATCAGGTTCTGAAAATGGTAATGTTGTAAATAGTTAAGATTTAAACTTTTTATTTTAGATGATTTTATTTATGCTTTTCTCAATGTAGAACTAAATTATTTTCATGGAACAATTGAGATATGTTCCATAACTGATTTCAGTATTTAATTATTTTAAAAGAGTAATCTTCATATATACTAAAAATCTAAATATAAATGAATTTAATCTCAAATGTATGCATACTAGTATAATCATATTTTGTTGAAACGGTTTTATATAAATTTACATAACTTTTTTGTAAACTATATTTTCAAAATATGTCAATTAAAATGACATTTGAATATAGAAGACATTTTACTGAAAAAAAATTTAACTCAGTTTCTTGTCAAATAATAGATAATTTAATATTTCAATTTATAGGAATATGTGTAGATGTTTTTCCTATACAATTTGCCTTTATGTGATAGGGTTCACTGCATACAACATCTCCATTTTTAATGTTATATTCATGATAGATTAATAAACAATTTGTAGTATTGGTCAAGTGCAGAAAAACTTTATTAAAATATATCTGTAAAGATGAAGTTTTAAAATCCCTTAAATACAACAATAACAACAATCATAATTCAAAATATTTCAATTGCAAGAACATAATACATATATACCATATTTTAGGCTTGTTTCTTTTGATATTATTTGAATTTTTGAAGCATAAATGGAACTTAACACTAACGTATAGATTGAGTTTACTAAGATTCATGATAATACCCATTGATTTGCTTTTTGATATGAGGAAGCCAGTATGAGGAGGACTAGGATGTCAGATGTCATCTGGAGCCACCATTCATAGAATGCTTTCATTTAAAGCTCAAAATTGGATGAGTCCAAGTCATTTCAAAGCCTAACTTTCCATGGGCCGAATAGGTTCATGGTACTATAAATTCAAGGGGAACAAAAAAGCTTAATATACAAAAGATCATTGTTAAAACACATATTACTTGATATGTCCAGTAGTGTAGTGAGAGGAGAATTGGTTTTAGAGTCAGACAACTTAGATTTGAATCTTAGATTTGGCACTTAGTTCTGTGTCACCTTAAGTACATTACTTACACTTGCTGAACTTCAGTTTCCTCATCTTGTATATTGGATGAATAGTATCTACCTTATAAAGTGATTATATAGAGAGCTTATTTGTTAAAATGCTTTTGCTTAATAGGTGAGTCATACATAACAATTATTATTCAAGCATGTGCTCATTGCACATAGTAGTTGTTAGCTGCTGGATATCTCAACTTCCCTTATGAGATCAAAACATAGCAAATTAAAACCAGCCCGATATAAATCTGCCAAGTCTAATATCTTTTACCTTTATTTGCTACCTCTAAACTATCTCTGATTTATTTAAAAGATCAATACCTGATTCACCATCATCATACAAGGCAACCAATGCCTTTCTCTTCACTGTTGTCCAAACCTGATTTCCCGCCCTGGTTTAGAATGGCACCTCAGATAGCAAAAGGAATAGCCATTTATCCTAAAACTCCCTGGGGACTACACGTGGTGTGACTGAATTAAGTACTCATTACACCCAAGCTCTGGAAACAAATGCCTATCAAGAGTATAATAGAAAAAAAGAAAAACAAAATGGTGAGGTCAATTCTCTACTGCTTCAATACTTCTTACCCCACCTCCCCCAAGAAAAAAGTATCTCATTCTTGAACCCAAGACACCTTATCCTTTCACAGTCCAAGTGTGCTTGCTTGAAGTAAGTGAGGGTAGATAGTTATTCCCCTTGACCCTTGGCTTACCCACCGTTCAGTTACTTTAGTACCTCTTTCGATGAGAGAAACCAGTACATTGGGTGTGCACTTAATATCACTTAGATCAACAGATTGCACACAGCAGTGGTCTCAGCCTGTTCCCAAGGCTGGCTGCATACAAGTACGACCTCACTTAAGGTCATTGCCAGTAATGGCACTTGATGAACATAAGAACTTCTCCCTACATTTCTTGTATCAGCATTTCTAATCGGCTTTATAATTTCTAAGGCCATTTCATTATATGCAGGGAGGCTTTTTGTTGTCGCTGTCGGTTCAACTGTTTTGTGAAGCCTTGTGTGGAATTCTGAAATAACAGAAGGAAATAAATCATGATATGTATAAAACTTTATCTGCTTTTTCCCTCTGAAGAGAGTGCTTTACAAACCAAATTCTCCAGCTTTCTCATGGGCTTTATTTTCCTTCTTTCCCAAGGACAGATAATCATAACAATATTCTTTAAGAACTCCCCACCATACTCTCTTTGATGTAGAAAGCAGTCCAGCTGTAATTTATTCCCACTTCCTTTTATCTCCAGGGAAAAGAAAAAGCTGGCTAGTTTAGCCTAGTCCTAGCTTTTATCACAGAGGAGAAAAAAGTGCCCTAAAGAATGGATAAGGATGCTGCATATGCTGAATGCTGATGCAAGATTCTGTCTGGGCCTTCTAAGTATTATACCCAATATATTTATTTTACAGAAATCTGTAATAACCCAAAACTGGTTCTTAGATTCGCCAGAATAAGCGTGTCTTCTTTACTGTGAAAGTTGTAATATAAAGAAGAATATAATGAGATCTGTCATCCTGTTTGCTTCACAGAGATCATTATTGCTTATAAAGGTATAGTGACTGGTAGCCTGGACCAGAGTCATACAAGAAAAGCTGTGAAAGGGGTAAAACAGTTGCTTTATACATTAGCGGAGCGAGGGATGATGACACTTGGTGGGAATATACAAGTCTTAGGCCAGTAGCGTAGGTAGTAATAAGTGTAAGCAGCAATACAAATATAATAATGTGCTAGGTCATCATCTTTTCAATTTAGTAATCATTCTCGATGATGCATCAGGGATATAACTATTTTTCCATTTTCATTTGTTTTATCTGTAGTACAAGAGTAATGCATGTGCTTCATAATAAATCCAATCAATATTGAAGGATATAACATGAAAATGAAAGCCTACTTCCCTTCTACTCAGACACACTTTTTAAAAGTCTCCTTTTCGGTTTTCAGATAATTATCTAAATAACTGCAAATATTATATGTATATATCTATTTATAAATTTTTGAGTACTAAACATAATCTACCCCTGCCAGAAAAGTTGTTACTTTATTACACTGCCATTCTTTCCTTGTACTCTTCCAAGTCCTTGCTAACAATATATATACATTTTCATTTTTATTCTATTTATAACTTACATACGTACACAGAACACTGAAACTTCTATTTCTTTACTCAAATGTTAAGAGCATGTTGACTTTTGAAAGAAAGGAGGGAGAAGGAAGAAGCATTTTGAATTGATCTATTTCACCTACACTTTGTTAATACACTTGCTTCCTTATTTCCTTGTGTGCTCTTTAAACAGCCACTTCACTTTATGCCCAATGTCCTCTTCCCTACTTAATCATATAGAGCACATTTTAAAGACTGTTTTTAGAAGTGCAAATGATTTCTATTTTAATTTGCACCCATTGCTTTTTAGGCCAGCTTCACAATTACCATTTAGAATTGTCATTCTTTTACTTCTCTAGGTTAGGCCCTCTTGGATGCCTCGAACCCCTTAAAACAGCTACAGTACCTTTTAAGTAAATATGACAGAGAATGTCTGAGAATGAAACAACGTCTAAGTCTTGCCTGTCCAAATTAGGTTTGTTTTACTGTCATACCTGATCAGTGATTTGTCTGATATTCTTATTGTTCTATGTTTAGTTTGTTCATTTGTTCATCTTGACCCTGTTTTTGCGCTGTTTTTCATGATTTTGGTTGTCAATTAATGTTTATCAATGAAGGATTGTGATATTTAATATTTATTGATAAGGTGGGTATTCTTTCTAGGAATGCATTTTATAATTATTAAGATTTCATATTTTCATATCCTGCACTTAGAAACTCAGTGGCTTTTAAATCCTTTTATATATCAATATACGTGATTCATGACATGCTCTTTGTCACTGTAAGATATTGTAGAAACATCATATTGTTTCAGAAAGGTTTGGACTATACCTTTCTTTCCATTTCTACTAGGCCTACACCCTGTTATCAATGTCCATCACTTTCTGCAGTGATTTCATAGTAGCCCCTTCAATGGTTTCTTTGCCACCAGCCAGCATCAATTTGTTTAAAATTAGAAAATAGCCATTTTAGAAAATAATGCATTGAACCTGCCATGTCCATTTCTATAGTGAAATAAAGAGAGCAGATCAGAAATGCCCTCTACTTTTCACATGTTAACTTAAGTATCTCTGGACTCTCTTGCACTACATTCGTAAAAACATCACCAAGGGTTATTGATCTGAGAAGAACATATCATTATTTAGGCAATTTTCTACCAACATGGTTTACAATGAGGAAGTCTGATTTTAAAAATGAAAACCTGCTTATTGGGAAAGGTATTGCATAGCTGCCTAGTAGTCAACTGTTCTCCACTAAAAAGAAGTGGAAAAAAACTAGATACTTAAGTAACTTCGTAAATGGATTTGGTTCCTAGTAGCCTCAGGAGGTGTTATAATTACCCTGTTTGGGGGTGCTCCATTAGAGGACTATAGAATTTTATTCAGACCTATTTTCAAAGTAGTTTTTGGAGTTTGGAAGTAGAATAACTCAACAAGTATTGTTCTCACTGGGAATCATTCCAGTTCCACCTAAGCTTTCATGTAAGGACAGGATTTGGGAAAGAATGAACAAGAAAATCTTTTAAAATCTTCCTCTTGATTAGAAGTAGTTCAATGTATTCCAGAGGAGTATTATTGTGAAAGAAATTTTAAATAAACTTCCTTATTGTGCCTAGTTTCTGGGATTTCTAAAAATATCTTAGAATATCACATTTTGATATCTATTAGAAAAATATATGTTGCATTAATCAATCCAACATCTTTTACATGCTCCTTCTTCCTGCAATGACACCTCATTTTGATGAGGGAACTCCTCTTCCCCACACCAGCAATGTGCAGGGCTCCAATCTTGCAGTCTCTTGACCCCAGGTTGAGGTTACATAAGTTGTTGAGACCATTCTTTTACTCTGCAGCAGCATTCATCATGTGATCAGAATCTTTCCCTGGAGTTTTCCTAAATCTCTCTAGTTATGGATTCATATGTCTATGAGTACAAAGCATGTCAGTTTGAGAGACTGAAGATGGCACTCAGAAAGAGGAAACATGAGGTTAAAAGCGAATGTGCTGGCAGAAAGCTGTCTCTAGGCATCTCCAGTTCTCCAGTTCTTGAAGTGTCTATACTTCCTGGTTCACTCCTGAGCTTCTCTTGCATGAATTATCCCGTATACCACCCATAAATCTTAAATTTTCTAAAACTTGTATGATTTTCAAATGTAGACTCTTCTGATATGGGAATCATACTGCTAAGGCTTTTCATGTGGAAAGATGCAGCTTGATTAGAGAAGAAAGTGCATGGTTTTAGGATGCAGATGTATACCGACTAGAATGCAGACAGCAGTCAATGTATATTGACTAGAATAGACTTGTCTATTAAAAATCTGCTAATATTTATTTTAAAGAAAAATATATCTCAAAATACTTACAACTGGAGGCTCCCAGAAACATCATCAACTATGTATGTTGTGAGCACTGTGAAAGCAAATAACAAAAGCACTGTTGTGACTATTAAGATGATTATATTTAGGAGTCAAAGAAGTCAACAATTTTGATATAACCAGAGTGCTGTGGAAAAGTAATTGAGGCACCTGACTTAAACCTGAGGCCATGGAAATTAGAATTTTAATTCCATAGGATAAAGAATGACCAGATAATCAATAGTATTATAGGTGCATACTGACATGAAGAACATGAGAATAGATACACACACACACACACACACACACACACATACACACAGACACACACATGAAGGAAGACTAAATACCATGGAAAAATAGGGGAAAATGTACCAGTCATTAGCATTGAGGTATCCTTGAGATATCATATTATTTATTACATATTACTTTTGGAAAAAAAATTTAGCCTTCACTAGGGTATGTGAAACTGAGTCCACAAGCCAAGTTGTGCCCAAAACAGAAACAAAGACACTGCACTCTTAAGTTCATTTTGTCTCAGCATTCTTATTTTATTTGGCAGATAGAAAATTATGTGTAATTTCCTAATTCCCAATCCTTGCTCAGTCTCTTGCCTTTTCTTCAACCTTGAGTATACTTTGGTATCTCCCAGTCTACAGGGTTCCTTCAGGCCCACCTGTGTCTGCATCTCTTGCATTGCATCTTCTGCAGCATACGTGAGACTGTGAATCTGCGGGAAGCCATTGTCCTGAGGTTCTACCATTTCCTCATGGCAATGTCAGTAAGATCTCTTGTTATGGAACCCCAGACTCACCACCCTACACACACTCTGGGAATCTCTCTTTTATATATCCAAGAAAAGCCTCTTATTTATTTTAAGCATGAAATCAGTCTTATACTAAAACTCACATTTATAAAAAGTAATTTATTTTAAGAGAATAGACTCTCTGTGTACTAGGTTCCATAATTCTTAGATGATCTGTGAAAAAGTAACTATCATAATACATTCCTAGCATTTAAAATTTGTTTTAACAAATATTTATTGAGTGCGTACTGTTAAATTAAAATTATGAGAGGCCATGATTTTGGACTGAGCTCCTACACTAAACCCAACAGACGAGGCCAAACCAGAATCAAGTCACCTATACTAAGTGCCAAGTAATCAAAGTGAACTTTAAAATGGGCTAGACAAAACAAAACAAAACAAAACAAAAACAGGAGATTCACAACAATCAATAGAAAGAGACTTATTAATTTGAGCCAGCCTTATAAGTTAGCCCCCTCTGTTTTAACTCTGTAAGGAAAAGGTTCATCCACTTTTTATCTCGTTTCTGTTTCTTTAGCTCTTCTCTGCCTCTGAAGTCCACCTCCTCTGCTCTGCTCACTAAAGGGTCTTTTCTAAATCTTCTAATGAGATACTGACCATTTAATTAATTAGTAATGAAATGCAATTATATCTTTAAATTAAATTTGTTGAAATTTTGTCTCTTAACACTACTATTTTAACAGTAGAGACAGACAATAAAGGAAATTATGGGTAAATAAATGATACAGTGTGTTAAAATGCAGTAGGTGCTATGACAGGAAATAGACCATGTAAAGGGAAATGGATAGGTGAATTTCACCTTTAATAGAGTGGACATCATGGGCACAAATGACCAAAAACTTGAAAAAGGAAAGCCATGAGTTTATCTGAGGAAAGTAATTGCCATGTGAGGAATCTACCAAGAAAGGGTCTAGGGCAGGAACATTTTTGGTGTGTTTGAGGAGCAGCAAGAAACAGTGGCTGAAGCCGAATAAACTAAAGGAAGAAGAAGAAGCAGGTGAGATAAGAGAGGTGTTGAGGGCCAGATCATGAATTGCCTTGAAGGCCATTGTTGTAAGGATTTGGCATTTACTCTGAGTGAAATGGGAGCCATTGGAAAACGTGGATTCTTTCTTAAACCCTTTAAAATACATAGCTAAAATAATGCCCCCTCCGGCAACTTATCGGTACAACAGTTGCCCATTTCAGAAGGAAATTAAAGAGGAAAACAAGAAAGTATTTTAAAAGTTAACAAAAATTCAAAGAAACCCTAAAAGGATTACATAGTGCCAAGTCCCTTTTTTTCTAAACATAGAAGGTAATGGAATACTACAGCACTTCTGAGAAACTCAAAGAAAGGAAGCTATATGTTGTCCCTAGATGGGATTTTCAAAGGTCTCCAGTGCAGGCTGAGCCCCTCTGCCAAACAACACAGTCACTGGGTTTCAGTGGAGATGACCTTTAGCATCAGAATCAGCTGGCGAATGCAGATGAGACTAGCTGTATATAGTACACTTAGGAGTGCTCTGTGCAATATCATCAAAATCATGGAGTAAGATGTTAGCTGCAAAGGGTCCAGAGTATTTGGAATATTTATAAATACATGAATAAAGTAACAATCTGGAAATTATGTTCAGCATATATATTTTATTTCCAGGTCTGGTAAATGAGAAATAGCTGTTTTAGAAGAAGAAGAATCATAATCAGTGATTCATAGTCATTGCTTTGTGCTGTATCTGTATTTGTGTGAAATACATAATTTTGAGCTAACTGTAAAATAGTTGTATGTAACTTATATTTCTGCACTTACTAAAGAAACTGAACTACTATTTATTATTGCTGCTATTTCATCCCTAAAATTTAAAAAATTGAGAAAGAACAAACATTCATGCCATTTTGTCTAGCACTTCTCTTAGCAGTTTTTCTAATATTGTATTTTAACAGTATTTAAGTCATCTTATCTCCAGCTAAATTGTAATGGCCTCAAAATAAGTTGTTTTAATAATGGTTTATGCCTAGACAATAAGAAAGTCTGGAACATAGATGTTTGGTAAATGTTTAAGTGTAATTTTAGTACTACAGTTATGCTTTGGAGAGGTGTGAAGCATTAACTGCTTTTTCCTAGTATACTACCATTTCCTAAGGATAGTATAAATCTGAGAAATCCTATATATATATATTGTCCTCTTCCACAGTAAATCTTTCACGCCAAACAAGGGAGTAGACTAATCTTATAGAGGGTAAAATTTCAAAAGGAAAATAAGAAATGTCAGTAAGAACTAAAAAGATCTGTGATTAAAAAAACAAGAGCAAAATGGTTTAGAAAAGTATAGAAGATGTCTTCCAGATAAAAAAAGCTAAAAGGAAGTCAAATAACAGACCCAAGTACAAAAATAAAGAAAAGAGTGCAAGTCAAAGCCATTTTGTTGATAAATTACAGAAATTATTGATGGTCATCTTTTCATCGCAAAATAAGCTTGAGTGGTTTCTGAAAAAACAAAACAAAACAAAAAAACAATGTTTTAAAGCAATCCAGGAAGGTAAAAATAAGTTCTATCTTGAATTTAAAAGCAACGTTTCTCTCATCTACTGAAATATGTTTTGTGAAGATTTCCAACCTCAGGTTGACAAACATAACAATTCTCCTAAACACGTTGGTGAGTGACATCTAACCGAACTCTGTGCTTTTCTATACATTTTCCTTTTCATTTTATTTTCTTTATTTCCATAGAAAGTTATGAAGGTCATGATGGCAGCAACCACAATGGATAAAACTTGCAAAGAACCATGGTGGTCCAGGTCACATAGGAAAAGTGAGACGGAATGATCTGATAAACTAGGTAAGTTACAGTTTAGAATGAAGGAAGGAACCAGGTGAGATCAAGTTGTTTCAGCTCATAGCTAAATCTTCCCAGAACGGGTAACAGACATTATGTGAGTAAGCCTTCAGATAATTTCAGCCCTAGCATTTTAGCCATCCCAGTACACACCGAGTGGAGCATAGAGGAGCTAATCCTTGCCAAGCCCTGCAGAGTGTATATTCATGAGAAGAATAGATGCTGTTGGTGTTAGACCACTAAGTTTTGGGGAGGTTTTATGCAACATTAGGTAATTAGAACACAGAGAAACAGTGATTTGAATGACTGTGGACTGCGGACTTGGCTTCAGATATAATGAAGGCCTATTAGGTACTATGCTCACTACCTAGGTGATGGGATCATTCATAGCCCAAAGCTAGAGGCATCACACAATATACCCATGTAACTAATCTGTACATGTATGCTCTGAATGTAAAATAAAATTTTAATTAAAAAAATTATGACAAAATAAAGCATATTTAGATAAAAGAAAACCAATACAGTGTGCTTCCAGCAGAAATTCACTATTATAAATAGTAAATGTAGTACTTCAGACTGCAATAGGAATTCATATCTTTAGGAACTAATAAAAATCATTAAAAATTGGACAGGTGCAGTGGCTTACACCTGTAATCCCAGCACTTTGGGAGGCCAAGGTGGGCGGATCACGAGGTCAAGAGTTTGAGACTAGCCTAGCTAATATGGTGAAACCCTGTCTCTACTAAAAATACAAAAATTAGCTTGGCATAGTGGCATGCACCTGTAGTCCCAGCTATCGGGAGGCTGATGCAGAAGAATCACTTGAACCCGGCGGTGGAGGCTGCAGTGAGCCAAGGTCATGCCACTGCACTCCAGCAGCCTGGGCAACAGAGGGAGACTCCGTTGAAAAAAAAAATCATTAAAAATTTAAACAACTTTGACTATAAATTTGAAATTATAATAATTTTTCATGGAATATATATGTTTCATGAATAGTTCATTCTTTATGGTAAAGTTATCAAAGGCATCATAATATATATCATATGATGCCTTTGATATATACACACACACAGATATATATGGATACAAACACACATATGGATATATATATATATATACCTATATAAAATGCCTTTGATAACTATACTCTAAAAAATGATGGGAGTAAAAACACTACAAATTGGAATATTTTCTATGTTTTACATGAAGCATTGCAATATTAGGTATAAATAGACTGTGGAAATTAAAGGATTTATAATGGAATCCTTTAACTGAAGCAAACAATAAAAGTCATGGGTAGCTAAAAATCTAATTGGTAAATTAAGACAGACTTCTACAAAATTAAATAATTCAAACAAAGTGAGAAAAGAGAGCAAAGTGATCACTGACTCAACAAACAGAATAAAACCAATAATGACATTTTATACTTCAGTTCAGACATATAAGTAATTACATCAACTGTGAATAAATTATTACTCTAGTTAAATGCAGAGATGGCCAGAATGGATAAATAAGCAAGCCCAATTCTGTGTTGTTGACATTAACTTTAAATACAAAATCCCAGGTAAACCAAAAGTACATGATACACATAAGTGAAAAAAGTATATACAATCAATACTCATCATTTGTAGATTCTGTTTTTGTAAATTCTAAATCAATACTTGTAATTACCAAATCAATACTTACAATGCTTTCATGATCATTAGCAGACATGTGCAAAGCAGCAAAAAATTGAGTTGCCTGATGCACATCTTCCCCGCTGAGGTCAAAACAAAGTGGCTCTCTGACTTCTTGTTTCAGCTTTCATAGTATAAGCAAGTGTTCTTTCGCGTTTTATTTAGTGCCACATTTTTTTTTATTTCTGTGCTTTTATTGGTGATTTTTCTGTTTAAAATTGCCCCTAAATGTAGTGCTGAAGTGCTGTCTAGTGTTTTTAAGTGCAAGAAGGCTGTGATGCCCCTTAAAGGAAATATACGTGTGTTAGAAAATCATTCAGGCATAAGTTGTAGTGCTGTGGACTATGAGTTCAATGTTCAGGGAAGAATGATATATGTTAAATATTATTAGTTAAGCAAAATTAGTTAAATAAATATATTAGAGGTGTCTCTAACAGAAACACGCATTAGACAAGGTTATTATTGATAGGTGAATGAAAATTTTGCAACCGCAGAAGCCTGACCCTGTCTTTTCCCTAGAAGCAATAGTACAATGTTCCTTAATTTAGTTTACATGACAGCTTTACAAAACGTACTTGTGAAAGTTAGAATCAACTGTACCTTGAAAAGAATAACTTAAGAATAATTTATTGAGTATAATAACAAGCAAAGTTAACTTTAAGACAAGACTATTACCAGAGATAAAGGGGGATGCTTTATAATGAAAATGTTAACTCATTAGACTTAGAAAGCATAAATGTTATGTGCCTAATAACAAGGCTTTCAAATATATGAAGCTAAAATTAAGTTCATCAATTAAAGGGCAAAATTTAAAAATCTCTATATTATTGTAGGAAATTTCACCAGCCCTTTCTAAGCAATTGATAGAACATTAACCAAAATATTACAAAAGACATGGATAATCCTAACAATGATATAAACCACTTTGACCAAATTGAGTTTTATGGATCACCCAATAACAGGAGGAGACATATTATTTCTAAATGAATGTACTTCAACCATATAGTCTATATGCCTAGCCACAAACAAATTTCCATGGGTTTAAAAATACTGCTATGACATAGAGCTTACTATCGGAACAAAATGGAATTAAAAATCAGCAAGAAGATGTCAAGGAGTTACTAAATAATTAGAAAATGAACATCTAAATTATTCATAGTTCAAAAAAGAAATCACAAGAGATTTTAGAAGTATTTCAGACCAAATGATAATAAAAATACAGAATAGCTAAAACAGTATTTTAGAGAAAATTTTTGACTGAAAATGCTTATTTTATAATGAAGGAAAGTTCTAAAAGAAGAAAGGTCTAATATATTCCTTTAAGCTGCTTGACAGTAAAAGTAGAGTAAACCTAAATAAGTAAAAAAAATAAGATATAGCAAAGATTTCAGTAGAAAGTAATAAAAGATAAAATAGATATATTAATAAAGCTAAAGTATGATTGCTGAGAAAATCAATACAATTAATATACCTTGGCTTAAATTGATCAAGAAGAAGCGCAGTGGCTCACGCCTGTAATCCCAGCACTTTGGGAGGCCGAGGCGGGCGGATCACGAGGTCAGAAGATGGAGATCATGCTGGCTAACACAGTGAAACCCCGTCTCTACTAAAAAAAAATACAAAAAAATTAGCCGGGCATGGCAGCGTGCGCCTGTCGTTCTAGCTGCTGGGGAGGCTGAGGCAGGAGAATGGAGTGAACCCGGGAGGCGGAGCTTGCAGTGAGCCGAGATGGCGCCACTGCACTCCAGCCTTGGTGACAGAGCAAGACTCCATCTCAAAAAAACAAAACAGAAGAGAGAGAACATACATTTCCTATATCAAGAAATAGGGGTTATCACTACAGATCCCTCACACATTAAGTGAATAACAAGACTATCATGAACAACTTTAAACCAAAACATTTTGGTATCTTAGATAAAATGGACAAATTCCTTGGGAAGTACAACTTTCCAAAATTGACACAAATTAATCTATAGATTCAAACAATCTAAATAAAAATTTTCATAGATTTTTGTAGAAATCACAAACTAATTTTAACGGTTTATAGAAATGCAAGAAATCTAGAAAATTCAAAGCAGTTTTATAAAGGAAAATATAGAGAACTTACACCACCTGTCCTCTAGACTCACACTTGGTTACAGTAATCAAGGGATTGTGGTATTGGTGGGAAAAATATATATATATATATACACATATATATGTGTGTGTGTGTGATATACATGTATATATACACAAACACACACATTAATATATACACATACACACAGATACACATTAGATAGATGGATAGATAGATAAATGAAATAAAATAGAGTCCAGAAATAAAAACCATACACTAGAGGCCAGTAATGGCAAAAAGGTAATTCAATGGAAGAATGTCCTTTCAATAAATGTTACTGAAAAAACTGCATATCCAAATAGGAAAAAAAACAGGAAGAAATTTTTGCCACCTTGTAACAGGTATGGAATTTTTATATAGGACACAAAAAGATAAACCAGAAAATAAAAATTGATGTTAAAATTAATCATAATTTAAGACTTTGCCTTGAAAGAGATGATATTATGAAAATTAAGAGGTAGTACACTGATCAGAATAAAATATTTGTAATGCACATACCAGAAAAAAAGACTTGGTTCCTGAAGATATTAAAAGTCTAATACATTAATAACAACAATCAATTCATAAATAAACAAAATATAAGAATATGCGTGTCACAAAAGATGATAGTTAATAAGTAAATGAAAGAGTTCTCAACATTACTCAAACACGTTAAAACCACTGTATACTCAAAAACATGGTTAACATTTTAAAAACTGACAATACCTAATGTTGACAAAGATATGGAAGGTTACATTGCCGGTGGTAAGGTAAAATGGTACAACTGCTTTGGAAAATGGTGGCTATTGCTTTATGAAATGATCCAGCACCTACACTCCTCTATAATTATCAATGAGATATTAAAAAGTGTTGACAAATATTTATAAAAGCTTTATTCTTTTTTCTTTTTTAATCATTTATTATTATTTTTATGTAATTTTTATTTTAAGTTCAATGGTAAATATGCAGTTTTGTTATATAGGAAAATTCATTTCATGGAGGTTTGATGTACAGATTATTTTATCACCCAAGTATTAAGCCTACTATTAATTAGTTATTTTTCTTGATCCTGTCCCTCCTCCCACCCTCCACCCTCCAGTAGGCCCCAGTGTATGTTGTTCCCCTCTATGTGTCCATGTGTTCTCATCATTTATCTCCCACTTATAAGTGAGAAGATGTGGTATTTGGTTTCATATTCCTACATTATTTTGCCAAGGATAAGAGCCTCCAGCTCTATTCATGTTCCTGCAAAGGCATGATCTTGTTCTTTTTTATGGCTGCATAGTATTCCATGATGTATATGTACCACATTTTCTTTATCCAGTCTATCTTTGATGGACATTTAGGTTGATTCCATATCTTTGCCCTTGTGAATACGGCTGCAATGAACATATTATTAAAATGGCCATACTAATCAAGGCAATGTATAGATTCAGTGCTATTCCTATTAAACAACCATTGACATTCTTCACAAAACTAAAATAAACTATTTTAAAACTCATATAGAAAGAAGAAAGAGCCCAAATAGCCAAGGCAATTCTAACCAAAAAGAACAAAGCTGCTACACAGCTTCAAACTATACTATAGGGCTACAGTAACCAAAAGAGCATGGTACTGGTATAAAAACAGACTGTAAACAATAAAAATAAAGTTGATTTAAAATGTATGTACAGTATAAACACAATGGAATACTACTCAGCTTAAAAAGAAATAAAACTCTGACACATGCTACAACTTGGTTGAAACTTGAGGACATAATGCTAAGTGAAATAAGCCACAAAAACACAAATATTGCATGATTTCATTTAAAAATACTTAGAATAGTTGAAATCATGAAGACAGAAAGTAGAGAGATGGTTGTCAGGAACTGGGGGACATGGGGTAATGGACCATTATTCTTTAAAGCATATAGAGTTTCAGTTTTGTAAGATTTTAAAAAGTTCTAAAAATAGTGGTGATAGTGCACATTATGAATGTCATATCACTGACACTTAAAAATAGTTAAGATGGTAAAGTTTATAGTATGTATATTATCACAATGAAAAAACAGTTGAAAGGGATTATGTACAGTGATATACACAGGGACAAAATTATTACAATTGAATATTCATAGTGTCCATTGCTGTATTTTGGAGCATATTTCTGATTGGAGAAGAATTCCATTCTGTGCATCAAGGAGAAGTAAATCCTCTGCTTATTGTTTTATGCATCTGCTTATTAATTATAATTTATGATTCCATGCATCCCAAGTTTTGTTTCTTATCAGCTACCTATATACTTCCATTGCCAGGCAACGTGGAACACATTTTGATCCTGTACCTTTTCATCTATGACATCTATTTTGTCGTAATATCACATGAGTGGTGGTAAGTGGAAATAGTATTTCTGGAAGTCATGCCTACATGTGATGGCTTTTAATTACTCGACTATTAAGAGAGTAATTAAAAAAGTGCCTGTGAACCTCATAAGTATATCCCACCAAACTCAAATCAAATTATCCTCAACTTACTTTCCCTTTTATTAGGGTTGACACCACCAGACAGGAGGGGTGGTGAAACGGAGGGGACACCATAGTGGGGAACAAAATCAATCTTAGCCAATTATTGTTAAATATCTTAATTTACAATATTTATTTTTAAAAACTGAATATATTAACATTCTTCTAGTGCCCATCAAAATTTTTTGAAAGGGGCCTTTTCATGTAAGCATTCTTAAAGCTTAAGCTTCACTAATTATACCCCCTCACCCCAAATCCTCTTCTGACCTTGCAAAACTAGAGAAGTATTCGCATGTACTATAAGATCATGAAAGCAATGCCCTGGAATTCAAGAGGGGCTGCATGGATGCAGACAACAGAAATATCAGCAGCACCTATGATGGACTAGAAAGCAGAAGCCCTTCCCTAAATTTGTAAGCACCACATGGACACTCAGATTCTTGTGTTTCTCCGTCTCGTGGAAAGGAAGTCTCAATAATTATAAAGTTTGACTTGTGCACTAACCTGGAAAGTTGTAAGTTAGATTTAAGCTGAATTAAAATATTTTCATCTCACACCCAGATTTGTAGCTGAACATTGATATCAAAAAAATAAGAAATGAAATGAACATAGGCCCTGTCTTTGTGTTAATCAATACTGAGAAAAGACATTCTCTCCCCCTCCTTTGGTAAATACACAAAATAAGTGAAAATAGTCTGTTTGCTCTAAGAAAGACCTTCTCCTGGATGATAAGATTGTGAACCAACTTAACAGCTTACTAATCAAAACTTACTCATTAAGAATCTTATTAACACACTTTCCTTACTATGCTCATGAACCCAAAACTAGTATATCACAATGCAAACCCATTTCTCACCTTGCAAGACCTGCCTAAAAACCACCCAGTCCAGAATTTGAAGCTCTGTAATATTCTCCCTTGATTTCCCCTTTTGAGACATGGCCAAAAATTCTATCAAGGTGGTGTTCTCCCTTGCCAAAATTAAACTAGTAAGTTTGGTTGTGCTTGACCAGTAGGGTTTTCTGGTGGACTTTTGGGGAGTTCACAGTTGACAAAGGGAAAAACAATAGACAAATAACTGGGAGGTAGAAGGCACACGCAAAAAGTCCTCAAGTTTTAAACAAGTAGCTGTCTCTCTCATTGTTACTTTTAAAAATATACTCTGTTATGAAATAAGCTGAAAGAAAAGGCTTGGCTTACTTGGAACCCACATATGTAGAAGATAGTTCTGCTTGTTTGAAGTTGGGACATGGATAACAAATAAGGGAAAGTATGAACTTTGCAATTTTGTCCTATCCAGAGTCGCAGCTGGCACTCTTAGGAATGTAGCAAATGTTTCCTGTGGTACTTCTTATTGAAAAAAGGTAAGCAAAATAAAGGACATATTAACTTTTCCTTTCATTTTCCATTGTTGCCTAACTGGGAAGATTATTTTAACTCTCTGTGGTATAGTTTCCTCATCAGTATAATTACAATACTCTCTACATTCTAATTATGCAGAAAAGACAGTACGCCTTAGTCCATTTTGTGTTACTATAGAGGAATAACTGAGGCTGAGTAATTTATAAACAAAAAAAGTTTACTTGGTTCACAATTCAGCAGACAGTATTAGAAGCATGATGCCAGCATCTGCATCTAGTTAGGGCCTGAGGCTGCTTCTACTCTCGGAGGAAGGTGACGGGGAGACAGGGTGTGTAGAGATCACACAGCAAGAGAGAAAGCAAGAGAGAGCAAAAGGAGAGGTACCAGACTCTTTTCAACAGCCAGCCCTCCTGGGAATTAACAAAGCCAGAATTCACTACTCTTACCCCCAGATAGGGCCTTAATCTATGCATGAGGCATTTGCCCTCATAACCCAAACACCTCTCAATAGGCCCCATCTCCACTACAGGGATGAAATTTGAACATGAGATTTGGAGGAGACAAACATACAAACCATGGCATAGTATGACACATAATTACAGTTTTAAAATCCTATTCAAATCTTTAAGAATCATTCAAAAGGGATCTATATTAAAATTGAATTATTACCAAAAATAATGTTCTTACTCCCAAAATAATGAATGAAGTCACTTAATGCTATGATGAAATGTAGCTTCAATAAATATGAAAAAAACATAATGTGGAGTTATTTTAAAACGGCTAAAGCTATTTTAATTAAACATTAATTTTTTAGAGTTGGAAGCAATCAGTTTTGGTAGGTCATTTGTACACCAAAAAATAGAATTCACAAACTGAATTTATATAAAGGTCAAGCACAACACGCATCAGTTCAAAAATACTAATTAGTGTTTTACCAGTGATTGCATGAGAATATTTATGGATGCAGAATTGAATAGTAGAGATCAAAAATAAGAAGTGTGGGTAGATTTAATGATTTATTGCTCCCACGCTAATCAGGATTTCTGACTCTTTCATCTCTGAGTCACAATTAAACAGTCTTTCTTTTCTCCCTATTCTTCTTTACTTCTTTCCCCAGTGAATTTGACTATTGACATAACTTATAATGAATTTATGTTAATAATTAAGAGGGAAATTATAATTGAAAAGGGAAATAATATTCAAGTTAAATTAAAATGACTTTCATGTGTTTATACACCACACATTATTATTTTTGGTCAATGAAGTACTTCGTTTCAGAAAACAATAGGTTCTCCAAATACAGTTATCTGATTAGATTCATTATTTCACCAGGTCTTTCTTTGAGCATGACAATTGCTTTTGTACTTAAGGTCATTTGCATATATAATTTTTAAAATTGAGATAATTGCAGTAGCATCAAGAAGATTATCTTAAGATAATAAAATCCTTTAGGAAATATTTCATTTGTGTAGCCCAATATGCTGACATCAGTCTCATGATGTACAAATACAGTAGGTACAAACAGAAGCATAATATTCAGATACTTCTTTCTTCAAAGGATCATAGAAATTGAAATCTCAGGGAGACTCTATCTATTTATAAAGGGTAAAGATGCTTTGGGGGAAAAGAAAGTAAGGCCAAAGGAGATTTTCTGATGTTTTTCTCCTAGGGTCACATGATGTAGAAGAAGAAAAACTGTAACCAAATGTTCTCAGCTCTAATTCTCTCCTTTAAGAATAGTTTTAAATGTACAAAAAAAAAAGTGAGTAGACTTTACAGAAGGGTCTCATGTACCTCACTGCCCCCCACACACAAAGTTTCCTTATTATTAACATCTAACATAAATATTGCACATTTTTGCAATTAATGAACCAAAATTAATATATTACTATTCAGTAAAGCCCATAATTGACAATAACTATGAAGTTTAGATAATAAAAATATATTAATTCTGTGTTACACAATTCTGAGCTTGACAAATACATAGTATCATTTATTTACTGTTATAGTATTATACAGAATAGTTTCATTGTTCTAACAATCCCCTGTTTCACCAATTCACCAGCTACCTCTCTATGTAATTTACCATTTTCATACAGTTAGAATCACACGGCATACATCCTTTTCAGACTGGCTTTTTTACCCATATGATTTTAAGGTTCCTTTGGTTTTTTTGGGGGGGGGCTCTGTAGTTTATTTATTTTTATTGCCAAATTATATCCCATTCTATAGTGGTATCACAGTACTTATTCATTCGCCCATTGAGGAACATCATCTTAGTTGCTTCCAGTTTTAGAAATTATGAATAAAACTGCTATAAAAATTTGTGTGCAGGTTTTTGGAGGGTCAGTTTTCAACTCAATCAAGTAGGTGGTAAGGAAATAAAGTAACAGGGATACATTCTGAGAAATGTGTCTGATATGGTTTTTCTGTGTCCCCATTCAAATCTTAACTTGAATTGTATCTCCCAGAATTCCCACATGTTGTGGGAGGGACCCATGGGGAGGTAACAGAATCATGGGGGCTGGTCTTTCCCGTGCTATTTTCATCATAGTGAATAAGTCTCACCAGATCTGATGGGTTTATCAGGGGTTTCCGCTTTTGCTTCCCTCTCATTTTCTCTTGCTGCTGCCGTGTAACAAGTGCCTTTTGCCTCCCGCCATGATTCTGAGGCGTCCCCAGTCACGTGGAGCTGTAAGTCCAATCAAACCTCTTTTTCTTCCCAGCCTCGCTTATGTCTTTGTCAGCAGCGTGAAAGTGGACTAATACAGTGTCATTACACAATTTTGTCATGCCAGCAATATAGAGCGTAGTTACACAAATCTAGATGGTATAGTCTGGTACACACCTAGCCTATATGCTATAGTCCTTTGCTATTGAGCTAAAAACCTGCCCAGCATGTTTCTGTACTGAATACTGTATGCAATTGTAATACAATGGTAAGTACTTGTGTCTCTAAACATACCTGAACAAAAAAAATAGGTATTATACTTGGTATTATACTTCGGTATTATATTTTTATCAAACCAACATCATACATGCTGTTTTTGACCAAAGTATTGTGTGGCTCATGACTGCACTTCCAATAATGATTTAATTTTCTCTTATGTCTAACATTAATCCATACTGTGGGTAAAAATGCTACCCAATTAATAAGTAACTTACATTAAATACTAAACCATATTTGAATATTTTCAAATTCTAACAACCATATAATCTTCTATAGATTAAATTACTATAATTCTTTTTGATTTTTACTTAAATAATATTTTACAAAAAAAGTAAGTTGGTTAATTTTCTCACAATGTTAATTACCTCTAAAAGCTTTACAGCCAAATTTAAATTAACTGTTATAATATGAACTTAGCAATACACCATTTCAGTTTATGATTTTTTAAAAGCAGAAAAATCTTACCACTTATATACAATTTAGGATATGCAATTTCATAACATATAAAAAATTATAAATATAGAACCCAAATATTTCAAATTTATAGTAACAAAGTACCTATATTTTTAAAAAAATATTTAGCAATTAGAAAAAAATTATGTTTGTAATACTGGGAGAAATATTGGTGACAACATTCACAGTGAAAATTGTGTCTTAATTATAGAGTTCATCTAAAAACAATTAAGTGAATTTGACAACAAGCTTGATCTTACTAGTGAATTAGATGGAAAATAACCTGCATTTCTATATATCAATAATGAATAATCTGAAAAAATATGAAATCAATCCCATTTATGATAGCTCAAAAATACCTAGGAAAAATTTATCCAGAGAAGTAAAATGTCTCTACAGTGAGAACTATAAAACACTGATGAAAGAAATTGAAGAGGAGACACAAAATAATGCAAAGATATTCCGTGTTAATTGGAAGAATCAATTTTCTTAAAATCATCATACTACCAAAAGTGATCTGTAGATTCAATGCAATCCCTACCAAAATACCAATAACATTTTCCACAGAAATAGAAAAAAAAAATCACACAGAACCACAAAAGACCCTGAATACACAAAGCAATTCTGAGCAAAGGGAATAAAGCCATGTGCATCACATTGCCTGACTTCAAATTATACCACAAAGCTATTGTTACCAAAATACCATGTTACTGGCATAAAACAGACATATAAACCAATAGTACAGACTAGAGAACCCATACTTAAATAGACACATTTACAGTCAGTTCATTTTCAACAAAGATGCCAGGCACATACATCGGGGAAAGAACACTATCTTCAATAAATGGTGCCAGGAAAACTGAATATCCATATGCAGAATAATAAAACTAGAGCTCTATCTCTCACCTATAAAAAAATTGAAATAGATTAAAGACATAAACATAAGACTTGTAACTATGAAACGACTAGAAGAAAACATTGAGGAAATGCTTCAGGACATAGTTTTGGGTAAAGATTTTTTTGAGTAACACATCAAAAGCAAAAAGCATCCAAAGCAAAAATGGACACATGGGATTACATCAAGTTAAAAAGCTTTTTCACAGCAAAGGAAATAATCAAGTGAAGAGACAACCAGCAGAATGAAATAAAATATTTGCCAACTATCCTTCTGGCAAAGGATTTATCTAGAATATTTAAGGAACTCAACTCAATTGCAATAAAATCCCACAAATAATTTAATTAAAAAGGAGCAAAAAGTCTGAATAGACATTCCTCAAACAAAGAACTACCAATGACCAGCAAGTATATAAAAAAATTCTCTACATCACTAATCATCAGAGAAATGCAATTAAAAAACCACAGTGGGTTATCATCTTACCCCAGTTAAAATAGCTTTCATCAAAATGAGTTAAAAATGAATGCTGATGAGAATGTGGGAAAAGAGGAATGCTTGTACACTGTAGGGAGAAATGCAAATTAGTACAACCACTATGGAAAATACAATGGAGATTTCTCATAAAACTAAAAATAAAACTACCATATAATCCAGAAATCTGACTGCTCTGTATATATCCAAAAGAAAGGAAATCAGTATATTAAAGAGATATCTGCACTCCCATATATATTGCAGCAGTTTTCACAGTACCCACGATATGGAATCAACATAATCTGTATCCATCAACACATGAATTGGAAAAGAAAATGTGTTACATACACACAATGGAATATTATTCCATCATAAAAAGCATGAAATTCTGTCAGTTGCAACAACATGCATTAGGAGAAATCCTGGCATTATGCTAACTGAAATAACTCACGCATAGCAAGACAAATATTAAGTGTTCTCTCCTATGTAGTAACTAGAAGAACAGATCTCATGGAAGTAGAGAATGGAATGATGGTTACGAGAGACTGGGAAGGATAGTAGGTGTGGAGGGATAAATAGGGGTTGGTTAATGATTACAAAAATACAGTTAGATAAAAGAAATGAGATCCAGTGCTCAGTAGCACAACAGGGTGACTATAGTTAGCCATAATATATTGTATATTTTGAAACAACTAGAAGAGTGATTTGGAAAATTCCCGACACACACACATACACACACACAAAATGATACATGTTTGAGGTGATGAATATCTCAATTATCCTGTTTTGATCATTACACATTTTTTGCTTGTATGAAAATATCACGTGTATCACATAAATATGAACCATTATTATGTATGCATACGAATGAAAAAAAATAAATACAATATAAATTTTCTGTTAACTTTATGGCAGCATGTGTCTGCCCAAGGTAGAATCATTTTAAAGATGAATAAAGACAAATAAAGATTTCTCTTCTTCTGCACCCAGATGACACACTCAGTTTCACATAAGGTATACATGGTTGACTCTAGTCAGTACCTAAAAACAATTTTCCAAATTGGTTATACAATGACAAATGACTTTTAACTTCTCAAAACTTATAAAAAGATACAATGAAAATCTGAGCCTGGATCTTCTGGTTGTGTGTCCAGTTGACATGATTCTAGATGAGGAAAGAATAAAAATATCTAGAGAAAGGATCAGCAAGACTTGAATCACTGAATTAACCAGATACAAATGACAAATGTAAAAGGAATTATAGGGATAGAAGGAATAACAAAAAGATAGGATGCCAAATAAACAAGATGCAGTATGGTAGAGGAAGGTGTTTCCTTGGGCTCCATATTGATTTGATTTTTTTTTTCAAAAAGTTTGTACTAAATATTTGCAAAGAGTCTTATGCAGGTGCACAGTCAAAGACAGACGTGCAGGTTCTTTGAGCTGAAAATGCATGTAGAAATTAGCTAGTACTAAGAGTTTTATTCTATAGGAAAAGAATTAAGGTTAAGAGAGATTATATGACCTGTAAAATTCACATAGATGGCAAAATCATGGTTGATTCCTGGTAAGAACATCAACTATAGGAACAAAAGTAATTTATAAGCAAACTGATCAGCATTTTATTATGATAGTTAATCACACACAGAGCATGCTTCAGTAGATGAGTATTTTTCACATAACATAAATTTTTATAATTTATCATACATGATGAAGCATCCTTAAAAATAACATAAAATCACATCATCCCTATATAAAGTCCTTTTCAACATGTGTTTTAGTTAAAACTACTTTAGTTGAGGAGAGGCCTTATGAATATAACAACTAAAAATCATAAAAGACTATATTTCAAATACAACTAGCAAAAATCAACATGTATTGCTTCAAAACAAAATAGATTAAATGTAATCTTTAAATTAGGTGAAGAGATGCAGATACTGACAGGGTAGAGCTAATATAATTTGCTAAGGGTAGACTTCTTTTCTTCTCTAATTAAAATTAATCTGCTCTAAAAATCTTTTGTTCTATGAAGGACACCATATTTTAAGCAATCCATCTTTTTCTCCCTTAGCCTGATGATGTATTATATTAATATATCATTAAAGAGACAGCTTTCAGAAATGATGTATTAGTACAACACATCACTGGAGAAATAGTGAAGATGCGTGACTCATTACAGTTCATGCTAGTCCTTGAAAAAGGGGACTTATTTTATTGAATGAGTTTCTTAAATGTAAAGGACCACAGCAGGGCATATCTGACCACCAATAAATTATCCCAAGTAGTTAAAAATTAAAATATACAGAAAAATTTAGCAAAGTGTGATAATTAGAATTTTGTCTTTGATAGCAGTCAAAGATTATGGAGGGATTCTTCTTAAAACTGAGGGATGAAGTCAATGACACTGAAACAATTTTCAAATCTCTCTAATTTACTACCTGTCATTCTTTAATAGGATTTAAATGAGGAAGACAGTGCTTTATCAATTCTGTTTCTTTAACATCACTAATGTGTCATATTTGTAAGTCTCAGGCCTTATGTAGAAATCCATGACATAAAAATAACATAACTTACTACTATTTGCATTACCAAGAAATAAAATATAAAATATAGCATTGTAGAAATAGCCTAGAAATTTAAATTAGCTTAGCTTGACCTTTATAGGGTTAACAAGACAAGGTTTTTTTTTTTTTGCACTGGATGTATAGTCGTTCAACACTAAAACACAAATTAACCAATACTCATAAGGTCAAGTAAAAAATCAACAGCCAGAAAATATGTTGTTTAAATTGTTTTCTCCATTTCCACATCTGTCCATGTGTATATTTCTTCCATTGTATGACTCTCATTTTTCTGTCCACTGGTTATCAAAGTCTTTTATGAACTGCTAAATTGCTGATTGCTTTTACATGGTAAAATGCAAAGAAAATATAAGAGAATAAATCACTATAGGCCCCCTTCTCGGTTCACTTAATGCCTCCCTTTCTCTCTCTCTCTCTCTCATGCTCATGCATGGATACTCTCTCATTCTCACTCTCAGTTATAAATTTTAACTTTAAAGTTTCATAGCAATTATAAGTTATAGGTGAATTACAAATATTTTCTAAAATAAAGAATCCAATTTTACTTGGTTTAGTTTTTACCTTGGCAGAAAATAAACATATAAAGAACTTACAAAAGTTGAGATGGCGAGTTTTGCTTGGTGGAATGTTTTAAAGCAACTTTATAAATTAAATGAAAATTTAGATTCAAATAACAGTTCCTTGGAATTGCTATATAAACGATTATCTACAATGGTTCAAATGAAAAAATAATGTTTTATGACAAACAAACTTTAAGTAATCTTTACTTGTATCACTATTCTGCAATGCTTACAAGACATCATTAGGACAGTATAATGCACATTAAGGCTCCTCTAATATGACCTACCTCACTCAGATTTTATGAACTATACAAGAAAATCACTTAATTGGCAATTCTGAAACAACTATAAAATTAGAGTTCAATACAATTAGTGTCATTATAAATACGCATGTTTCTAAGCATTTAACTTTAAAAGACAAGAGATTGATGGACCTTTATTACATTTTTTTGAAACCATTTCCTTTAGGGAAATGGATAGAAGAGAATTTTTGGTGTGTCTTAGAAAATCCTTGCTGGACTCTCGAAACAAAATGTGCTTACAATTTCCTCTGTCCAAATTTTTCAGGAATTTCCTGTTTTGAAGTGCCTTTTGTTGTGTACCCCTGTTGTGAACTATATCTTGCTTTAGCAGTTCACTTCTATGCCCTCATGCCATATCTGTCCAGGATAAATCTCAGAGTTTGCCTCAGCTTAAACCTCTCTATCCCAGGAACTCACAATATTTCAACAAATTGTCACTGAATGAATCAAATATGTGAACATCTCCATAAAATGTATCAATTTCATAAAATTAAGAACTAGGTATATAAATTAGAGATCAAAGGGGTAATTTACTTACTGACTCAAGAGAAAAGGTGTTTCCCTAAGAGCTTCGCTAACAAACCCACATCTAACAGAGAATGGTTAGGGTAAATTGTTACTTATTGTATAGATGTTATATAATTACTTGTTGACACTTGTATAAATTTTATTTAAAAACTTGTACAAATAATTTCACTAATTAGTCAAAAATAGGAAATATTTTATAAGAAATGAATCTTTATAATGTTGAATATGTGCAGATAAAATGTCTATTTGGCTGAAAAATATATTTTAATTACTTGTGAACTTTTTCAAATGTTTCCTGATAGTATTTGTACAGTGTTTTCTTAAAGTGTTGTAACTTGTAGAATGATGGCATTTGCTCTAAATCTATCTCTGTGATTTACTGATCAAAGGTAATTCAGCTTTCTAGTTAGAGGAAATCAAATTCAACATATTGCTTTCATTCTGTAGGTGATCTAAAGAGAAGGTTTCTGCAATTTCTAATTCTTTTGAGGTTATGATTCATGTTTGATGCCCCCTCCTCAAATCCACCCCTCCTTAGGATTAATGTGAATAAAATTAATTCACATTAATTCTAAGATTCTGGATTCTATGGATCAGGTAAGTTGGTTATTCAGATGAAAGTACCATGTTTACCAGGAAGATGCATGCAATAATATGGAAAACCTCAAACTACTATTATGGGGAAAAGGGTCAAAAGAGGCATTAAGGGGTAAAGAAGGAAGAATATTGGAGGAAGTGATGTTTGCCTTTTTTAATATGTGGGAATGAGAGGGCAAATGGTGAGAATAATTTGAATAATAGCCTTGGTGTCCACCACAGCCCACTAGATTCATATTTATATGATGCTTTGTCAATCTCCAAATTGTAAATGTCTTCAGCTATCTCTCCTGTCATGGAATTTTGTATATATAAGTCTATGCTTCCTTTTTTCTGACCATAACTGCCATTCATCCTTACCTACCCACATCTGTTTCATGATGCTTCATGAAATCCCCATTCCATACCAAGGAGCTCACTATTTCTCCTTTATCTGAACCCTGTAAACTTTCTTATTTCCTCGTATCTCTCCAGACACTCTCCTGGAGACACCTATCTTCCCTGAGGGCACCATATCTTCTTCAGCACTTTGCAGTGGATGCTCTTTATTATTTTCCAACCCATGAAAATAAGAATCATGCATGAAATTATTACTTCTAAAGGCAGGTGTGTTTTGACTTCTCTCACTTTTTGCTGTTTTCTGTCCCCATAGTTTCGGCTCATTTGCTGGTCTCCTTTTGTTCTCTTCATGTATTGAAGATCTCACTGGCTTTCCTTTCTCTGGAACCATTACCCAAGCTATGGCTTCATCAGGAGGGTCTTCAACAGTTCAATGAACAACCATTCAATATCCTCACTCCTCTCCATCATTTTCAGTGACTTGAACTTCCACTGCACCTCCCAGCCCTAATCCTTCCATGCAGGAAACACGGAAGCTGCAAAGTAGAATAGTCAAATCTGTCACCCTCTAATATCAACCTACAGACCAGGGGGGTTCACGTTTCACCGGCCCTTCAACATTGCTGGGACCTCTAGTCCCTTTTCACTCCATGATCACTACAGTCTCATCCTATTTTTTCATCTTTGTAGTTTTTGGCATAGATCCCCTTGTCTATCACTTAAACCATTTGCTTGATAATTTCTAAATTTCTCTACTTTTCTATCTTTCTGTAAACAGTTAAGGCAGCAAAGTCCAAATGTTTGCTTTCTTCTAGCCCAGTGATTTTCAAACATTTTTGTCTAAAAATACTTTTAAGCTTAAACATTATGAAGGACTACAAATAGCTTTTTTTTTATTCTTAGGTTATGTCTGTCAGTATTTATCATAGCAGAAATTAAAACTGTGAAATTAAAAAATAAACATTAAAATAATAAACAATAATAAACCCATTACATATTAACAAAAACACAGTTTGACATAAAATAACTATCTTATCAAAAACAAAACAAAACAAAATAATGGAAAGAGTAGGCTTGTTCTATGTTTTTTGCAAGTTTCTTTAATGCCTAGCTAAATAAATGGTAGCTAGATGACATGTGCCAACCTGATACATCATCTTTTGGCTATTTTTTCTACTTTATTAGACGTGTCTTTTTTTGTCTAACCGAACCCAGCTGATTCCAAATGTTCACTTTCAATTTTTGACTCACCATTGCAGATGATTTTTTGAGCCAGAATTAACAAATTTAAAACAAAAGAAATAAGAAATAAGCTCATTAATTTCCCTTTCCCACACCCTCACATTTGTTTTTGTTTATCTTGAATTATGACACTAAATAATAATATTAGAAAAAGAGAAAATACTTTGTTGTTGTTAAATCTAGCTCTGTGGACACAAAGCAAAACTCCATGTCCCAATCTCCTCTACCTGGTCCCCATGTAGAATAATCTCAAGACTGAATATTTTTCTGGATGGATATGAATGACATAAAATTTGATGTTGATGTTCCTTTTACAAACTGTGCTGATTTCAACTCTTGTGATTGTTTGGTATATTTTTAAGGCATAAAATAAAATAAGTCACATTCTGTAGCAGCTTCATCTGTGACACACATATTTAACTGAAGGGCTCAGCCCTACTGGCTTCCTGTTAGATTGCCAGCTCCTCAAGGAGCCCATTTTCCCAAAAGATTGGTCTCAGTGATTACTGCCATTATGGTGTTATTTTGTAACACTCAACTAGAAATATTTGGCATCAAATTACTATTGACTGAAATTTTTTGTATTCCCTAGGGGAACAAATTTGACTCAGCAAATTCCCTTCATTGGGGCCCTCCCAACCTGGATGGGACAGTGCTTCTTCTTGGCTAAAATCAACTCATATTTCAAGTGTAGTTTTGCCTTTCTTTCCTGTTCCTAGTGCTTCAGCACCAAAATCCAAGTAGTTTTACAGAGTATTTGAGCCCCCAGCATGGATTCTGTTCAACTCTTCACTGAACCAGGCAGGAGACCTACTGTCTCAGTATATTTGGTGTTTTTATAAAGAAATATCTGAGGCTGGGTAATGTATAAAGAAAAGAGGTTTCTTTGGTTTATGGTTCTGCAGGCTGTACAAGAAGCAGGTGCCAACATATACTTCTGGTGAGGGTTTCAGGCAGCTTCAACTCATGGTGCAAGGTGAAGGGGAACCATTATGTGCAGAGATTACATGGTGAGAGAGGAAGCAGGAGAGAGGGGAGGGAGGTGCCAGGCTGTTTTAACAGCCAGCCCTCATGAAAACTAATAGAGTGAGAATACTTTCAATCCCAACACCCTCCACAGGGAGGGCCATTAATCTATTTTTGAGGAATCTGCCCTCATGACCCAAATTATAACACGCCCCGTCTCTTACATTGGGGATCAAATTTCAACATAAAATTTGAGGAGAAAACATACAAACTGTGGCATTTGGCTCTAGCCCTCCAAAATTAATGTCCTTCTCACGTTGAAGAATACAATCATCCCTTTTCAATAGTCTCCAAAAGTCTTAACTTGTTTGTTCCATTATCAACTCAAAAAAGTTCAAAGTCCAAAATCTGAGACTCAAGGCAAATTATTTAGTCGTGAACCTGTACAATCAAAAACATATTATTTACTTTAAGATGTAATGGCTGTACAGGCATTGGGTAGACATTCCCATCCTAAAAGCGAGAAGTTGGCCAAAAGAAAGGAGTAATAAGCCCCATGCAAGCCCCAAACCCAGCAAGGCAGACATTAAATCTTAAAGTTTCAAAATAACTTGCTTCCTGGGCTTTACTAGGTACTGCTGTAGTAGAGGATTTCTGAAGAGGCTCTTCTCTTCTGGAAGGCTACTGCCTGGGCACCTATGCATTCCAATACATCCTCTGAAATCTCAGCGGAAGTCACCAAGCTTCCATTCTGGGCAACTCTGAAGACAATACCACATGGCTGCCAAGACTTACTGCTTTTGTTCTTTGGAGCAGTGCCCAAAATACACCTGGGGATATTTGAGCTGAGGCTGAAGCCTGAGTGGTGGGGATATAAGTGGCAGCATCCTGAGGCAGAGCAGGGCAGCAGCACCTCAGTCCTGCCCTTGAAACCATTCTGTCTTTCTGGGCCAGAGGGTCTGTTATGGGAGAGAAAGCACTGAATATTTCTGAAATGTTTTTGGAAGCTTTTATCTATCATTTTGACTCTGAGCATCTGGCTGCCTTTTAGTCATGCAAATCTCTCTAGCAAGTGATTGCTCTGCAGCATCCTTGCATGAGTTGAAGCTGCCTGAAGCCCTTACCAGAAGCATTTGCTGACACCTACTTCTTTCTACAGCCTGCATAACCTTAAGCCAAATAAACCTCTTTTCTTTATACATTACCCAGCCTCAGGTATCCCTTTATGGCAACACTAACCTGGCCATGCAATAGAAAAGAGAAAGCAGTTCCTCCAGATACCCTAGGTCATCACTCTTAAGTTCAGCCTTCCACAAAGCTCTAGGGCATGAACACAAGGCAGCAAAAGGTTTTTTTTTGCTTTGTTTTGTTTTGTTTTTTTTTGTTTTTTTCTTTTTCCTACAGCATAACAAGGATGAACTTTGGTCCAGTTCCCAATAACTTTCTCATTTCCATCTGAGACCTCTCAGTATGGCATTTATTGTTAGTATTTCTATCAGCATTTTGATCACAAAGACTTATGCAATCTCAAATGATTTACAGACTTTCTGTCATCTGTTTTTCTTCTGAGCCCTCTAGCCCTCCAAACTCTTCCAAACATTGCCACTTACTCAGTTCCAAAGCTACTTCCGCATTTTTGGATATCCTTATAGCAACACCCTACTTCTCTGTACTAATTTTAGGTCTTAGTCTATTTAGTGTTGCTATAAGGAAATACTTGAGGCTGGATGATTTAAAAAGAAAAGAGATTTATTTGGTTCATAATCGTGCAGGCTGTACAAGAAGGATAGCATCAACATCTGCATCTGGTGAGGACCTCAGGAAGCAAGGAGAAGGGGAGCCAGCATGTGCAGAGATCACATGGCAAGAAAGGAAGCAAGAGAGAGGGGAGAGGTGCGGGTTCTTTTTAACATCCAGCTCTCATGGAAACTAATAGAGTGAGAATTAACTCCAGCCCCTGCCTCAGGGAGGGCATTAATGTATTCATGACAGATCAGCCAAAACACCTCCCATTAGGTCCCACCTCCAACACTGAGCATCAAACATGAGGTATGGGAAACAAACATTAAAAAAAAAATCACCTATTTACAGCTCATTCAGCACAGCTGTGGATGTATGACAATGGGCTCCACTGATTCTATCACATGCCACACTTCCCAGAAATTGTCAGAATGAGAGAGTAATTTAGCAGCTAATAATGTTATAGCTAAAGTGACAGCTCAGAGATAATACCCTGTGGTATTCCACACTTTGGGTACTGAAGCACTCATTCCCTACCAGCTGCTAGGGATGTTAATGGTTAAAGTATTCAGCTGGGTTTCCACTTACCCTTTAGTTCTGCCTTGTTCACCCTATGATTGCCAAGATTGTCAGTAGGTGGAAGAAAGCTAACTCAAGGTCATGTTTCTTTTCTTCCCAAAACCTGGCGATGCAATGAGATAAAGCCTGGTATCCCTGCACTCAAATGAGAGAATTCTGGGCCAATCCAGTTCCAGAGTCTGGTGACAATGTGCCTAAACATTTGTGTTCTGAGTAAGAAAAAACATGGGATAATAATTATTGGAAAACTTTCACTGGCACACCAGGCTATTACATATCTAAAACTTACAAATTTTGCCAGCAAGGAGAGTTTGCTGTATATCATGTCACTTCAATAATTGAGAAATGAAGTATTATATAAATGATTTTTGAATAAATAAAGGAGAAGACGCTGATATTTTGTGTGTCCATATCCACATATGTATCTGTGTTTTTTTTTTTAACTTATAATCATAGGAGAAAACTGAAACCATTGGGATGACTATGAACATAATGGTGGGGAAGATACTTGCTATTTGCTCCAGAGAGATTGCTAAAACCAAAAGAAATGATACACTGATTCTATTGAAAATGACCATCTTTTTAAAGCAAAACGAGGTGATTAATGTGTAACATGTTTCACCTGAAGCTATTGATGGCAGGATATGTGACATTGCTCCACATATTCAATCAGAGAAATGTCAGTTAATTGTCAGGTTTACAGCTGCCTGTGATTCAATGAAGTTGTTTCTTGCCAAAGGTGATTCTGTTCAAATAGAATTTGCAACAAGAAGAGTAGTAATTTCATAAAGAAAAAAAGTACAATCAGAGTTTCAATCACATCCTAAGCCTATTTCCATATTCTTTGAAACCATTTTCCATCAACATTAACAAGCAACACTTTTTTCTGCAAGTAGAAATGAATAAAATATTGCATTGCGTTATTGTAATAGAGTCTGCAAGACAAAAATGTAAATGTAAAATTAATATAAAATTTTCAGAGCTGGATCTTTTTCAAGTTATTTATTTATTAGCTACCCCTGCTTCTGCTTTATGAAGATATCTCCAGTTTTATACAGGCACTATTGTGGCCAGCCCCAGGGGATGTATTATGATGGGTTCATCATCATCCCTTTCCCTGAGGAATATACTCACTTTACTTACTTGCAGTTAACGGTGGTTATATGACAAGCTTCCTGTCAGTATCATGTTGGGGCAGGCCTACTAGGAGGGTGCCAGGAAAAAATTCTGCTTTTTACCTAAAGGGACAGGAGTGTAAAGAGGTCTTACTGTGCCATCTCTTCTTCCTTTATATGTTTGGAAACTGCTTTGAAAATGTAATATACGGAGATCATTTTGTGTCACATGGAAGATAAAAATCGCTGGAATGTCAACCTTTTACCCTGTTATCATTGAGCTGCAAAAGCAACCCTGGAAATTCCTCTTCCTAGACTTCCTTTAAGTGACCAGCCAACATCATAATGTGATAAATCAGAATTGCTAAAACTACTATTGCTTGTCTCTAGAAACACCCAAAATTTAAAATATTTATTGAGAGCTTACTCTATGTCAAGCTCTATTATAAATTATTTGCATGCACTAATTAACTTAATTTTCAAGACAATTCTTTGAAATATGCATTATCTCTATGTTATGCCCGAAGAAAATTAGTCCTAGAGAAATTGATCAAGGTCCCATAGCTACTAAGTGGCAGAAACAAAATTATAGGCAGGCCAAATAAAATGTTTTCAGGCATAAAAAAGATGAAGAGGCCAGGTGCGGTGGCCCACGCCTATAATCCCAGCACTTTGGGAGGCCGAGACCGGCAGACCATCTGAGGTCGGGATTTCAAGACCAGCCTGGCCAACATGGCGAAACCCTGTCTCCACTAAAAATACAAAAATTTGCAGGGCCTCAAATCCCAGCTACTCAGGAGGCTGAGGCAGGAGAATCACTTGAACCCAGGAGGCAAAGGTTGCAGTGAGCCAAGATCGTGCCACTGCACTCCAGCCTAGGCAACAGGGCGAGGCTCTGTCTAAGAAAAAAAAAATGAAGAATTCATAGCCAGGAAACCTGAATTTCAATAAATAAATAAATAAATAAATAAAGTTAAAAGAAGTTCTTCAAGAAGACAGAAAATGATCCCAAATGGAAATGGAAATCTAGATCTACACAAAGCAACAAAAAATACTAAAAATAGGCAAAAATATTACTTTTTCTTATGATTCAAATTTTCTTAAAATGTAACTAATGATTACATAAAAATAATTTCAATATAGTGAGTTTAAAACATATGCAAGTAGCAGCAATAGCACAAGTGTGGTCAAGGTGAGAAAAATGAAAACATGCTATTATAAGATTCACATTTTATGTGAAACTGTATAATGTATAAACTTGAAGTTAACTTAGGCTGTGATAGGTTAAACATGAATACTATAAATCCTCAAGTGACCACTAAAATAATAAAACAAAAAGTATTACCTAAGAATTTAGCAATAAAACAATAAATTATTATTACACACAGCAATGTGAATGAATCTCAAAATATTTATGCTGACCACAAGGCACCAATAAAATTCTAGAAATGGATTTGCTCATGTTTTATAATTAACATTATATTATTATTTTAAAAATTTCAGTGAGAATTGATTGAGGTAGGTATAGTAAATGAAATCTCTTGAGGAATTCAATTATCAAGAGAGAAAAAATGATAGTTAAATTTAGATGAATATAGAGTTGAAGGAGATATTAATAACCATGTCTATTTAGTTATAAGGAACCAGAAGAAATAATAAACTCAGAATATAAGAACTGGAGAAAATCCATGTATGATTGGCTCAGTGGCCAGGCAAGTGTTGACTGGAGTGAAGAGCGTTAGGAAAATTTTCCTGGACATCTGAATGAAGGTTGCAGTGGATGTAGACGTGTGCTCATGGATGGATCCAGTAAGTTGGATGAACTCATATTTGAACACTGCTATGATCTGAATGTTTGTATCTCTCCCAAAATCTATTGAATGCAAGTCCCCACTGTACTTGAAGGTGTGGCCTTTTGAAGCTGCTTTGCCCTTTTCACTATGTGAGAATGAAGTGAAAAGATGCCGCCTATGAATGAGGAAATGGACCCCTTTCTCCTTGTATCAAAGGAATTTCTTCTTACTTATTATGCTTAGTATACATGGTGTTTCAATCGTAATTTTCATAATTTCTGCAAATGATCAATCATTGCCTCACAGTATTTTTCCATTTGCATTATCTTTATGTGCTTCATTTAGATGTCTGTTTCAAGAATTTACATTTTTGTATTTTTCTTTGGATGCCATAAAACCCCTCCAACTTTTTCCCCTTTCCTTGTCTTTTGTGCTATTTCTTTAAAGTTTATCTTGCAGGCCACAGACTCTTCATTCCACTGTTCCTGCTTTTTGATATCTCTACTGAGTTGTTAATTTTAATAATTTATGTTTTCATTTCTATTTGGTTATTTTGAAATCTGGTCATTTTTAAATAGTCTCTTATTTTTTATTTAAATATTTTTTCAAAACATCATTATGTATGTGAGTGTTACATCCTGTTTTTTGTTTGTTTATTTGCTTGTTTGTTTTGAGATGAAGTCTTGCTCTTGTCCTCCAGCCTGGAGTGCAATGACGCAATCTCGGCTCACTGCAACCTCCACCTCCCGGGTTCAAGCGATTCTCCTGCCTCAGCCTCCCAAGTAGCTGGGATTACAGGCACCTGCTACCACACCCAGCTAATTTTTTTGTGTTTAGTAGAGACAGGGTTTCACCATGTTGGCCAGGCTGGTCCCGAACTCCTGATCTCAGGTGATCCACCTGCCTTGGCCTCTCAAAGTGCTGGGATTACAGGTGTGAACCACCACGCCCGTCCTACATCCTGTTTTTTAATATTTCAGTATCTAAAATGCTTTGGAGATTCTATCTTGATTGCTTTTATTATCATCATCATCATTATTATTACTACAGCTTAGTGGAATTTCTTTACTGGTGTTTTGATATATTTTTTTTGGCTCCTATTTTGCTAGCCTATCTGATAGAAGTGTTGAGCACACAAGAGTGCAGATTCAGTTGGCATTTATAGGTATGGTGTGGAGTGGGGCCGCTAAACCTAGGTGTATTCAGTTTTAATCTACCAACATGGAATATCCCAATTACGATGGTAATATTATGTCAAACCAAGAAATATTGTGAGACCAGGCCTCTCTCACAACTTCTTAGGGGAAATGATTATTGTCATAGTTTTGGTTATTTATTTTTATCATACATAGAGCCTGAGGATAAAAACAAATGTTTCCTGGTTGGCTGTTACAAATAGATGGTTGCTTTCCTTTTAAGAAAATGTGTGTGTGTGTGTGTGTGTGTGTGTGTGCACATGTGTGTGTCTGTGTCTGTGTAGTTAATACCACACTTCCAGGTAGGGTATATTTTTTAAGAGTCCCAGTTTTATGTGTGGATTTAAGGTTATCTGTCTTAATTTATTAGGCCAAGGTCCATGGTCATAATCTCCATATGCTGTTAATATCCAAAATTTAGTTTCCTATATTTGGTAGCAACCCAAAGGGCAACCCCAGCTTCCAGATCTGTTTATTTTGCCTTCACACACAGATTCCTGTGGGTCTTGTGAAATAGAAAAAATGGTGGTAGAAGGAGACTCTTGAGAATTTCTGATACATTCTTCTGAGCTGGTCTGAGTTTCTCAGATCATTTATGAATTTGTTTGTTGATTTTATTCAACCTCTAGGTGTTTTGTATCAGAAGAGCTGGTTTGTCTTGTTGACCATAACCAGAAGTCAGCCTTGGCAGACTTGGTTTTGTTTTTGTTTTTTTTTTTTTATTTTTTATTTTGTTTTTGGAGGTAGAGTCTCGCTCTGTCACTAGGCTGGAGTGCAGTGGTGCAATCTCGGCTCACTGCAACCTCTGCCTCCCAGGTTCAAGCGATTCTCCTGCCTCAGCCTCCCGAGTAGCTGGTACTACAGGCACTCGCCACCACACCCGGCTAATTTTTGTATTTTTAGTAGAGATGGTGTTTCACCATGTTGGCCGGGATGGTCTTAATCTCTTCGTGATCTGCCCGCCTCGGCCTCCCAAAGTGCTGGGATTATAAGCGTAAGCCACCGCGCCCAGCCAGCAGGCTTGATTTTTATGAAAAAAAGCATATTAAAAAGTAGAAAAACTGTTTGCAAAAAAAAAAGCCATTCTTATTTAACCAAATAGGAAAAGAATGTAGTGTGTGTGTGTGTGTGTGTGTGTGTAGTTTTTGGAATTAATGTTTTCATCAAATGATATCTACATGTCTAGTTTCCACTCTTAACAAGATTTTGTTAACTGCTTTCGCTTAAGTCAATTTTCTCATAAAGACATTTTCAAAATTTGAATATGTAATGATTTATAAAAACACATGGGTCAATGGCCATTAGCTTCAATAAAACATAATTAGGAATACTTTTGTTTTTTTTCCAAAAATTTGGTGAATTTCTTTGAGGACACTTAGGAGTCTCAGTATTTAAAATTTTTAAATTGAATTTAGAATTTTTCTAATTTTCTTTCATGAATCTGAAGTAGAATTGAATGTAGGAAAAAAACAGAAATAAAACAGTATAGATAAACTGGCTCTGAGTTTATTATTTTCACAAGAGGGAAAATAAAAATCTATTTTTGAAATCATTGAAATTCAGACTTTCAGTTTTATACATGCCATGGGATACCTACATAGCAGTCAATATGGTGCAAATATTTTATTGCTTAGCCAGAAATGTTAAAATTAAAAAAGCATCTGAAAATGACAAGTTTAAAGAATTCCATTAGAGAACTTAAAATGCAACATAACTCAATCAGCATCCAGAGCCTTAATTAAAATTTTACAATTGGAAACCACTATAGATTAAGTGCCCTAAAAAGTAAATTCTCCTTCATGTATATGAACCAATTACTTAAAAGAAAGGGGTGGGGGATATCGAAGAATTCTGATCAAACCAATAAAAACATAAGCATGAAGATGAAATTATTGACTATTGATTACATTTAAATCACATTAAAATGCCATTAGATTTCTTAATAGTTGACTAGCCTAGTAAAGAGCATTGCCAACATATGTACGTTTCTATAATAATAAAAATAGATGAGAAAATAATGCATTTTGAACAAAGTGCTCATTTGTATATTTTAAATAGCAGAGATACAAAAAAGATGACTGAAAATTTTAATTCAGTTCCATAAAAGGAGTTTTGTTGTCAAGTGTGTCATCTTATATACTAATGTACAACTGAACTACCATTTTAGGTTGTAAGATGTTCAGCACAGAGTCAGGTAACTTGATGCTCTCCGTATTTTGGTGTCCAGTGCTAAGTGATTTAAAAAAAATTTGTGTCTAGACATAGTCGCGTTTTAGAATTGTGGTTAGGCTCGTAGCAGTACTGTGATGCAGAGCTACACATATTGGAGCAGTTGGTTTCAGAATACCTATGATCTTGTTAAATAAGGAACTCCCACAGAGTAATGACAAGCATAGGTAATGGAGAACCTTTTTAAGCACAAAGCATGGAGCTTAGCCCTGAAGTGCAGGCACAGCATGGCCCTGTATAACTGAACCTGATGCAGAGGCCGAGAGCAGACAGCTCACGGAGCACATGTGGTGGTGAGAAGCAGCCTAAGCCTCGAGATGTAAGAAGTCACAGGCCCTGCAGAGGTGAGTCTCATAAATCAATGACCAATCCTTATGTGTGCTCAGATGGGCATTCTTGCTGAGTCATTGATCTTTTTATCCAAACCCAAACTGATGGCAGTAATCATTGATTGCATTGCTATATTTAAAATGTGCATCTTCAAAATTGCAAGTTTATTTAATAGACCATTTTAACTATGAAACATCAAAAGCATTAAATTTCTCAAGATATTTTCAAATGTATCAAAGAAAATTAACTTACATGAACTCGGTCCAACATTTAAGACTATCTTATTGAGATAAAAAACTAGAGAAATACTGAAATTTTGATCAGTGTTTTGTTTTGTCATAGGGGTTACTATGAGCCAGCATTTAAATACTAATTAGCTGCAGTAAAATATTTACTGAAAGACCATTCAGCATTTGAGAGAACACATACCAAAATGGAGGCTACAAATAAGGGGGTAAAATTCACTTCTATGTAAAAATAATCATGGTAAACATGAATTGCCAGTGAAAATCACATGCTCTTCAAGTCAGAGCTACTAGTTTCCGAAGGGCACCATCTCCACTCATGTATTTGAGTATGCTTATAACAACGCATGTTTCTGTTAAAAGTGCATATATTACAAAAATATTTTTATGAAAGAGCATTCTTAGCATATATGAGGATATTTTGATCAACTAATATATTTTTCCTTGTCTTTACACAAAAGAGTTGTCTTAGGCTGAACTTTCTTTTGTGTCGTTTGTATTGTGATAAGTAACACATTCAACCTGCCCTCTTAAAAAATGTTTAAGTATACAGTACAGTATTGTTCATTGTAAGTAAAATTTTGTATAGCAGATATCTAGGATTTTTCATCTTGTGTGACTCTGTACCCATCGAACAGCAACTTCTCATGTCTCCTTCCTCTCAGCCACTGAAAACCACAATTATACTTCCTGCCTCTATGAGTTTGGCTACTTTAGATAATTCTCATATAAGTGGAATCACATAGTATTTGTCCTTCTGTGACTTTCTTATTTTAGTTAGCATGACGTCCTCAAGGTTCATCCGTGTTGTAGCACATTACAGGATTTCCTTTTGTATGGCCGAATAATACGACACTGTATGTAGGTATCTGCACAGCAAAAAAATCAATCGGTAGAATAAAATGGCAACCTATAGAATGGGAGAGAATATTTGCAAACCATATATCTGAGAAGGGGTTACTATCTAAAAAATTTAAACAAATTTTAAATTTCTATAAATTTATGGGTATACATGTAGTTTTGTTCCATGGATATACTGCATAGTGGTGAAGTCAGGGCTTTTAATAGATCTGTCACGGGAATAAGAAATATTATACCCATTAAGTAATAAAGAACTCCTGCCACTAAATAGCAAAAAAAAAAAAAAACCAAATAACCCAATTTTAAAAAATAGGTGAGGGACTTTAAGAGATACTTCTCCAAAGAAAACATACAAATGGCCAACAGGTGTATGAACATATGCTGGACATCACTAATCATCAGGGGAATGAAAATCGAAGCCACAAAAAGATATCACTTTATGCTTGTTAGAATGATCACTATAAAAACAAAAATAACAAAGGAGAAAATAACAAATATTGGCAAAGTTGTGGAAAAATTGAAACTCTTGAGCGGTGGTGGTAGAAATGTAAAATGGTGTTGTTGATATGAAAAAGAGTTTGGGGGGGTTCCTCAAAAAATTAAAAATAGAACCACCATATAACGCAGCAATGCCACATCTCGGTATTTATAGAAAAAAAATAAAATCAGGTTCTTAAATAGATCTGTGTACACCCTTGATCATTTTAGTATTATTCACAATAGCCAAGAAGTGAAAAAAACCCTAAATGTTCAGAATCAACTCTTGCTTAGCCTAAATTTTTCCTGGTTTTCTTGCAATGTCTTAGCAAAACTGTTTTTAATTACCGATAACTGAGAAAAATAAATGTAATCCTGGAAATTAGCTTTCACTTTCATCATTATTTGAGTGACAAAATAATGATAAAGCACTGGCCTTCAAAGTGATATCTTAAGAGAATAATTTGTAGTAAAAATGTAACATTCTAAAACTTAGCAAACTACTGCATATACAGGCTGTATCATATAAAATTCTCTGTTATCTGTATTCTGTGAATATACATCAGGGTTTGTGTTTTCTCCCCTTTCATGCTGTAAGGTCACTTTTTAGCAAGGACTGTCAAATACATTTCCTTTGAAGGAAAATTGACCTGGTCCACTGACTACTTAGTAATTTGTTTTGCAGACATTTGACACCTGACACATGGATTTCAGTAAATGATAGTTGACACTTAATGTACAATAGTATTAAAAAGGTAACAAATGTGTAAGTCAATTTTGCTTAGTTACTTTTTCTGAATTGTAAATGCATGAGGCTTTCTGTTGATTATAGTAATTTCAATATTAATCATTAATATTTTATGGAAAAAAAACCTTACATTTAAAGTAAATGATATAAAGTAAGACCAAATCAAGAAGTTACTCCATGTAAAGTATGGTTTATTATATATTTGACTCAAGTTTCTTAAACAAGCTGGTAATTTGGCCTTTAGTTTTGAATTAAAAGAAGGAAGGCAGGGGGAAAGGGAGGGACGGAGGGAGAAGGGAAGGAAGGAAGGAGGGAAGAAAGGAAGGGAGGAAGGAAGGAGAGAGTAAAGAGGAGAAGGGGGAGGGGGAGGGGGAGGTGAGGTGAGGTTAGGCTAGGCGAGAAATCAAACAAACCAGAAACAAAATTCTCTCTGAAAAGACCGGAAAAGGATATTGTAATGGAGGGGAGAAGAGAACGGGCGTTTTAGTGCCCTCCTCTATACTATCTTTACTTTACTGAAAACCACCCCAGATAAAAACTACTAAGGAAAAACAGTTTGTTTCTTATAGAAATGTCATTTGAATACAAATAATTTAGCCATTTTGTATTTGACTGTGCCCTGGAGCCCCTTCTGTATAGAAACTATGCAGTCACCATTGGGAGTAGAACAGGCATTCCTATGAATTTAGATTTTTATATTTGCTAAAATATTTAGGCTGTAATTAACTTAGTTTCTGATAAAATAGTAAGTTCAAAGTAAGGTATAACAGTATAGAGAAGAAAACCACTTGAAAATAACAACCAAAACAATGGCAGCAACAAAGCCTACTGGCTACACATCTCCTCATTTTTCATCAGTGTAGAGTGATTCTTGAAAGTAATTGTTACAAATACAAAGAAATGGGAAACATGAAAATGAATGAAAAGTGGAATATCTTTGAAGAAATGTTAACCTTACATTCTACACATGGGTAGATGGAATCACTACTCACCCATTTAATTTTACTTTGTTTGTGTGTATACTTTAATCTTTTGGAGAGGTGAAGAACATTTTTATAGTATATATTACGTCCATTTCAAATAGAGGTATTGAATTTTTTTTTCTAAAATATAAGTTTCCTAAAGACTTTGTATACTCTTTCTTTTGGAGATTCCCCAGAATTCCCTGTTAATTCCCTTAATAGATACTCTATATGTTCCACTTCTGTAGCTTTATTTTTCACAATCAGAAATTGGAGGGAAAGCAGCCTAAATATTTTAGGGGCAAATTAAAAAGGTATAACATTTGACTCAGTAATATACAAACATTTTGAAGCTATTGTTAAACTCAAAATATGAGCCAAGTATTGCACTAGATGCCATAAGGAATGCAATATGATATAATTAATGATATTTATTGAGTGCCTGCTCTGGGTCAGGCATCAGTCCTGGGAACACAACGAAGAACAAAAGAGTCAAGGATGCTCTTCTGATAGAGCTCGTATTCTAATTGGGGGAGACAAACAAACAATAAGCAACTAGACAAATAAACAACATCAGCCTGGTACTAAGTGATATACAGAGAAATTAAAAGGGTGATGTGATAAAAAGTGACTGAATGGTTTCCTATAGCCTCCTGAAGAGGTAACATTTAAGCTGCTCTATGAATGATGAGAAGGAGCTAGCTATGTGAAGATCATAGGGAGGACCTGTGCATATCTGTATGTCAACCTGGCTGAGTAAATAAGAATATAAATAATTTGAAATGCCTGATGATTTCTGGTAATGCTAATAATTTCAAGATTACTATTTTTTTTAATTTGTGAAAAAAATATATGACCAAATATGGAAGGAATATTTTGATCAAAGTCCCTAAACAGGCCTCGGTTTAGCAACTTTGAAAAAAAATCTGAAGAGAGTCCCACTCACAAATGCATGCTGGGCAAGGAAGGTAGAGGCTTGAGTTTCATGGCAGAGAGATAAGGAGAGGATGATCACTTTGCATTGTAAGCCAGGATGATACGTTTGGAGCTTGTTCTAATTTTGAAAGACCGCTGGAGTCTTTAGAGCAGAGGAGTTACATGATCTGATACATATTTATGTATAATATTTTATGTACAATATTAATATCATCTTATCTGCCATATGGAAATTGTATTGTAGAAGGATCAGAGGTTGGAGCAGGGAGAAAAAAAGTTAGCAGGATATTTCTGAGAGGATGGTTTTGCTCTTTATTAGAATAGGCTAAATGATATGGAACAAATTTAAGGGGAAAAATCAAGAGCTCCATATATAAGATGTCATTAGACAAACACATGAAGATGGCAAGAAGGCTGTTTGGTATATCACTGTGGGATTTCAAAGAGCATTTTGCACAATTATGGTGTTTAAAGTCACAGGAGTAGATAGATGATATAACCTGTGGACATTGTGTAGGTAGATGGAAAGGAGAATTGGGCCCAGGATTGTGGGCAGAGGATTACCTAGGTGCCGAGGCAAGAGACTGAAGGCACAAACTGTTTCAGTATAATAAAGAAAATAGTTAGAATAAGAATAGTCATAATACAAATTAGATATAGAGATGATCATGAAGAATTATCAATCATTATTATAGACATTATTAATCATTAGCTTTTAATATTACTCTTTGTTGCATTACTAATATAACCTAGGAATAACCGGCGGGTATAGGGTCAGGTGCTGAAAGGACATTGTGAGAAGTGACCTAGAAGACAAGAGGTGAGCCTTCTGTCACACCCGCAAAAGGCCACTTGAGGGCTCCTTGGTCAAGCGGTACCACCAGTGTCGGGGAAGGCACCCATTACTTAGCAGACCGCGAAAGGGAGTCTCCTTTCCTTGGAGGAGTTGGGGAACACTCTGCTCCACCAGCTTCTTGTGGAAGGCTGGATATTATCCAGGCCTGCCCGCAGTCATCTGGAGGCCTAAAACCCTCCCTGTGATGCTGTGCTTCAATGATCACACTCCTTGTCCGCTTTCATGCTCCTCCCGTACTCCTGGTTCCTCTTTGAAGTTCGTAGTAGACAGCAGTAGAAGAAACAGTGAAAGTCTTAAAAGTCTTTGATCTTTCTTATAAGTTCAGAGAAGAAAATGCTGATGTATGCTGCCTTCTCTCTCTACCTTGGCTACCTAAAAGGGAAGGGCCCCCTATCCGGTAATCAGGTGACTTGCTTCACCTTGTCAATCACTTAGAAGATTCACCCTCCTCACCCTGCCCCCTTGTCTTTATGCAATAAATATCAGCAGGCCCAGCTGTTCGGGGCCACTACTGGTCTCCGCATCTTGATGGTAGTGGTCCCCGGGGCCCAGCTGTTTTCTCTTTATCTCTTTGTCTTGTGTCTTTATTTATTACCATCTCTAGTCTTTGCACACGGGGAGAACACCCGCTAAGCCCCGTAGGGCTGGACCCTACACAGGATAAAGCTTTGATTTATTTCAACTTTTAGAGTTAAGGAGGAGAAGTCAAGCAAGGCGAATTAGAAGAAAATTCCAGTGAGGTAGTAAATAAAGAAGTTAAGAGTGACTGATCCTCCCAAATCTTTGAGGTCATTTTGCTAAGTGGGAGAACAGAAAAATGGGGTGTATTAGTCCGTTCTCACATTGCTATAAAGAACTACCTGAGACTGGGTAATTTATGAAGAAAAGAGGTTTAATTGAACCACAGTTCCACATACTGTACAGGAAACATGGCTGGAAAGCCTCAGGAAACTTAGTCATTGCAGAAGGACAAAGGGGAAGCAAGCACATCTTCACAACAGAGAGTGGGAAGGGCTACAGACTTTTACACAACCAGATCTTGTAAGAACTCACTATCATGAGAACAGCAATGGGGATATTCCCCCCATGATTCAATCACCTCCCACCAGTTTCCTCCCTCAACACTGGGGATTACAATTCAACACAAGATATGGTTTGGGACACAGACCAAACCATATCATGGGGCAATAGTTTAAGGAAAATGTAGGGTTAAGACAGGGTTTTTTACAAGATCAGAGATACTACAGTAGTGCTGTACATACATCCCATAATATTGATGGGCAGAATTCAGTAGAGAGACAACCTAACAGAGATATCTTGAGAGAATAAATACAGAATGAAAGTCTTTGAGAGGTGAGCATAAGTAAGAACTGCAGTACTATCAGGGGGTTTGACACTCAGGGGATTGAGGCTATCCACTCCCTGGCTAAAGAGAAGAGGCAAAGAAAACAAAGAACAAATATTTTCAGCCCTTGAAAGACATTCTTGCTTGATCCTTAAGCTTGCTAATTCTATTTCGATCTTCATCTCTCTTATTTGCCAGAGTATCAAGAATCTACCTAGACACTGGCTAGAGTTTATGGCATTGCAATATAATGGACCACCAACTATGCCTCCTCTTTCACAGGAACCCGCAGGTGCTGTGTTTAGTAAATGCCTTTACCTATTTTTTTTTTCCTCAAAGAACCAGACATTTTCAACCTGTGAGTCCTTTGTGTGTGACAGATACTAATATAAGTAAAAACAAAGACAAGAAACGATTTTAAGCAATTTCACTCATCGGCTCTCTCCAGTTGCCTAAAGGAAGGAGGTTTTTGACTCGGGGCCAGCATTAATTGAACCTTGTTATGCCTGTAGAATTTAGAGAGTGAGAACAGCAGGAAGCTAAAGGTATTGAAGTAGTGCAGAAGGACTATGGATTAAAACAAGGTAAGACAAATCTGTGAAAGTGAAATGGCAAGAAAAGAGCAACAGTTTACAGAATATGGATTCTGTCAGGAATTTGAAAAGCAGAAGAAAACAAAAGGGAAATAGAAAATGAAGCAGCTACAGTGATGAGAGTGATTTTGGATGGAGAAACAAGGGCATGAAACTTCCACAAAGACCCATTATATTTTGAATACTTTTGGAGTCAGCCTTTTGTTTCTTTTAAATGTGATACCATGCTGATCTCAAGACACTCAGTTTTATTAAAATTCGTTTAATTGTTCTGCATTTGTTTAACACACACTTATACAATGCCTTAAGCATGATGCTGGGTGCTGTTTGAGACCCAAAGAAAGTAAAGTCCACCCTTGTCCTCCAGTAGCGCCCTCTGATGATGTAAACAGACATGCATGTACATTGCCTTGTGCAGTGAACATGTACTGTATGGTACTTTCTGATACATTTTAGAAAGAATTAGGTATGCGATCAATCAATTCTTATGGAAGTACAAAAAAAGTCAGAATTTCCTTTTATAGAATTGGGTAATTCTTCAGAGTTACTTTTATTTTATTTTATTTTATTTTATTTGAGATGGAGTTCTACTCTTGTTGCCCAGGCTGGAGTGCAATGGCGCAATCTCAGCTCACTGTCACCTCTGCCTCCTGGGTTCAAGTGATTCTCCTGCCTCAATCTCCCAAGTAGCTATGATTACAGGCACATGCCACCACTCCCGGCTGTATTTTGTATTTAGTAGAGATGGGGTTTCATCATGTTGTTCAGGCTGGTCTCGAACTCGTGACCTCAGGTGCTCCACCTGCCTTGGCTTCCCAAAGTGCTGGGATTACAGGCGTGAGCCACCATGCCCGGCCAGAGTTACCTTTTGAGAGAAGATAAATAGTCTCAATATAAGTTTCAATTTAAATCAATATTCATGGTAAGAAATTTATCCAGAAGATGGAAACATTCCAAGTGGTTATTGGTTGATTAGTTCTTGTCTACAGGCATCATTTAAAGGCTATGTTTCAAATGGCATCTAATAACCCTATTATAAACTATAGTATTATAAACATAGTATTATAAACTACGTAATCAGAAAATGAAAATGGTCACTTTAGGCTTGATGCTGTTTTTATTCAATCAAGAGCATATTTAATGATTACTGGTTAAAAAAACTATTTTTAAAGGCTAAGACAAGACCCAAAAGGTCAATTCTATTTTTGCTGTTAACTTTTGAAGGATTTTGCCTCTTTACAAGACGTTGGCATTGTTTTCAGAAATTGGTCTTATCTGTACTATCTAATATAGTGTATGTATATGTACATACATATAGATAGTACTTACCTGTACTAATATAGTGTATGTATATGTATATATAGTGTATGTATATGTATATACATGTATATATACATACACTATATTAGATAGTACAGATAAGACAAATTTCTCTATATAAATTTATATGTATAAATTAATATAATATAAATTTTATATATTATATTTAATATAATATAAATATATATAATAAATATAAATGTGTATATATATATATATATATATATATATATATATATATATATATGTAGTCCCTCTGTAAGGGAAGGCTGTGACTAATGCATTTTTATATCTGTTTTGTTCACTGCCTTCTCTTTGAGTCTCTTGTACCTAGAATAGTAGTTGACATACAGTAGAAGCTAAATAAGTATTTATTGAACAAAGGACTTGAATCTTTGTATCCCTCACATTGTATGGTATAATAATGCATTGCCCACAGAAGACTCTCTAATACTAATTGATTTAAATTGATTTCTATAGCTCTAACTGGTCATATGGGTAGAGATGGATGTCAATACTTAAACACTGCAACCATCTCTCTTTATATAGCCAATGACTGTAGTTCTAATTAGTAGTATTCATAAGCAATGGTTTTGCAGCAAAAGAGTGTTATTGCACATTAGCTTGTCATTTTATCAATGAGAGTGAACTTCTCTCCATATTCGTTAATAAAATTTCAGTTGAATTCATCCATATATGCATTTCCAACATGGGGGAGAGTGGAAGGAAGGAAATCAGAGCTAGATCACCCTCAAAAACAACCTACCATAGATTATCATGGTGCTTAAAATATAGTAGGCACAATATAAAACCCATAAAGAAAGTTTTACCAAAAGTAATTAAAAAAGAGATAGATATTAAACACAATTATTTATGTCCTGATGCCACCAAACTACATATTTTATATAACATGAAAATTACAGCTTTAAGAAAGTCAAAACAATTTTTTTAAATAAGCACTTGATTTCTAAAATGTATTCATATAGCACAATAAAGTTATACATGAGGTATGAAAATCTTGGAGGTAACATAAACAGGCTTCTTTGCAGTAGTTTTAAATTTTCAATCACTAAAAAAAGAATGATTTTGTCATTTTTATAAATCTTTCATTTAACTAGAAAGAATAATTATTGTATGAAGAGGTGCGCACTGGTTGGATTAAGTCATACTGCTTAATTTTCATTTCAAAATGTGAATTTTACAACCTATATCCCAGTTCTCCAGAGCATGAGGATCCTTTCAATCCAAAACTCTGAACAACTTTTACTTACCTCTCAGGCTTCTCAACTTGAAATTTTGTCTCATACAGCTGCTGTCAAAGCTTAACAATTGATATTTGAAAGCTCTGACCTAAGGGACATTATAACCATTTATTTCTATAGATTCTCTAAAATTCTACCTTTCGAAGAGAACAGACAGACAGCAAGCTGGGTAGCCTGACTCTATTATTCTGCTTTTCATAGAAACACCTTCACTGAGCTAGGATTTAACATTTTGTCTTAAGGTTTATAATTGGTTGACCTAAAAAAAGGTCATATAATGTTATGGCTATCATACATTATGGTCTTCAGCGTGTCTTACACATACAGCCTGCTAGTAAATTTCCCTTAAAGGTCAACACTAGGTTTATGTCATGGTTTTCTTTCTTTTCTTATTTTTTATTTTTCATTTCTGATAAACTGTGTTTCCTCATAACAGACATTGTGAGCCACATTACTCAGTCTTTTTTTACATTCATTGATAGAAAAATAGCACTGAGTTTAATATTCACTTATACTATTTTTCCTTGCTTATAATGCTTCTAATTCTTTTAGAAATTAGAGAAAATTTAAATTACTCTCAAAATAAACACAATCTCTATTCAACCTAGTTTACTCAGGTTTTGAAATTTATGTTTTAAATATAGCATACAACTACTTATAAATCTGTTTCTGGCTTTGATAAGATGTACTAGATAAAATAACCACCTATACATTACAAGTGCTTTGCAACACAAATCATACTTTACAAATAAGTGTCAATAGTAAGACTATCAGCATGAGTATATTGTTTGACCTCATAGACTGAGCAAAGTTGTAGATTCATAACAACATATGTCTTGCATTCTCCACTTATTAACTGAATTTTTCACCTTGAGCAACTGACCTAACCCTCTAAGACTTTCTTTCTTTACTTATAAAATACAAATTAATAATAGCATCTTAAAAACTTGCTATTAGATATTCTAAATAAGATATTAGAGATAAATTGCTTGGAATTTTAGTACGGATGACTCTCTTTTCAATACTGTCTACTGTGCTCCATAAATAGTAATTATCTTTCTTGTTTAAACTATGTTTTCAGCTAAACGTTTGTCTTAGTCTGTTTGCACTGCTAAAACAAAATACCATAGCCTGGGTAGCTTATAAACAACAGATTATTTATTTATTTATTTATTTGTTTATTTATTTATTTTAAATCACACTTTTGGAGGCTGGCAAGCCCAGGATCAAAGCACTGACAAATCTGTTGTCTGGTGAGGGGCCACTTTCTTGTTCATAGATGGCACTGTTGCATTCATGACCTAATCACCTCCCAAAGGCCCTACCTCCAAATATCCTAACATTGAGAATTAGGTTTAAACACATCAGTTTTGGGTAGATACGAACATTCAGTTCATAGCAACATTTAAAACAAATTTTAAAAGTTAAGATAGTCTCTTTCTTCTTAGAATCATGTAAATTCTTCAAAAAACATTTTATCATTCAAAAAACAAAATAATTTCCTTCTTATTACAGAGTTCTGATAGTTGTTTATACTAGATCAGTGATATAAGAATCATTCATTTTATTGCTTGATCAAACCATATTTTAGGTTCTTGGTTTTCTAATATGTCTATCAGTCCATTATTAAATATGAAATTGAAACATATGGCAGGATGCTATTAAACTGTGTGACCCTAGTGAATATTTTTTAAATATAAGTTTAACACAAATGACTCATGAATATTTCTAGATGAAATTAGTCAACACTATATCCACAAAACTTCATTTCCTAATATGGAAAATTAATATACCACTAGGTTTCCAAAATTTCTTTAAAGCTACGTGAAAACATGTTGACATCTGAAGAAAAGTACTTTGGGCATAATCCCTAATAAGATAGCAACAAATAAAGTAAGTACACTTTGTTGAATACTTATGAAGTTGGACTCTATTTTAATGCTATTTACATTAATGCTTAAAACAACCCTTTTAGGCAGGTATCGTATTCAGTTTGATAGTATAGATGAGGAAATTGAGGCACAGCATGATTGTCATTTGTCCAGAAGTACACAGCTTTCAAGAAAAGCACCTGGATAGGATCCATGTCTATCTCACTCAGAATTTTATGCTCTGAGACGCTAAGCTATAATACCACCAAAAGGTATGAATGTGTGCTAAAAATAAGACACAGCTTAGTACAAAGGGTCTAGAGTGAGAATTTGAAGGCCTTCCTTCTTCCATTGTCTCTGCTACTAACTTGTTGTCCTTAGATAAGTCACCTCACTATTCAGAAACTCAAATTCTTACCTGTATATAATCATAAAGTTGAAATATAGGCTCCTTATGTTCCTATCATAAAACTCTATACATTCATATTGTTTTTTTTTTATACCATGTCATCATTGGAATAAAATATGGGTACCAATAACTACAGTTTTTCTCTGGTTCTATCCCTATTCTCCATGTTGGGAACCCCAACCTCCCTTTCAGTCCTGCAAACCATTTCTTAGAACTTAGGTGGATGTCTCACTAATGCTCAGAATCAAAGTCTCTTGTTGAACATGTGATAATTAATAATTGTTTTCTTTTTTAACACTGACTTTTTGTGATGTTTTTAGCTGGTCAGACTATTGACATGCAGTACTCAGCATACTATTCAAGGCCTCTGCCCAATCTTTCACCTCCATAAAGTGTGTCTATCAAAACTATTACATTCATCAACAACAACACTGTATTACTGCCCCCAAAGAAAGTGTAATGAAACAGGGTTTTTTTTTGGCATTGTTTCTTGCTTTATATTTGTAGCTCCTTCTCTCTAGGCCTTAGTCAAATATACATCAGGGAACTAGAGGACAATCTGAATGACAAAATTGTCTTACTCTCTAATACAAGCCAATTGTTCATTAACTTGAATTTTCCATACTTTCTTTTCTTAGTGTAAATTATTATTCCAAATACCCAGGTCATCCCTGCGAATAATCCAAAACAAACTTCATTGGGAAAGTGCATTAGCCTCTCTATATTAGTGTTATATGAACCTTCTCTCTCAAGGCAATTTCTTAAGCTAACTGCTGATCTACATTATGTCACTATTACATAGAGATACTTAAGTGTTATTTGAATATGTTCAAATCAACACTAACACAAATCTAATTATGAAATGCATTTCTAATCATCAGTGCTTCCTTTTATGCTTCTCTAAAAATGGAAGTGTGAAAATGGCAGAACAATTTGCCAACAATAATTCCATGGGAACAAAACAGGTCACAGGGACAGTTAGTCATGAGGTGACTATAATCCTGTATCTCCAGAGACAATGCCACCAATTTCCTAAGCTGTCCAGCAGATTAGGAATTTAAAGTTCAGCACAGAATAATTAAATCTCCATGTGCCACCCTAGCCAGGCATCCTTTTTTGAACCTTTTGTTTAAAACGAGTGAAAATTTAAGGATCAAGGTAATTTTTCAGTCTTGAGTAATATGAAAAAGCATGCTTTGGAAGACTGCCCTGGAAGCTCTTTCTTAGAGTATAGCTGTAGCATACCCCAAAGCAGCCCCAGTTATAAGGAGAAAGGATCTAGAATTGTCAACTCTCTAGATTTCAAGTTTTCTAAACTAATTATTGCCTGGAGAATCTTGTAATTTTCATCTTACTGCCATATTACTCAAGTCATGAATTGATAAATTCTAGACTTCAGGAAGCTGTTGCATGTAAATTTTAAAATGTAAGTAATATCCTGTTCAGTTAAGTTTTATAAAAATAATTTTATGACTTATTAAATGTGTATGCAATAATATTTCAAATGTACTGAAATGGAGTATATACAATTAACTATTAGGAGATGATTTTTTTCAGTAATCTATGAATGCACTGAATCCAGATTGATTTTTTAAGAAAACATTTATGTAAAGAAAATCTATTTGGAAAGATAGCTTTAACCTGAGCAACATCAACAGAGCATAAATAAAGCTATTGCTTCTACTTTATTTGTGAATGTTGGTATTTTAAATTTACTGTGTACATACAATGTATAGATATACTCTATACTTGAAAAATTTAGTATGAATCATAAGAAAATATAGATATTAAATTGAAAAAAGATATAGGATTAAAAACTGAAAGAAAACTTTCTCTGTTACAGTAAAGCCATTCAAAAATTTACAGTAAAGCCATTCAAAATGTTATCAACGTCTAAAAAAGGTATATTAATAGATGACTATGTCTCATTTATAAAAATAGAATTACTTGCTTGAGAAAGACCATGGATACAGATAGAAACAAATATCCTGATGTTGCAATGTTACAGTCTTAATTTTATTTGACTGATAAGGTGTGGCTGTGTCCCCACCCAAAATCTCATCTTGAATTGTAACCTGAATTGTAATCCCCGCCTGTTGGGGAAGGGATCTCATGGGAGGTGACTAGATTATGAGGGTGGTTCCCCCATGCTGTTCTTGTGATAATGAGTGAGTTCTCGCAAGATCGGATGGTTTTGAAAGGGGCTTTTCCCCTTTTTGCTCTACACTCCTGTGTCCTGCTGCTATGTGAAGAACATATTTGATTCCTATTCACCAAGACTGTAAGTTTCCTGAGGCCTCCTCAGCCATACAAAATTGATAATCAATTAACCTCTTTCATTTATAAATTATCCATTCTCAGTTATGTCCTTATAGCAGTGTGAAAATGGACTAACATGGAAAATTGGTACCAGGAGGTAGTGGGGCACTGCTAGAAGAATACCCAAAAATGTGGAAGTGACTTTGGAACTGGGTAACAGGCAGAGGTTGGAACAGTTTGCAGGACTCAGAAGAAGACAGGAAAATGTGGGAAAGTTTGGAACTTCCTAGAGACTTGTTGAATGGCTTTGACAAAAATGCTGATAGTGATATGGACAAAGAAGTCCAGGCTGAGGTGCTCTCAGATAGAGATGAGGAATTTGTTGTGAACTGGAGCAAAGGTGACTCCTGCTATGCTTTAGCAAAGAGACTTGTGACATCTTGCCCCTGCCCTAGAGATGTGTAGAATTTGAAGTTGAGAGAGATAATTTAGGGTACCTGGAAAAAGAAATTTCTAAGTGACAAAGCATTTGAGAGGAGGCACAGCATAAAAGTTTGGAAAATTTCTGGCCTGATGATGCAACAGAAAAGAAAAACCAGTTTTCTGGGGAGAAATTCAAGCTGACTGCAGAAATTTGCATAAGTAATAAGGAGCCGAATGTTAATCACCTAGACAATGCGGAAAATGTCTCCATGGCATGTCAGAGACCTTCACTGCAGCCACTCTTATCACAGGCCCAGAGGCCTAGGAGGGAAAAAATGGTTTCCTGGGTTGGGCACAGGGCCCCCTGTTCTGTACAGCCACAGGCCATGATGCCCAGCATCCCAGCTGCTTCAGCTCCAGCGGTGGCTAAAAGAGGCCAAGGTATGAGCCATTGCTTCAGAAGGTGCAAGCCCAAGCCTTGGTGCCTTCCTTGGGTGTGCAGAAGCCAAGAATTGAGTTTTGGGAACTTCTGCCTAAATTTCAGAGGATGTATGAAAACGCCTGGATGTTCAGGCAGAAGTTTGCTACAGGGGCAGAGCCCTCATGGAGAACCTCTGCTAGGGCAGTATGGGAGAGTAATGTAAGGTTGAAGCTCCCACACAAAGTCCCCCTGGGGCACTGCCTAATGGAGCTGTGACAAGAGGGCCAACATCCTCCAGACCCCAGAATGGTAGATCCACTGACAGCTTGCACTGTGAGCCTGGAAAATCTGCAGACACTCAATGCCAGCCCATGAAAGCAGCCAGGAGTGGGGCTGTACCCTACAAAGCCACAGGGGAAGAGCTGCCCAATACCCTGGGAACCCTCTTCTTGCATCAGCATGACCTGGATGTGAGACATGGAGTCAAAGGAGATCATTTGGGGACTCTAAAGTTTAACAATTGCCCTATTGGATTTCAGACTTGCATGGGGCCTGTAGACCCTTTGTTTTGGCCAATGTCTCCCATTTGAAATGGGTGTATTCACCCAATGCCTGTATCCCCATTGTCTAAAGGAAGTAACTAAGTTGCTTTTGATTTTACAGACTCATAGGCAGAAGGGACTTGCCTTGCCACAAATGAGACTTTGGACTTGGACATTTGGGTTAATCCTGGAATGAATTAAGACTTTGGGGCACAGTTGGAAAGGCATGATTGTGTTTTGAAATGCGAGATCATGAAATTTGGGAGGGCCCAGGGCAGAACAATATGATTGGTTGTTTCCCCATCCGAAATCTCATCTTGAATTGTAATCCAAATTGTAATCCCCACATGTTGGGGGAGGTACCTCATGGGAGGTGAGTAAATCATGGCGGTGTTTCCCCCACGCAGTTCACATGATAGCGAGTGAGTTCTCATGAGATCTGATCGTTTTTATAAGGGGCTTTTCCTCCCTTCACTCTGCACTTCTCTCTGCTGCCACCATGTGAAGAAGGATGGGTTTACTTTCACTTCTGCTGTGATTGTTAAGTTTCCCAAGGCCTCTCCAGCCACGCAGAACTGCGACTCAATTAAATCGCTTCCCTTTATGAATTACCCAGTCTTGGGTATATCCTTATAGCAGCATGAGAATGGACTAATACACTGATCTATAACTTTGACTCTAAACATTTCTAATATTTCTAATATTTAGAAAATAAAATAATTTATTCATGGTCAATGTATATTTAAAATAAGAATGAACATCAGGTAAAAATGTCACTTATCAAGTTGTGAGTGTTAATAATTAAAGCATTGGGAAACTGAAGTAACAGAAAAATTGGAGGTCGATTTTGTTACCTAAATCTGATCAACAAATCAATAAGACATAGAGAAAATTCACATACATTTATCAAGTTAAGATTTCCAGATGTATTAAAAGGTTATTTGTTAAGTTTCAATCTCGTTCAGATATTATGAAAAGCATAAGTGTGATTTCATTATTACAGAATCATTTTGTCTCAGTTTTAGTTTTCAAGAAATGAACTTGCTAATAGAGAAAATATTATATTGGGTTTAACTATCTAATAATTGTGATACAAATATGAAATTTACAATTGATAACAATAAAATTAAAGCAAATATATGGCTTCATCTGCAGCAAATAAAGTGCATTGGAAGAACTTTAGACAAAAGCATACATGAGCTACTTTAAGATACACAGAATCAAAAAATCAATTTATTTTCACATCATCTTTATGAGTAAAACACACAGATTCACCCAACCCATAAACCAGCAGTTTATGGTTCAGTCCAATAAAGGAAGACTGAATTTTTCCTTAATCATTTATTTGAAAATTAATATGGTCATTTACTTAATGTACAAGGGAACCTCCCCAAATTATGGTATAAATAATTAAGTTTCTAAAGTATGCTGTTTTAGTTTTAAACAAAAATGAATAAATTTTATTTGTATATTTAAAAATTCAAAAGAAGTTATATGCTATGTATGATGATAATATTGCTAAAGTACTGTTTCATAAAAGAAACCACTTACCTTGTTTTGTGTGCCTTGGTCACCAGGATCCTAGGAAAATTAATCAGGTAGACAATACTTCATTGTGATACTTCTACATAACATAAACAGAAGAGTTTTTGATTTGAGCCTTTGAGAAAATCATTAAAAATTATCTAATCACTATTGAGTATATTATAGAAATTTCATCTTACATTTCTTAAAATCCTACAGGATATATAGTATGCTATTATGTTACAAGGTGAATTTCTAATATAAACAATCTTTCCACCCCTGACTTTGTGTGAAGAGTCAAAGATCTGGTCTGGTCTAGACTCCTATTTTTCTAGGTTTTTTTTTTATTATGTTGTATTTTAACATCATTCATGACTGATGTTTGCTGAATGATTATATGGATAATTGAACAAATCAAATTTTCGTTGGTTAATATGCCTACTATTATGATACTCCTATAAGTGCCAAATGCTGGGTTGCATATCACATACTTATTAGTATTATAAAAATATTGAAATTCATTTATTTCCTCTATTGGATAGATGGGAAACCTTGAACTGCAGAAGCTTAATTAACTTGTATATGACCATGCAGTATTGGGAAGTAGCATAACAACAGTGTAAGCAGAGCTTTCTACATCTAAAGCCTGCTCACAAAATAATGTGCCATGCTACCTTGTAAATTACCTTCTTTGTTCTCCTCATTATGTAAGCATGATGAAGTCAAGGATCTCTGAAACAAAATCTGTAATTTGGCCAGTCAAATGCAGCAGAACAAAGACATAAATTAGAAGAAAAATTAAATTGTATGAATGATTGATATGATGCCACATTGATAAAATAACTTAAGAATTACAAATATCCAAGAATCAATTCAAAGGGCTGCCACATAAAGGAAAACTATTTTGTTTATTTAAAATAAAGAAAATTTTTGAATGATTTCAAATATTTAAATAATATATCAATATAAAAACAAGTATTATAAGATAGACAGCATGAATACAATATTTTATAGAATAAAGAAAAATAGTAGTATAAAAAATGTATGCTGTTAAGAATGTATCAGTAGATTTCAGGTTTCAAAATGGTGGTGTTGAAGAAAGCTGGCTTCACTCTTCCTACAGAAAACCAAAACCAAATAAGTATATAGCACCAAGAATATCACTAGCAATATCCCAGAACTCGATTATGAGAATGAGTCAGTTCCTGAGGCCACAGATAAGAAAGAAAACAAGACAACCACAACAGCAAAAAAACTCTGAGCAGACAGTAAGAAATTGGGATTTCCATATCCCCAATGCACCTTCCCTCAATCTACTCAGCACCAAACACATAGAAAATTTTCTCCAACTCACAATTTCTATACTAGAAAACTTATACTGAAGGGGAAAATGAGCTTCCCTCATTTTGGGTTCCCTGACAGAAGAACTGTCCCTGTTTCAACCCACAGGAAGCATCACAAGGGTGTGAAGAAAGAAATATCCCTAAGGATGGCCAGAAAAAAAGAAGAGAGGTAGGACTACTATTCCCAGCCCTGGAAACTCTGCTCTGTAACTCAGCCAAAGGAGACACCAAATCAGAGTGGCTCTTCAGCAGCATCACACTATAGGAAATAAGTTCCACAGGCCCCATAGGCACACACCCTTAGCCAGCTTTCTCATACTTCCAGGATATTCCCTTTAAATCCTCCCCCATTTGGGACTGGCAGCACTCTGATCCTGATCAATTGCTGGGGATGAGGCAAACCTCAGCTTAAAGTGCCAGCTATTGCCAAAAAGGAGACAGCAACTTAGTAGAAAACAAAATGAGACATTCAATAGATAAATTACAAAGAATCTCTTAGGAAATAAACCCATTACAAAATAAAACAAGCAAGATAGAAAGCTAGAATAAATAATCCTTCAATGCAAAGACACACATACATCCAAAAGAAACAATGGCAAACAGGAAACCATGATCTCCCCAAAGTAATAAACCAGTGACTGGCCCTAACAAGATAGTGATATGTGAGTACTCTTACTATTTCCGGGGTCAAGCCAGAACTGGCTGCATTTTCTCAAGGCCCAGTAATGAGAAGAAAACTAGGAAAGAAGGAAATTTATTGCTGTAACTGGATACAGGGAGAAGTCTGGAGACAATCCCACCAGACCAACTCAAAGTGTTACAATTTTCTTAGTGCTTGTATAGGTTGGGGTTGTGTACCTATGTGCAGTATAGCATTCGCCTAAGTCTACTGGTAACTAATTTTGTTTGAACTGGAAGGTCTGAGGCAAAAAAAAATGCTTGCTAAGTCCTATTAAAAGGCCCTAGTACCTTAAAGCCCTGTCTACTGTGGTAACAGAATATGATTATTTCTATCTTATCTCTTTTATAGCTTGGTCCTGAGAGCTGCCTTAGACTTTCCAATAAATCTATTCAAACAGCTGCCTCTTTTACCTTGACTTGTCTCAGATTTTGTCAACCCAAGATGGGTCCTGGCACTAGGAATGTAAAACTGTTTCTATTATTTTGGCTTGCTACAGCAAGGGAGAAGCCCATGCAAGGCCCCTACTGACCATATGTTTCCTTTCTAGCTTTGATGTTTGGGCACTGATTTCCCTAGGTTTAACTATTTGCTCAATGTTAAGGCAGCACTGTGAAAATTTGTCTGTATCTGGGGTGCTATGCAGGCCTGTCTGTGTGACTGTCATGCAGGCCTGTCTCTGTGATTGTCAGGGAGAATTGGCCTGCCACATTACCAAGAATTTAAAATAGCAGTTTTGGGCCAGGCATGGTGGGTCACACTTGTAATCTCAGCACTTTGGGAGGCCAAAGTGGATCACTTGAAGTCGGGAATTTGAGACCAGCCTGGCCAACATGGTGAAACCCCATCTCTACTAAAAATACAAAACCACCCAGGTGTGGTGGCATGTACTTCTAATCCTAGTTACTTGGGAGGCTGAGGCAGGAGTATCACTTGAACCTCAGGCAGAGGTTGCAGTGAGCCAAGATCATGGCACTGCACTCCCCTCTGGGCAACAGAGTGAGACTCCATCTCAAAAAATAAAAATAAAATAGCAGTTTTAAGGAAACTCAGTAATCTCAAAGGTAACACAGAAAAGTAGTTCAGAAATTTTCAAAGAGATTGAAATAATACAAGAAATAAAACCAGAAAACATGCTGAGAAATACATTTGCTGACTTAAAAAATTCATAAGAGGCTCTCAACAGCAAAATGGATCAAGCAGAGGGAAAAATTAGTGAGCTTCAAGACAAGTTGTTTGAAATTATACCATCAATAGAGGGGGAAAATCAGGAATGTAAAAGAACAAAGGTTTTTTCAAGGTAAAGAAAATTACCCCACAGACTAAATCTAAGAATTATTGGTGTTCAAGAGGTAGTTGAGCGAGAGCAAGGGGTAGAAAGCTTGTTCAAAGAAATAATAACAGAAAACTTTATAAAACTTCAGAAAGGTATGAATATGCCCATAGAGGAATGTCAGAGAACACCAAAGTGATTCAACCAAAATAAGATTACCACAAGGCTTATAATAATCAAACTCTAAAATGTCAAGGACAAAGGGAGGATTCTAGAAGCAGCAAGAGAAAAGAAGCAAATAAAACATAAAGGAACCCCAATTCCTCTGGCAATAGACCTCTCGATGGAAACCATGTAGGTCAGGAGGATGTGGGATCACATTTTCAAAGTGCTGGAAAAAAACTGCCATTCAAGAATACTGTACCCAGCAAAGCCTCCCTTCAAACATAAAGGAGAGATAAAGTATTTCCCAGAAAAAAAAACAAAAACAAAAAAACTGAGCAAATTCACTACCACCAGGTTCATGTTACAAGAAATAGTAAAGGGAGTTCTTCAATGTCAAAAAAACAAAAAACAAACAAACAAAAAACACTAATCTGCAATCGAAAACATTTGATGGTACAAAACTGTCTGGTAAAACTAAATACAAAGACAATTCCAGACTAACCCAATATTAATTGTGATGTGCAATTCACTCATAACTCTAGTATAAAGCCCAAAGAACAAATTTATTGGAACAATAATAGCTACAGAAACCTATTAAGAGATAGGTTTACCTATTAAGGGATACATATGTGAATATGTAAATTGAGGCAACAAAAAGAAAAATATGGAAGGATTAAGCTATAGCATAGAATTTTTCGAAAGATAGAGAGATTATAACACAGCTATTTCTTCAAGTTTTTGTCTTTGTTTCTATTCTTTTGTGTGTGCAATCCAAGATAAATTGTCATCTCTTTAAAATAAACTTGTTATATCTATAAGATTTTATTTGGTAATCCTCATGGTAACCACAATGCAAAGACATAATTAAAACACTAAAAATAAAAATAAATTTAAACATACCACCTGAGAAAATCACTTAACCACAAAAGAAGACAGAAAAAAAAAAGGAAGGAAGGGAAGGAGGGAGAGGGAGGTAGGGAGGGAGGGAAAGGAAAGGAAGAAAGGAGGGAGAAAAGGAAGGAAGGAGAAAATAAAAGTAAAGAGAAAGAAGGAAGGAAAGATGGAAGGAAGGAAGGAAGAAAGGCAGGCAGGAAGGAAGGAGAATAACAATAAAAGTAAAGAGAAAGAAAGAAGGAAGGAAGGAAGGAAGGAGGGCCAGAAAATAAGCAACAAAATGGCAGTCACAAGTTCTCAATTATCAATAATAACACAATGTAAATGGACTCAATATTCCAATTAAAGGCATAAAGTGGCTAAATTGATAAAGAAATGAAATGCTATTATATGCTGGCTTCAGAAAACTCATCTCACTTATAAGGACACAGGTAGACTGAGAATGAAGGGATGGAATAAGATTGCATGCAAAGGGAAATAAAAACGAGCAGAAATAACTACATTTACATCAGATAAAATAGACTATAAGTCAAAGACTGTAAAAAGAGACAACAAAGGTCACTCTATAATAATAAAGGGGTCAATTTAGCAAGTGGATATAACAAGTATAAATATGCGACCAACCCTTTAGCTCCCATGTATGTAAAGCTAACATTAATATATTTAAAAGGACAGAGATTATAACACAATAATAGTAGAGGATTGCAGCATCCTACTCTCAATAATGGACAGATCATCCAGACATGAAATCAACAAAGAAACACATTGGGGATAAACTGCATACCAGAACAAATAAGCCAAACTGACATTCACAGAACATTTCTGTCAACTGCTGCAAAATATTCATTCTTTATATCAGCACACTGTTCATAATAGATTATATATTAGACCACAAAACAAGTGCCAACAAATTCAAAAGTATGGAAATTATATCAAGTATCTTTTTTTTTTTTTTTTGAGACAGAGTCTTGTTCTGTCACCCAGACTGGAGTGCAGTGGCGCGATCTTGGCTCACCGCAACCTCCGCCTCCTGGGTTCACGCCATTCTTCTGCCTCAGCCTCCTGAGTAGCTGGGACTACAGGCACCTGCCACCACACCTGGCTAATTTTTTGTATTTTTAGTAGAGACAGGGTTTCACCATGTTAGCCAGGATGGTCTCATCTCCTGACCTCATGATCCACCCACCTTGGCCTCCCAAAGTGCTGGGATTACAGGTGTGAGCCAAAAATCAATCACAAGAGGAACTTTGGAAGCAGTTCCAAAGTTTCACAAATACATGAAAATTAAAAATTCTCCTGAAAGACCAATAGGTCAATAAAGAAATTAAAAAGGAAAATTAATTTTTTGAAACAAAAAACAACATGCAAAAATCTAAGAGATAAGGCAAAATTGGTACAAATGGGAAAGTTTACAGCAATAAATATCTACATCATAAAAGTAGAAATACATCAAATAAACAACATAAGAGTGTACCTAAAGGAGCTAGAAAAGCAGTAACAAACAAAACACAAATTAGTAGAAGTAAAATAAAAGACCACAGTATAAATAAATTAAAGACTAAAAAAGCACTACAGAAGACCTAGAAAAATATGTTGTTTTTTAAAAATATATAAACAAAATTAACAAACCTTTAGCTAGACTAAGAAAACAAAGAGAAAAATCAAATAAATGACATCAGAAAACACACATCTGAGACCACAAAAATGCAAATAATCATTAAAGACTATTCTGAACAACTATATATCAACAAATTGAAAAATCTAAATGAAACGGATAAATCCCTGGACACATAAAATCTACCAAGATTAAACCTGGATGAAATAGAAAACCTTGACAAACCAAGAATGTGTGACAAGTTTGAAGCTGTAATAAAAGGTCTCCCCTCAAAGAAAAGCTCAGGACCTGATGGCTTCACTGCTGAATTCTACCAAATATTTGAGGAAGAACCAATACCAATGCTACTCAAGTCCTGCAATATAAAGAAGAGGAGGGCACACATCCAAACTCTTTATATGATGCTAAGATTACCCTGATTTCAAAACCAGAAAAAGACACAACAACAACAACAACAAAAGAAACCTACAAGCCAATGTCACTGATGAACATAGATGCAGAAATCCTCATTTAAATACTAGCAAACCAAATTCAATAACACATTAAAAAGATCATTCACCATGATCAATTGGCATTCATCCCTGGGATGCGAGGATGATTCAACAAACACAAATCAATAATGAAACATTACATTAACAGAACCAAGAACAAAAATCTTATGATCATTTTAATAGATGTTGAGAGATAATTCAATAAAATTTAACTTCCCTTTTGATAAAAACCCTCAACAAATTGGACATAGAAGGAGCATACTTCAGAATAATAAAGGCCATCCACAAGCCCACAGTGAACATAATACTACGTGGAAAAAAACTGAAAACTTTTACTCTAAGATCAGAAACAAAACAAGGATGCCCGCTTTTACCATCTTTGTTCAATATAATATTGGAAGTCTTGGCTGAAGCAATTAGGCAAGACAAAAAAAATAAAGTGTGTCCACATTGGAAATGAAGAAGTCAAATTAGACTTGTACACTGATAATATGATCTTATGTTTAGAAAAACACAAAAAATCCATGAACAACTATCAGAACTGATAAATAAATTCAGTAAATTTGCAAGACGCAAAATCAACATACAGATATCAGTAGCATTTACATATTCCAACAGTGACCAATCTGAAAAGGAAGTCAAGAAAGCACTGCCATTTCCAGTAGCTACATAGAATATAAAATACCTAGGAATCAATTTAACCAAACATGTCAATAATCTATACAAAGAAAACTGTAAAACACTGTGGAAGGATCTGAAGCGGACACACAAAAAATGGAAAGATATCTTATTCTAATGGATTGGAAGAATTAATATTGTTAAAATGGTAATACTGTCACAGGATCCTTGGGGTGTCACTTCACCAGCCAGAAACTTCTGTGGCCAGTGGTGCCTCAGCTTGAGTTTTGCTAGCATCCACTAGACCTGTTCTGCCCACTTGGCCCAGCAGGCTGTGTTCAGTTCGTGCTACCTGTGCAGATCCCACACCTGCCAAAGATGAGCCAGTTATGGAGTGGTAATGGGTGTGTAAATGAGCAAGCATGGGGTCCAGCCACTGTGCACAGCCAGGCACAGCAGTGCCAGGCACGCAGTTCTGGCCAGTGTCTGAGTCTGGCTGAGTCTAGGGTTTTTATGAGCTCAGAATGAAGAAAGTGTGTGCTTATTGGTCTGTGGGCAGGAGGAAGTGTATGCTGATTGGTAATTGGTGACCATGTGCAGGACTGAATAAATCACAATCCAATTGGCTGAAAGGCATCAAGGAAGTTCTCACTCTGGATCGCAGACTCCACCTGTAACTGGCAGTCCAGCCCCCAGATTTCAGGTCATCTCTGATTTGAAGTCTGGGCCTCACTGGGGATTCGCCCCTTCCTGCCTAGGAACCTGTTTGCCTCCAGCTGCCATCAATACTACCTAAGACTATTTACACATTCAATGCAATCTCTGTGAAAATGCATATAACATTCTTCAAATAGAGAAAACAATCCTAAAATTTATATGGAACCACAAAAGAACCTGAATAGCCAAAGCAATCCTGGGCAAAAAGAACAAAGCTGGAGGCATCATACCACCAGATTTCAAAATGTAGTACAAAGATAAACTAACCATATAAGCATGCTGTGGCATAAGAAAAGGCACATTGACCAATGGAGCCTTTGTTTTTTATTTATATGTGTTATAAATAACACATATAAATCCACACTTTTACAGCCAACTCATTTTGAGAAAGGCTCCCAAAACAAACAGTGGGAAAAAAGCATTCTCTTCAATAAATGGTGTGGGGAAAACTGGATATCCATAAGCAGAAGAATGAAATTAAACCCCTGTCTTTCACTGTATGTAAAAATAAAATCAAAATGGTTTAAAGCATTAGATCTAAGATCTGAAACTATGACATTACTAGAAGAAAGCATTGGTGAAAGGCTCTGGGACATGAATCTAGGCATGGATCTAAGTATAAGACCTCAAAAGCACAATGACAAAAGCAAAAATAGACAAATGGGATCACCTTAAGCTAAAAAGCTTCTGCACAGCAAAGGAAACAATACACAGACTGAAGAGAAAACCTACAATATAGGAGAGAATATTTGTAAACTATCCATTTGACAAAGGATTAAAACTAGAATATATAAGAAGCTCAAACAACTTAATAGCAAAATATAAATAAATAAAAAAATCCAATTTAGCAATGTGCAAAAGATCTGAATAGACATTTCTCAAAAGAAGACATACAAATGGCCAACATATATGAAAAATGCTCACATCACTAATCATCAGAGAAATGAAAACGTCACAATGAGATATCATCTCAACCCAGTTAAAATGCTTTTATATAAAAGACAGGAAATAATGGATGCTGGCAAGCATGTGAAGAAAGAAAAACTCTTGTCCTCTGTTGGTGGGAATGTAAATTAGTACAGCCACTATAGAAAACAGTCTAGAGGTTTCTCAGAAACCTTAAAGTAGATGTTCCATATTATCCAGCAATTCCACTACTGAGTATGTATTCAAAAGTAAGAAAATCAATACATCAAAGAGTTATCTTCATTCCCACGTGTATTGTAGCACGATTCACAATAATCATAATATGGAATCAACCAAGGTGCCCATTAATGGATGAATGTATAAAGAAAATTTGGTGTGTACAATGGTATGCTATTAAGTCATAAAAAAAGAATGACATCCTGTAATTTGCAGCAACAGGGATAAAACTGGAACTCATTATGTTATGTGATATAAGCCAAGCACAGTGAGACAAATGTTGCAAATTCTCACTCATATGTGGGAGCTAAAAATGTAGATCTCATGAAGATAGACATTAGATTGGTGGTTACCAGCAAAGGTAGTGGAGAGAGGGTGATAAAGAGAGGTTGATCAATGAGTGCAAATACAGTTAGTAGAAGAAATAAGACCTGGTGTTCATTGGATCAGTAAAGTGACTGTAGTTAACATTAATGTATTGTACATTTCAAAAAAGAAGATAACAACTTGAATTTTCTAGCATAAAAAAGATAAATAATTAAGATGATGGCTATCCCAATTATCCTGATTTATCAAATTATCACATGTACCTTGAAAATATGTACATCTACTAAGGATCAGTATAAAAAATTAATTACATTAGTCAGGGTTTAGCAAGGCAGAAAATATGAAATTAGATCCAACACAAAAGTGTGAGGAGCAGGGAAAATTAAAGTCTGGAAGGGGAATTCTGAGAATCAGAGGGATTGCTAAGTCATTAATGAGTTAATCTGAAGGACTGCTGTGAGTTAATAATTTGTAGTGTTAATGTTCTCCAGCCAAGGACCAACAGGACCATATCTGTAGTTTAACAAGTTGGGTTCCTTACTCATAATGCATCAAATGTCTCAGTAAGAATTTGTTAGAAAGGAATTATTGTACAATTTATGTTTACATTAGGTAATTTTGAGGATAATTTATGTAAGCAGTGTTTTACTCTGGATGCAAGGATAATTCAATGACTTGATATCTTAATACATTTTATCTACAAAGAGGAAAGAAACTAGTGCAATACTAAAAATAAAATCAGAAAGAAAGCAATCAACACTGATGTAAGCCAAGACAGGATGTGTGGTTAATATGTAGATAGGACAATGTTCATATTTTATGTTCAGATATGATTACAGAGTGGTTCTGTTTTTGTTTTGATCCATCAAGGTCACAGAGTGGTTTCCTCTGGTGTTGATGACTTGGGAAACTATTTATGTTCAAAAGGAGAACATTAAGATTTTATTGTGAGTACCAGGACCAGCTCCAAGTGCCAAGAGCTGCCTTTCTCATTCTTTGTAGCTTGCAGAGAAGTCCAAATTGTGACCATGAAGGGAGGGTTAATAAATAGGTCTGTGGAAGCTGTTGCCACTGCAGAACTACTACCTCTGTGGTCCTGGAAATAAGCATCTGGTGCCAAGTCTGAGCCAATGTAGGATGTTGGTGCTGGCAGATGTTGGGCATAATGTAGAAGAAAGCAAGGAGAACCTGGATTTGGCCAGCCACCTCTGCTGTGAACTGGGAACTACTGATATCCTTATTTTATAGCTGAAGAAATTGAGTTAGAGATTGCTTAAGTTACTTGCCCATTGCTACAAGAATACTAACTAGAGTTATTAGAATTCAAAGCAAAGAAATCTGTCTTAATTTCATAGTCTTAACCATTTGTCTCTGCTGAGTCTCAAACAAGAAATCTATGAAAAGATAATCAAAATCACTAGTGCTTGGGAAAATTCCAATCAATGCAAAACAAAAATAAAATTTAATCCCAAACTATCAAAAGTTGAGGAAAGCAATAATATGTTACATACAAGATATTAGGAAGGAGGGCCTTCTGGTACATTGCTGGTTTGACATTGAATTGCAGTCAGCTTTGGAAGGTAATTTGTCAGTATCCTTCAAAGCAATTCAAATGATGCAAGTCTACTTCTGCAAATTGATTATGTGGAAATAAAAATATCAATAAGTAATAAAAAGACAAATACACATGTGAATACCTATAGCAACATTATTTATAATGACATAAAACAGGAAGCAACCTGAATGCCCATCAATAGAGCAATAGAGGAATGGATTAACATTACACACATTCTATCAACTATTATAAAGCTGTACAAACAGAACTTTTACTCTGAACCTACAAGGATCTGTAATAGATACATAGCTTTAAAAAATGGCTTATTACATTCCATGGTGTGATCTCATTTTTAAACTAAAGGCACCATATTTGTGTATTGGTGAATATAAGAACAGAAAAAATTATTGAACATTCTATACTATAATGTCAGCATTGCTAACTTCAAGATAAAGCATGGGGAAAGCAGGGTGCTCTAGAGAAGCATGGTTAATGTGATCATCTTTTTATATTTTGGGATTACTTTAGTTATTATTTTAAGCATGTGTAATTTTTTTGTGATAAAAAATAAAAAGTATAGAATGTTTCTTAGGAGACTAAAGGAATTTTTTATTCCTAAAGAAAGAAGATTTAAAATAATTTTATTCAAATTAAAATATGATACATTTATTAAAAGATAATTTTGGTTTAAAAATCATTCAGATAAAAAACAGTTTCATGATATAATTGAAATATTATACAGTATTCTAAAATCAGTTGATAATGTTAAACCAATATTCAAAATTTGGTTCTGTGAAAAATTTTTATTTTTGTCTCCATTTCATGAAAAGTATCCTTATATGAGAGATCTTCAGGCTTTACAAAGATGAAATAATTTCTATAAAAATACAACAGTGCATGAGCAATGTAAGTAGTTATCTGCTAACAATATACATGTCTACAGATATAGATATTTTTTGCTTTTTTGTTTCATTTCTGTTCTAGCAACTACAAATTTTATGTTGGCTCATCAGGCTCTGCAACAGAACATTTGACTTTAAAAATGGCTAGGGTTTAAATATACTTAAATAAATCAGAAACTTAGATATGTCTATTAATAGAGCCTAGAAGTGTCCTCATTTTTATGCAATATTTATATTTGAGACACAATTTTCTTGTGAAAATAACATATAAGAAGTTGGGTTGGCTCATAGTCTGCTCTTTAGGTTATTGACTCTAATTTTAAAGAATATTGTATATATATTTACATGTATATCATGTACATAAGTATACATATTATGTATTATGTACATATATACACACACTTGCAGAGCAAGTGTTAGCTGGATACAAGTATTAGCTATATATACGTGTGTGTATTTATATATGTGTATATATATTTATATATGTAGGCGTTAATACAGTGATGAGTCACTTAACAATGGGGGCACATTCTGAGAGATGCATCATTTTGCAGTTTTATCATGTGAGCATTATAGGGTGCACTTACACAAACCTAGATGGTATAGACTACTACTCCTCTAGGCTATACGGTATTGCCTATTCTTTCTAGGCTACAAACCTATAAGTATGTTACTGTACTGAATACTGTAGGCTGTTGTAACACAATGGTGAATATTTGTGTATCTAAACATAAAAGAGGTGCTGTAAAAACTTGGTGTTATAATTTTATAAAGTCACCATCATATAGGTGGTCCATCACTGACAGAAACATGTTGTCATGTGGTACGTGACTATATACATGGGGACTCAAACATAACGTCCATTTTAGTTAAATATAAATATCTGATTAATCAATATATTTGGTTACAGTGATGAATTTGGATGAAATGAACTGAATAAGGTGATAATGATTTATACTGAAAACTCCTCATAGCAATCTTATAGTTATTCCCATCCTACCAGTAAGCCACACAAAAAGTTTTGAAAGGATTCAAATATAATTCATATATATTAGCAATTATAAATTGACATTCCATGCATGCATATTTTTCTTTCATTTATACTTTACAATTCCCTTTAATAAAGAGTATCAATTTCTAAAGTTATAATATTATATAAGTTCATTTTCTAGAAAAGCTATATAGCATCACTTGTCAAAAATTGAATTTTTATAATTTGACTGAAATAACCAATATAATAAATAATAAGTGAAGGACAATTTTGTCTTTTTAAAGCTAAGAACAGGTACAAAGTGCAATATTGTAGTTAATACATCAAAAAGAAATACAGGTCAAGTGTTAGAGCCTAATCTATTATAAAGGTTTTGTAATTATAGAAGCAGAAGTACATTTGAAAAATATATCTACTGAGAGTAATTTAATGTCAAGTGTCAACTTTGCCATACTGTTAAGATCTTGAGGTAACCTTGTCACACCTGAAACACAAATACTTTCAGATCTGGTGTCCTGTTCATTATGATATTTCTTGAGCTATGTTACAAGCTACAGCCAATGAAAATGATCTTGTAACCTACTTTTTAAAAAGCCACCCATAATTAATGTCTACAGATATATAGTAATCACATTTTGACAAGGAGCATCAGGGTGCCAATAACTCTTCGGCCCAGACAGTTTTATGTGTCTTCTCTTCAATAATTACCATTTTGGAAAGCTTTCAAGTGATATCTCTTATTATGGTAGAATAGTTTTCTGATAAAGTTCTAATATATGTGTCCTTCTTTAAGGTGAGTCCTAAGATGGCCAGGCCAAAGTTAACAAAGTGTATAAATTACTAGGCATCCACTTGAAGGACTCCACTTTGTTGAAATATACCTTAAAGCTAGAAACCCGCTACCTATGGAAATGATTTGTTCCTGAAGACTTTGACATCAAAAGTCAAATTATAAGTAGGCACGAACACGTTATTTTTCTTGAAGATATCTTGCTCTTTTGATATTCAGGTCTAGTACTCTCTCTTCATGTGTTTAATTTTTACAACCATACAAAAATGGCTACTTTTGTGAAAAGAAGTAGTGACATAACATTAAAATTAAATGAGGATTGAAAGAAAAGTTTAATCAGTCATCTTTTTTTCAACTCATGGGAAATAAAATACCTTTCACGCATGAATAAGAAAAATACTTGTTTGTACAAAGCATGATTTCTTTCTCTCTTTATAGCACTTCTTCTTACCCTACCTCTTCAAAATTTATGCCTGTTTTATAAAACTTTTAACTTTTTGCCAACTCATTAATTTATCAAACAAATCTGATATGAAGAAATCAGATTTCAGCATATATCATTCTTTTAGCTGGCTATTACATCATGATGTATCAAGAAATGCTTAGATCAGATTCATTGGTAATGGTCCATTGACTGTTTTTCTAATGCCCGTAGGCCCCTATTGAATTGTATTATATAATTTATCTATTTGTAATCTAATTATTGGTAGGATATAGACATCTTTGGCAACCAAACTGAATTCAGCCACCTGGGTACCACTTAATGATATGTCATAAACTGCTTCATGGTTTAATGAGATCATTTCTTGTTTTATTTCATCAAAACGATATATCATAACAATTTATGTTAGATCATTAAGAGTGTTGCAACAGATTCAACTTCAAATCTCAAGTCCGTCAAAATATCAGTTTATACAAAGAATAAGCTGGCATAATTTCTTTTTAAAACTACAACCTGAAATGTAGACTGTCAAGTCAGCCAACCAACAGTTTGATTGTTATGAAGACCAACTGTATCTTAAGAAACAATCAAATAAATTTAAAAAATTATTTCCCTTTTTAAACTGATGTAACTTCTGACAGGTATCATAGACAAATAATTTTACCAGTTGATAAAGTCTTTAGAAATCTTTATGGCAACATTTTAAATAACTGTAAAGGCATGTTTTACCTTATCAAAACACTTTTCTATATTTCTTTTCTTTTCTTTTTTTTTTTGGAGATGGAGTCTCACTCTGTCACCCAGGCTGGAGTGCAGTGGCATGATCTTGGCTCACTGCAACCTCTGCCTCCCGGGTGCAAGCAATTCTTCTGTTTCAGACACTCAAGTAGCTGGGACTACATTTTTGTATTCTTAGTAGAGATGGGGTTTCACGATATTGGCCAGGCTGGTCTTGAACTCCTGACCTCATGATCCACCCGCCTCGGCCTCCCAAAGTGCTGGGATTACAGACGTGAACCACCACACCAAGCCTCTATATTTCTTAAATGCTTCTAATCCACATACATAGACATCTGTATCAGAATCTATACAGAAAAGAATAACAAAACAGTACCACTTTCATTGACACTTTCGTTTGACTTCTATATGCAGTTACTGATATCTTGTTTTAAGTTATACATTATATGTGTTCCACAGGACTGAGACTAACATGAGGAGTGTGAGGCACTCATATTGGACACAAAATTTAAGGAAGTGCAAAAACTCAGTCATCAAGATAAAAATTATAATACTTCTATAATATGTAAATATGTATTTAAACATTATATTTGAAATCCAAACTATTTTAAAAATTCATACTGAATAAAATAAAAAATATTATATAAAGACAGAATCAGTATGTTCTAAACCTTACTGGGATGCTGAGCACAAGGGAATCAATTGATTACAGGGTGAGAACCATAGAGGTTGAAGTTCTGACAAGTTAGGTAGACATTTTCAAGGAGTCTGCAGACTGGCAAATGTAACAGTCAATTTTATGTATCAACTTGATTGGACTAATGGATGCTGAGATAGCTGGTAAAACATTATTTCTGAATGTGTCTGGGAGGGTGTTTCTTGGAAGCAGTTAGCCTTTGAATTTGTAGACTGAATAAAGAAGAGCCAACCTCACTAATATTGAGTGGTGAAGCCGGCTGAACTTCCTGGGTCCAGTGGGGACTTGGAGAACTTTTCTGTGCCTAGCTAAAGGTTTGTAAATGCACCAATTAGCACTCTGTAAAAACGCACCAATCAGCACTCTGTAAAATGGACCAATCAGCAGGATGTGGGCAGGGCCAAATAAGGGAATAAAACCTGGCCACCCCAGCCATGGGCGGCAACCCACTCAGGTCCCCTTCCAGACTGTGGCAGGTTTGTTCTTTTACTCTTCACAATAAATCTTACTGGTGCTCACTCTTTGGGTCTCCACTAACTTTATCAGTTGTAACACTCACCTCGAGGGTCTGCAGCTTCATTCCTGAAGTCAGTGAGATCAAGAACCCACCAAAAGGAAGAAACAACTCCAGAGGCACCACCTTTAAGAGCTGTAACACTCACTGCGAAGGTCTGCGGCTTCACTCCTGAAGTCAGTGAGACCACGAACCCACCAGAAGGAAGAAACTCCGGACACATCTGAACATCTGAAGGAACAAACTCCAGACACACCAGCTTTAAGAACTGTAACACTTACCACGAGGGTCTGCAGCTTCATTCTTGAAGTCAGCGAGACCAAGAACCCACCAGAAAGAACCAATTATGGACACAATATGGGTGGGCATCATCCAATGCATTGAGCCAGAAAAATGTCAACCTTGCTCTCTGGTGGAGGTGGAAAAATCCACCTTTTCCCGCCCTCAGACGCGGGCACTTCTGGTTCTCTGTCCTTCAGACTGTGATTAGACTTACACCACCCTTAGGCCTTTAGACTTGGACTCATTTTCACCACCAGCTTTCCAGTTCTCCACCTTGTAGACAGCAGATCATGGGACTTCTCAGCCTTGAAAATCACGAGTCAATTCCCATAATTCTCTCTCTTATATATAATGATATATATTATATATAATTATATAGATATATAACTCTATATACATTCATATGTATAGCTATGTATATAGAGAGAAATCTGTCTACATGCCTATCTATCTATCTTACATACTATTTGTTTCTCTGCAGAACCATGACCAATGTGCTGGCTGGCAGAAATTTAGAGACATTTATAAATTCTTTTATTTTGCAGAAAGAAAAAGAGTTGTATTTTTGTTACGGGGAGATGTAATAGGAATATTTCATAAACTTTGAGTCAGATGCCTCCGCTTGCATAAACTCAGTTGGAATTTTGTAAAACCAAGTAAGAATTTATGTGGCAAGACTTACAAAAATACAGTCAATATAGGTTGTTGAATAAAATAAGCCATTTAAAAAAATCTAAAATGAGCATAATTCAATTTAAATTTTAAAAAGCTGAAAAGGTATGCAATGTATTATCTGTTTTTATTCACATAAATTATAAAGTGATACCTCAAAAAGCAAGATAATGATTACATATTGTGGAGAAGAAAGCGTTATGCAGGATGTGTGTGTGTGTGTGTGTGTGTGTGTGTGTGTATGTGTGTGTGTAGAAGTATACACATGTATTCTTTCTTTTTTTTTTTTTTTGAGACAGAGTCTTGCTCTGTCTCCCAGGCTGGAGTGCAATGGCGCCATCTCGGCTCACTCCAAGCTCCGCTTCCCAGGTTCACGCCATTCTCCTGCCTCAGCCTCCCGAGTAGCTGGGACTACAGGCGCCCGCCACCAGGCCCGGCTAATTTTTTATATTTTTAGTAGAGACAGGATTTCACCATGTTAGCCAGGATGGTCTCGATCTCCTGACCTCATGATCCGCCCACCTTGGCCTCCCAAAGTGTTGGGATTACAGGTGTGAGCCACTGTGCCTGGCCTATACATGTATTCTTAAACTAAGTTTCATATGTATGTGTGTGTACTCATCATTTATTTCCTGAAAATAATTATTTACATGTGTTGTTGAACTTTAAGCATTTCTGCTAATTAACTGTAGGAGAAAACAGTAGTTTAGAAGACATTCTTTGATATGACCAATATCATAATAATATGTCTCGATTTCATAGCAAAAAATAAGATTTTCAATTCCTGTGCTGTATCTCTCAGTAGAAAAAAGCATGAATATCTAGCAATTAATTTCTACATATAAGAAAAATACTTTAGTAAAAATACATATTGCCATCAAAAGTGTGTCCATTTACTGTATTGTTTATTTCTAATGTATCCTAATATTATGCAATGTTAATGAAAAATAAAATTATGTGTATGTTTCTTTTGTATGTGAATTCATAAACATGTATATACATATATACACACACATATTAACTATTGTGAAATACTGGGATTCTTCTGTGCATCTTTAATTTTTTGAAAAGTATGACTACAGAATTGTTTTAACAGCTTAAATAATATTATGACAGTTCATGTATTTAAAAGATTGAATTAAAAAGACAGAATGAAGAAATATTGTTAAAACAGCCAGGAAATTGAGGCATTTCTGTATCCCCATATTCGTGTGTTAAATTGTTCCCTAATCAAGTGGATCAATTAACATAAAATAGTTATAGAATCATAGCCTAATAAATATATGGAACATGAACTTGCTTAGAAAGCATTTTGAGATTTTCAAATTAAAGATGGTTAAAAAATGAAATCACCTATATTTTCTTCATTTGGGGAGATTCTCTTCTCTTCCCATTAGACTTCTATTACAGTGCCTTACTCAGTTAAGCATGGAATCCTCTGAAGTTCCATAGTTATACTTCAAGCTGAATCAAAATTTCAAATTCCTTTTATAAGTGGAGGCTTCCTTTTGGCATTACCACTTAATTAAAAATACAATATGGAAAAATATACATATACATGCATCACATGGATACGTGTGTAAGATGACTTTCTCAACTAAGGTCTAACATCAGAGTAAACAGTTTTTGTTCTCTCATTGTCTTTCATTATTTGACTGTCAGATGCATGACAATAGCTACTATTGTCTTGATGGCCTTTGGAAACATTTAAAACCAGAAAGAAAAGTTAAATTACTTATATATGTCTTTATGTAACTTGTTAATATGATTTTATAGCAAGGCTTTATTTATTCATAAAAACTGTTTTTAATGGTTGATTTTGTGTGCATCTTCTTATCTGTGTCCACCTTCATGCTCACACATATGATATCACATCTTTTTTATTACTAGAGTACATCCAGTTACGTAAGAGGAGAGCAGAAGGAGAAATCTTCACCCACATTTCCTCCCTCATGCATCATCCTGGGTACATGGCAGTGTTGACCCTACTGCTAAAGATCAAATGGCTAGAAACATAGGCAATACTCAACAGTTTTCAAACCAGATAGAACATGGCGGGACACTGGCCAGTACTTGCTGAACATCACTCATGGCCAGAAGGTCCTCTTTGGTCACCAAAAAGCATTGAAGAGGCAGTTATTTGAATGCTGCTTCAGGTGAAAGTTGTGAATCGAGTTCTCCTTTCATCAGTAACACTTGTAGGGACAGTAGTATGGTAATAATAATAGCTATTTTTTTATTGAGTGCTTACTATGTCCCAAGCAGTCTAAATATGTTATCACATATAATGATAGTGCACTTGATTTAAGTCCAAGAGGTATGTCTCTGAAATTAATTAACCACTACCAGTTATCTTGCCTCTACAAAGACTGGGAGACCAAGTTCATTATATGTAGTAACCATAATCTCTTTCTATAAAATGGGGAAAATAATAATCAATCTTACAGTATTACTATACACAAACCAAATAGGGTCTCTGACATATAATAGGTCCCAGAAAAATGCCAGTTTCCTTCAATTCTCATAAAACATATATCATGAAAATATGTATGAGTCATTTTCCATGCATGCAGGAGAAGTAAGCCTATTAAAATTTCTTAGCTTTTACAGATATATTACCACTAGAATACTAGTTTGCTTTGTGTTTAAAAAGAGGTACCCAGCTTCACTGCAACAATCTAGTACCTCCAAAAGAAATCTCAAACTATTTCAGTAAAATCCAAAATAGCTAAAAGAATACACTCCACCCATTGAGATTTATACACCATGCTATTTGTTCATCATACATATCTCATTTAGTCTTATAGGCTAGTTATTCTTACTAATCGATATTCATATTGCAGATGAAAGAAACAGGCACAGGCAATTTTAGTAATTTATACAAGGGCCCCTCACAATGAAGTAGAGGCCAATTATGAATTTCAACCCAAGACTGTTGACTCAGAATCTCATGCTTTTAATGACTAAGGTTTTCTTACTCTCTAGTAGCAAAACATAAAAATTTAGATTTCTTAACCCTATCTTTTTATTTGTGTGTGTGTGGCTTTTTTTTTGTTTGTTTTTGTTTGTTTGTTTGTTTGTTTGAGATGGAGTTTTGCTCTTTTTGCCCAGGCTGGATAGCAATGGTGCCATCTTGGCTCATTGCAACCTCCACCTCCCGGGTTCAATCGATTATCCTTCCTCAGCCTCCCTATTAGCTGGGATTACAGGCCCTCACCACCACACCTGGCTAATTTTTGTATTTTTAGTAGAAATGGGGGTTTCACCAGGTTGTCCAGGCTGGTCTCAAACTCCTGACCTCAGGTGATCCACCTGCCTTGGCCTCCCAAAGTGCTGGGATTACAGGTATGAGCCACTGCGTCCAGGCTATTTGTAGATTTTTAACTTGAAATGCTTTTCATCCAAAAATGGGTAATTATGGATATAATTGCATTTTGACATACATTCTAAAAAATACAAAAATATATCTTAATTTTATTTATTTTTGTATTTTGATAAAGTATTCCAGTATGGAATAATGCACTGTTAATTGACAGACTTATACCAACTCTCATTCTTTAAAAACTAGTATCTATTCCCTATGTTGTAATACTTGTGGTTACATTGGTTTCCAAGTATTCACTAGCTGGTTTCATTCACATATATTGCACATTACTACCATCAGTGGTTTGAATACGATTGGATCATTTGTTCTCTGAGAATAATTCTTTACATATGGTGTTGAACTCTAAGCATTACTGCAAATTAACTGTAGAAGAAAACAGTAGTTTAGAAGAAATTTCAAGAATGCTATTTGCTTTTAGACAAGAAGTATTAAATTATTTTTTCCTTTTTACCAAGACTTTATCAGCCCTTTCTATCTCATATCTGCTGCACAAATTTTGTTTTTCTGTCCTTAAAATGAGAACTTATCAATCTCCCTTCAAAAATTTATACAGCTGTTTATACTACCTTATACTGCTGCTTCTGTGATGTAGTTTTCGTCTTCCATCCTTTCATATGATTGACTTTTATTCAACCACATCTTCTGATCATAATGATACCAAAAGGCATTGTGGCAATCAATGCAATCTCACTTCTTCTCACAACAACAGTAGTATGATTCCATAAAATATTCCTCATTAAATACTTGCTATGCCAGAACAAGAATTATCTTCTTAGAGCAGGCATATGTTCACCTCTGCTAGGCTTCGGGTTTATACACAATATGACTATACTCAGTTGTTTAACATTTGCCAGTTATAAAGAGCTTCCCTATGCATACTCTCTCTGCATTAAATATTTTCTGGAACAAGGTACAATACAACACATGAAATAAACAAGATTTGTTTTACATTTTGCCTTCCCAATAACCCTGGCAAAAATGCAGGGAAGGTATTAATATTTCCATTGAACACATGAGAAACTTGAGGCTCAAAGATGTTATACAAATTGTCTCAAGGTCATATAGTTAGTAAACATTGGAGTTCAGATAAGTCTATCTCTGAGCTAACAGGAATGCCTCCAGACTCTCTTTGCTTTCCTTTCCCTGTACAGAGAGACACTGTAGTGAAGAGTTTAAATGTTTCTTGAGTCAAAACACTTGGACTCTTGTTCTGATCCTGCTGGACTTCTCTGGCTGTGTTAATTTGGACAAATCACTTAACTACTGTTTGACTCAATTTTTGTCTTAAGTAAAATGAAGATAATAGATAATAATTTTACTGACCTTCTTGGGTTGTTGTGAGGTTTTTATGTTTTTTCTTTCTTTATTCTTTCTGTTTTTTGAGAAAGCAGGTGTCACTATGTTGCAAGGCTGGAGCTATTCACAGGCCTGATCATAGCACACTGCAGCCTCGAACTCCTGGGCTCAAGTGATCATCTTACCTCAGCCTCTCAGGTAGTTGAAGCAGGTGTCACTATGTTGCAAGGCTGGAGCTATTCACAGGCCTGATCATAGCACACTGCAGCCTCGAACTCCTGGGCTCAAGTGATCATCTTACCTCAGCCTCTCAGGTAGTTGAGAGGCTATAGTCATAGGCATGCACCACTGTGCTCAGTGAGTTGTGAGTTTCATGTTACTCTCCTTGGTTTATCATGAGCATTCCATTAATTTGGTGATTGTTGAGTTTATATATAAATTAACAATAATAAATTCCAACCCATCTGTTATTAAGAGAGTTCATTTTCTACATAAAATTAGACAATATATAGCAGGGCAATGAATATCTGAGTTACTTTAAAGGTGGTAAAGCCTGAGAAAAGAGGACTGTCTCGACAGTCATAGATTATCTATGGATCAATGCAGGAGAGTCTCCAGAGACTGGGGAAAGGGAAAGAAAATGTCTCAAAGAAAAAGGAAAAAGGAGAGATTGGTGTTGGATATCTTGGACACCCGCTTTCTCTCCCCTGCCAAAGCAGCCTGTTTGCCAGCACAAGTGAGCAGATTGAGAAATAAGAGAGTAGCAGTGGAGACATAAAGATCACCTTTCTCGGTGGTAAACAAACAAATCTGAGGGTCACAGCAGGGTGTGAAGCCAAATAGGTCTATTAACTGAATCCAGAATTAGGCTGACTTAAAACTCAGACACTAACATGCCCCCAACTCCTCCAAAATGAGAGGAAGGTACAGAGTATCTGAATCCAAAGAAGGATCAAGAGAAGGCTTACTCTTTGCACTCTACTGAATCCCTGGAAGAAAAGGCAGAACTGAGCAAAGCCAGCTAGCTTACTCCTCCCAAACACATTGATGAGAAAAAAAAAAAAAATCACTTCATACACGCTGGGATAGAGAAGCAGGCAAAAAGCGACAGAAACATCTGGGGTAGGAAACAGAGATCTCCCAGTAAAAACAAGAAAAATATGCAAAACCTAGAATGATAAGAAAAATATTTGAGATATTAGATGTGTTAAATAAATGCAACAGAGAAAACTAATCACAAACTCTTACATGCATTAACTTCATTAATTAATAAAGGCATATATTGCATTCAACACAAAATAATGCTATTAGAATGTTTTGCATTCCTTCTATGTTTAAGACATAGGAGGAAATTAAAAGGAAATATTCCATTTAAATTCTTATGATAGACTGTGCAGTAGTCTATTTTACCTATGAGATGGAGAAATCAGAGAAATTCAGTTTTTGCCTATGTCATGAAGCTAATAAATAAAAGGATTGGAGATGGGATTCCAGGAAGTTTGACTCCAATTCTATGCAGAAAATAACACATATCTCAGCAGGATACAATTTGCTTACTTATGTAAGCAACAAATTATTATCAAAATGTGCTTGTAAAGCAGAAAATAAAACTAAAGCACATGTGATAGCTTTAATGGGAAATAATGATAGTCTAATATCCTCATCATTATAGTAAGAATGTACTAAAGTATTATTTCAAAACAAGTAAAATCACAATTCTCATGCAAATGTAAAATGAAACAATGTCAGTTAAGCCACCAGTAAGATGCCGAAAATCGTTCCAAGAACATTTGAGAAACTGCGTGTATAATGGCAACTTATGAAACAAATTAAGATTGCTAGGTTAGATTTTTAAAATTTATATAATAGTTCTTTTTTATATTTAATTATTAGAGATATATAGTAATTGTACATATTTATGGGGTAAGTGATATTCTGAAATATGCATATTGTTTGTAATTATCAAATAAAAATAATTGGGATAGCCATCATGCTCAGCATTGATCATTTCTTTGTGTTAGGAACATTCAAATTCCACTCTTCTAGTTACTTTGAAATATACCATGAATTATTATTGACTACAGTTGCCCTATTGTGCTACTAAACACTAGCATAATAGATTAGAGTTTTTAAAATAGCTAATGTCTAATGGAACCATGCATCATAATTGTTGATGTTTAATCTGTTGCACTGAACAGAGATTCTCTGCATATCTACTGAAAAAAAGTCTACAATTTAATCTCTGGCATTATAGATGCTAAAACTGTCCAGTTATTTAAACAGTTAAAGCCCATGGTTGAAGTAAAATAGTACCAGTAATCTCTTTTGTCTATTTTAAATTTCAAATAATTATTCTAACAGATATATATATAATATATATAATAGAATATGCTTGCTACTTGCTAATTAGAAACACATTTTTCTCTTGGTCACTCAGAGTTATCTCTGACACCTATTGAGCACCGAAGACACACAGATAATTATTCATCATTGGCCACACACTTTTTAAATCATGCAATTATTTCAGTCACATTGTATGATATCACTTATTGAATTGGAGCTATCTTTTAAATATTCCCCCAGATTACCTGACATGGTTGTCTTGATTGGATTACAAATTATTCTGGTATATTATCTACATTTCAAAAAGATAATTCAAAATAAAAAATAACACAAACAACAACAAAAACAAATACACACACAGAAGTACACACATGTTTCTTCCCAGGCCTTTTGTGTCCTAGTCCATAGACCTTCCATAAAGCTCAGGAAATATTACTGTCATTGGCAGCAAATATGAGTTCCCAGATGACTTTTTCCAATGAACAATAGACATCAAGGATGGCCATAGGAAGCTCCTGGTTGGCTCATTAGACAATCAACTTTAGGGTGATGTTCAAATTCTGCCACTGTCTGAGTTCCTCCTACTGCCTTCATAAGAGCTTTTATCTCTTTATCCTTCTTACATTTTTGCAAATACTTCTTACTTTTTTTCTTTCACTTGTGCTCATGCTATTTCCAGTGCCTGGAAGGTCCTTTGTTCCCCTTCTTTTATCTACTCCCTTCTCTTTCTTAGGCTTGTTCAAATATTATCTCTGCAGTGAAAATTGTCCAGTTCTCCTATTCAGTCTTCCTTCTACATTATTGAAGCCTTTAAGGTACCTCTTTCAAAAACACAGTATTTATCATTTTATTATAATCAGTTGTTTATGTATCAATCTCATCATATCTTTTGCAAAAAATATGTATGAGATTTGAAAAGAACAAGTGAATAAATCAATGAATGAGTAATATCTACAAGCCAAAGACATTTGAAAATTGTTATAATGTGCTTATAATTTATCATGGTTGACTTATAAAGAAATAGAGGCAATGACATCAAATCCTTGTATTTTTTCATGATTCTGTTCAGAGATTACCTCTTTCATGAAGCCTTCTCTGCCAAAAGAAAATATTTTATTCTTTTTATAAATTATTTCAGCTTTTCAGACACAATTTTCCAACAATATAATTTTCTATATACAAACATATATGTTATAATTTCTTTTCTTTTCTTTTTTATTGGATACTGCAAGTTTCTTGAGGTCTTTTTAGTTTTTAACCCAAAGACCTAACTCACCATTCACTTCCTGTTGTTAAATAGGTAATGCTGAGAGAAGCTTTCTTTGTCCCTCCATCTCTTTCTCTTTCTGTTATACACACAAAACTCCCCTCTGATAAACTCTTACTATCCACACATTTGGGTGAAGACTGAGAGTCTGGCTACCACTTTTAAATAAGTTTCATGTCTCATTATGTTCCTAATACCTTAGCATAATCACCCCTTATTCCAATAAAATAGCCACCTATGGCTTCAGGAGGGATTTGAGTTATTGGACAGAAAAAAGAATCATGTGTAAGAATAAAGAGTGGTAGGGATGATAGAGTTAGTAGAGGAGTAGTGAGAAAATGAGAAGCTGAAATAGATAACACAGTATTTTGTCTAGTAGAAGTACTAACAGAAAATTTTATTTATGGTAAATATTTCCAAGTATTAACCAGTCATGTTGGTCATTTTCAGAATAACTTAAAAGCAATTTCAAAAAAAATGCTTTCTCCCAAACTCATAGTTCTTATGACAAATTTCCCTCTAAATTCTGCATTCAATGCAAGAGCCATCCTTCTGAATTAATGAGTCATCACATGAAAGAAACAATGTGTGTGTATAATCCCTGACTCCTGCAAAGAGAAAAATTGTGCGTGTCTCATATAGGCAAAGGTTGATGAATGTTTACATGGCCCTTAAACGAATGCAATTGTTAGCTAGCTTTCTGCAGAATATAATCCTAAGGATTTCCAAGACAATATTTTCCCATCAAATGTTATGCAAATTATAATGAATTATGATAATTGATTTCAAATGCAGACTTTCTGCTGAAAGAAATTCTATTCAAACAAATGTGTTTTCCATACCATTAGAATTACAAGTTACAAACATGTCTAGTAATTCATTAAGAGCCATTTATTCAGATTCAAGTGTTTGAACACCAGCTGGTTGTCAGAAAGATTTATCAAATTCTTTCTATAGAAAATCATAAAAAGTTTTAGGGCTGCTTTTAATGTATCAGTAAATATTCATTATTATCTGAATAAGCAAATCTATGTCACTGAGAAATTGGAACACTGTGGGACCTAAAGCCTGTAAATAAAATATCACTTCCTTAATAGAATAATAAATCACATTCCTCACGCGGCTTTTGCAATGTCTATAGCTAAAACTTCATGTGAGGAGATTTTTGTTTTATCCAGAAAAAAACACCAGACTCTCTATATGCCCAGGCATAAAGGCAGTCTTTTTTTTTTCCCTTTGTTTGGGTGATATCCTGACTAAGACTTTGCAGTTCCTACGTCATTTTATTTAGGCTGTCATCACATACCCTTTAATAAACACATAATCTTAGAAGTCATTCTTAGAAGAAAGTGGTAAAAATTTATTATAGAAACAGATGTGGAACAAGACTCACAAGCTTTATGAGTTTAAGTAATGAAAATGGATTTTATCATTCATGTATCAGGCTGCATATTTCAATCTATTCCAATTTCCTAGGAAATGTTCTTAGTATAGTTCTCACAGGCAAACAAAAGGATATTTTATGTGTATTTTCTAGTTTACTCCCTGATCTTGTTATAGTGTAATACTGAGGCATATTTATTTCAGTTTGATATATAAATACAGAAATATAACTTCCTTGTAGCACTTAATATAAAACCATTAAGCACTAATTCACTCTAGCTTCAGTTATTTTTTATATTACAAAGCATATAATAATAAAAACGTAAAGAATATGGAATCATACAAATTCACACGAACTTAGTAACTACAACAGATGCTTACTGATTTCTTATGTATGTATTTATTTACACCAAATATTTATTAAACAATTTTTTAAATCTTATTTTATTGGAGAAAAATAAATAGTTAAGAATAAGATGAAAGGTACTATCCCCTAAGGTAACAGTTTGGTTTTTAAATTTGCTTGAAGCAAAGCAATAACAATAGAGCACAGGAAAACTAACATAATCTGCCAAATGACTTTTGGGCAAAATTGAAGAATAAAATATTTAAAATAATTGTTAAAATATGATTAATAGCTGGAAGCCATTATCCACAGCAAACAAACACAGGGAAAGAAAACCAAACACCAAATGTTCTCACTTGTAAGTGGGAGCTGAATAATGAGAACACATGGACACAGGGAGGGAAACGACACGCACTGGTGGGGTTGGGTAGGGGGCAGATGGTAGAGTATCAGGATAAATAGCTAATGCATGCTAGATTTAATACCTAGGTTATGGTTTGATGGGGCAGCAAACCACCATGGCACACATTTACCTATGTAACAAACCTGCGCATCCTGCACATGTATCCAGGAACTTAAAATTAAATTAAATTTTAAAAAATGAGTAATTTGTTTACTAACAAATATAAGCTTAAATAATTCATGAAAAAAATAGTGTTTAAATACTTTTTAAAGCTTACAAATCAAAGCCTAATATATCATACCATTTTCCTGAGCTGGTATTGAAAAACAATTTTCAGAGAATATCCATTGAATGTAAGTGGACTAAAAAGAAAACAGTGAACTTACATTTTAGTAGTGGAGGAATGATAAATGCACAAAAGTATTTATGCAAGTAGAGAATGACAGCTGCCATAACAGAATCCAGAATAGATTTTTATGGGACATGAAGGAGGAAGAGATTATACTCCATCTATGGAATCCAGGGTCTTCCCAGAAATAGCTATATTGGTGCTGGACTTTGAAGGATGGGTTAAATTAAGGCAGTTAGAAAGGTAAGGAATTTCATGAGCAAATGAATAACAAGAGCAAAAGCCAAGACACTGGACTTTACAGATCATGCTTAGAAAATAACATGAATAATATCTGTTTGGATAAAATGCGGGGTCTGCGAAGGGGGTAGTTGGCAAATAGACTAGAATTAGATGCAGGAGTCATATTCAGAAACTCCTTAAATCCTTTGCTGAGTTGTTTGCATTTAATTCAGTAAGGATTACAAGTCTTAAAGCAGAGAACTAGCATGTTCCAATCTCTAAAAGGAAGTCGAAACCAGCAATTAATTATATTGATGCACCCCTTCTTTCATTCTTAAGGTGAAAATCAGAATATGACCAGAAAGTAAGGATATATATGGCATAATAATATTGTGTCTGTAGTGTACATTTAAAATTATTTTTCCAAAGGAAAATAAGCCATTCTATAAAAAAGACACATGCACTTGTATATTCATCACAGCACTATTCAAAATAGCAAAGACATGGAATCAACATAGGTGCCTATCAACGGTGGATTGGATAAAGAAAATGTAGTACATACACACCATGGAATACTATGCAGCCATAGAAAAGAACAAAATGGTGTTCTTTGCAGCAACATGGATGCAGCTGGAGGCCATTCTTCAAAGCAAATTAACGCAGTAACAGAAAACCAATACTACATGTATTCACTTGTAAGTGGGAGCTAAACATTAGTACATATGCACACAAGGATGGGAACAATAGACACTAGGGACCCCAAACGAGTAAAAGAACGGAGGGAGGCAAGGGTTAAAAACTACCAATCAGGTCCTATGCTCACTACCTATGTGACAGCATCAATTATACCCCAAACATCAGCATCATGCAATATACCCATGTAACAAATTTGCACATGTACCCACAGAATCTGAAAGTTGAAATTATGAAGAATAAATAAATAAAATAAAATATTTTTTATTTGAAACATACTTTTGATGCATTTATCTGGACATTCTACCCAGGATGTGGAATGATATATTTTTGAAATATTTATTGAGGTTCCCAAATACGTAATATTTCTGAATTTGAGCTATTGCTTCAGGGAGAACAAGCTTTTACTTCAGAAAAAAATAAGAATAAATTATTTGGAAATATAATATTTAATTCATTGAATTTTCTGTGTGAAAAGATAGGACCTATAAAGTCTAAACTCACATCAAAATGTTTGAAAATGCAGGTTTCAAAGAATAATTTCATGAACTCTGCCTCCTCAATGAGAGTAAACTTTGAGTTAGAGTACAAAGAACTGAAGAATGTGTAAAAGGAAAATACTGAAATGGAGTTTATGTCTTCCAAATTAAAATTAAAATGTCAGATAACTTATGGCACTTAAATGTAATAATGTTTACATTTTAAAATACATAGTAAAAAATCAAGTAGGCATTTTAATGTTTTCAAATATGAGCAAATGATGAAAATATATGATTTGAATTCTATCTGTATGCATATGTATATAAATATGGAAAGAGATTGTGTGTGTGAGAGAGAGGGAGAGAAGTTTCAGTTCTTAATAGATGCACAAATAAATATGCTTATAATAATGTAATATTCATTGAATGACTCTATATACCATTGAATAACATAAGAACTCCTAATGAAAAATTAAATTATTTCTACCAAGACATAATTATATTATTACACAGTAAATTACCTTTGAATGTTGTATTTTCTGGCCCTGAATTAAAATGTTTCACAAATACTAAGTTCTTTAGGACTTAGCTTTCTCCTCCTGAGAGATTTTGTTGGCTGCCTCCCTACAGTAGGTCTTCTCTGTAATGCTCTATCACAGAGCTCTGCCTTTCATCATGGTAGTCATAGTGTAATCCCTTCACTTCTATGTTGACCATCTCTCCCAGTAGACTACATGCTCTTTAAGGTCAAGGACCTTCAGTAGTATGCTCTGTTATATTTCTGGTGCCCAGAGCAGTATCTTGAACTCACCAACACATAATAAACATCTGCTGAATGAAAACGTAATTCTTCTTTAGAAATTCAATGATTTCATGGGGAAATAATTTTGATTAATCATTTGAGCCTCTATATTTTGCCACGTGAACATTTATAATGACTTCTTATTAATAAAAATACTTCTCATGTTTAAATAATAGGACATTTTTATATAATATTAGGAAAACTGGAAGAAAGACAATTTATATTTAACTTGATTTGTTGGAAATCAAAATTTGAAACATAAAACAAACTTTACTTTCATTTGTTCTTTATATTTTTATTGAATTCATACTATGTACAAGGCACTAGATTATCTCTTATGAGCGATACAGAGAAAAATGAGACAGTTCTTCCTCGAAGGAATGAGAAATCTAGTACAGATATAAAATAGGAAGAGATACTGTAATTCAAGTGAGAAAGTGACAACTGGCATTAGAGATTTGCTGCAGCAGTGTTTCTAAAACTTTTTGCTTCAACTCACAGTAATAAATTCATCTTACACTGTGTGAATATATATAAAAAAAGTAACAGAACCAGATTTTACCTTTACTATATGTAATACACTTAAATATTTTCCATTCTATTATATCCTTTTTATGTTTAACATTGGATATTCACTCATTAAGCTACTTTCACAGCACAATAAAAATCAACATACAGTTAAAAAACACTGAGCTCTTTGGAGAATCACCTTCTTCAGTGAGATGGTATTTATGTCAAATGTTGAATAAAAGACTGTATAATAGGTATACATGTAAATTTGAGGAAAAGGTATCATTTCAGACAGAAGGAACTACATAAATAATAGTATTTAGAAAACATGAGAGGGATGAACAAATAAGACCAAGTAGTTCAGTTTGGCTGCTGTGGTAGACAGAAATTTTAAGATGATCTTCCAAGGTTCCTACATCTCGATATATACACTACATGTAATATGCAATCCTTGAGTGTGGCCGCACCTGTGAATATGCGAATATCATTTTGACAATTTTGTTACTTTCACTGGCAAAAAAGGATTTTTGTAGATGTAACTAAGTCTCTAATACATTGTGTTAGTCGAAAGGAAATTGTCTTGGGTAGGCCTGATCTAATCAGGTGACTTCTTAAAAGGGAGATTCAGAGATACCCTTTCTTGCTGGATATGCAGATTCAGGCTTTAAGAGCTCTATAGCTTCAGGGAAATGAATCCTGCTAACAACACGTGAGCTTGGAAGAGGACACTGAGCCACCCAGCAACATCTTGGGATTGCCGAGCATAGAACACAGCACAGCCCACCAGACTTCTGACCAACAGAAAGATGAGATTATAGATGTATATTGTCTTAATCATTGCTTGTTATGTTACCCAGTAATAGAAAACAGCTGTAGTACGGGTGCACAAAGAAAAGTAGTGTAAGGCATTTCTGCAAAGGTAACTGAAATTCCAATTATAAAGTGCCATGAGAGCTTGGAGAACTGTTATATTAATTATAATTTTTAAAATCTAACCTAATTTTTATAATAAGTTGATAAAGGAGGACATATAGTTAATACCATATGTGACTTTTTTACACCAGGATTTCTAATAACTTCTGTATTAGTACTAATTTTTTAGATTTTGATTATTAAAAAAGTTAGTATAGCAAAGTGTCTGTCTTTTTTTCAAAAGGCAAAAATTCATTCGTGTAAGTTTCTTCCACTAATAATTTACTGCTTTCTTTGACATAAGGACATGGCATTCATAATTCATCTTTTTCATGTAAATAATATTCACCAGTCCACCATAAGAATATGACATTTTGATAATTACTAAATAACTGAATTTGACAGTCTTGTACTATAAGAGCCCTCAGATTTGAGAAAGCCAGGGGGGCACTGGAATGGCCAAACAGTCACCTCCATGCATCCATTTTCTGGTCCCTTTATGCCCTAGTGACATATGCATCTTATTATTTTCTCTGTGTCCTATGATGTGGAATGCTTAGGAAACCCTGCCTTAGGGACTATTTTGCCTTTAGAAATACAATTATAGTTCCCATATCCCTCAGTGAACAGCTTAGAGCAGGTGGTATTTTCAGAGTTCTGTCAATCAGGAAACTAGTACACCAACTATGTGACTCATTCTTTCACTGTGTGCACTGAGCCAAAAGAGTTCCTAAAATGCAGAGAATGACTTTAAAAGCAAACGCTTCTCCAGGTATACTAATATGTTGCATCTCACTCTTTTGAGAAGATTTGCAGACTTCTTGATGATTTCTGCTTTAGCATGTAAATCTTATTAATTTAAAATAGATAATTTACCTCTGAACTACATAAAAAGAAATGATTACATAAGTATTCCACAACATTAGATGGTGTTAGAACCATAATTAAAATGCACAGATTTGGTTAGAATGCAACCAAATTACATTGTTCACAAGTGCAGTGAACTGAAATGTAACATTAGTTAAAACGCAAATACATAATTCTCCCCGTCACACACAATTATTCAGATTTTCTTACAATGAGAAATAGCACCATATAGGAAAAAAGGAAGCATATCTTAGGGTGTTTTTTTTTATTTCTCTGAGATCTGAAAAAGATGTCATTTTTATATTTGCCCCTCTTCAATGACACAGAACTAGCTTCAGTAGCTAGAGAAAGAAAGCAAAAGAATCAACCAAATGATGGTTCCTGCCATCATTTATAAAATTTATAGCATAAACACTCTGAACTTTTCAAATAGATTGTATTAGTGACTTAAGTACCTCCTTCAGAATACCTTCTTAAATTTGCTAATTTAGAACAGCAAAATTAAATCTCCCTTCTCTTTCTAAGTGTCATAGGGACACTTCCCCTTTGTTAACCACATGCAAGTTTTGCAATGGGTCAAGGATTCTATATATATAAATGAAATCCTATAATTTTTGCCTGTTGAGAAACTAGGGTTTGGGGGTTGCAAAGCATGTGAGATGGTGAGCATGCCCTTTTTCCCTTTATGCAACGCAATGCTCAGTAAATGGCTTAATACATTTTAAATTTTGAGTATGTGATCTTAATAGCATATATATTCCCATTGCCTATAATCATGTTTAAAGCATGGTCAATTTCAAATGAATTAATGTGATATAAAATATAAGATTAAAATTGTAGAAGACTTCCATAAAACCTTAAGGGGGCAAAGCTAGACGTAATTTGTGTAATTTTACAAATTCAATACAATTGAAAAGTTTTCAATACTCTTGTTTGATATGTTGAAAATATCAGCTATATAATATCTCTAATGTTGCTATTAATAGCATATCTTATGTGTCTTACTTACGAACAGCAATCTCAATCAGCCAAGAAAATATTTTGTTTACATTTTACTTTGTGGATCAAAATCCACTCCCTAATCCAAACCAGAGTAATGAAGTTTTTTTGGGGGGTGCAGAATTGTATACAAGACATTTCAGATTCTAAAACAGAAATTTTGTAACCATCTTTCACTGTTCCTTATTTTATTGTATGTATTCAATCTGTCACTAAGCCTTGTTGATTCTTTCTTTGAAATTTTTCTCAAATCTCTATTTTTACTTCATTTCTCCTGTTGAGCACCCTAACTCAAGCTGTTGTCTCCTAAATATCTGGATGACTGCAACAGTTCTTTAGCTGAATTGACTAGTAGGCTTCCTTGGTCATAGTCATGACTAATCTAAAATATTGCTTGTACCAACACGTAAGAACCAATGTGGCAAATCACATAATAATTTACATTGCCCATGATTGCAAATATCGAATTTATAATCCAGGTTTTCACAATCTCTATGCTATGAACACCTTACTTACTAAGTTCTTTATACCAGTACTCCTAAAAATGAACTCCAATCCTGTCAGGCTGAATTCTTTATAGCTATGATTCCTATATGTATATACCTATAAGGATGTTTTAAATAATCAGTGAAAGACTGCTGCTAATGAAATTAAAGCATTACAGTTTGAGATAGAACACAGGCTCAGATTATTAAATCAAACTCAAAAGAACAGATACATCTCTTAGTCCCAAACTTTACTAACACTTCAGATGATATAAATACTAGGAAGAAAGAGGTAAAGCACAGAGAAATCTGAAACTATCAACATAAACCGTGATATGTTTCCTCACCACATTAGGACTGACTTTTGCCCCTACGTAGAATGTGAGTTCAAAATGATACATTTGAAACATCACTTGCACAAAGGGAACTACTTCAGTCATGAAACATCTCTGTTTTACACTCCAATAAAAGTGTATCAAAGATATGATGTTTTCTATCAGGTCATGTCCCATAAATGCATAAATTCTAGATATATTTACTATGAGCAAGCTATGTAGCCCTGCCATATCTGTTAAATGTATTCTATAAATGAGAACTATTTATTATCCTTATTATACCAAATATAATCAGATATTTGACTTGGCCATTTTTTCTTTTACTTCCCGGGTATATTAATCCCCTGAACAGTAGGTTAGGTTGCAGTCAGCTGCTAAAACTTTGGGTTCCAATTTGCAAATTATTTTGCTGGATTGTTTAGCTCATCCTGATACTTCAGCACAGTCTTTTAGGTGGAAGAGAAAGAAGCAATGTTGAAGGATGAACACCTGGGAATTTTAAGTTTAAATTCAACCATTATGTCTATGTGCAAATCCTTTCACATAATCTACTGGATGTTTGTGGCCCTCAGGGAGAAAAAATAAAACACAACTGACAATTAATAGTTCTTTAAAAGTGTGCAGATTTTCATGTGTTCAGAAACTATGCATTTACTGAAATATATGAAATTCACAAACGTAAGGTAATGGGGACTGGTGAGGTATGAGATTCACTGGACAGTTAATGCTGTATCTATAAGCAGCCATTTTTTAAATGTTTAATTTATCTGCAGGCTGCCCAATACATTTAGGTATAATATTTTATTATCGAGTCAATAAATTAATTACCATTCCAACAAAAGAACACTTTTTTTCTTGACTATAGCCTTCATTAATTAAAAAATGATTTATCAGGGGAGGGGCCAAGATGGCCGAACAGAAGCAGCTCCAGTCTGCAGCTCCCAGCAAGACCAACACAGAAGGCAGGTGACTTCTGCGTTTCCAACTGAGGTACCCAATTCGTTTCACTGGGACTGGTTAGGCAGTAGACACGATCGACAGAGAGCGAACAGAAGCAGGGTGGGCCATCGTTTGACCCAGGAACTGCAAGGAGTTGGGGGACCTCTGTCCCCCAGCCAAGGGAAGTGATGAGGGATTGTGCTACCCACCCTGGGTACTATGCTTTTCCTATGGATTTTTGCAATCTGCAGATCAGGAGATTCCCTCATGAGCCTACATCAACAGGGTCCTGGGTTTTAAGCACGAAACTGGGCGGCTGATTGGGCAGGCACTGAGCTAGCTACAGGAGTTTTTTCCCAGCATTGCCTGGAACCCCAATTACACAGGAGAACAGTCCACTCACCTGGAAAGGGGGCTACAGCCAGGGAGCCAAGTGGTCGTTCAGCGGTTCCCACTCCCAAGGAGCCCAGCAAGCTAAGAATAACTGGCTTGACATTCTCATTGCCAGCACAGCAGTCTGGAATTGACCTGGGATGATCAAGCTTGGTGGGGGGAGAGGTATCTGCCATTACTGAGGCTTGAATAGGTGGTTTTCCCCTGACAGGACTAAGGAGACTAGCAGGTTTGGACTGAGCAGAATTCACCACAGCACAGCAAAACAGCTGGGGCCAGACTTCTTCTCTAGATTCCTCCTTACTGGGCAGGGCATCTGTGAAGGAAATGCAGCAGCCCCAGTCAGGGGATTACAGATAAAACTCCGATCTCCCTGAGACAGAGCACCTGGGGGGAGGAGCAGCTGCAAGTGCAGCTTCAGTGGACTTAATCGTTCCTGCCTGCCGACTCTGAAGAGAGCAGCTGATCCTGATGAGGGGGATTCTCCCAGCCCAGGGCAGTAGCTCTGCTAAGGGACAGACTGCCTCCTCAAATGGGTCCCTGACTGCCATGCCTCCTGACAGGGAAAGACATCCCAACAGGGGTCGACCGACCCCTCATACAGGAGAGGTCTGGCATCAGACCAGTGCCCCTCTGGGATGACCTTCCAGAGGAAGGAGCAGGCAGCAATCTTTTCTGATTCTGAAGCATCCACTGATGATACCCAGGCAAGAAGGATCTGGAGTGGACCTCCAGTAAACTGCAGCAGACCTGCAGAAGAGGGGCCTGACTGTTAGAAGAAAAACTAACAAACAGAAGGCAACAACACCACAACATCAATAAAAAAAGACCCCACACAAAAACCCCATCCAAACATCATCAGCTTCAAAAATCAAAGGTAGATAAATCCATGAAGATGAGGAAAAACCAGTGCAAAACCTCTGAAAATTCCAAAAACCAGAATGCCTCTTATCCCCCAAATGATCGCAACATCTCTCCAGCAAGAGTGCATAACCGCATGGAGAATGAGATTGACAGACTGACAGAAGTAGGCTTCAGAAGGTGGTTAATAACAAATTCCTCTGAACTAAAGGAGCATATTCTAACTCAATGCAAGGAAGGTAAGAACCTTGAGAAAAGGTTACAGGAACTGCTAATTAGAATAACCAGTTTAGAGAGGAGCATAAATGACCTGATGGAGCTGAAAAACACAGCAAGAGAACATTGTGAAGCATACACAGTATCAATGGCCAAATCAATCAAGCGGAAGAAAGGATACCAGAGATTGAAGACCACCTTGCTGAAATAAGGTGTGCAGACAAGATTTGAGAAAAAAGAATGGAAAAGAATGAAGAAAGCTTCCAAGAAACATGAGACTATGTGAAAAGACCAAACCTATGATTGATTGGTATACTTGAAAGTGATGAGAAGAATGGAACCAAGTTGAAAAACACACTTCAGGATATTATTAAGGAGAACTTCTTCAACCTAGCAAGACAGGCTAACATTCAATTTCAGGAGATACAGAGAACACCACTAGATATTCCACAAGAAGATAATCCCAAGACACATAATCATCAGATTCTCTAAGGTTGAAATAAAGGAAAATATGTTAAGGGCAGACAGAGATAAAGGTCAAGTGACCTACAAACAGAAGCCCATCAGACTAACAGAAGATCTCTTCTGCAGAAATCCTACAAGCCAGGAGAGAATGGGGGCCAATATTCAAGACTCGTAAAAAAAGAATTTTCAACCCAGAATTTCATATACAGCAAAACTAAGCTTCACAAGCAAAGGAGAAATAAAATCCTTTCCAGACAAGCAAATGCTGAGGGATTTTGTCACCACCAGGCCTGCCTTACAAGAGCTCCTGAAGGAAGCACTAAATATGGAAAGGAAAAACCAGTACCAGCCACTGCAAAAACACACCAAAATATAAAGACAAATGGCACTATGAAGAAACTGCATAAACTAATGTGCCAAATAACCAGCTAGCATCATGACGACAGTATCAAATTCACACATAACAATATTAAAGTTAAATGTAAATGGGCTAAATGCCCCAATTAAAAGAAACACACTGGAAAATTGGTTAAAGAGTCAAGACCCACCAATGTGCTGTATTCAGGAGACTCAACTCATGTGCAAAGACACACATACGCTCAAAATAAACAGATAGAGGAATATTTACCAAGCAAATGGAGAGGAAAACAAGCAGGGGTTGTAATCCTAGTTTCTGATAAAACAGACTTTAAAACAACAAAGATTAAAAAAAAAGACAAAGAAGGGCATTACAAAAAGGGTCAATGCAACAAGAAGAGGCAACTATCCTAAATATATATGCTCCTAATACAGGTGCTGTCAGAAAGGATCTCCCATTCAATAAATGATGCTGAGAAAACTGGCTAGCCATATGCAGAAAACTGAAACTGGATCCCTTCCTTACACCTTATACAAAAATTAACTCAGGATGGATTAAAGACTTAAATATAAAACCCCAAACTATAAAAACCCTAGAAGAAAACCTAGGCAATACCATTCAGGACATAGGCATGGGCAAAGACTTCACAACTAAAACACCAAAAGCAATTGCAACAAAAGCCAAAATTGACAGATGGGATCTAATTAAACTAAAGAGCTTCTCACAGCAAAAGAAACTGTCATCAGAGTGAACAGGCAATCTATAGAATGGGAGAAAATTTTTGCAATGTACCCGTCTGACAAAAGGCTAATATCAAGAATCTATAAGGAACGTAAATAAATTTACAAGAAGAAAACAAACAACCCCATCAAAAAGTGGGCAAAGGATATGAAGAGACGCTTCTCAAAAGAAGACATTTATACAGCCACCAAACATATATTTAAAAAGCTCATCATCACTAATCATTAGAGAAATGCAAATCAAAACCACAATGAGATACCATCTCACGCCAGTCAGAATGACAACTATTAAAATGTTAGGAAACAATAGATGCTGGCGAGGCTGTGGAGAAATAGGAATGCTTTTATACTGTTGGTGGAACTGTAAATTAGTTCAACCATTGTGGAAGACACTGTGGTGATTCCTCAAGGATATAGAACCAGAACCACCATTTGACCCAGCAATCCCATTACTGGGTATATACCCAAAGGGATTATAGATCATTCTACTATAAAGACACATGCACACCTATGTTTATTGCAGCACTATTTACAATAGCAAAGACTTGGAACCAAATCAAATGCCCATCAATGAAAGACAGGTTAAAGTAAATGTGGCACATATACATCATGGAATACTGTGCAGCCATAAAAAAGGGTGAGTTCATGTCCTTCGCAGTGACATGGATCAAACTGGAAACCATCATTCTCAGCAAAACAGAACCCAAACACCACATCTTCTCACTCATAATTGAGAGTTGAACAATGAGAACACATGGTCACAGGGAGGGGAACAGCACACATCAGTGCCTGTTGGAGGTGGGGGACAAGGTGAGGGAGAGCATTAGGACAAATACCTAATGCCTGTGGGGCTTAAAACCTGGATGATGAGTTGATAGGTGCAGCAAACTACCATGGTACATGTATACCTATGTAACAAACCTTTACATTCTGCACATGTATCCAGAACTTAAAGTAAAATAAAGAGAAAATAAAGACAAAGAAAGAAAAGAAAGAAAATGTTATCTAATAAAGATAAAATAATCACAAAAAATTTATCAGAGATTAATTAAAAATTTTTAATTTATATACTTATATTTATATAATTTATATACCCATAAAATTTTAAATTTATGTACATGATTTATATATAAAAATTAGTAAAGAGGAAGTTAAGGATGGGCACAGTGGCTCACACCTGTAATCCTAACACTTTGGAGGCCGAGGTGGGTGGATCACTTGAGCCCAGGAGTTCGAGACCAGCCCAGGCAACACAGCAAAACCTTGTCTCTACAAAAAAAAAAAAAAAAAAAATTACCCAGGCATAGTGGTACAAACCTGTGGTCCCAGTGACTTGGGAGGCTGAGGTGGGAGGATTGCTTGAGCTAAGAAGGTGAAGGTTACAGTGAGCCAAGACCACTCCACTGCACTCCAGCCTGAGTGACAGAGCCAGACCTGTCTCAAAATAATAACAATAATAATAATAGTAATAATAATAATGAAGAGGGAGCTAAGTTTCCAGAATAGATGCAGCCAGGAAGGGCTTTTCTCACTGAGAAACCAGATCATCAAGACTGGCACACTCCAAGCACATCGCTGGAAGGAAGGCATTGAGAGTGGATGGAGGGAGAATGCATGTCCTGGGCTGAAGGGGAAGAAAGCTGGGCACCCTGCATGGGGCTGCCATGCACTGTGAACTTTTCCTGGCTCTGAGCAGCTCTTGGGGCAGGGGTAAGCTAAATAGGTATGGAGTGCCCCACTCTCACAATGAACTTCCAGAATCCTAACTGCAAGAGACTCCATAACCCCTATGGACATTTGAGCTGGTGGGAAAATCTGCTTGCAGAGTGGGCAAGGACAAGGCTGCAGCCTGTGTGGACCCCAGAGGGCTTGGCATGAGAATAGCTGCAGCTGGGCATGGTTAGGAATGCCTATTTTCTACGGCTTGCCATGTTCCTCTAGGTGGCTTTGGTGTTTGTTGAATATCAGATCTGGACAGAACAAGGCTATCTTGCCCATGGGACAGGGACAGTTGGATATGAGAACCCCCTGTCTGCCAGCTTCTCCTGGGGTCCCTGCCTGGCTACATCTGCTTGCAGTGCAGCCTCAGATGCCCAACAGTAGTGTTTTCCAGAGGCCACTGCCATAGCTCTTTCACTCAAGACCCCATGTAGCTATCAGACACCTTGTGCTGACATTCCCCCCTGTGGCCTCCTCCCCACACCATTTCACTGGCAAATGCACATGCACACAGATTCCACTGCACTGCCATTGTCCTGCTGCCACCAGCATGTACATACATACCCCACTGTGCTGCCACCCAACCGCCACCAGTGTGCACATGTGAGAACAGACCCTGCTGCCTCTGTCACAAAGAAGCACTTTTGCCAGCATCTCCAGGGTGTTGTTGCCAGCAGACTGGGGACATTTCAGTTAAGTAGGTGCTTAACATAGAGGAGCCAGACAACAAAGCCCAAAGCCCTGAGCCTGGTTGCAGTCCCCCAGGGTTAGAGCATGCAGTTGAAGAGTGCTAAGCTGAGCCTTGGCCCCCTGAAATCATCCAGAAAGGAAATCGCTTGATGAAACCCAATTTATGTTACAGTGAAGTCCTCAAGGGCAAATTCTACCATATGTGTAAAGAACTGGTATCAGTCTTATTGAAATTACTCGAAAAAAATCAAGGTCACAGGATTCCTCCCTAACCCATTCTATGAAGCCAGCATCATTCTCACATCAAAACCTGACAGAAACACAACCCAAAAGAAAACTTCAGGCCAATGTCTCTGATGAAAATAGATAACAAAATATTAGCAAACTGAATCAAGCAGCACATCAAAAACTAATCTACCACGAACAAGTAGGCTTTGTACCTGGGATGCAAGATTGGTTCAACATATGCAAATCAATAAATGTGATTCATCACGTAAACAGAAATAAAAACAAAATACACATGGTTGTCTTAATAGAGGCAAAAAAAAGCTTTTGATAAAATTCAATATCCATTCATTGTAAAAACCTTCAACAAACTAGGCATCAAAGGAATATACCTCAAAATGATAATAGCCACCTATGAACCCCCAAGAGCAAACATTACAGTGAATTGGCGAAAGCTGGAAACATTCCCCTTGAGAGCTAGAACAAGACAAGGATTCCCACTCTTGCCACTCCTATTCAACATAGTTCTGGATGTCCTAGCCAGAGCAATCAGGCAAAAGAAAGAAATAAAAAGCATCCAAATAAGAGGAAAGAAAGTCAAAGTATCTCTCTTCACAGACTACATGATTCTATAACTAGAAAACCCCATTGTCTCTGCCTAAAGGCTCCTAGTTCTGATAAACAACTTCAGGGAAGTTTCAGGATACAAAACCAATGTACAAAAGTCAGTAGATAACATCTAAGCAGAGAGCCAAATCAATAATGCAATCCCATTGCAATAGCCACAAAAACAACAAAATAACTAGTAATACAGCTAACCAAATAGGTGAAAGATCTTTACAAAAAGAATTATAAAACACTGCTGAAATAAAAAAGAGATGACACAAATAACTGGAAAAACATTCCTTCCTCATGAGTAGGAAGAATCATTAATGTTAAAATGTTCATAGTTCCCAAAGCAATTTACAGATACAGTACTATTTCTATCAAACTACCAATGACATTTTTTAGAGAATTAGATATAATTATTCTATAAGTCATATGAAACAAAAAAAGTGAGAATAGCCAAAGCAATTCTAAGCAAAAAGAACAAAACTAGAAGCATCACACCAACCTACTTCAAAGTATACTACAGGTCTACAATAACCAAAACAGCATGGTACTGGTATGAATCCAGGCAGACAATTAGAACAGGTTACAGAGCCCAGAAATAAGGCCAGACACCTACAACAATTTGATCTTTGACAATTCAACAACAAGCATGGAGAAAGGACTCCCTGTTCAATAAATGGTGCTGGGATAACTGGTTAGCCATATCTAGTAGATTGAAACATACAATAATCAACTCAAGGTGGATTAAAAACTTAACTGTGAAACCTAAAGCTATAAAAACTCTGGAAGAAAACCTGGGGAATACATTCTGAACATAGGGCCTGGCAAATGTTTCACAATAAAAACTCAAAAAAAGTTGCAACAAAAACAAATTGACAAATGGAACTTAATTAAACTAAAGAGCTTCTGCACAGCAAAATAAATGATCAACAGTATAAACAGACAACCTACAGAAGGAGGGAAAACTTTTACAAACTATGCATTTGACAAAGGTCTAATATCCAAAATTGATAAGGAGCTTAAACCAATCAACAAGCAAAAAATAACCCCAATAAAAAAATGGCCAAAGGACATCATAAGACACTTTTCTTATGCCAACAAGCATAATAAAAATGCATAGCCTCACAAGTTATTTGACAAATGCAAATCAAAACCACAATCAGATATCATCTCACACCAGTCAGAATGACTACTATTAAAAAGTAAAAAAATATATATATATATGCACACACACATATATATGTGTGTATATATACATTATGTATTTGTATATATACATATATATGTGTATAATATATATACACACATACATATATATTGGGGTTATTTTTTGCTTGTTGATTGGTTTAAGCTCCGTATCAATTTTGGATATTAGACCTTTGTCAAATGCATAGTTTGTAAAAGTTTGAATGGTAGCTCTGTTCCAAGATTTTTTTTGAGAAATCTCCAGAGTGCTTTCCACAGTGGCTTCACTGATTTACATTACTACCAACATACATATATATATATATATATATATATATATATATATATATATATATATATATATATATATATATATATATATATATATATATATATATATATATATATATATATATATATATATATATATATATATATATATATATATATATATATATATATATATATATATATATATATATATATATATATATATATATATATATATATATATATATATATATATATATATATATATATATATATATATATATATATATATATATATATATATATATATATATATATATATATATATATATATATATATATATATATATATATATATATATATATATATATATATATATATATATATATATATATATATATATATATATATATATATATATATATATATATATATATATATATATATATATATATATATATATATATATATATATATATATATATATATATATATATATATATATATATATATATATATATATATATATATATATATATATATATATATATATATATATATATATATATATATATATATATATATATATATATATATATATATATATATATATATATATATATATATATATATATATATATGTTTATACACACATTATATATATACACATATGTGTGTATATCTATATCTATATCTATATATATCAGACGCTGGCGAGATTGTGAAGAATAGGGAACTCTTATACACTGCTGGTAGTAATGTAAATCAGTGCAGCCACTGTGGAAAGCACTCTGGAGATTTCTCAAAAAAAATCTTGGAACAGAGCTACCATTCAACCCAGCAACCACATTACTGGGTATCTACCCAAAGGAATATAAGCAGTTCTACAATAAATACACATGCATGTATATGTTCATTGAAGCACTGTTCACAAAAGGGAAGACAGGGAATCAACCTAGGTACCCATCAATCATGTAATGTATAAAGAAAATGTGGTACATATACACCATGGAATATCGTGCAGCCATAAGAAAGAATAAAATGTCTTTTGCAGCAGCAGCAGTGCAGCTGGAGGCCATTACTCTACATAAATTAATGGAGGAACAGCAAGCCAAATATGGCTTGTTCTTACTTTACAACTGGGAGCTCAACTTTGAGCACACATGGACACAAAGAAAGGAGCAAGAACAGTAGACACCATGGCCTACTTGAGGTTGGAGGGTAGGAGGAAGGTGAGGATCAAAAAACAACTTATTAGGTACTATGCTCAATACCTGGGTAACTGATCTGGTTTGACTATGTTCCCACTCAAATTTCATCTTGAATTGTATCTCCCATAATCCCCACATGTGTCATGGGAGGGACCCGGCTGGAGATAATTGAATCATGGGGGTGGGTTTTTCCTGTGCTGTTCTTATGATAGTGAATAAGTCTCACAAGATCTGATGGTTTTATAAAGAGCAATTCCCCTGCACATCTGCACATGCTCTCTTGCCTGCCACCATGTAAGATGTACCTTTGTTCCTCCTTTACCTTCCACCATGACTGTGAGGCCACCCTAGCCACGTGGAACTGTGAGTCCATTAAACCTCTTTCCTTTATAAACTACCTAGTCTCAGATATGTCTTTATTAGCGGCGTGAAAATGAACTAATGCAGTAACAAAATAATTTGTACACCAAACACCTGCAACATGTAATTTACCTGTGTAAGAAACCTGTATGTGTATTTCCTGAACCTAAAAAAAATAAAAGTTGGAAGGAAAATAAAATAAAATAATGGAAGGAAGGAAGGAAGCAAGCAAGCAAGCAAGGAAGGAAGGAAAACTTTTGTAAGGATTTTGTGAAAAGAGGATCATCGTATTTTCTTCATACATTGGGATCAAAAATTGTTGAATTGTTGATTATTTAACTCTTTCTGTACCTCTGCAGCCTATGCTATAATTAAAGCTTTTGAGCTGAAAAGGTAAGATTTTTGTATTAAAATAACAGGGGTCACTATGAAAAAAATGTTGATGTAAAAAATCAACTATACATTAAAAAGGAGCTCTAGAAAAATTAAGAGATTAAATTCAAATAGTCAACCTTTTCAATCAAATCAATAGAGAAATCTAACTCGAAAATTCTATTTATAAAACATCCTGTTTTCCATGTTCTGAAATATACCATCCTTGCATTGTTTTCATTCTCAGCCTTATTGGCACAGCCCAACTTATACTTCTTTACTTTAGGTTTCTTCAGTTGACCTCCAAATATATTTATTCTTTCTTCAAGATTGTCACACGAAAATAACAATCAGTTATAAAATTGTTATATCATCAGACAAATCTTTAGAAGTTTAATTTAAACTCTGCTATAGATCTGAGTAAAATCCATTAATTAAGGTACTCCTTAAACTTCAAGAAGATGAATAGAAAATTATTATAGAATTCAGGATTTTATTAGATGCGTAGTGTCCTGGACTATAAGACCTTAACCAAGTGGATCATTTAATAAATAGCACTTTTAAGGACAGAGTTTTGATGAGAGAGAGAAAAAATATTTAAAATTATTGGGGTAGAAGAGAGAAGATTTTGAACCATCTAGCTAGTTATATATATTTTTAAAAATCATTGAGAAGGGAATAATAGGTATTGCACAAGACTAAAAATTGTAAAGAAAAATAAAATGAGAAATTGACTATAAAAACTTTCAAAGAGTATTACCTTGTGTTCTAGTGTGGATTGAATGGCTGGAGTAAAGGAAACCTTAGACTCTTTTCAGAAATAAGGAACCAAAATAATAAAATCAAAATATAGACTACCGTGTCCACTTGAAAATGTAGCTGAATATTTTTAAAGAAGGCTTAGAAAGTAAGCAAGCTAAAAATAAAAAAACCTGGCACACTGGATAAAACAATTGGTTTCTAAAATAAAAACAAGAACTAAAAGTCATCTATTCTGTAACAATTGAAAGCTTATGAATAAGAACCTATGGAGACACTGCAAACAGAGGCCCATTGGAGGAAGCAAATGCTCCATGTTACATAAGAAACAAAACAATAACTATACACAATCTGCCCATTTATGTTGCTGTGAGGGCAATATTAACACTGAAAAGTTCCCTATTTTTCTTTTAAACTTCCAAGAGGTATTATTTATACGTACAGAATAGCAAAAATCCGGCTTCCTTGTTGACACTGCCATAGATCAGCAGATTTTCAGAATAATTTTTAAAGTGACTTTAATAAAAGGAAATAAGGCAAGTTAACTGGTATTGAGATTGAAAGGGGAAAAAGCAATTTTCTGGAAAATAGAAATATCTAATAGAATATGAAAGACATCATAAAGGAAAATTTCCAGGTAGAGAGTTATTGTGGAATACCTGACAGGGAAATGAACTGTTTGCCTTGGTTAACTAGAACCACTCAAATAAATGGAATTTTCAACACACTAAATCTTTACTCAAGTGCAACCTTTTACTCTATTTTGGAATTAATATCAGAAAGATACTTCTTTCATCCTGTGATATTACCCCAAAAATATAACAGGTAGGGTCTACTTTGCAAATACATCTTCTCAGTTATATACGATAGAATAATTATTTTTTAAAGGTTCTGGAAGTATTCTTAAACATAATCAGATTATTGTTGGTCTTGACATTAATACACATATACTATATATGATTTTAAAAGTAAACAAACAAAAATCCTGAGGAATCATCCATGTTCTTAGAATTCTTAAGGGAAAGGGACTCTATAGATACAAAGATAATATGTGGTGAAGTATGCATAAGAATCCAGATTGATTCTTCCAAGATTATCATAATCTTTTAATAAGTACACAAAAGATTAGGCTATTTTCTAGAGTTATTAACAGCATGAAACACATCAATGACCAGTGACATATCATAGCCCGTCTCTTGATCTAGTAAGCTAGATTTATTCTTCTTGCCTCAGATAAATTTTAATGTTGGTAAAATTAACCACAGAATGTTCAATAATTATAGTAGATAATCATTAAATCTGTTAGTACCATTCTTAGTAAAATACCTATTGTTAACTGAAACCACTCAGTATGTTTTACCTTGTTGCCTGATTATGAAAAATTGTTACTTCCTCTTCCTTATGTTATCATCCACAGGTATTACACTCTCAATCTATCATCTCTATTATTTTTAACCAAAGAAAGAGTACTTCACAATTATGTTTCTAAAACTTAAGAAGTATCAATGCACAGAATCTGATATTTTAGACTCTCTATTAACAAATTCTAAACCAATTCTTTTTGTTTTTATGTTTCACCTAATAAGTGAAAGGAGACAATGGTAGTTTGAGGATGCAATAACTTATTTTTTTCTTACTTCACAGAACAGAGTAATATTTTATAAAATCTGATCTTCAGCAGAAATTGATTGCTCCAGAAATCAAAATTGTGGCCTTTATTAAAGCATGTCAAATCACTAAAAATAAAAGTGTAGATATTTACACTGATTGTATGTTTCGGGAATAATTATCACCTTATGCTTTAATGCTACAAAATGTATCATTGTAAGAAAGGTAGAGAACCACAGTAAAAGGGATAGTATGGTATCTAGAGAAAATGCTCTAGCATCATGCTAAACAAATATCTATGACTAACGTTAAGCTATGTAAAAGAAAGTTAAAACCATAAAGAAGATCAAGGTTCTCACTTTATAGGCATAATTAGTGGCCTCGATTCTGTAAAATATTTTAAATAATCAAGTTGATAGCTTCATGAGAATAAGATGTGACAAATCCAGAATGGGTGTCTAGTAGCCAGACACAACCTCAGATTATCACTTGACTAAAAAATCCTCTATGAAATAATCTATAAGAATTGGCACAAATTGGTCATAGTATTAAGTACTGACTAGGGAATTCTTTTAGAATAGTAAAGAATGTTGTCATTTTATGCTACAACTTTACTAATGTAAAAACTGTAATGATGTGCACAGAATGGAACCATATCCTAAAGAACACTTTGAGCATCTACAAATGGAGTTTATACAACTACTTCCATCTATGAGTTAGAAAACATTTCTATTAATATATATTTATGAATGGATGAAACATTATATGGTCAAAAACCACAACACTTACAGTGCCAAAAAATGCTTTAGATATCAAAGCATTTATCAAAGATACTTACATATATATATATTACACTGTGGATACAGTATACTCTATATATACTATATATAATATATACTATACAGATACTATATATAATATATACTATATAGATACTATATATAACATATACTATATATACACTATATATAATATATGCTATATATACACTATATATAATATGTACTATATATGCTATAATATATACTATATATACTTATATATACTATATATATACTATATAATTATACATGAATCATGCAATGCCTTCTTTCTTGCTCAAGAATTTACTCTTATTACTATCAAACCCTGAAAAAATACAAGAAATGTTATCAGAAATGAAAATATGTACTATTTTATACCCTTAATAGTTGTTTTATTATACACAGAACCTCCAGAAAATGAAGGTCAACAGAACTTGCCTATTGACCCAAGATCCTTGGAACAAGTTTATAACTTCTTTAAGTAGACAGTTTCTACCTAAGACCAAAGGGACACCTGGAATTACTGATTTTCACACTCACTTTTGTTACTCTGGTCATGTATTTTCTCCTTACGTGTGGAGTGGGTGTATGTTTGTGTATAATTTACCTATATTTGAGATTTGCTAAGTAAAATCATCACTCTAAATCTATAATTCAGCTCTCCCAAAGTGTGCCTAAGACAAACAATTTAAATAATTATTGAATGTGTTTTGTAGGCCTAATAGACTATTCCAAGTGTATAGCTTCTCACCACCCTCAGTTTACTAAGTCTTTTAAAGAGAGTCCAAAGTGACAAAACTCTTCCTGGAATAATAAATATTAAGTAATCAGTGGAAACACTATTGAGAATAGTGCTGTTATCTACAGGAATTGGAAAACATCAGACAATTTTTTAAATGTGCCTTAATTTCTGTAACATGGTTGATAATTCATAACTTTGGTCCCATAATCAAATTTCAATTTTTTAGATGAATAACAAATAGCCTTATATTTTTCTTTTGCCCAATCATGGGAAATCTGCAAAATCAGCAACACTTGGTGTTGTACATGGTTTAACACTAAAGGTAACATTGAACAATCTACATCTAAGTTAAAAGAAATGCCAACCTGATTATTTAAGGTAGACTTAAGAAGCTAATAGGACTTGTTTCTTTGTTATACTTGAGTAATCTCAGATCATATTTTCATCAAGGCATCCAGTTCAGTTTTATATTTCTTTTGTTTTACAATATCCAATGGAAAGTAGTTGTCCAACGTCCATATGTAAAATTTTAAATACATCTGTACATCATCTATTGTTTATACAAATAATGCATTGAATAATGAAAAGACAAAATAGGATGAAATTAAACTGATCAATGTGATTAAGCTATTCAATTTTTATTCATAAAAGTAAAGCATACAATTAGTTCTTTATAACAACAGCAAACTCATCTTCAAAGAAAATTAACAACAATGGTTGAAATTTACATAATATTTGGTGGTTTCTCTTAAAACATGAAACTAGGAGGGGTGACATAAAAATAAATTCCTATATTTCTGGGAGAACTGATTATTTTGTAGCCATGATAGTAAGTAGCCAATAAAACCAGTTAGATACCTATTTAACCAATCAATTACAGCTCTGTAGTTACAGAAATATCAAAATTCGGTATGATTCTCTCACCAATGACAAATTTTTCTCAGTGAACACGCTTGGGAAGCCAACAAATCAGTAAGAGCATCTCATTTTTTTAAAAAAATCCACCAATCAGGAGTAGATTCACACCAAAGACTGGACTCCTAGTGCCAACGTATTAGCCACTGTCTCATCTAAGTAAGTACACTTCTACAGCTGACTTTAGTTAACTCATGCTTCTGAAAATCTATGAATCTCTGAATGTAAATCACCTCAAAAGTCATTTGGGTTACTTTACTAAACTTTGTAGAGGTAAGTTTTTTTCTCTCTCTTTTTTTTTTCTTTTTAAGAGGGAAAAGTGGCAATCATATTTGAATCAAAGCCAGTTGGATCTAGGTAGTAACTGTAAAAGAAAGATTACAATTGGGAAAGATAAGAGACAAGGAGGGGGAATTAAGAAGCTGTAGTAATAAACTGTGTGAAAGTTTACTAGAGTTTGAAGTAAAGCAGTAGAAAAGATAGAGAAGATGTGGTGCACTTTAAAAATAAGATGACAATTTGAATTGATGAATAACTTTGAGAGTTTCTTTTATTCAGATTGTATCAACAAAGCCCTAGATGGGTAAAAAATACATGAATACTGTTTCATATTTTCTGAGACCAGAACCAATTTAGGGGTATTAATGATCACTTCTTCTATAAAAAATTACTAGCCATTTCTTATTAACCGCTTATAAAAATATTTCTTCCAGGAGTGGCACTTAAACCAAATTGTGGACTTAGATTGAAAAGAGTGTCAAACTTTGGTATCAAATGAGAATGCAGAAGGTTGAAAAAATATCCATTAAAATATAACTCTACTGGTTCTATATTTTTAGGCTAAAATAATAAAATGATTTCTCATTCGTATTGTGCTTTGTATATTCATTTTTCACTTACCTTATGGTCAAATTGTAGACCGTGGGCTAAGGGAAATTCTAGAAATTCTAAAGACAGTGAAATTTGTTTTGTTGTTTCTTTTGTTTTTTCCACCTTCTATTTTTTGCTGTGTTGTAAGATTGCCATCTGATTAATTGCATACATTAGCACCAACACAGCATCTGGTTATCAGTGAAAACTTGCATTCACAATTTCCATGATGAAGGTACAAGAAATGAAATAACTCACCCTGAATAGCAAAGATTTCAACAGCCTTGCCAAGCGTGGAATTCAATCTCTTTAAAAAATTTTAATCCCTATCTTGATAACAAAAATCTCAGCTCCTACCAAGGTTCCCAAAGTAACTTAAAATGTCTGATGTTCACAGACTAGGTGGCTGGCATGATCCATGGAGAGGAAGAAAGAGCAGCGTGGTCCAGTGGCCCACCTGAGAAAGCTACACAGGGAAGCGGAGCCCCCACCCCACAGCCAAGAGCTGCGGTGAGTGAGCATGCTACCCAGCTGGGGAAACCGTGCTTTTCCCATGGAACTGTGCAACCCATGGATTGGAAATTCCCACTTCTGAACCCACGCCACTGGGGCCTAGGGTCCCAACCCCGGAGCTGTGCAGATTCTCAACAGCCTCTCAGCTAGAATCTGCTTAAGCCTTCAGAGTTCCTGCGGGGAGGGTCGACCAACACCACAGCAGTGGCTGCCTGCTGTCGAAGCAGTTTGAACTCCTTGTGGAAGAGGCAGCAGCCAGCACTGGAAGGCATAACTGCCTAACCCGCTAAGTTTCCTGGGCCGGGGAAGGGCAGCATCCCTTTCTATAGCTCCAGGCCATGCTTTTCCCCTCCTGGAGCGAGGGAGGCTGGACAGCTTGGTCTCAAGAAGTGTCCCCGACAGCCCAACATACCGGCTCTGGCAGACTGTGGCCAGAGTGCCTCTTCAGGCCTGACACTGACCCAACCTTCTCCAGTGGGTAGGGCCTCCCTGAAGGAACCCCAACAACTCCAGCCAGAGGTTCAGGGACAGAAAGAACCCTGATCTCCTGGGCCTGAGACCTTAGGGGGAGGTGTGGCTGCAGTCTCTGTGGAACAGCAGAATTAGCCTTTCCTCCTGGTAGTTCTGAGGAATCAGAGCAGCCCAGGCAAGAGGTTTCTTCACAGCAAAGCACATCCCCTCCACCAAGGAACAGTTAAAGTGCCTCATTAAATGGTTCCTGTTCCCCTGTGCCACCCAACTGGGTGAGACCCTCCAACAGGGGTTGTCAGACACCTTATACAGGAGTGATCCTACTGGCATCAGTTTAGTGACCCTCAAGGTCAGAGATCCCAGAAGAAGGACCAAGCACCCATATTTGCTGTTCCCCAGCATCCTTGAGTGACATCTCCAGGTGTGGGAGTGAACCAGATGATTAGGGCCTGAAGTAGACCCACAGCAAACCACAGCAGCCCTACAGAAGAGGAACCTGACCATTGAAAGAAAAACATACAATCAGAAGGCAACAACAACAGCATCAAAAACAAAATATGTCCCCACAAAAAACCCCATCCAAGGGTCAACAGCCTCAAAGATCAAAACTAGACAAACTCATGAAAATGAGAAATAATCAGTGAAAAAAGTGCTGAAAACCCAAAAGGTCAGAGTGCCTCTTCTCCAAATGATTGCAATGCCTCTCCACCAGGGGTGCAGAACTAGATGAAAGATGAGATGGATGAGTTGACATGAATAGGCTTCAGGAGATGGATAATAAAGAACTCCACTGAGCTAAAGGAGCATGTTCTAACCCAATGCAAAGAAGCTAAGAACATTGATATAAGATTAGAGGAGGTGATAACTAGAATAACCAGTTTAGAGAGGAGCATAAATTACCTGATGGAGCTGAAAAACACAGCACGTGAACTTTGTGAAGCATACACAAGTATCAATAGCTGAATCAACCAAGTAGAAGAAAGGATATCAGAGATTGAGGACAACCTTGCTGAAATAAAGCATGCAGACAAGATTAGACAAAAAAAAAAAAAAAAAAAAAGAATGAAAGGGAAGGAACAAAGCCTCCAAGAAATATGGGAGTACATAAAAAGACCCAGCCTACGATTGAATAGTGTACCTGAAAGTGATGGGAAGAATGAAAACAAGTTGGAAAATACACTTCAGGATGTTAACCAGGATAACTTTCCCAATCTAGCAAGACAGACTAACATGCAAATTCAGGAAATAGAGAACACCACTAAGATACCCCACAAGCAGATCAACCCTAAGACACATAATCATTAGATTATCCAAGGTCAAAATGAAGGAAAAAAATATTAAAGGCAGCCAGACAGAAAGGCCAGGTCACCTACAAAGGGAATTCCATCAGACTAACAGTGGACCTTTCAGCAGAAATCCTACAAGCCAGAAGAGACTGGGGGCCAATATTCAACATTCTTAAAGAAAATAATTTTCAACCCAGAATTTCATATGCAGCCAAACTAAGTTTCATAAGCGAAGGAGAAATAAAATCCTTTCCAGAGAAGCAAATGCTGAGGGATTTCTTCACCACCAGGCCTGCCTTGAATGACCTTCTGAAGGAAGCACTAAATGTGGAAAGGAGAAGCCAGTAACAGTCACTGAAAAAACACAAAAATATAAAGACCAATGACACTATGAAGAAATTGCATCAATGCTGGCATCATAATGACAGGATCAAATTCACACATAATGATACTACCCTTAGGTGTAAATGGGCTAAATGTCCCAATTAAAAGACACAGACTGGCAAAATGGATAAAGAGTCAAGATCCATCAGTGTGCTGTATTTGGGAGACCCATCTCACATGCAAAGACACACATAGGCTCAAAACAAAGGGATGGAGGAAAACTGACCAAGCAAAGGAAATGGAAAGCAAAAACAAAACAAAACAAAACAACAAACAAACAAAAAAAGCAGGATGTGCAATCCTAGTCTCTGATAAAACAGATTTTAACCCAACAAAGATCAAAAAAGCCAATGAAGGGCATTACATAATGGTAATGGGATCAATTCAATGAGAAGAGCTAACTATTCTAAATATATATGCGCCCAATACAGGAGCACCCAGATTCATAAAACAATTTCTTAGAGACCTACAAAGAGACTTAGATTCCCACACAATAATAGTGGGAGACTTTACCACCCCACTGTCAATATTAGACAGATCAACAAGACAGAAAATTAACAAGTAGAGTCAAGATTTGAATTCAGCTCTGGATCAAGTGTACCTAATAGACATCTATGGAACTCTCCACCCTAAATCAACAGAATATACATTTTTCTCAGTGCCACATGGCACTTATTCTAAAAATCATTCACATAATTGGAAGTAAAACACTCCTCAGCAAATGCAAAAGAATGGAAATCATAACAAACAGTCTCTCAGACCACAGTGCAATCAAATTAGAACTCAAGATTAAGAAACTCACTTAAAACCACACAATTGCATGTAAACTGAAAAATCTTCTCCTGAATGACTCCTGGGTAAATAATGAAATTAAGGCAGAAATCAAGTTCCTTGAAACCAAAGAGAGCAAAGAGACAACATAGCGGAATCTCTGGGACACAGCTAAAGCAGTGTTAAGTGGGAAGTTTATGGCACTAAATGCCCACATGAGGAAGCAGGAAAGATCTAAAATCAACACCCTAACAACACAATTAAAAGAGCTAGAGAAACAAGAGCAGACCAATCCAAAAGCTAGCAGAAGACAAAAAATAACTAAGATCAGAGCAGAATTGAAGGAGATAGAGACATGAAAAACCTTCTAAAAAATCATTGAATCCAGGAGCTGATTCTTTGAAAAAATCAACACAATAGCTGGCTAGCTATACTAATAAAGAAGAAAATAGAAAAGAATCAAATAGACACAATGAAAAATGATAATGAGGGTATCATCACTGACCCCACAGAAATGCAAACTACCATCAGAAAATACTATAAACACCTCCACGTAAATAAACTAGAAAATGTAGAAGAAATGGATAAACCATGGACACATACATCCTCCCAAGACTAAACCAGGAAGAAGTCAAATCCCTGAATAGAGCAAGAACAAGTTCTGAAACTGAGGCAGGAATTAATAGCCTACCAAATAAAAAAGCCCAGGACCAGACAGATTCACAACTGAAGTATACCAAAGGTACAAAGAGGACCTCGTACCATTCCTGATGAAACTATTCCAAATAATCGAAAAGGAGGGACTCCTCCTTCACTCCTTTTATGAAGCCAGCATCATCTTGATACCAAAACCTGGCAGAGACACAACAAAAAAAAGAATACTTCAGGCCAATATCCCTGATAACATTGATGTAAAAATTATCAATAAAATACTGGCAAACCAAATCCAGAAGCACATCAAAAAGTTTATCCACCACGATCAAGTCAGCTTTATCCCTGGGAAACAAGACTAGTAAAATATATACAAATCAATAAACATAATCTGTCACATAAATAGAACCAAAGACAAAACCACATAATTATCTCAATAGACACAGAAAAGACCTTTGATAAAATTCAACATTGCTTCATGTTAAAAACTCTAAATAAACTAGGCATTCATAGAAATTATCTCAAAATAATAAGAGCTATTTTTGACAAACCCACAGCCAATATCATATTGAATGGGCAAAAGCTGGAAGCATTCCCTTTGAAAACCAGCACAAGACAAGGATACCCTCTCTCACCACTCCTATTCAACATAATATTGAAAGTTCTGCCCAGGGCAATCGGTCAAGGAAAATAAAGGATATTCAAATAGGAAGAGAGGAAGTCCAATTGTCTGGGTTTGCAGATGACATAATTATATATTTAGAAAACCCCATCATCTCAGCCCTAAAACTGCTTAAGCTAATAAGCAACTTGGGCAAAGTCCCAGGATACAAAATCAATGTGCAAAAATCACAAGGATTCCTTTACACCAAGGACAGACACTCAGAGAGCCAAATTATGAATGAACTCCCATTCACAATTGCTACAAAGAGAATAAAATACCTAGAAATACAGTTTACAAGGGATGTGAAGGACCTCTTCAAGGAGAACTACAAACCACTGCTCAAGGAAATAGGACACAAATGAGTGGAAAAACATCCCATCCTCATGGATAGGAAGAATCAATATCGTGAAAATGGCCATATTGCCCAGAGTAATTTATAGATTCAATGCTATTCCCATCAAACTACCATTGACATTCTTCACAGAATTAGAAAAAAAACTACTTTAAATTTCATATGGAATTAAAGAAGACCCCATATAGCCAAGACAATCCTAAGCAAAAAGAACAAAGCTGGAGTCATCATGCTACCTGACTTCAAACTATACTACAAGGCTACAGTAAACAAAACAGTATGGTACTGCTTCCAAAACAGACATATAGAGCAATGGAACAGAACAGAGACCTCAGAAATAACATCACAAATCTACAACCACCTGATCTTCGGCAAACCTGACAAAAACAAGAAATGTGGGAAGGATTCCCTATTTAATAAATGGTGCTGGGAAAACTGTCTAGCCATAGGCAGAAAACAGAAACTGGACTCATTCCTTATACCTTATACAAAAATTCACTCAAGATGGATTGAAGGCTTATATGTAAAACCCAAAACCATTACAACCCTAGAAGAAAACCTAGGCAATACCATTGGATGGAGGCATGGGCAAAGACTTCATGACAAAAACGCAAAAAGCAATTGCAACAAAAGCCAAAATTGACAAATTGTATCTAATAAAACTAAAGAGCTCCTGCACAGCAAAAGAAACTAGCAACCAAGTGAACAGGCAACCTACAGAACGGGAGAAAATTTTTGCAATCTACCCATCTGACAAAGGTCTATCTACAAGGAACTTAAACAAATTTACAAGAAAAAAACAAGACCATCAAAAAGTGGGCAAAGGATATGAACGGACACTTCTCAAAAGAAGACATTTATGCGGCCAACAAACATATGAAAAAACGCTCAACATCACTGATCATTAGAGAAATGAAAATCCAAACCACAATGAGATATCATCTCACACCAGTCAGAATGGCGATTATTAAAAAGTCAAGAAATAATAGATGCTGGTGAGGCTGTGGAGAAATAGGAATGCTTTTACACTGTCGGTGGGAGTGTAAATTATTTCAACCATTGTGGTAGACAGTGTGGTGATTCCTCAAGGACCTAGAACTAGACATACCATTTGACCCAGCAATCCTATTACTGGGTATATACCCAAAGGAATACAAATCATTCTACAACAAAGGCACATGCACATGTATGTTTATTGGAGCACTATTTACAATAGCAAAGTCAAGGAACCAACCCAAATGCCCATCAATGATAGACTAGATAAAGAAAATGTAGTACATATACACCATGGAATACTATGCAGCCATAAAATATTCATGTCCTTTGCAGGGTCATGGATGATGCTAGAAGCCATCATCCTCAGCAGAGTAACACAGGAACAGGAAACCAAATACCACATGTTCTCACTCATAAGTGGGAGTTGAACAGTGAGAACACATGGACACAGGGAAGAGAACAACACACCCCGGGGCTTGTTTGGGGGTGGAGGACAAGGGGAAGGAACATAGAGGATGGGTCAATAGGTGCAGCAAACCACCATAGCACACATATTCCTATGTAACAAACCTGCATGTTCTGTACATGTATCCTGGAACTTAAAGTAAAATAAAATTTTTAAAAAAATATTTAATGTTCTACATATGAAACATAAATACCATACTGTAAGATTTAATTATTTTAATTACGATGGATTATTTAAAGAAAGCAATAATGTAAAATAATTTAGAAGATAATGCCACTTTAAATAGCTGATGAAAAAGAAGTGTCAGATGTACAATACCTATTTGGATTTTTTCTTTATTAAATAAAACCAATTCTCTATGTTCTCAATGATAGAATAGCTGTCATAAAAATAAAATAAGCACATCTGTGAAAGTCGGTGTGTTAAGCTCAAGCTCAGCATAATATAAACGCAAATCAGATGTGACTCTCAATTTAGGGAACTGATAGTCTAGTCAGAGACACAATGACATGCAAAATTCACCCTTGTACAAAAGGATAAGTGCTGTATTAAAGCTATAAAAATGCCATCAACTGAGGGAAATGGATTATTTTTTTTTCTGATTTATTCATGCTTACCTTTGCTTGGTTTGTGACTACGTTTTCTGAATCATTACTTCTCAATGCTGACTGCATAGTACAATCACTTGTGGACGATTTTTTTAAAAAGGTATATGCCCCCAATGAGAATTATAAGTCAGTTGTAAGGAATCAGCATAGGTATTTTTAAAAACTTTCCAAGTGGTTCTACCATGCAGCCAAGATTAAAACCATTGAAATGCTTACATTTATCAAGCACCAAACTGAGCGAATACATAGCAAATAACAGAGTAATAATACCAACATACGGTTTCATTTTAATATAATAATGAAGATAAAGAAATTGGTATGATCATTACTGAACAATAAAACCAAGTATTGCAAAGTATATGAAAGTGGTTAACCCTGTTTTTTATATAACCCTGTTTTTTATACAATAACATGTCTAAAGATAATGTTATTTCTAAAGGTAAAGATATTCCCTGATACAACATGTCTAAAGATAAAGATATTTCCTGATATTACTATCAGGATATTTCATTTTTCATTTGCCATAAATTTTGAGTTGACTATTTGGGGCTATTCAAAATTTGTATTAAGAATTGCACTAAAAACTAATTCAGCATGGTATGTCTGCAAGGCAGTCTAAACAAAGAGATTAAAATATAGGTGTCTGCTGGCAAGGGCTCTTCAAGGTCCATCTGTTGTTTATATCCAGGAGTCGAAGATGCACAGATTACCCTGCACTAACTGTACTCTTCCCCAAATGATTCTTCACTTACTTTTTACTTAGGCTAAACCTTTCCTCCACTAAATCCTTACCTCCATACCTTCTTCCCTTCCATCCTAGAAGTCAAGGCCCATCATGAGAAAAATCCCTTTATTCATAAACATTCATAAAAATCCCTTTATTCATTGAACATCCTTTCCTCCAATTTAAACTCTAGCATAAACCTGATTCTCATCAAATGACAGTGTTTCCTCTGAAATCACTCTCAAGAAGTGCCCATTAGTTTTTAATACTCCCTCTTCACTAGGCCTGTAGTGGGAGTGTTGTTCTTCTTTCAGTTGCTTCCTTCTCTCTTAAAAAAACCTTACAACTTTAAAGTGACTACAGCCTATCCTTGTTGCAGTCATCGAGTGATTCTTTTGGTCATTTCTCATTCCTTGAAGCCTCACTGATTCTATCTCTCCAATTCTATCTCTCTGCCATAAGTATTTATAATTTCATATCTATATAGATGATATTTTTTAATAATCCAGACTCTCCTTTATTATCTTTTCCCTCCTCCTACTTCAGCTAACCTTATACACAGTTACACTTTAGACCTTGTCATTATCAATAGCCATATACACACCTTAATCTTATTTTCAATTTTCATACTCTCTAACCAACACCTACTGTAGTTCCACGAAGCACTTTCTTATGCCATACCATAATTCCAACATTTTTTCCCACTAGAATTGAAAGTCCATTGTTCTTTCACAAGTTTCTTCTTGACTGGATTAAATTACATGTACTATCATTATCAATCTTTTCATATTTCATATAGTCTTAATTGTCTTTCCTTTTGGTCATTTTATGGTACTTATCTAGAAAAATAATTATTTTGTTTAAATTCAACTTTCTGCCTACAACTGGGCAAGTAATGGCTGAAGAAAACCATGTAACCTTACTAACTGGTTCCACCAAACGATGATTATCAATCAGAAGTGAAACCATAATGATGTTTCTATACATTTCTCAAATACATTTCGTCTCCCATAATTTAGATAACTACTATATCTTCTCATTTCTCATCAAGCCTCCAATTCCTCTCCACTTTCTCAGTCTCAGCTATTGATCCCTTTTCTAAAAACTACAAAACAAGTGCATCCAAAAGTTTCCATCACATCTTCTTATTTGTCTACACAAATACCAATTAGTTTTGCTTTCCCTTCTGATAAAATAAATAAACTCTCCGTATTTCCACTTAAAACCAATAATTCCTGCATTCGGTCATGCAATCTCTTGCAAGCTCAAATGTCTCAGCAATTGCTTTTCTATTCTAAGCAATCATTTTCCCCTCATTCATAATTCTTCTCAAAATACTCTAACACTTCCTTAGTAAAAAACATTTCCCTTGATCCTATAGCCCCTCAAGCTATCACCATATTTATTTACTCCCATTCACAAAAAAAGTTTTTGAATGATTTTTATATGCTCACATCTCCAATTTTTCTCCCCTAGTTTTCTCTTGAATGTACCTATGATTGAATGTAAGATTTTTATGCTCACTACTCCACTGAAACAATTGTCAGCATAAATCTCATCTAGCAATCAACTCTCCATCCTCATATTGCCTGATCTATAGTGCCTGTGATGGCTCAAATGTGATGGATATTTATTTTTATTCTCATAAATACTAAACTATATGTTTATGATGAGAAGCTAACTCTCTTTCCTGCGATGATGGAAGGCCACAAACTTAATCTGATGGCTCCACCTTCTTGAGCGTATGGCTTTCAGGGTCACTACAATTATTCATCTCAAATCAGTAAATTGGGGAAAAAGCACGATGATCAAACCTGGGAGATTTTTACAGGCTAGGGTTGGACATGAAATGGCTCATTTTATGTCACATTTTATTGGTTTTAACTCAGTCACATGGCCATGTCTGATGGGATAGAAAACTGAGAAATGTAGTCTTTGTCGCCAGGCAAAGAAGAAATCTACTTTGTTACAGAGTGAAACAGTCTGAAACAAAAGTCTCCAAGGCCTTACATGATCTACTTCACCCTCAATTATCTGACCTAATTTTCTACCATTCTCCCTTTTGGACTCTCAACTCTGCCACACTGGCCTCCTTTTTTCCTTAAACAGTCTGAATATATGTGTTTCATGCAATTAGGCTTGATGCTTCCTCTACCTTGACTATCCATTTCCTGTAGAGCCACATGCCACTCTCCCTCAGGTCTCTCTGCACATTGCTTAGATGTCACCTAGTCAACAAGGCCTTTTCTAATTCTCTGTTTAATATAAAATAGAAATGACAACCACTAGTACTCCCTATTATGTCTTATTATGTTTTATTCTTCTCTATAGAACTCCTATCTACTTATATATTTATTGTTTGTTCTGTTTCCTCCTGCCTCATGCACAGATGCTTAAACATATAGTAACCATTTACTAATTTTTTATTAAAATTATGAATAAAATAATGAATTAATAAATGTGTCTATTACCTGATTATGCCAACCTCAATACTTTTGTGTCTATCTCAATATTCCAGTTACTGCAAAAATCAAGATGTATCTTCAAATGGGATTTGCCTGCATATATTTATTGATCAAACTGAGAGCTTCTATTCAGTTGCTCCTACAGCAGGGAGAAGGTAAGAAGAATAGCTAAATTGTGAATCAGGCCAAAATGGCTTAGGGTTGAGGAGAGGTCAATAGATTTGCGATTAAGCATAGTAAATGTATGACTGTAGGATCAGGTCTTCATTTTAAATTAGAGCGTGCCACACAGTTTTGAGTCTATGATACATTTTGGCTGATTTCAAAGCCTATTTTCTAAAGCAAACAACCCTAGGTAATCCAAAACACGCACACAAAGCCCTCTAATATGTGATGTTTGTGTCCGTGTGTGAAAGAGTAAGCGTATTGTGGTAAGAAGGTGGATTTGTATTCTTCTAATGGTTTGTCAAATGTACACTGAAATGAAGAACTTTTTAAATCATGCAAATATATTATAATACAAATTCACATTATTTATGTCACATAGCAAAATTAATATATTGAAGGGAACATACATTTTTCAGCTCTCATTTAATTACAGATTAGTAAGTGACATTAGAGTACCAGCAAATTATGGTTTCTAACATTTAATGTAATCTGGGAGAATTCACTTCTAAAACATTACTTCTCACAATTTATATTTCCTTGCAATTGCATCTGTTCACCTGATTCCCTTATTTCTCAAACTCTCAACTTCTAGTACTTCTACTGTTATGGTAATATGTAATAATAACTGAATAATATTCCCTATTTGTCTTCACTGACAGAACCCATAAAAACATGTACAGGTACAACCTCTCATGATCTTGACCCAAAATAAGCTGTTTGAAGAGCTCTTAGCAAATTGTTTTATGTGTATTGTTAGATTTTAAATGTTTCATGTTTTACTTTATTGGTTTATTTGTTATCTCTTTATTCTTGATTGAAAATGCTTCTTAAGCAGTTGCATATGTATATGATTTGCTTGGGAAGATATAAACAAATTCTTGAAGGATCTTTATCAACTACTTTTTATTTAGTCATCAAACATTTCAAAAACTGTGACAAGGTAGTGAGAAGTCATTGAAATTTTTTTTTTTTTTTGGGACGGAGTCTCGCTCTGTCGCCCAGGCTGGAGTGCAGTGGCTCGATCTCGGCTCACTGCAAGCTCTGCCTCCCGGGTTCATGCCATTCTCCTGCCTTAGCCTCCCGAGTAGCTGGGACTACAGGCGCCCACCACCACGCCCAGCTAATTTTTTGTGTTTTTAGTAGAGACGGGGTTTCACCGTGTTAGCCAGGATGGTCTCGATCTCCTGACTTCGTGATCCGCCCGCCTTGGCCTCCCAAAGTGCTGGAATTACAGGCATGAGCCACCATGCCCAGCCGAGAAGTCATTGAAAATTTTTAAGAAAGAAGGTTCCATTTGCAGACTTGTGTTTTGGATATTTTTTTTCTTTCTGAATAAGGGTAACTGCAGGGAAGAAAGTTGAGAGGCAATTAAAACATTGTGAGTGGGGCACTGAAATAATCTAGGTTAAAAAGAATACATGAGTTTCCCAGACTATTTTCATTGCAATGGAAATTAAGAAGTGGATGAAATCATAAGCTACATAGTAGTACAGAAGAAATACTTGGTGATTAATTGGAGAAGGAAGGAAAGAAAAAATCAAGTGAGTTGTATAGTCAAGCAGAATGTTGCTCAGATCTCAGCTCTGTCATATGCTAGCTCTTTGGATTATGGAAAAGTACTTGATCTAAGTCTCAGGCTCCCCGGTCATAAAAAGAAGTTAAATACACATTAGATAAAGAAATGTATAGAAAATAAATGCCTACTACTGTATCTGGCATACAATAAATGGGATAGACTGAGGGACTCTTCAGTAGTGTTCAGTGCTCTTTTGTGTGAGGTCATAGCCCTCTGCTCCACTTTGGTCAAAGAAATGTAGGCATAAGTGATACACAACTTCAGGACGGAAGTTATGTGTCCATACATCTTGACTTTGCTCTATTTTCTCCTTTTCCAGAATGATTGGCAACATTTCACACAGAGGAAGCTCTGTTAGTCTATAATCTAGATTAAGGAAACATATAAGAACAATAGCTAACCCATGAAAAAAAAATGTAGAGTAAGTGTGACATCAGTTTTTGTTTTTAAAAGTAATTCAGATTTTCAGGTTATCAATTATTAAAGCTTAACCCAGCCCATCCTGAGACAGTATGAGGTGAATTATTAGTAAATATTTTTGTGTATTAGACGAATGGAAGTGTTTCACGAATCAGGAAGTGATCTAGAAATCAGATGAGAAGGTTACTCTTTTAAAAAAGGGATACTAGGCCAGGTGCGGTGGCTCACGCCTGGAATCCCAGCACTTCGGGAGGCCAAGGCAGGTGGATCATCTGAGGTTGGGAGTTTGAGACCAGCCTGGCCAACGTGGCAAAACCCCGTCTCTACTAAAAATACAAAAATCAGCTGCGTGTGGTAGTGGGTGCCTATAATCCCAGCTACTCGGGAGGCTGAGGCAGGAGAATTGCTTGAACCCAGGATGCAGAGGTTGCAGTGAACCAAGATTGCACCACTGCATTCCAGCCTGGGAGACAGAGCGAGATTCTGTCTAAAAAAAAAAAAAAGGATACTAAAAGTAAATAGATAAAAATGGGTGTATTTCCCCAAATCCCACATACACCATGTAGGATTTGCTTAGCAAACAAAACATGCAACTAAATCCTTCCATCAGATTAAACACTACACTGCATGCTATGATAAAGTTAATTGGGTTGAAAGCTATGGTAATCAGCTATGTTCCTTGTAAATTCGAACAGATTGATAAAAAAGATACCAATGACATTTCCAGAGTTAAGAAAGAGTTTTATGATGAAGAAGAAGGAAAAGTAGCCTCAGGGCTCTCTAAAGCCACAGTTCAGATGCCTTTTATCTGGGTTGCAAGGGATGTGACTCTATTCTAACTGCTCCTAGTTATGGTCGCTTTTTGTTCCAAAGTTTAAATTTCTGAAAGATTATCTGATGGTTCCAGCTAATATAGAAGGCTAGAGCTTAGCCCAAGCGAGAGTCCTCATTTACATTTTGATTCATTCCCAGAGAGAAAAATTGCTGGGAGCAGAACTGCAGTTCTCCATTTCCTCAGCAGGGAATGGCACATGCAGGCCACATGCCATAGAAAAATCGGGTAAATATATATCTGAAAGCACTGGTACCAAAATCTACTAAAATCATATTCCACTCTCAGAACTACTCAAAATATGTCTATGCTGTTCATCTCAGGCACAGTTTGCCCAAAGGCACAGAAAGAAAAGAAGTATTTTTCCTTATTTGTCTAAAAGTTACTTTATTTTCTATTACTCAACTGACCTTTTTCCTGGATTTGACATTGGAAACATTCCTTATCTTCAAGGAAAATGCTACCCACTCACATAAAAAGCATTGAAGTCTTGTGGTCCATGCGATAAAGATAATCAGATTAGTTGACCATATGTTTCCAAGAGTATGGATTATTAAGTCTCAACACCCCGTGTCCCACAGCAACAATCAAGTCCAAGCAGTGCTGTTCCAAGCTCAGGACAGTTGTTTTCCATTCTTTATATTGGCAAGAGATGAAAAGATACTCTAGCTTGCACAAAATCTCTATTACTACATGGTCTCCACTCTTAATCTCCTGTAACCAAATGCTTAGATGAGCATTCACAGCCACATATATAAAGAGGAAAACATAATTTTCAAGTTAAAAATGGTCTAAATCCATATGTGGAAGAGGAAAAGGGTTTTTCTATGCTTATGGTGCATAATTCTATTAAGGAAACAACAAATTCATATTCATACAGGTGAAGGCACCATAGTTTAATCTGAAGCAACTACATTTGCATTATATCTATGACTCAAATCTTGAATGAAGACTTCCATCAAATAGTGGCATTTTTGTCTTATATGGTCACATTAAATACATTATATAATGCTAAGAGTGGTTTGCCCTAAATGTAAAATACATAGCTTTCTTCTATATATTTACATATAGCTATGTATTTTATGTTTATAAGCCTGACTCCAAGAGGCAGAAAGTGCTCATTTCTTTCAAAATGCCCATTTTAAGTCCCAGTTTTCACTGAGCACCCCATTATATTTATTAAAAGATTCAGTTCATTTTCCAAAATTAAGAGCCATTGATAGAATCCATGCTACCCACCAGAGATATTCTCACTCATAAATCAAAAATTGTTTTTCGTGGTTGTATGTGTGAATCCCATTTTCCTTTTCGGCGTCCCCTCAATGAGGGCCCTTTATTTTGTTTGTTTCCTTAATATATTAATAGTTAGAAAGTCCCATTCAGTCTACTTTGCATATTTCTCAAATCAGTCTTTTTTCATTCCTGATGTCACTAGTCCAGATCATAGCTTTGTTATATTTTTTTAACAAATTATTATACTGGCCTCCTAACTAGCCTCCTTCATGACAATTTTTTAGTAGCCCGACCTATCTCTACACTGCTGCTTGAGTTATCTATGTAAAAGCAGTTGAGATCATGTCAAGTCCATGTCCTCCATACCCATTTTACAGAAGGATTTTCAGAGCCTTCACTATAGATGTAAAAGTGCCTGTTTGGTCCCAGTCAAGGTACACTGTGGATGAGTGAAGCAGCTTAGCGTCAGACAAGAGGCGGGGATAGAGACAAAGAGCGCTGAGGATCATGGACCAAAATTGCAACCATTCAAATATTTTAAAAACATTATTTGGCTTACATTAAGCAGCTATACAGACTAAGTACAGGCCATGGACCTTAAGTTTGCAATCTCTGGACTGAGAAAATATTGTTACATTTCTTTTTTCTAGCTTCTGTTGTTACCACATATTTATCACCAGGTCAGGCTTTCATGGGCCTGCTTTCTATTCGCTCTAAGTTTGACTGCCTTCATGCATTGACTCACAAAGGTTCTGCAGCCAAGAATGACCTCTTCATCCCTCTATCTCTACAGCAATCTTCTCTTCCTTTTAGATTGAGCTCAAATAAAACTCTGTCTCTGAAACTTATGATTTCAGAATTAGAATTCATTCTATATTAATGATCAGGGTTTTTTTTTCCTTTTTTTATCCTTTACTTTTTGCCCTCAATTCAATTATTTGTATTTATTTTCATTTTTTAATGTAGTCCATTTTCTCTCTACAGATAGATTGTTCCTGGCTCTCAGGTAATATATTTCATGATTTCATGTAACTCTCACTCTTTGAATATAGCAGGCCCTAAGTAAACGTTTCTGAAAGTAAATTTGTGAAAGAGAAGCCTTAAGGTGGATTAAATGCATAGCTTTTCTTTTCAAAGGAATTTGGACTTTGCAAGAGTCTGCTTATTAGCTGGATGAAACTGATCCATTATCAAAATATCCTGAGTCTCAATTTGTTCAGCTATTAAATGAAGATAATAAGGCAGCCCTCACCAAGCTGATATAAAGATTTGTCATAATCTATTACATGTAAATCTCTTGGCATGTAATATGTGGCTTTTATTACTATTATTGACCTATGCCTATGTAAAATCACTTTTCTTCTAGAGTTTTAAGTTTTGTCTCTTCAGAACTCTTCTTGATTGGATGGCTCATATCGAGTTCTTACTAATTTGACATAAATTAAGCTACTGCTGTATCAAAAATTCTTCAAATGAAGCACTCTAAGAATGGAGCATTGTATATTATTGGAAGGCTGTCTAACATTGACTATACTTGGATGAAAACCAACAGTAAAAAGAAAACAATTCCCAGCTGTGTAATAGCTAAAGATTTATGTGATAAGCCAGGGAATATTTTATGAACTTTCACTTATTTTATAATTTAAGATACTTACAGTAGCAAAAAAATTCAGCTGAGCCTGGTTTTAGTAATTAAGAAGACTTAGTAGTCTAGTGGCAGGCTAAGCTCTAAGCATGCTTTGATCAGGCACCAGATTCATTTCTTGGCAGTTTTATATGTTTTGCTATTTTCTGTTTATCAGCTTTCTATTCAAGCTGGCTTCTCTTAAGAAAGCAAAGAGCTTAAGACAGTTTTATTTTTTTATCTACAACATGGATTTTAAAAAATAAGATGAAAGCACCACCCACCACCACCACCACTATTGAATGAAGTTCCTGGGCTTTATTCTGATTGGGTCAACATAGGTGATAAGCCCATCTCCTGAACCAATCAATGAGGTTGTCTATTATCTGATTGGCTTAGGTGAACCAGTGTCAGCCCAGCAACTGGATTTGGGTCAATTATCAAAATAAATGGCTCCTACACAATGCAATGAGTAAAATGGAGGATTCTGGAGACACAATCACCACATCATAAATGTGTGTGTGTGTATGTTTCAAAACTGTCATTTAATTTTATATTAATTATCTGAGTATGGTTTAGTTGTAACTGTGAAGCAGGTTCACTGTGCAAGGGTTACCAACCTGTCTGGATCCAGTGAGACTCATTACTAAGTCGCTGAAAATGTAGTAAAATATGGTGATGGGGCGGCATGCACGGTCATCACCATGTGACTCATGTAGTTGCATGTAGTTTGGTTCAGTGGACACAACATCTGTATTTGATCTCATTCAAAAGATGGCATTCACTGGCCAGATGGTGGCACCAGTCCAAACGACCAAGTCTGCTTTTAGTTTTGTAGAGCCGTTAGTAAACCATTCTGTGTCATCAACAATTATAATTCTTTGTGCCTTCATGAAACCTACTGGTCTCTTGGGGGTCCCAGTCAGGCCCCATTGTGAATGTACCATTTCCATTTAATAATTGAGCTCTGTTGAGCCTATCCAATTTTATTGATGGGGTTGTGATTAGAAGTACAGGTGGTGCTCCAGCCATCAGATCGTCTCTACCAGTGCCCAAATAATCAAGGAGTCGCCATTTAAAAGAGATATATCTGGTAGCTGCCTCAGGCAACTGTATCGTCAAAACTCAGAGGCTGGCACACCCAAGTGGCAATTTTTTGTTACTATAGTCTCCAACCAGCATCCGTGGAGGTTGCAGACACCTGTAATTCTATCAGGTTAGCATACTCTAAAGGCTTTTAAGGCAGTGCCTGGGCCACAGCTTTTTCAATGGCCTTCAAGACTTGCTGCCTCAAAGCACTCTATTCAAAGTCAGCAGCTTTGCTAGTCATTTTGTCTCAGGAGATCAAAAAAATTATCTTTTTAGAAATTCATAATTCTAGTTTTTATAGATGTACTTTTAAAATTATTTTATTTATCGGCTGGGCGCGGTGGCTCACACCTATAATCCCAGCACTTTGGGAGGCTGAGATGAGCGGATCACTTGAGGTCAGGAGTTCGAGACCAGCCTGGCCAACGTGGTGAAACCCCATCTCTACTAAAAATACAGAAAATTAGCCAGGCATGGTGGCAGGCACCTGTAATCACAGCTACTCGGGAGGCTGAGGCAGGAGAATTGCTTGAACGCAAGAGGCGGAGGTTGCAGTGAGCCTAGATTGCGCCATTGCACTCCAGCCTAGGCAAGAAGAGCCAAACTCTGTCTCAAAAAAAAAAAATAAAATTGTTTTATTTATCTGAATTGTTTCTTAAGTGTTTTGTGCTTCTAAATTAATAGCTATTATGGACTTTACAATTAATAACTCATTGGAGAAACAAGCACTTACCTGCCATTTATCAAACAAAAGTGTAACAAATTTTACTTTTCTGAATACCAACATGCTAAAAAAACAGACTCAAGTAATTGGTTCCTAAAGTCTTTTTACTGAAAATTGCTAATTTCATCAAAGTCAACTTGGAATGCTTGGGGAAAAAAGAATGAGATGTCTTCTCATCATATTAATATATTTAAACAGTGAAAAATCTAAGATTCAGGTACTTAACAATTTAATGAATCAGAATATTAGGAACCAGAAATATCTTCTTATTTATTTAAAGAAGTGGTGCCCTTTAAGTAAATAAGTGGTTGCTTATTTACAATTTTTTTTTTCTTTATTCATGCTCTGCACATTTTTGACAGAATATAAGTAGATCAATGTCGGTTTTAAACATAATGTTATGGGCTGTAACACAGCACATATTTCCACAGTGGCGTTATAATGATAGATAAGTGAGAATTAAGCAACTTGGCACCACCGCTTGCCTACAACATTAAACCATGATTCCAGTCAATCTCTGAATGTTTTGACACCGTCAGAAATATTGTAAATTATTGTCACTTATGATGAATATCCTGGTTCTATTCTTTTTTTCCAGTGAGTTACAGAGACTACCTGACTTTGACTATGTGGACTTCAGAAGTTAATCTCTGCTGGCATCTTTTCCAAAAAAAGATTACCACCATCAATTCCAATGTGATATATATTTGTATAAAGAAGATAGTTCCAACTGCAAGGAAGAACACCAAAACACTGAGTATGGAGAAGAGTGGGAGAATCATTGTCCCCTGTTCAGAGCATGAAAGACTGCCCACGGTCTGACAGGAGACCGTGTTGTTCTTCAAACGTAATTAAAGATTCTTTGAATATGTTTTCTCCTGCTCAAGTAATAACTTGTGATTTTAGTGCTGAATTGCCTTAAGGAATATATTGTTTCCAAACTTTCCAAATTCATGAATGTTAATTAAACTAACACTCTAAGGCCATTTTAAATCAAGCCTCTCTTGAAATAAGATTAAAGTCTTAGATATTTCAGTAGTTATATAAATCAGGGTATATTTAAAATTTTATTTGATCATCTGAAATTTAATAAAAATAAATGTTTTGTGAGATAGTTGATGAATGGGGAGAAATCTGACCATTCAAGTCAGCTACAAAATATCTTCATATTCTTTCAGATGAAAAAAGAAGTCCCAGAAGCCTAATTATTGACATGATATCAATTCATTAAGGTATATATTGACAGGTCTTCTCTAGAGAAAAAGACTTAGCAGGATTGATGAAGCATGTTGACACTGAAGAGAGAGATTTGGAAATAAATAAATCCACTGTGCTTTATACAAAAGCTCTTTGCTCATCTATTTTTAGCAGAAATCTTGGGAAGGTATTGTGTGTCTGTGTGCGTGCATGTACATGCATGTGTGCATGCAATTATCAAAAGACTATTCTTGGAATCTTTTGTCCAAGATAGACTGACTAAATAATCATTCATTCTACCACTCTGAACTATTTACATGACTGTTTTTCGTAAACCCAAAGTAAAATAATACAGTGATATGACATTCCATGGGAGGCAAAGTAGGCCATTAACTGCTGCTCTGGCAATTTCTGTTTAACAAGCTCCATTCGCATTATGTTTCTTATTTCTCTCTAATGAATAAAACAAACCACAACATTTCTTTCTACTTGTACTAATTTCAACAGAGTGTACAAAGTCCATACACAGTTCCATGAATACGTGAAATTAGCAAAATTTGGGGCTTACTTAGTATTAGCCAGAAGGGGAATAATTATTGATTTATTTATTGTTGGTCATTCATTCTATGCACAGTTATTGTGAACTTATTTTGTGTCCATATGTCCTAAATGTGTAGGAAATAAACTGGCTAACAGCAAAACCTTCACTTCTAAGTGGGGAATGAAGAGAATATGCTTAAAAATGCTGCACAGGAAGCGTTAGAGGCCCAGAAATTTATGCACAGGGAAAAATAAGTTTTCAAGCAGTGTTCAAACTGGGCAGCCTCTTTTTCTGAAAGCTAGAATTATATACAGTGAAAAAAAATGTTTTTATTCAGTGTAGAAACAGGAAATAGTTTTGCTATCACAAGGTGCAGATTTGTACTCTCACTTTATACCACTAACTTCACTCTTATTACAACAGCATTTTTCTCTTTCTCTTCTCTGCTCCCCTGTCATCACCACCCCTGCAGTGTGGCTCAGTGAAGTACAGACACAGAGAGAATGTAGCCAAAATGAACAGTGAAAGCTGAGCTCAGAAGAAACAGAGAGGGCATTTCTTAGGTCACAGGAAACACATTTTTTGGAACATGTATCCGAGAAAAATGAAGCTTCTTAAATTCCAGTATCTCATATATTGGAGTCATTAAGGATGAGAAAAAAAAGAGACAAAAATAGTGCTGAACAATCTCCACTTAACTAAATTCAGATGTGTGAGTAATTACGCATCAAAATAGCATTCTTTGCAATTTCTGGAGAAAACAATACAAGGAAACCACCATTTGACACACATGGGCATGAAGGATGGAAGGGTTTGGACTTTTTAAACAATTTTATAAGAGACACCATCAGGAAAGAAGTAAAAATGAAAGAGGAAGGATATTACAGAACCTTGAAGAATGTACTCCCTTCTTGCATGCCCCCCACTTCTTGGAGAAAGAGGGAAAAAATAGTGGAGGAGAAAGAACAGGGCAGTCAATAAAGTAGGAAATCAACCAGGATGATGCTATGTCTCTGACACCAAAAGAAGGCAGTTTTGATAAGGAGAGGACAATAAAGTCAGATGCAAAAGAAGGTTCAAGTACATTGAGATCTAAATAACCTCAAGGTCTAGGACTAGGCACAGAGGTCAGCTTAGAAACAATTAGATAAGTGGTAGGTCTTAGAGGGTGAATGATTAATTCAGCCACAGATTGACTAATGAATTTTCATCACAAGTACCCAAAGGAGACTTTTTCTCATAGAATATCATGTCCCTTTTAGGACAGCAGGGGTCACTAACATACACTGGTCATTCATCCTGGACAAGTAGACCCTATGAATGTTCATGATGCAGACATATTCAGATACTGCTACGACTCTGATATTTCTATAATTCTTTAATCATAATTTGAATAATGAAACATATTTGGTTTTCACAAGATGAATGATTTAGTCATTTAGTGTCTCCTAAATTTATTTATCAGAAACCACAAAAAATTGTCAAAGACAGTATATACCCTTCTTAAGTACTGCTAAGTGCTGATTAATGTGGATTGCATTACCAAGCCATTTGATCATAAGTTATGCTGCATTATATGATCCAGATCCATCCTTTTACATACCATAGCTATCTAAATATAGTACATTGCACCAGTGGGCAAACAATGATGTGAATCAAGATCAAATAGGTAATGCCTTCTCTTCATTGTCTTGGGCTACCTTTTAGATGTGCTATAATAACAAGCAGACTCTAGGCATCTGATAGACAGGACAGCTGGGCAGGCGAGTTAGCAATTCTGGCACTATCATATTGCAGGTGCAGGAATAAAATTCTCAAATACTTGAGAACAGTTGCCTATGGGCCAGCTATGAACTTGACCTCATTTCAGATAACAGCTTTTCCTTTTCACCCACAGCACAGCTGAAGTTTAGAATAGAATTTATTTAGCTCAACTTTCAAAAAGAAATTGATTCAGAGCCTACTTTCCTAAGACTCCTTTGAAGAGAAAATGCCATGAGTGTTTTTTCTTGGTGTTTAAAAGGTTTATGAAGAACAAATTATCTAGATAGTTCTTTAGTGAGTGAGAATAAAGTCCATGCTTTTGTTCCTAATATAGCCCTTGTATATTTCAGATACTTTATGTGCTTCATGGAAATTTTTGTTTGGGAATTTTTAAAATTTTGATAAGATGTAGCCCTTGCATTAATGAATGATTTTATGTCTTTGATTATACCACTCACATTTTAATAGAAGTGTATTTTGTCCTGATGGTATTTTCTACTCAGGGAATGATTACATTGAATAATTTTACCTCGAGGTAATACAAAATTTTATTGAGTGGTTACCTTTCCAAAATTAGAAATAAAATAATAAAACATTAACTATATATTTGAGAAACCTGAATAAATTGTCACTTAACTCTGAAGAATAGAAGTTCCTTAAAAATATTTTACCCCAAAGTAGGGCAAATGAGTATTCAATGATTATTAAACCAAAGACTTTACATAATTTACAGAATAAAAATAGTCAGACTAGTATGAGCTACTCAGTCCAGTTCCTGATTAAACTGTATTAAATGGGGATGGCAATAGGAAAACTGATGGCTTTTAAAACACGCCATGACTACCATGACACTGTGGAATGAAAGTAATGTTCCATTAACAGGCATTTTCACTATCCTGTATCTTGTCTTTCCCAACCCTTAGTAAAGTACACAAAGAACACTGACTATTTTAGATAAGAGAGCCCTCAACATCTTACTTTTTATTTCTAATTGGCATAACATCCCTTCTTTATGCACTTGCTAAAACCTATGTCTATATACATACACAGTGAGCCCATCTTACTTGACACCCCCACAAAACACACTTGTACCTTGTATCACTACACATGAATGTCTCATACTGGGTCTAATCATGTTCAAAGTATAAGTCTTTAAGTTAGGAAAAATTAATCCAGCAAATATTTTTAGTCCCAAACTTGTGCAAAGAACTGGGCAAGGATTTGTTTATGTCACTAAGGAATAACTAAGCATAATCCTTGCTTTTAAAGAGATGTTCAGCCAAAAAGAATGTGACACGGGTGCAGGTTATATATCAAGTACAAACTGTTTAAAGAAGGAATGGGATGGGGTTAGGGAAGATCACGATTCTGAGATGTCATAATAAAGAATTTCCATGTGACTTGGCTCTGAGTGGCTGGATAGTACTGCCAGACAGGAGTTGACATCGAGGTGAAGGGATAATCATTTCAAGGACAGAAAACAATATGATCAAAACTATGAAATTAGAAAAGAGTAGGAAACCAATATGTATAAAAATAGGGGAGCATTTGTGATTGGGAGTCTCTACTTCTGATATTTTTCTCTGCATCCTATTCATTCTTCAAAACTTTGCTTATAAATACCTCCTCAAAGAAAGACACCACCAAGCCAGACAAATATTTCTATCATATTTCTGTTGTACATGGTATCATATTACAGTCTACCTGAGAACATATTTTATTAAGTAATTAAGTTGCAAATATCAAAAGGACAAAGGTTGTTACTTAAATCATCCCTTTTCACCCATAGCACATGAACCTATAATCAGTATCATGAACCTATAATCCAGTGCATGGTACTTTGCAAATATTTGTTGAACAAATAAATCATTGAATGCTCAAATAGTTAATATTAGGATGCATTTTCATGTGCACCCTCCCATTTAGTTTTAGCATTTTTTGAGAGGTGTAAGATAGGTTTTGTATGTCATATTCAATCTTTTGGAAAACACTTTGTTCAAAATAAGTCTCTGCTCTCAAAGATAAAACAATTATTCTACATCCAAACAAAATGGCTTGTATAAGCATGGTTGTTCATAGTTTCGTGTATCAATGAAAAAAAAAACACTGACCTTCATATTGGAAATTTTACTTCTAAATCACAATGCTCCATATTGAGGCCATGTTAGAGTTTTCTTATGCATCTATTCTGCATCTGAAATTCTGAATGTCGAAACACCTCTTTTACTCAATACCACCTATAAGACTATAATAACAGTAACTGATGTCAAGAGTAACAAAAGTGAGGACACAATGTCTTGAAAATATATGTGTACTTAGAATTGTATGTAAAAGTGCTAACAGCAAATTTCTTCTTTGCCTAGCTGTATACAACCCTTTCTTTCTCAAGTCTAAACATAGTTAAATTTTCTATAATGTCAATGCCTTTTACTCTTAACTGCAAGGATTAGGGACATTGTTTCTCCTTAGAGTTAGAGCGACTCAAACCTCACTGATGACTCAACCCCCTAAATTTTACTTATTTTTTTGCCTTTTTTAATCTTGCCCATTTTGCTTTAATTTTTAATTATATAAGATAGTTTACTAATGTACCCTAATATTGAAGTATTTAACCAATATGGAAATAGTAAATTTTCTTTTTAATAACTACTTTATTCCAATTTAGTCTCTTCTATAGATATTAATACAAACATTAATGTATTTTTTCTGTGTATCAACCCAGATTTAAAAAAAATGTTTTACATGTCTACATAGTACCCATAGAAAATACGTTTATGTGTGTTACTGTGTTTTTCACTGATGATGTCACACTGTAGATGTCAATCCACCTTTGATTGTTTTTTATTTAACATCTTAGAGCTCTTCATATCAGTACACAAAGATCTATCATTTTTCTTTTTATACCTGCTTAGTACTCCACAGTGTGGCTATGCCATACTTGGCATACCATTCCTGTATAATAGATATTCCCATTATTTTGATGAATGATTGATTAAATTATATGTTCACATGCCAGATTATCATTTGAAATCTTTACTTATTTATAATCCCACTTGACAGTATATGAAAATATATTTACCTTCCACCTAACCCACATTTGATCTGATGCATCTTTTTAACATTTTCTAATGTTATCACCTGACATATTGTTTTTTAAATTTTTGTTTTCCTGATTACTAGTAAATTCAAGAATCTTTACATATTGTATATTCTTTTTATATAGTCTTAAGTTTTACACCTTTGTTTACATTGCCAGTTTTTCTATATTTTTTTATTTCTTATAAATCAACAGCAGTATTTTATACATTCAGATATTAATTTTTTCTTGTAAGTATTACAACTATCTTCTCACATACTTCTATGTCCTTTGATATTTATGGAGTATTTTATCCTATCATTTTCAAAAATGATGCAATGAAAATAATATTTTTTCATTTTGCATTGGTATTTCATATTTAAGAAGGCTCTAAAAGTCCTGAGGCCTACTCCCAGTTCTGTAGTCTTAATGATTTTTTAAATGTTTAGGATTTATTCAGTTTGAAATTTATTTTTTAAAATATGTTCAATTAATGATCTAATCTCATTTTTCTTAAAAGATAATTTACTACAAATGACCTTATAATTAAGTGTCTTCAGTGTAGAAAGTTGATATGAAATATCCCTCATTGTAGCAATTTGGTTTTTGCCTTGAGTTCTATTTTGGATGATAGTTAACTGTTGTCTATTCCACACACACACACACACACACACACACACACACACAGACACTCTCTCTCTCACAATCCCTCTCCTTTCCCTTCCCAAACTTCCTATGTAAAAAATTTTTGTTGTGTTTAACATGTCTTTGGAAACAACAGTGATGGTTTTCACTGTTCTAGGAAGCTAACAATAGGTTGTCATTCTAATATTCATCTGCTCAGACTTAGTCTTTCATTTTATACTATGTGTTATACTAATAAGCAGATTAAGTTTTCCAAATTTTAACACAAAACTTAGACCCACATTTTCTCTCTATCCTAGAGTTACCTCCCCAAAATAAGATGAGAATATTGGTGCTCGTTTACCTGTATTCTCCTTCTTCTCAAATGTTCTAAACCGCGCTCAGCTCCAGAAACCACCTTATTATTTAGATCTTCTGGTATTTTACTTTAAGATTGCTATTAAATTTCAATTTGTTAATATAATAAATAAAAGTATGCTTTAGAATAGTTATTTTTAAATGAAACTTAAGAGGGTTTATACAGAATTACTTCTTCTATACTTATACCACACAGGGAACTGGTTTTGTTTTTTCATTTTGTTAAAATATGTCCTTTAGAAAAAGTGAGGGGTAACATTTTTTCTCAGAAATTTTGCTATGTTTCATCTAGTATTAACAATGAGATGTATGATGTCAATCTAATTTTCATATATATATCTCATATCTTATGATATATATATGAGATATATATATATTATATATATATATATATATATACACATAAAACATTCACTCCTAAACCCTTCCAATAGGGTAAGGATTGAATAAATAAATAAATATATATATATATATATATATATTCTCATCTTATTTTGGAGAGGTAACTCTAGGATAGAGAGAAAATGTGTGTCTAAGTTTTGTGTTAAAATTTTGGAAAACTTAACCTGCTTATTAGTATAACACATAGTATAAAATGAAAGACTAAGTCTGAGCAGATGAATATTAGAAAGACAACCTATTGTTAGCTTCCTAGAACAGAACCCCTTCACTGGAAGGGGTTAGAAGGGAATGTTTAATACTTAATACTCTAAAATTTGCTCCAATCTATGTCCAGAGGTGAACCTCTTTTAAATTTATTCTATTCAGTGCTTTGTAGACCCTTTCAATCTAAGAATGTTGGCTTTTTCTCAGAGTTTAAGAGGTTGTTATTATTATTTTTTAATGTTTCCCTCTTCATTCTTTTGGTTATTTTAAGTACCTTCTCTTTGAGAAATAATGATTCCTATCTATTATTCTGTGATTTAAATTTCCTTTCATTTTTCTCATCTCAACTCACTATTTCAGCTTACTAATTTGTTCCTAAGCTCTTTCTTTTACAAATCCTTTGAGCTTTTAAAACCAGGCTGCATAATGTTTTATCATGCTTCATGTTTGCCTCATTCCAGCAGGTTGGTATATTTTAGTGACTAGCTTCTCCAAGCGTGTCACACCCTGCTGTCAATAACTAAATCATTACACTACTGAATTCTGTTGCACAAACTTGAATTTTTTTATTGCACTACCCTGTTTTCCTATGAGAACAGCATATACAGAGTCTAAAAGGAAAGCGAGACAATCATGTTCACATTACATGAATTATATCTCATATTCAAATTTTAATCCCATTCAGCTCAATGATGACCCTTTGATAAATCTAGATGGTTGAGCGAATTTTTCAGAGATGTGCGGAAAGAGAGTGTGTGAAAAAAGTGTCATGAAATTCAAAATGCAGGTGACAGCAAGTGACAGAAATTGGAAAGAATATTTGATTGTACTTGAGCTAATGGTGATATTGATTTCATGCTCCGATAGACCCTAAAGAACAAGGCAGTGTAATGGTATTTTATTTCCATTTAACATTATAGGTATCATACAAGTCAAGGTACTTTTGCTTTTAATGCTTTATTTTAAAGAAAGGTGAATTAAAGATTCAGAAAAAAATCACACACATAAATCATTTTTGTTTGAAGTGCATGATTGCTTCTCCAAAGAAGTGCTATATAAATTCACTATCATTATTACTAAAAATACTTCATAAAATAACTTCCCAATCAACTTGATGTAAATTTAAAAAGTGAATATGGACAATGATAAAGATATGTTGGCATAAAATAACGATATTATTATAAAGCCTAGATATTGTGGAGCTCTTTACATTAACAGAAGTATGAACAAAATACTTATTTAGGCTCCCATGCTCTGGGCACTGCAGGTGAGTAAGGAGGGAAAGTCTAGTGTCTACAGAAAGAGACAGACATTATTCAGATAATCACACCAAATAAAAAAGACACACAAAATGAGACTGAGAAGAGTGTTACAAAGGAAGGGACCACTGCATATGACAGTTTTTAACTAGAGAACCTAAACACACTGGAGCACCACAGCAAGCTTTCCTATGAAAATGTATTTGAGCCAGTATTGAGGGAATTCATAAAAAATAGTCAGCGTGGGAGAGGTTGGTGAGAATGCACAAGACAAAGTGCAGCATGTATAAGCTCCCTGTGGCAGAAGAAAATGAAAGCAAACCTGAGACACCGAAACAGCAATAGAAAGTGGCACAAGGAGACTGGGAGCCAGGCAAGTGTTCTGTACTCTAAGTACTTTAGACTTTTTTCTAAAAACAAGGGGAAATCAATTAAGTAATTTCAATAAATTTGGTGGGGGCATGGCAGTGTCAGAAATGTGTCCTGAGACGGAGTTACACTCTGAAGAGCAGATCTAAAAGGAGCCAGAGTGGACTCTAGGAGATTTAACCAGGGGATGGTTGCAATAGTCTAGATGGGAGAAAATAGTAGCTTGAACTAGGGTGCTAGTGGCAGAGAAGTAGACAAACAAGGCATGTATTGAACACATAAATGTTTAGAATTTGATGATAAATAAGTATGTGAGGAGAGAGAAGCCAGTAGCCAGCGCTGATGAAAATTCCTAAGCTTTGGACTTGTATGCCCAGATGGAATATGGTGAAACTTATCAAGACATGACATGTCAGATTAAAAGAAAGGAATGATACTGGATTATTGCCTTTTTATTTACTTCGTTTTAGGAGAAAGCTATTTGTAATATCAGTTTACTCTTAGGCATATCAAATTTAATATGAGATATAAATATTCAAGGGTATTTGAAGTTTGGGATATATATATATATACACACACACACACACACACACACACACACACACACACACACACACGAGGCTCCGAAGAAAGAGACCTGGTCTGGTTATATACATTGATGAGTTGAATTATTATTTTTTTTTAAATTTTATTATTATTAGATAAGTTGAATTATTATATGGATGATAAATAATAATATAGAGAAAGATGAAATCACCTCAGAGGAGAGAACAAAATGAGAAGAATGAAAGAAAGAGCCCCAGGAAATTCCATTTATTGCCTAGATTGAAGATAATGACTCTTTTGAGACTGAGATCATTGACTTATGAAGCAGAGGAAAAATAGGAAAAGTATGGTGTCATGGATGGTAATGAAAGAGAGTGTTTCGTGAAGGAAGAAATAAAATCAAATGCTGGTAAGAGGTCAAATTTCAGAAGATGATTTTAAAATACTCTATCAATATACAGACATAAAGATTATTATTCTCCTTAGCATGTGCTGTTTTGATAAAATGCTGAAGGCATATATAAAAAATTGAGTAAAGAATATTTTGATTAATACTCCAAACACACTTAATAGCAAATTTTATTTCCTCCCATTTGATTGTTGCAGAACAAAGATTTAAAGTTATATCTTGATCAGGTTTCTACATCTAGTTTCTAAATCATTTTTTGAATCCAGTCTTTCATTCAATGTGTTCCACATACAAACTTCCTACACAAGTAATAAAGATGGATTTTAAAAATTTGAAAAAAAAGCAAACACAATGGGGAAAACTGCTCATATTTCTGTGTTGACTGTGTGTCACAGAGGACTGACCCACAGTCAATGTAGAAATATGATTAATTTTTTTACCTCCTTCTCTATACATCTTTTATATTGTTTCTTCACCTGGTTACTTCTGAATGGAACTAAGTTCTACCATTCTTCTACTGGTAATTAGACAAAGGAAAACCAACTCTTTCAACAGCAATCTCCAAGTTTCCTGAAGAAGGAAGAATATTGAAGAGAGCAATTGAGACACTTGCTTACTGGGAGAATTATTAGTGACAACAACAAAATGAAATCAAGCTAATAATCTTTTAAGAGGAGGAAATAGTTACCTGAATAACAAATAAACGTACAAAAAGTATAACCCTCCTTTTGAGAAGTCCTCAGCTAACTTAGCATTTTTTTCATGTTTTGTAGTTCACCAAATTCCAGGCAGTTTCCCTGCTGAAAAGAGCATTTACGCAGACCTCAGCTATGTTAGGTACATTCTGCCTATCACAATTAATATAGATAATAATAGAAATATGTAAGAATTACTTGTATCTTTTTACAGCCCCATAACAAATATGTGCTTATGAGGCATAGTATTTGCTGAATAAGCAAACTTCCAACATATACACCAATAATGCTATTATAGAAAAAATCTGTATGCTGCATTTCAGTTAAAATATCTTGTGGATAAATGGTGTTTCATATTGGACAAACTATTATCATATACATTTTAATGAGTAACATTCATCCAGCAATTTGTGATGGGCTTTCACACTGTCCAATTTAAGCTTTATAACATCTGTATGTAGTCAGTATTAGTATCCCTATTTTGTCAATAAAGAAATTGCAACTTGAAATTGTTAAATGATTTGCTGCTTTAACTCAGCTAGCTAGTAAAAAATCAGAGCTGTAACATGACTAGAATACAAATTTGGAGAAATTTTCATATGCAATAACTGCCTGGAGAACTCTTGGTTATCTTAATTATTTCATCATATTTGGTTTATTTTTTCAACATTTTTCAAGATTTAGTTAAATGAGAGTAGATTTTTCATTTTTCTTATGCAATTCCCCAAATAACCAAGGGAATTCACATATTTATTGTGATATGCTACCAAATCCACTTTACGCAACAGATATTGCTAATTTTATAATCACCATATACTTAACACATCACTGTCATAGCTCAGGATCCAGGTTGTAAATTTCGTCTCAGGGAAATTATACATATGTACTGATAGAAAATAAACATACTGGAAAGCATCCAATATTTTTAAAATTCAAAATAAATACAGTCCTGGTTTTAACTGATATTTGCAGTTAACAGATAATATATAACCATAAAACTCAAAGATTATACAGTTGTAGAGGAATAATTTAATTCGAATATAAATGATTTTTTAAATGAAATGCTTGATAAGAAGTAAGGACCAGAAAGATAAGAATAAATGTACATCATTGAATGGGGTTTCAAAGACAAACATGTTACAATTTCACAATGTGGAGAAACAACTTTTAAGAGCATATTTAATCAAACGAGCACCAAAAAGATAAGAACAAATGTACATCATTGAATGGGTTTTCAAAGACTAAAATGTCATTACAATTTCACAATGTGGAGAAACAACTTTTAAGAGCATACATAATTAAATTCTGGTTTCTATGAAGTTTCTGAGGTTCATTGCAGTAATTGGGATAAATATATTGTTTCAACCTGTGATAAACACCGTAAGATTGTAACAACTGTCTTGGTAGAGATTCTCTTCCTTGCTGTCTAGCATGAAGTAAGTAGTCATGTTGTAAGTAAGTAGTCAGTAAGTCCATGTGGCAAGCTAGTGAAGGTGGCCTCTGATGAACAACCAGTCAGAAACTGAGAGCAGCCTCTGGCTGACAGCCAAGAAAGAGCTGAGGCCTCACTCTCATAGCCAATAAGGAATTGAATTCCACAACAACCATATAAGTTTGGAAGCAGTTGATCATTGAGATAAGACTGTGGCCACACTGGTACCTCGACTGCTGCTTTCAGAGGAGACCCTGAAGCAGGGAACACACCAAAGCCATGCCCAGACTCCTGAGCTAAAGAAACTGCAAGATCACAAACATATGTTGTTTTAAGCCACTAAGTTTGTGGTAATTTCTTATATATTAACAGATAATTAATAGTAATAGATAATAAACAAAGATGAGTATTTAGAAGATAATATTATAATGGTGTGAGTGGAAGAAAAGCATTGAGGTCCTTAGGAGCTCCTTTCAGATCTGCAGTGTTGGGCAATAAGTGCATCTTATCTCCTCTACTTTAGAATTTACAGTTGAGGAAGTCACATACATTTCATATAGGCAATGGACAATTGAATTGTCAATCTGATTTCTGAGTAAGTTTGGATATTTGAGATGAGTATCAATATGTTTCACTTAGGATTAAATGTCGTTGCATATACAAAACATACCAACTGACTTTGCTCCAACACAAAGACTAATACTTGTAGAAACAAATCCAGATACACACACTTAAGGACTGGTTCCTGGCCTTCGTTGTAAGCAGCCACCACTTAAAACATCCCCTCACAGTCAAAGATGACTGCGTAAGCTCAAGGCAGCAAACAAGTGGCAGAAATAAGAGGAGGAGGAGAATTAGTGGAAGTCACAGACAGTACTTTTTCCTACATTTAATAGGGCAAAAGTTACCTACATAACTACAACTAGCTTCCAGAAAGCCATAGAAATCTATTATCTTAATAGGCTTCGTTTTTATCCTAAATAATATTATAGTCTTCTTACTATGAAAAAAAAAGGAGGCTGGGCTGTAAGGAGTCAATTAGTGATCTTAACCACATTACTTAATTTTTAAAATTATTAAATCTTGAACAATGCTTAAAAATTAGGTATAAAATTAGGTCACATAGATAAGCGTTCCCGAATTGTATTTACAGTTATCTAACCCTAGCCTGAATTACTGATAAAGCAAGATAAGTAGTAAGTGGCAACATTTAATTTATGATAATTGTATTATAATAATTCATAACCATACTCAAATTTCTGCTTTTAAGCTGTTAGACATGCAAAAACACTGTTATAATGCCAAATGAAATCAATACCAACTACTCAAGATTTATAGATGTGTTGCAGATAACTTGGTATGAGAAAAGGTGGATTATACTTTCAAAATATAAACATGACTTTAATGTGACAAATTTTAAATGAATTAGGAATAACTGAGTCTATTATTTCACTATTCTTTCTATTTTTGAACTTGACTTTCAGCAACAAAAACGGGGAAAACAGTAGAACGTAACTGATAAAAATGCAGTTAGATAGGAATGTTTTTCCAGGAGAATAAATTCAAATTATTGAATAAATAACCCTTCATTAAATATTTTATGTATCTCTAAAAGGTATTCTGTTACATTCATTTTAGATGTCAATGGTCTTAAAATGTAAATATCTTTATATAGAGCCATTCTATTTACAGTTATTTATTTTATTGGGTACAAAGTATGGCATTTTATCATTGTAGCATGCATATATAGCATAAAAATGTCAACAAGGTAGATGTTCAGCTATAGAAAATTAATAACTACTTTCAGGTGTAGGTATATAATAAACTTTATTCAGACTTTAAAGATGAGGTGGAAAAATAATTGTTTTTTTCAACATTTATTATTAGTTTAAATGTATTTATCAAGTACTTCTGCTATAGAATATTTTCAGGAAAATCTCCCATAATGAAACTTAAAACACTCAATGTCTAACATTTAAATATAACAGCCTACAAGCCTCTAAGTGGAGCTGCTAATGTGTGATCACTTCTCCAACATGTGCCGCTCCGATACACTGTGAAAGAAATAGTCACTGGTGAAGAGTTAGTAGTAAATACAAAAATCTCTCATTAAATATAAATCGCTTATTTATGTAACTGTAGTAAGTCCAATGATGAAAAATATTACAGTATAAAAGGGTTTAACAAGGAAACTAATTTATTTTGAGGCTAACATTTCAGCTGAGACCTGAAGTAGTAGTAAATCTTGCCAGTCAAAATTTAGAAGGAAGAATAGTCCAGGCTAAGGAAACACCATGTGGAAAGGCCTGAGTCATGGAGCCAGAGCATTTGGTTACCAGGGTGTGAGCTCTGGGATCCCAGTTCTATAAAATTATACAGATAAACATTTGAGAAGATAATAGCATCCCGAGTCGTAGGCTTATTAACTTTTGTTCATATTAAATGTGTCTTCACTTTATTTACACAGGTATTTGGCTTGCATTTCAATGAATCTATATTGCTTTAGTAATGATAAAAAGCACTTTCAGGATGTTAAGAAAAGGCATTCAACATTTACATGGAGTATATGTAGCCCTTATATGCTCTCATGGCTTTATGCTTCCTTCCAGAATAACATTTATCAACCATGTTAAGATGAACGCTGCAGTCATGTGTTACCAAGAGGAGACTGTGAGGTCCTTGAGGACAGGAACCATGTACTCACCTGTAGAACTGCCATACTCACTGTAACTCACACCATCCTTTTTTGTACTTGTCCCTGGGCTCATATTTCCAAGGTTGAATCCCAGATCTATGATTTACTAGCTGCGTGTCTTTGCATAGATTACACAATCTCTATAAGGCCTTGTTTCCTCCTATATAAAATGGAGATAATATTGTGTCCGGAATCGGTGGGTTCTTGGTCTCACTGACTTCAAGAATGAAGCCACGGACCCTCACGGTGAGTGTTACAGTTCTTAAAAGTGGTGTGTCCAAAGTTTGTTCTTTCTAATGTTTGGACGTGTTCGGACTGTCTTCCTTCTGGTGGGTTCCTGGTCTTGCTGGGTTCAGGAGTGAAGCTGCAGACCTCCGCCATGAGCGTTACACCTCTTAAGGCAGCACATCTGGAGTTGTTCATTCCCGGTGGGTTCATGGTCTTGCTGGCCTCAAGAGTGAAGCTGCGGACCTTCTCAGTGAGTGTTACAGCTCATAAAGGCAGAGCACACCCAGAGTGAACAGCAGCAATATTTATCACAATGAGCGAAAGAACAAAACCTCCACAGCATGGAACAGGACCCCAGCCCTTTTGCCGCTCCTGGCTGGGGGAGCCTGCATTTATTCCCTTATCTGACCCCACCCCCATCCTGCTGATTGGTCCATTTTACAGAGAGCTGACTGGCCCATTTTACAGAGAGCTGATTGGCCCATTTTGACAGGGTGCTGATTGGTGCATTTATGAACCTTGAGCTAGACACAAAAGTTCTCCAAGTCGCCACTAGATTAGCTAGACACAGAGCACTGATTGGTGTGTTTACAAACCTTTAGCTAGACACAGAGTGCTGATTGGTGCATTTACAATCCTCTAGCTAGACATAAAAGTTCTCCGAGTCCCCACCAGATTCCCGAGATACAGAGTGCTGATTGGTGCATTTACAACCCTCTAGCTAGACATAAAAATTCTCCAAGTCCCCTCCAGATTAGCTAGACACAGAGTGCTGACTGGTACACATATAATCCTCCAGCTAGACATAAAAGTTCTTGGAGTCCCCACCCAACTCAGGAGCCCAGCTGGCTTCAGCTAATGGATCCCGAGCCAGGGCTGCAGGCGGAGTTGCCTGCCAGTCCCTGGCCCGCACCTGCACTCCTCAGACCTTGGGCGGTCGATGGGACCAGGTGCCATGGAGCAGGGGGCAGTGCCCATCAGGGAGGCTCAGGCTGCGTGGGAGCCCAAGGTGGGTGGGGGGCCAGGGGGTGGGAGGGGCTCGGGCATGGCAGGCTGCAGGTCCCAATCCCTGCCCCGCGGGGAGGTGGCTGAGGCCCTGCGAGAATTCAAGCACAGAGTGGGCGGCCAGCAGCACTGGGGGACTGGCACACCCTCCACAGCTGCTGGCCTGGGTGCTAAGCCCCTCACTGCCCAGGGCCAGCGGCGCCGGCCAGCTGCTCCAAGTGCAGGGCCCAGCCCACGCCCGCTCAGAACTCACGCTGGCCTGCGAGGGCCACGAGCAGCCCAGGTTCCCGCCCGCGCCTCTCCCTCCACACCTCCTTGCGAGCAGAGGGAGCCGGTTCCCACCTTGGCCAGCCCAGAGAGGGGCTCCCACAGTGCAGCAGCGGGATGAAGGGCTCCTCAAGCTCTGCCAGAATGGACGCCATGGCCTGAGGAGGTGTGGAGAGCGAGCAAGGGCTGCTAGCACCTTGTCACCTCTCAATACTAAAACGTATAGTGCAGATACATTATGAGGGTTAAATAAGATGAGGCAAATAAAGTGCTTCGTAGAATGACTGACACATATTAAATGGTCAATAAGTATTTTCAACCATCACAACTGGTCACCATCATCAATCTACAGTTTAAAAAATTCTCAACAGCCTCTAAAAGGATACACAGAATTTCTACTACTATTGCTACTAAGCCACTAAAGTTTTATGGTCATAATTCTTCTATTAGATTTCTGTATTTGTTTACAAAGATGAGCACATATTCTCCACCAAGGAACTTCAAATTTAGTAGATTATAATCATTCTAGAATTGTTACAGCATAGAGAAATTGGGCTAGGAAAGAGGAGATAATAAAGGGGGTAATAAAGAGTGGTATGAAGAAAAGAAAACATTCTATGCATCAAATTCTGTACTCTCTACCTTACTTAGCTTTTATTTATTTATTTAAATTATAAACACTGTGTTTGGAAAACGTAAAAATTTCAAATATATAAATAAGAAAATTCAAATTATCTTTACTTGCAAGTCAAGTTTCTCTCAGTATTTCAGTATACTCCATTCCAATCTTTTGTTGAATAAAAGAATGAGAGCACAAGTGAAAGATAAGTTTGGTAGAAATTTTATAGAACCTCAATCTCTCTTCAGAATCCCTATTTATAAAAAGAAAAATTAGAGATAATACTAAATACTATTTGAGAATTAATTATTAATTAGTACTTTAAAAACATAAAATGTAACAAAAATTTACACAATCTGAATGGTGGATAATTAACAAGAAAACACATTTCAGTGGAAAACAAAATTACTACAAATTATGCTTCACTAGTTATTAAAAATTTAAATGTTATAAATTTGACTCTTGCGAAAGATATATTTTAATGTTTCTGAGTTGGCAAATGCCTGTTGTTACTGGTGATATAGAGAGTAAACAGTAAACATATGTTGATTGGATGAGTGAGCAAATGATGGGAATGTAAATTAGCAGTAAATTTTAGAAAGAAAATTTGGCAATAACTTTCAAGAACTGAGCATTCTTCAGACCGCTGGACCCAGCAATTTACTATTTTATTTACATTTTAATTTAGGAATGATGCACACACAAGCACACACAGAAAATCACATCTATTATAAATGTGCAAATCACTGAATTATCATTGAACACACTTGTGTAACTACTTCCCAGGTCAAGAAATGAAACATTATGAACATCTTGGAATCCTTATTCATGCTCTTTACAGTCACAGCCTGATCACTTTTCCCAAGTGTAAACATCATTCTTAACACCAATGGCCAAAAAAGAATCTCAGATGGTCACAGAGTTAGTAAGTGCTAGAAGCTAAAATTTAAATCTAGTTTTGTCTATGGCTGAAATTCATGTTCTTTCCATGATGTCATCCTCCTTTATGTGTGTTGGGGGCTCTTTAATGTGCAAAACTGTGTCATAACAGAATATATAAAACATGCTTGATATTGTAAGCAAATAATTGGTATCTGGAATTGGATTTTTGATATTGTTCAGTGAATGAATACATGGATGACAAGTCAATACATATTATTGAGCATCTCCTAATCAGACATGAGTTCAGACGCAGTATATAAAATGGTGAAGGAAAGAGGCAAGCCATCACCCTCAGAAAACTTGCATTTTGCTAGGCACAGGAAGAAAATGAACACATGGTAAATAAAAAGTAACATCAGTGTTTGCTGAAAGTCTGTAAAGGAAATAAACATGGTTATGTGATGGGAAGTAATGAGGAGAATCAGTGGAGAAAAGGGTGGTAAATAGGCTACTCCAGCGAAGGTGCTAAGTCAGACAAAGCCTCTGTGTTTTCTTTTACAGAACAGAGCTGTGCACCTGGAGCCTAGCAAGGAAAAAACAGAAGCTGCAGGAGGCTCAGGGCGAATGGAACTGGCCATGCAAAGACTTACAACACTTGGAGAGATGCCTGGGTTTAATTCTATGGTTTTGTTTAGCAATGCATACTCTGATATTTGCCTATAGAAGATCACTGTTACTGCTGTGTAAAGAACGGACCATAGCCAATTGAGAATGGAAACAAGAAACCCAGGGAGGAGGATGTTACAGTGGCCTAGGCAAAACATGCAGTGGCTAGAACTGAGAAGTTATAGCTGAGAAGTGGTCCTAGAGGTGGCAAGTTCAGTGTTGAAGATAGGGCTAACAGCCTGGCTGATGGGTTGGGAGGAATTAAGGATGCTTTCAGGGGTCTGGGCTAGAGCAAGTGTATGTGTCCCTCTGTGGGCAACATTGTCATCTAGGGTTTACATGATCATGGGAAATGCTGTAAAAGATAAAAGCTACAATCTTCAAATAAATGCTATATTTCTACTCTATATACATTAGGCAGTCATTGAGCTTTTTCTGTGGACAGCTTGACTCATATCATATGAATGCTGATGTGCATTTTTAAGTGAAAGAGTTTAAAAACAGCACGGGGAATGCCTCACAGGTGTGAATGCCACTCAATGTTTGTGTGTGAAAAAGAGATGTTGTAAAGACTGTGTGTTTGGGAGCAAGGCAAGGTTGCTAGAAGCAGCTGGCCTAGAAATATCAAACAGTGATTTCAGGGATTTGGAAGTTTGGGCCTAACTCGAAAACAGTTTTTTGGATGAAATTATTTATGAATTTGATTTGAAATATAGTTTGCAGTGAAGCAAAAGCATAATTCAGTTTCATCACAGTATTATGACTAATGTTTGAGGTCTTATTCTAAAGTTAAGAATAAACAACAGGTGCTGGAGAGGATGTGGAGAAATAGAAACACTTTTACACTGTTGGTGGGACTGTAAACTAGCTCAACCATTGTGGAAGACAGTGTGGCGATTCCTCAAGGATCTAGAACTAGAAATACCATTTGACCCAGCCATCCCATTACTGGGTATACACCCAAAGGATTATAAGTCATGCTGTTATAAAGACACATGCACATGTATGTTTATTGCGGCACTATTCACAATAGCAAAGACTTGGAACCAACCCAAATGTCCATCAATGATAGACTGGATTAAGAAAATGTGGCACATATACACCATGGAATACTATGCAGCCATAAAAAAGGATGAGTTCATGTCCTTTGTAGGGACATGGATGAAGCTGGAAACCATCATTCTCAGCAAACTATCGCAAGGACCAAAAACCAAACACTGCATGTTCTCACTCATAGGTGGGAATTGAACAATGAGAACACTTGGACACAGGAAGGGGAACATCACACACAGGGGCCTGTTGTGGGGTTAGGGGAGGGGGCAGGGATAGCATTAGGAGATATACCTGTTTAAATGATGAGTTAATGGGTGCAGCACACCAACATGGCACATGTATACATATGTAACAAACCTGCATGTTGTGCACATGTACCTTAGAACTTAAAGTATAATAAAAAAAAGAATAATAGTTATGGTCTAGAATCTAAACTATAGTTTGATGAAAGCTTTCATTTATATAAAAATTGAGGATTGAGATTGTAGACTGCCTTTTGTGATTATTCTAAGTTTTCTCAAGATGTTGCCATTTCAAAAGGTCTTTGAAAACAGCATGAACAGGAAAGTAGCTTTAGTACCCCAGTACCTGAGACAGTCAAAGATCAGGGTATTATTAAAACTGAAATAAATGTTGAGGAAGTAGATAAAACCTAAAGTTTATTTTCAGTAGTAGTCAGATCTGAAACCAAATGGTAATATTTGCTAGAAAATAATTCAAACAAAGGATTTATCGGGAAACAACCTAATAACAAATTTGATTCAATTTAAAATTGATATAGAAACATAAACCATAAGAACTATCTTAAACATAATTTAGTCCAAGACAAATATGGAGGCATATAAGATTCTATTTTTCAGAATAAGTTACTAATCTTTCTGAAAGTAAATAGTTGCAGCAGGTATTCTCTTAGACTACTTGAGTCCCTCTTTATCTGTTTTCCCAAGACATGAAAATTATTCTGACTTTATCAATCCAGCAAAACAATCAGTTTTTCTTAAATTTTTCAAACTTTTCACTAAGTCAAATTGACCCTTTAGTTCACTAAAACATTCACTCTTTCTTGCCCTGAGAAAGTCACAGAGGCAACACCAACCAAATTTAGCCAAAGATAGTATCTCAAATAACTGACAAGTCTTTGCCCCTCCTCATCTAATAACCCCACCGGAATTAATAACAAAACAAAATAAAAAAACAAGCAAAAGTAACTAAATTGCAAATGCTATTGTATTGCAGAAAACATGAGTATCCTGCAAAAAGTCAAATAGAAATCCTTTTAAAATGACTAATAATAGTAATTTAAGAAAAAGTGTAAGAGGACCTGAACAAAGTTCCTAAGAATGTTGATTTTCTTCTGCTAGTTTTGAGGTTAAGCCTCATCTGTCTAATGTGACAGAGAATGGCTAGTAATTATCACAAACCTTACAGTGCTGGAGCTAAAAGCCAATTTAATTAGCATTTTTATCTGCCCATTTGGACCTTTATTATTCTAGGAAAAGATTTGAAACAGCAGTGAATTCTAGAAGCTTGAAAAGAAATGCTTTTATTCATTCTGCATATCAGTAAATTGTTCTTCTAGCTTTTGGTTTTTATCTTCTAAATGTATATCCAACATCCAACATAGTAATTTATTCAAAAGAAAGATTTCTTTTTGTTTGGTTGGTTTTCATTTTTTTTTTTTTAATACAGAAGACCAGGTAAAATAAAACCATATAAAAACCTAGAATTCGCTTTAGGCAAATGTCAAGAATTAGCTTAATAGAGAAACAAAGAAGAATTTGGCCTGAAATATAGGTCATGGATTCTAAGTAGAATCTTTCGTGATGTTATTTCAGATGGGACAAAAAAGCATCATCTAGTGGATTTCTTTCCATATAACCACAGTTCCATCAGTGGCTGTCCATAATCAGCACCAAGGAATTGCTTCTCTGGATTATTTTCAAATAAAACGACTTCTATTTTCTCTACCAATACCCTCTCTCTGATTTTACTCACTCCTTTGGGCCAGCTACCATCTCCATATAAAAGGCTGTTAATATGCAATCTTAGGTTTAGTGTTTCACACATTACCAATTCTATAGACACAACTGCCTAAAAGACTTAAATACAAAATTTTACTAAAACTCAACTTGTATTATTTTGAACTCATTTCCCCAAAGTCAATTTCTTTATCATCTACCTCATTCTGGCAGATCACCATTTTTTTTGCAACCTAAGCTTGATATAGAAATGTCATCTTTCTTTTCTTTTTAAAAAATATTTAAAAGTGTTTATTTTCCATTACAATGGACTGAATGGTTGCCCCACCTCCAAGTTCACAAGCTGATAGTCTGAAGCCCAAGGTCATCATATTAGGAGGTGGGGCCTTTGGAAGGTGATTAAGAGATGAGGTGCTTAGTGCACTTAGGAAAGACGCCTCGGAGAGATTCATCACCCTTCTTTAAAATTTCAGTGAGAAAAAGCGTTTCCATCAGGCCATGAATGTGCTAGTGTGTCCGGAATTGGTGGGTTCTTGGTCTCGCTAACTTCAAGAACGAAGTCACGGACCCTGGCGGTGAGTGTTACAGCTCTTAAGGTGGTGCATCTGGAGTTTGTTCCTTCTGCTGTTCGGATGTGTTCAGAGTTTCTTCCTTCTGGTGGGTTCGTGGTCCCGCTGGCTCAGGAATGAAGCCGCGGACCTTTGTGGTGAGTGTTACAGCTCTTAAGGCAGCGCGTCTGGAGTTGTTTGTTCCTCCCCATGGGCTCATGGTCTCGCTGGCTTCAGGAGTGAAGCTGCAGACTTTCGCGGTGAGTGTTACAGCTCATAAAAGCAATGTGGACCCGAAGAGTGAACAGTAGCAAGATTTATTGCAAAGAGCAAAACAACCTTCCACACTGTGGAAGGGAACCCGAGCGGGTTGCCACTGCAGGCTCCAGCAGCCTGCTTTTATTCTCTTATCTGGCCCCACCCACGTCCTGCTGATTGGTAGAGCCAAGTGGTCTGTTTTGGCAGGTCGCTGATTGGTGCGTTTACAATCCCTGAGCTAGACACAAAGGTTCTCCACCTCCCCACCAGATTGGTTAGATACAGAGTATCCACACAAAGGTTCTCCAAGGCCCCACCAGAGTAGCTAGATACAGAGTGTCAATTGGTGCATTCACAAACCCTGAGCTAGACACAGGGTGCTGATTGGTGTGTTTACAAACCTTGAGCTAGATACAGAGTGCCAATTGGTGTATTTACAATCCCTGAGCTAGACATAAAGGTTCTCCAAGACCCCACCAGAGTAGCTAGATACAGAGTGTCAATTGGTGCATTCACAAACCCTGAGCTAGACACAGGGTGCTGATTGGTGTATTTACAAACCTTGAGGTAGATACAGAGTGCCGATTGGTGTATTTACAATCTCTGAGCTAGACACAAAGGTTCTCCACATCCCCACCAGACTCAGGAGCCCAGCTGGCTTCACCCAGTGGATCCCGCACCAGGGCTGCAGGTGGAGCTGCCTGCCAGTCCCGCGCCATGCGCCCGCACTCCTCAGCCCTTGGGTGGTCAATGGGACTGGGTGCCCTGGAGCAGGGGGCGGTGCTTGTCGGGGAGGCTCAGGCGGCACAGGAGCCCCCGGGGTGGGGGAGCTCAGGCATGGTGGCTGCAGGTCCCAAGCCCTGCCCCGCGGGAAGGCAGCTAAGACCCGGTGAGAAATAGAGAGCAGCGCCAGTGGGCTGGCACTGCTGGGGGACCCAGTACAACCTCCGCAGCCGCTGGCCCGGGTGCTAAGTCCCTCATTGCCCGGGGCCGACAGGGCCGGCCTGCTGCTCCCAGTGCGGGGCCCGCCAAGCCCACGCCCACCCGGAACTCCAGCTGGCCCGCAAGCGCCGCACGCAGCCCCGGTTCCCGCTGGCGCCTCTCCCTCCACACCTCCCTGCAAGCTGAGGGAGTGGGCTCCGGCCTTGGCCAGCCCAGAAGGGGCCTCCCACAGTGCAGCGGTGGGCTGAAGGGCTCCTGAAGTGCCGCCAAAGTGGGAGCCCAGGCAGAGGAAGCACCGAGAGCGAGCGAGGGCTGTGAGGACTGCCAACACGCTGTCACCTCTCACTAGCACCGTGATCTAGGACTTGCCTGCCTTCAGAAGGGTGAGATATACATTTCTGTTGTTTATAAGCCACTCATTCTGTGATATCCTTTTAACAGAAGCATGAATAAACAAACTCACCAATCTTCTAGGAAAGGTATTTATCCCCTTTTTTGAAAATCATCTTTACCATTCCATGCTTGAACCATGCGGTTCCAACCACAGGCTTCTGTTCCCTCAGCCTATGTGAGTTGAGTGCACTGAGTAGGGAAACATTTAGAGCTGCTCAGGTAGTTGCCAAACGGTGCAATACTCATCATTCTACTATCTTCTACATTCTTATCAAATAAATTATGGAAGACAAAGAAAATAAAGTCATTTGGTGACTGCTTGACACAAAAAGTAGGAGGGATAATCCATCTACTAAATGACAAGAGACAATGACCATGGAGTCAGCATTCAGAAAAAAATGAAATGATACACAATCTGAAAAGGCGTAATTTCAAAATGCAGATTTAAAAGGCTAATTGCATAAATATGGAACAAATTCGCTTAATACAAATCTGGAGTAGTACTCCTTTATAGCTTAAAATGCTAATATATACAACCTGAGCGGAATGTTCATATCAAGAGTGTTAGTGGTCCCATTAAGTTATGAATTAATTAGTTCACTCTGGAGAATTCCTGGAGCAACACTGTCCTTTTGAAGAATGTCTACAAATAAATGGCATCCAAAAGAAGATAATTTGAATGCTCAGAGATTGGCAAGAGGGTATCATAGAGATTGGTCAAGTTAATTAGGCATGCTTATTCTGGAACCTAAAGATAATATGGAAAAGGCCTGTCAGATAGTTTTTTAATATTTTGAAAGGGTGGCCATCTTTACATGGAGGTTAAAAACAGGGGTGGATATTATAGGATAACCTATTTTACCTCATTATTAGGCAGGTATTCCTAATATTTAAACCTTTCGAACATGAAATGGGCTGCTTTACCTTGAATAAGCTTTTTGAAAAGGAAGTTTGAGGCTGACAATTACATATCAGAAATGCTATAGATATGGGTCTTGAAATAATCTTGTTTCTAAGGTCCCTATACATTCATGAGATTTTCTGATGCATGAGCAGGAATCATTCTAATCTTCTCCATTATTCTACTTTTAATTAATCTGTAGCTGGAACATCTATTATTCTGAGTCCATAATTAGCACAATTATTTCAATAATGTTATTTGCCATGGAGATTTTTTTTCAGTATAGGAAAGTATAGAAAGCAGAACCTTTGTATTTGTGCTTCACAGAGATGATAGTGTTGATTATGAAATCTCCATGCAATTTCATTTAATAGTTAGGGCACTACAAAATGGGTGCTAAACCCAAACATGTACCTCTTCATTTCTCCCTTGATGTTCAATTCTGTAAGAGCAAGTTGAGGGCTTCACTACTCTACCTCTAAAATATTCTCACTCATCTACTAAAATAAAATTGCTTTAAAACCTAGTATCTATGAAGCACAGCCAAAATTATAAAGAACAGCACATTCTGTATTACATTTCTTTGGTCTTTAGAGCAAGAATATATTTTAAAATCTTTCTACCTCTTAGCTTTCAGTTTGCTGCAAAATGTCACCAATGTTGATAAGGCCAGCTGCTGCTTGCAAAATTGCTTCTCCCTTTGCACTAAAGAACAACAGTGTAAAAGGTTATCTTATCTAAACCATTTCATGGCCAGTAGGGTTATAAAAGCAATACAACTTTTAATGGATTTTAAATATTTATATGGATATGGTATAGGGCTTTTTAAAAAGCTATTCATAGTGAGTGTCTGTAGCTACATGTCATTTTGTAAATATCCAGTGACTGAATCTATAAGAAGACTGAGATTTTTTTGCTTTTTCTTTAATGTTGAGTATCCGTAGTACATCAAAACTATATACAAGTCCACAAAGATTCTACTGTTTAGTTTTTTTTTATTTCTAGAAAAAAGATTTTTAAATACATGCATACACATACATACACATAGCCATGATGTCTTAATCTGGTCTCTATTATAGAAGTTAAGCTATTGTTGGATTCAGTTATAATTTTTATATTCATTAAGTATGTATATTATGAACACTTTCTGTAATGAAAATAAATAGAGGTTCTCTAGAGCCTGCTGTAACAAGGGAGACAGCCCTATCACTTGCATTTGACAGAGACTCAAGGCAGTCAGTGTAATGGGAAAGCTTCATGGTAAATAGAAAGAAAGTCTTCAGTTAAAGCCTGATTAGAGGTTGTTGACAAGAAGCTGGGAGCAGGCTAACTTAAACCGGGACATTCTATGTGATTGGTTTGGGGAAAATATTTGGCTTTCTCTAGTTGATCCTTAGAAGCCAGGATACAAAATAGGCAAGCTGGCAGGCATTGAACAAATGCTAACTGTTTTGGGCTGATTTATGCAGAGACGATATTTCAATTTCCGGTTCTGGTTGCTGCAAAGGTCGTGTATCAAAAAGGGTTCTGTTTTCATATATGACCTGGCCATTGTCCATTTGTACAATAAGCCTCTCAATATTATATCTAAAATAATAAAACTGTCTTAGTCAATATTATTTTGCCTACTAGGCACCCTAAAAATATATCTCTATATTGTTGGGAGACAATTCTCTATGGATTTTTCTGTGTATCTTTTGCTCCAGACTACTTTTCAAGGATTTTTGTATAGGGAATAGCTTTGGGAGATAGAGACAGTGTCTCCTTCTTGAGAAAAATGCAGATGTGTTTACTGTACAGTATAACAAAGATAACGTGTCCCTCTAGGGAAAAGCTTGGGCAGACGCTTTATGAAACATTCCAGTAGCTTAAGCTTAAGTTTGTATCAGCTATGATGCAAATGACTGTGTATGCAATGTCCATCTGGGTTATTCCATATTCCCTTCTCAGACTTAGAGGCAAAGGAAGCTAAAGCAACAGGGAGCATACACTATTTTGTTGTTCTGTATAAAAAGTCCTTTGTCTCAGACCCAGGAATGTCATGTTTTCTACCAACATCCATGAAACTGTGACAGGTAATTCAGCTTAAATATAGGGTAAAATACTAGATCATTCAGCTCTTGACAAGTACTACATATTAATGCCTAAATAATCAATTATATAAGTGAACACTGTTTCTCCCTCTGATTTAGAAATATAACCAGGATTACAAAATGAATGCAGAAAAATGTAAAAGACACCTTGGAAAAAGCTCATGCAAATTAGTTTAGATTGTTTTCAGTAAATGGAAATTAATTGTGTGCTTAAGGACAGGTGGGCTAATAAAGTAAGGGTTCTGTTTTTGTTTGTCAGAACATAGACATGATACTGTTCCCCAGGTGGTTAATGTTTTAATAAGGTCAATCATCAAAACTGTGTAAGAATAAAAAAGATTGCAGAAAGTGCTCAGATTTAATTTGTGTTTAATACTTATACTTCATCTTTCTACAACTCTCATAAAATTAATTGCAGCAAGGTACCAAACTTCTTTACTTTATGATAAAATATAAGTGTACCTGGCAAATCTAAATCATATACTTATAAACTACCAACCTTTTAATCTCAATGAAAATAGATTAACTAGAAGAAATGTATATGCTTAAAGTATATCTAAATAATTACCCATGGATTGAAAAAACAGATATATTTTTCAAAATTTGCTTTATTAAGATAGCTTTTAAGTCTCTGAAATACAGTTGGAACCCTTATGAGTACACAGCACTTTGCAGAGTGCTATTATGTGAAATAATGCATCCTTCTGTAAGTCAGGTTCAGGTTATTATTTATAGAGGTGCTTATTAGTCTAATATTTTGTGGTCTGAGAATTTTAAATAAATTATTCTAGTTTTTTTCCATAATAAAGCATGGGACTACATATATTACATACTTTTGAAAGGATGACTCGGGGCTGGAATTAGAATAATCAGCTTCAAGAATTTACCAAGTGACAATAAGCCACAGAGGCAAGGACATTTCTAAATCTGCCAGAGCACTACATTTGCCTTTTAAGAATAGAGGCCAATACATTTTAATCTTCAAGGCAAGCTACTTTGGAAATAAAAACTAGATATATGAGAAAAGAATGAATTACCTTGAAAGTGGTCATTGCATAGCATTTTTTTCTTTTTTAGAGAGTGAAATATGTTATCTGTGCAATAGGGATTATAATTTTTACCTTCAGGAATTGGGAATAATTTCAGACACATCTAACCTACTGAAAGTATAATGGACAACAATTACATATCCAAAGGGGAGGTTTCTAAATATATTGGGATCTAAATATCTCGGCATCTAAATATCTCCTCTATCTAACTAAGGGGAGATGGGTGTGACCCTAAAACTCTATCATATTCATATTTAAATGCATGAATTAATAATTGTGCTGTTGATGGCATTTTTGATTCAGTTTAATGGAATCTAGAATGAGCAACTAAAAAAGATGGAAAATGAAATTTCTGATGTCGCTCACAGGATAATTATAATGGCTTGACCTAAAATACCAATTGCAGTTATTCATCATGAATACTTTTAACATAAATTTGTATGAGTTATCCATACCCCATAATTTGATGAAATACTTTGGGCACATCCAGCTGTCCTTGTTCTATTGTATGCTCATATCACTACCTTCAGATTTGTTTTTTAGTCTCCTGAATGGCAGAGTGAACAACTCTTTGTAGACCCACTTCTTAAGCAAGGTAACCTAATAATATGTCATTTTGGTCTATTATATTACTATGAGTTCATCTTCCAGAATCTGAAAAAAATCTACAAAAATGTTATAAATATTTTTCTCAACCTGAAAAAAGTGAGGACCAGATCCATGGTGATCCCACATAATTCCTGCTGGGAGATGCTGGCTGAACCAGCTCATATGTTCCTGGTTGCTGACTTAATGGGCTTTCAGATGAAGATTTTTATAGAAAACAGTCAATACTTTATTTTGACACACCGAAGAGGAAGTGGTGGTTATGAAAAAAATACTAGCTAAAAACATATTCCCTCTATCTGAGTAGGAGTGACTGTAAACCCAAAACAAGCATGTTTAAAGGAGATTAATAACTTTCAAATTGAACTCCAGCTCCTATTTAAAGAGGCAACGTCACTGACAAATTCAAATAAGAAAGAAAAGGACTGGCTTAGAAGCGAATTCAATAACGCAGTAGTATGCAATATAGAGAGAGGCCACATCCTGAAGAAACTCTCCAAGAGGTGAAAAGTCCTAGATCATCATTCAACTCCAGACAAAGATTGGAGGAAAGACACTGCCGTGTGGCTGAGTTCATGGCTGTTCAATCACTGTTGTATACACAGAAACATGGCCTGATGGCAGATTCCCTACCACTTCATTAAAGCAAATGGTTACCTTGAGGTGGCAATCCAAGTCTCAAGACTTTTATTGTTTTGCAAACTTACATTTTAGTGTATTTTTTGTTTTCCAGTTCTTTAAACTAAAATGTGAAGTTCATTTTAAATCACACTTGCTCTGGAAGGTCTACATCATCATAACAGGCAGTAAAAAGTCTGATATAGAACCTAGATGCTATAGGGCAACAGGTACTTGAAGGCAGATCCAGTATCTTAATATTTGTCAAGTAAGCAGGTAGGACATAGTCTAAAGCATGAAATTCAGACAAGACTTTGATATCTTCAGAGAATTTTAGCAAGGGTTATGTGAGAATGTCATCAGACAGGTAAAAAATTAAAGTAGAATCTGGAAGAAGGAAATGTTGGACGGTTGGGAAATGGTTGCCATTAAAAAATCTGTTGCAGTTAATTATTAGGATAAATGTCACTGGAGCCCAGGTCCTATAATTCTAGCCTCCTGAGGGACTGGCAACAGCCATGTAGTATCCTCAACTTAAAAGAACTAAAATTACAGGTAGATTCAAGACAAGGTTCATGCTCAAACACTGTTTATGAAACCCAGCCAAACCTTCCATTATTTGTTTCTACTTGTGGCCAGAAAAAAGGAATAAAACATGGTCATATCTGTTCATATATCTGCTGCCTCATAACTTATTACTTCATTTTTCTGTTTGTTGACTACACTGGCTGCCTCTCAACCTCTTCCTTTCTACTCAGAGTGTAGTTTCTCTTATCTACAAGGAAGGACCCATGCATTTATAAATTCCAGTTTGATTTCCAATCATTTTAGCTTCTCAAGTGACCACTTTGTATTTGGCCACCTGTTCTTTTTGTGTGCTGCCTGACTCACACTCTAGATTCATTAGTTTAGCCTTGTGATGTGTAATATAACACATCAACATAGCCCTTCTTCTTTTTAGAGAAAACTTACTTTATTTGCTCTTCTGGATTACAAAGTAACCAGGGCTTATCTTGACGCAACTCCTGCTCACTGACAAATGAGTTCCTGTATAGTACATATGACAGACACTAGGTTTCTAGACTTTGAATAGAAGCCTAAATATAAATGAGTTAGTTACCATGGCATATGTAAACAAATTTCACTGGCTCATAATCCCCATTGGTTTAACCTCATGATTCTGAATGCCTTGTATTTTCTGTTCTCTGTATATTTTTCTGGGAGGCTCTCAAATGATGACTTTAGGGTACTCAACTCGTAAGGGTACCTACACTCATGCATAAGGTATTGAAGCTCTTCCCAAATAGTTCACTGAACTGGTCATGTTGGGCATATCCATTATACTGCGCCATTCTGCTATGGGTATGATCACTTGCTTTGTTCAGTTGTTCTACATTTTATGGTGAGTATAGCAGCTGTTCCACAAGTTTCCAGATATTCAAATAAGAATTTGGGAGGCAAAACACGAAACTGTAGTTTATAATAAAACAGATAATGTATTTCCCCCCTTAGGTTACAGAATTCTCAACAGGTTCTAAAGCAGGAGTTGCCATGTTCCAAAAGGGAGCAACACAGTTCTTCGTTGCTTGTTTGCTGTTTTCATTTGTTATTTTTAACAGCCTGTTCCTTTCCTGCTACTTGAAGGACTAGCCTGAGAACAAATTCAGTTTATAGGTGCTGTGCTATGTCCAGCATTCCCAGTCCTCTCAGGATAACAAGAATTAGTTAGAAAGACTAAGTGTTCTGACTCCAAACTGTAGAATGTGCTCAATCAGGCAAATCCACACATTTGCTACTCATGCTCTGAATGTCTTAACTGGTGGCTTGAGAAAGCAGGTACCCAATTTCTGGAATTTGGGTTGCACTGTAACAGAGAAAGATTTCCATGTTGGTAGGCTAATGATTCGAGTAAATTAGCAGATATTTCTTATATGTATCATACTAAGGAGGTCCTCAGACATAGCTATACACCAGAATCACCCACATAATTAAACAGTGGAACAGATTTATCTGGGAGCCAGAGTCTTGTGTGGCCAACATAAAGGGTCATATATGTCGGTCCTCATATATGTCACTGAAGTGACCTATAGAAAAGAGTCTATTTGATCACTGATGACATTTCTTGATCTTTCCAGTTATGAATATTTATTATTGTCCAAATTTACTTTCAGTAAATACATTCTAAATGCAAGACAATTTTTTCTTGTTGTTTTGAAAGACTGTAAGTCTGCATTAGGCCAAATTCAAGGAATTTATAGACTTGTTGGGGGCAAAATAATGCTTTATGTATACACAAGCAAATGGACCCCAAGCAAGGCCTGTGTTCAGGTCAAGGGTGAGGATTTAGATTAATATGGATTGAGGCCATTAGGGAAATAGGAGGTAAAATATTAGTTGGGTGTTTGTTTATTCGCAACTCAGAATTTGAAAACTTGTCAAAGCTGCTTCAAAGAAACAATTTCAATACCTTTTTTTGTTTTTTTAGACAGAGTCTCACTCTGTCACCAGGCTGGAGTGCAGTGGCGTTATCTCGGCTCACTGCAACCTCCGCCTCCCGGGTTCAAATGAATCTCCTGCCTCAGCCTCCCAAGTAGCTGGGAATACAGTCACTCAACACCATGCCCAGCTAATTTTTGTATTTTTAGTAGAGACGGGGTTTCTCCATGTTGGCCAGGATGGTCTCAATCTCTTGACCTCCTAATCTGCCTGCCTCGGCCTCCAAAAGTGCTGGGATTACAGACGTGAGACACCACGCCCAGCCTCAATAACTTTAAATGGAAAATTTATGCCATCGTCCACTGTATGTCATTATCCTGCAGACATACTAGTTTCATGGTGGTCATCACTGGGCTTTAGTCAAAATGTTAATATTATTACCTTCCTATGGAATAAACATCATTTACTTTTTATCCTAAAGAAATGAAACAAGTTGTTTTTGTGTATTTCATGGAAGAATAAAATCAAAGGTTAATTTGTGGGCAAAGGTTATTATAAATATATCTAAAAATTAGTATGATTACTGCACAAGTAACATTACTTTGCAACACATATTATATAATTTACCATCATAAAATAACTATTAAAATCCCATTATAATTTTGCATCCTGACCTAATGTTTTACATACAGTTTAAACTTTTTAATATAAATTGAGAAATAGGTGTCATTTTTATCACAATTTTACAATTAAAGATATCTCTTTTTAGGGAATCCTCCCTAACTCATTTTATGAGGCCAGCATCATCCTGATACCAAAGCCTGGCAGAGACACAACCAAACAAGAGAATTTTAGACCAATATCCTTGATGAACATTGATGCAAAAAACCTCAATAAAATACTGGCAGACCGAATCCAGCAGCACATCAAAAAGCTTATCCACCATGATCAAGTGGGCTTCATCCCTGGGATGCAAGGCTGGTTCAATATACGCAAATCAATAAATGTAATCCAGCATATAAACAGAACCAAAGACAAAAACCACATGATTATCTCAATAGATGCAGAAAGGGCCTTTGACAAAATTCAACAACCCTTCATGCTAAAAACTCTCAATAAAGTAGGTATTGATGGGATGTATCTCAAAATAATAAGAGCTATCTATGACAGACCCACAGCCAATATCATAGTGAATGGGCAAAAACTGGAAGCATTCCCTTTGGAAACTGGCACAAGGCAGGGATGCCCTCTCTCACCACTCCTATTCAACATAGTGTTGGAAGTTCTGGCCAGGGCAATCAGGCAGGAGAAGGAAATAAAGGGTATTCAATTAGGAAAAGAGGAAGTCAAATTGTCCCTGTTTGCAGATGACATGATTGTATATCTAGAAAATCCCATTGTCTCAGCCCAAAATCTGCTTAAGCTGATAAGCAACTTCAGCAAAGTCTCAGGATACAAAATCAATGTACAAAAATGACAAGCATTCTTATACACCAACAGCAGACAAACAGAGAGCCAAATCATGAGTGAACTCCCATTCACAATTGCTTCAAAGAGAAAAAAATACCTAGGAATCCTACTTACAAGGGATGCATGAAGGACCTCTTCAAGGAGAACTACAAACCACTGCTCAAGGAAATAAAAGAGGATACAAACAAATGGAAGAACATTCCATGCTCATGGGTAGGAAGAATCAATATCGTGAAAATGGCCATACTGCCCAAGGTAATTTATAGATTCAATGCCATCCCCATCAAGCTAACAGTGACTTTCTTCACAGAACTGGAAAAAACTACTTTAAAGTTCATATGGAACCAAAAAAGAGCCCGCATCGCCAAGTCAATCCTAAGCCAAAAGAACAAAGCTGGAGGCATCACGCTACCTGACTTCAAACTATACTAAAGGCTACAGTAACCAAAACAGCATGGTACTGGTACCAAAACAGAGATACAGATCAATGGAACAGAACAGAGCCCTCAGAAATAATGCCACCTATCTACAACTATCTGATCTTTGACAAACCTGAGAAAAACAAGAAATGGGGAAAGGATTCCCTATTTAATAAATGGTGCTGGGAAAACTGGCTAGCCATATGTAGAAAGCTGAAACTGGATCCCTTCCTTACACCTTATACAAAAATTAATTCAAGATGGATTAAAGACTTAAACGTTAGACCTAAAACCATAAAAACCCTAGAGGAAAACCTAGGCATTACCATTCAGGACATAGGCATGGGCAAGGACTTCATGTCTAAAACACCAAAAGCAATGGCAACAAAAGCCAAAATTGACAAATGGGATCTAATTAAACTAAAGAGCTTCTGCACAGCAAAAGAAACTACCATCAGAGTGAACAGGCAACCTACAAAATGGGAGAAAATTTTCGCAACCTACTCATCTGACAAAGGGCTAATATCCAGAATCTACAATGAACTCAAACAAATTTACAAGAAAAAACAAACAACCCCATCAAAAAGTGGGTGAAGGACATGAACAGACACTTCTCAAAAGAAGATATTTATACAGCCAAAAAACACATGAAAAAATGCTCACCATCACTGGCCATCAGAGAAATGCAAATCAAAACCACAATGAGATACCATCTCACACCAGTTAGAATGGCAATCATTAAAAAGTCAGGAAACAACAGGTGCTGGAGAGGATGTGGAGAAATAGGAACAGTTTTACACTGTTGGTGGGACTGTAAACTAGTTCAACCATTGTGGAAGTCAGTGTGGTGATTCCTCAGGGATCTAGAACTAGAAATACCATTTGACCCAGCCATCCCATTACTGGGTATATACCCAAAGGACTATAAATCATGCTGCTATAAAGACACATGCACACGTATGTTTATTGCGGCACTATTCACAATAGCAAAGACTTGGAACCAACCCAGATGTCCAACAATGATAGACTGGATTAAGAAAATATGGCACATATACACCATGGAATACTATGCAGCCATAAAAAATGATGAGTTCATGTCCTTTGTAGGGACGTGGATGAAATTGGAAATCATCATTCTCAGTAAACTATCACAAGGACAAAAAACCAAACACCACATGTTCTCACTCATAGGTGGGAATTGAACAATGAGAACACATGGACACAGGAAAGGGAACGTCACACTCTGGGGACTGTTGTGGGGTGGGGGGAAGGGGGAGGGATAGCATTAGGAGATATACCTAATGCTAAATGACGAGTTAATGGGTGCAGCACACCAGCATGTCACATGTATACATATGTAACTAACCTGCACATTGTGCACATGTACCCTAAAACTTAAAGTATAATAATAATAAAATAAAAAAAGATATCTCTTTTTATGTAACAAGTTTATATTTACACAATGAGATCACAATTTTGCAATTAAAGATTACAGTAAAAAATGACACTGACGGAGTTTACACAATTTCTGCAAACTCACATAGAAAGTAAATAATAGTTTGAGAAGGGATTTACACTGAAATTTATTTAAGTTTTCACAGCAGTTTGGGAGGCCAAGGGAGCAGATCAAGAGGTCAAGAGATCAAGACCATCCTGGCAAACATGGTAAAACCCCGTCTCTACTAAAAAATACAAAAACTAGCTGGGTGTGGTGGCACGCACCGGTACTCCCAGCTACTCTGGAGGCTTAGGCAGGAGAATTGCTTGAACATGGGAGGCGCAGGTTGCAGTGAGCCAAGATCACGGCACTGCACTCCAGCCTGGTTACAGAGAGAGACTCTATCTCAAAAAAAAAAAAAAATTATTTAAGTTCAAAGTCCATGGTTTTTCTACAGTCCTATACTACTTCTCTGTAACATATTTTTTTCTTACTAAGGATTTCATTTCATTTAGATAAAAGAAAAAAAATAAACAGAAGTGACTGTAAACTTGTCAGAATTTTTCTCCATATTAGAAATTGTGTCATTTGAAATGTTTCCTGTGGGCATGATATCTGAACATCACGAGGACATGTTACTATTATGTAATACATATTTATAAATGTAAATTATGGAAATAAAAAGTGGACCTTGAAAATATAAGCATGATTTTGATAATTTATCATAAACATGGCATCTAGATGGATGGAAAGTTTAGAATATTAAATTGCATACATAATATAGTTTGATCTTACCTTGTGGATGAAGTTAATTTCTTTTGATAGATTGAGAAGAAAATGTAAGTAGATAGGCAGCTTTGTGACGTAGAGCACATCATAAGAGTTTAACTGAATTTTTCACCTGATTCGACTGCGTAAATTCCTAGATCACTCAGTTAGAGACCCTCCCAATGGAGATTTCATAAAGTCTCAATTAACCTTAATAAGAGAGCCAAGATTCTGAAATTGCATGTGTAATGCATGTCTGGAATATGTTCATTGGCTTGGCCCAGATAGCTATCTAGTACATTATCTCTCACTTCTTCCTTAGTAACAAAACCCAGATTCCACTCTAGTTAGAAATTTGCGTAGCTAAATAACTACATTTTTTAATCTCCCATGCAACCAGAGGTGGCTAATCAAAAACAAGTGAAAGTTGATACGTAGGATTTGAAGAAAGCTCATTTCGAAGCGAGCAGAGATCTGGCTTACACCTGCTCCGCAATTCCTGCTTCTTTTCTGAAACACAGATATGATGACTGGAGTTCTATCAGCCATTTTGGAGCTGGAGGTGATCCTAAAGATGAAAGACCCACACAAAGAATGGTAAAATGTAAAAAACAGAAGCAATCTACATCCTTGACTGATGTCATTACATAACAATCAAAATATCTATGGGATGCATATTTCTATTTTTTTCTGTATGAAAGAAATAAGTAAACCTCTATCATATTTAATCCACAGTTATTTCTGGCCTTTTTGTTACAGGCCAAATACAATTCTAAGCTGATTCCATTCTGTCCAAAGCTGACTGGTATTCAGTGAAAAATAGGTCATCTAAGCAGTAGCTGTGACAGTATGCCTGGAAACTTGAGATCTTCACCCTAAACTCTCATTTTTTTTTCTCTTTTGTCACAAGCTTTTATTCCTGAAAGCTTGTATTATTATTTCCCAAACGAAACTACATTGTTTGAATAAGACAAATTGAGTTTAAGGTGATATTGGGAGTCAGCATGGTACAAGTGAAAGACCTTAAAATTTAGAGTCAGTGAATTAAAATTGAGAATCTTAATTTCAAATTCAACTCTAAAACTTATCAGCCATGTATCTCATATACAAGTTACTTGATTTTCATAGTAGTAAAATTAAAATAATAGGAGCCACCTCATGGAGTAGTGTTTAGCATAGTACTATACAGTGTCATGGTACTAAATAATGGTGTACAATATTATTTTTATTATTTAATTTGTGTAATAAAGTCTATACATATCATAGCAAGAGATTGTTATGGCCTCAACAAAGTTGTCTAACGTTGTTGTTAATCTGACTAAGCCATTATTCCTATCACTCTTAAGTACTTATTGCCATTTATATTTTTATGTGTGCTTGGATTTTCATAGAGATTCTAAGTTCTTTATTACCCAATCACTACCAGAAGCCCTTTTAAACAGTGACTGGTCAAGGAATATTTGAGGTGGCTTTTGTAAATATATCTGTTATTACAAATAGGAGAAAACATATCAGCGAAGGGAAAGACGTTGATTATAGCAATCAAAATTTACTTACTTATTTACCACCAAAGTTCTCTAAGCAACAAGAAAGGTCCTTTTTAATCATTTATGTCATTTGGATGGACCTTATCTTTATACATTATACTTTATTCCAATTTGAATCCAAGTTATCTATGCCCTCTGCATTAATGTTTCAGACAATTTAGCAGATGTTTACAGTCTGCTTGTACCCATATTCTAGTAGATAGTGAACGTTCTTATCACAAATGTCATAGCTTCTTTCACAGATATTTTAAGGTGGGTTTTTGTATTAAATTAGAAAATGAAAAAATTCAACTTTATTTTGATGGTGTCATTAAATTTAAGCTTGATTACAATACACTAAACCAAATGAAAACTTTCCTTTCATCTTATTATTCAATAATATGTGAAAATAACCCAATTAGCCATTTCTAGCTAGTGCCATTATAATTTTAGCATGACTTCAAGATTTAGAAATATAATTATGTAATTAGTTTTACGTATCAACTAGTACACATTAGTCATCAACATGGAGTATTTCTAAAATAACATTCAAACTAATCTTTGAAGTCAGAGATTATTCTATAAAGGCTATTAATGACAGTTAATATAATTAAATTATAATTATAAAACAAGTGTCAAATATAGAAAATTATCATATGTAATCAATGGTAGGCAAACATAGTTAATCATAACAAAACTGAACGCTGATGCTAAAGAATAGTATACTGGTTCCCCTTATGAACACATTGTGGCAAATACAAGTTATACTTCATACTTAATGTTTCCTCTTGTTGACTATAATCACATTAAAACAAGCAGAAAAAACATGGACTCCTACATAAATGGGAAATAAATTTAGATGCTTTATGAATAAGTGATACTGATAGGGGATACTTGAAATTACCATATTTGTATAAATGAAATTCAACTTAGTTCAACTAATATACATGAAAATTACCCTATGTTCAAGTATTATTTTAGGTCTTGATGATTTTATTATTGTTAAGTACAATCTGTACCTCAAAAGTGCTCATAGTTTAAGGAGGGATAATTATAATGCAAGGTAGTATGTGTGTTCTATGTATTTAGATGCATGTACACATATATGTTTATGCAACAGATACATAGATACAAACAGTATTGAGTGCAAACTGATAAAGGATACTTACCCCAGCAGTAAACTTTAGGAAAAGCTTTCTAGAAAACATGACAGCTAAAGAATCAAATTTGAACTGACTTTCTCAAAATCTCTCTGATTTGCCTTTTGCATATAGTTGGCTCTTCAGTTTGATATAATACTCTCCAATGAGAATATAAACAAGAATTCGAGGAAAGAAGAGCTGTGTGAGCACAGACTTTCTTCCGATCCCTTGCCAATCCCATCCCCAATCACTACCAACTAAAGCTAAGGTGAGAGCTAACAGAAAACACAAATATGGAAAAAAAAATCTAAATTAGGAATATGAAAGATTACAATCTCACATATGTTATAGAATTTGAGGAATTTGTTATAGACAAAATGGGACTAAATAATATTAAGACTTTAAGAAAAATATATTACTTTCCTGTAAGTTGTTGCCCTATGAGTTGATTAAGTAAGGGATACTAGTAAAAGCAACAATTATATACTCAGCATATTTTGACAGCAAGCCGAAGATGAGAATGGCTTATGGGAGGAAGAGGTTCAATATACTTAGATTTTATTTTTATTTTTTGCAATAAATCAAACAGTTGTCTATTGGCAGGTCCATTGGTAATTTTTCAATGTTTAAATGATCGTTTCAGTATTTTGGCATTGTTTTAATCACAGCCGGAATGGAAGTTAATTACAATGTTTTAGGGCAGGAAAGAAAGGAAAGTGCACTTGGAAGAGGTTCAAGTGGGTGACCTGAAGAACAAATGCCAGCATTTTTTTGTTTCTATTAGAATTTGTAACGTTTTTTATTCAGTTTTTTGTAAACACGAAACTGTATAAATTTTTAAATCCTTTGCAGAAGAATTTTTTTTTTTTATTTTTGGCTTGGGGAAGATTATTTATATTAATCCTAAGAGGGATTTGCTTATTTAAAAAATAGATTGGCTACATTCACATTTTTATAAATTACAAATTTTCCACCAGTTATATTTCTGCAGAGTTGAATTCAGAAAATATTCTTTTTGTCAGATAAAAATATTTAAAATGTATTAAATATTAGTAAATAAATACAGACATAATGAAAATAAATGATAACTCATGTTGAAGTACAGAAAATTCGTAAAAATATTAAAATTTATAAAATAGATTATAGTGCACAAAGTTAACACAATTCCCTATAAAAATTAAACAACACACTTACAGCATAAAATAATTGCAAATATTTTTATACACTGATTCTTTTGATTTGTATTATCTTTTAACCACTTTATTCCAAACAAATCACTTTAAAACAAATAATGCATTTCCAAAATAGCTGCAGCAACAAGAATTTATGGAAGTATGTCTTCTCCCAGACCCACGATTTCCCAGAAATGAAAGGCCACTTCCTTGATATCAGAAGTTAACCCTGAGAAGGTTAGACATTGACAAAGGGAAAAAATAAAGCATGATGATTTGTGCTAGGATGACTTTTTTTTCCTTGATTAGTGCTTACATTCCCCACTAATGTTTTAGCGGCTTAACAGCAGAAATAATATCTGTTTTCATCACTGCTCTATATATTGTAATCTAAAAAATTTGACATTTGGTAGGGACTTAATATATACTTTCAAATGAATGAACATTGCACACTGATTAAAAAAACTTTCTTTTTATTTAAGAGTTACCATTGAAAGTCCCATTCTGTTCGAATCTGCTTTCTGCAGAATACTGCTGCTTTCAGGTTTGAGAGAAGAGAGAGAGAGATGGTGAAAGAAAATGATGCCAGCAGGATGTTTCCCTTCAAATGGTGGAAAGACAGTAAGGCTTAAAGAAGCTCTACACAACATTATTTAAAGGCATCCCTTGATCTTTTGCCTTAGACCAAAGAAGATATCCCAGATCAGCTAGTGTGTATATGAATGCACATGTTCTGTAGTTAATTCTATATTGTTTGTGGAGTTGCAACTTAGTGTTGAAGTCTTCAATTATTTTGATGGAGATATAAGCCATCAAAATAGTTTGAGGACGTCAACCTAAATATGGGACTTTTATATCAGGTACCACAGTCCACATGAAAAAAATAACTGCATAATGAGGAAAATAGATACACTTTCTAAGCTTAAATGCTACATAAAAGTTTACACCTGAACTATTATTTTTGGTTGAATATGTTCATTTTAGCTCAATAGAGAAATGAAGGTGAAGTTAATTTTTTCAAGTATTTTCCCCCAGAAATTCATCCAAGTAAGATAACTATTTGGAGAAATCATTTCTGAAAGAATCTCTTGTGCCAGTCTTCTATTTAAATTATTATAATTATAAGTTGGTTATTTTTACATCTCATTATGCAAATACATAGCCTCTTCAATGATTGAATCTGAACTAAGGATTAGAAAATGTACTCTTTCTCTTACAGAATGTGTGTAGGTGTATATACATACACATACACAAACATACATATTCATAGATACAAAGGAAGCATCAGTGCTTAACCACCTGAATTCTTCATATTAAAACATTTGAACAAGCATATGTTTATGATCATGTTATTATGAAAGGGATTGACTGCTTCTGAGGACACTGAAAGGTAAATTTGAGTTTATGGCCTGCTGTCAAGTTTATCACAATATACTAGACATCACCTCTGCACAGTCCTGCGGGCATTTCAAATTTAACGTATTTTGTGCTAAACTCAATTTCACTTTATATTTCTTCAAAATCACTTTATTCTTATTGATTGATTGATTGATTGAGACAGATCTCACTCTGTCACCCAGGCTGAAGTGCAGTGGGGCAATTAGTATTTTGTATTTTTTGTAGAGATAGGGTTTCATCACATTGCCCAGCTGATCTCGAACTCCTGGGCTCAAGTGATCCTCCCACCTCAGACTACTCAAATGCTGGGATTACAGGCGTGAGCCACCATGCTCAGCCTATATTATCAATATCTCAAGGAATGTCATCACCAACCACTCCCAAGCCAAGAATATGGGAGAGATCTTTTATCATTCCTCTCTTTTGATCTGCATATTTAATCTTTCTAAGTGACCTGTTTATTCTCCCTCCCTTGTATCTCTTGTATGTTGCACTTTCTCTCCATCCCTTCAGTAAACAACTATGTTCCAGCACTCATGTGTCTGAATTTCTTCAGCACTCCCCTAAGTTGTTCCCTCGATTTCAATCATGACCCTTTCTTATTTTTTATTTATTTATTTATTTTATTTTTTTGAGATGGGGTCTGGCTCTGCCGCCCAGGCTGGAGTGCAATGGTGCAATTTCGGCTCACTGCAACCTCTGCACACCATATTCAAGCAATTCTCCTGCCTCAGCCTCCCAAGTAGCTAGGATTACAGGCATCTGCCACCACACCTGGCTAATTTTTGTATTTTTGGTAGAGACGGGGTTTCACCATGTTGGCCAGGGTGGCCTTGAACCCCTGAGCTCAAGTGATTCATCCGCCTTGGCCTCCCACAGTGCCGGGATTACAGGCAAGAACCACCGCTCCAGGGGGATCATAGCCCTTTACTGACTGATTCTTGCACAATGGCCTAAGCCATCTTCCTAAAATGAAAACACAAACCACTTTCCTGCTTACAACCATTCAATGACCTCCATGACTTTCAGAATAAAGCCAAACTCTTTCGCATAACATACTCTGGTTTTGATATGCACCTTTCCTTGGATCACTAATTTTATCATCTCCTTTATATCTCAACTTCACCACTTGTTCTTTCTAGAGTAGCCTCCTCTTATCTGAAAAATAGGTTTACTCTACTTTCCCGAAGGAATCAACTAAATAATTTCTTCTGGATCACTTTCTCTATCTTGTCCCCCACTCCCCCGCCCCCAAAAAATACCAACTTAACTGTATCAATAACTGTATTCGTCAAAGTTCTGTAGAGAAACAGAACTAATAGGATGTGTACACATATATATAGAAAGAGATTGGCTCATGCGATTATGAAGACTTAGAAGTCTCAAGATCTGTATGTGACAAGCTGGAGACCCAGGAGAGTAAGTAGTGTAAGCTCCAGTCTGAAAGCCAGAAGAAACGGGAAAAGCTCATGTTTCAGTTTGAATTCACAGGCAGCAAAAGACTGGTGTTCCAGCTCAAGCAGCCAGGCAGGAGAAATTACCTTTTATTTGCAGGAGCATCACCCTTTTTGTTCTTTCAGGCCATCAACAGATTAATTGAGGATAACACACATTAGGAAGAAAAATATGCTTTACTCAATCTACCAAGTCAAACGTCAGTTTCATCTGAAAACACCCTCACAACAGAAACATCCGTAATAATGTTTGACCAAGTATCTGGGACCTCCTGGCCCAGTCAAGTTGACTCATAAACATAGCCATCACTGTAGCTATGCTCTAATTATCTTTTTTCATACCTAACCCTCAACTCTTGAAAGCATGGGAAAATATAAATATGCCCCCACCAACACACACACACATATTATAGCATAAAATCTGATATATTTATTTGTTCAATAAAGGAAAGTAAATGCCATTCCACTCTGAAGACAACTAGGATATATCTCCTCTCAAGAGACACACAAATATTCTGATGTTTCAAAAAAGTAATATATGTAAACGATACTCTGTCCATAGTTACATAATTCTCTTTTAAAATTTAATCTTATAGGGCCATAGAAAACCTTTAATAAATTTAATCTATTTGATGCAAATAAATTTTTCTTGATGCAGAATAAATATATTTCCGGAATATATTTAATCGGGGAAAAAAACAAAATTTATATGACCAAAATTATATCTATGGTTTCTAAAAATGCCAGCTCTCTTTAGAAATCTTCATCTTCCAGAACATCACACTCTGGGGACTGTTTGGGGTCGGGGGATGGGGGAAGGATAGCATTAGGAGATATACCTAATGCTAAATGACGAGTTAATGGGTGCAGCACACCAGCATGGCAGATGTATACATATGTAACTAATCTGCACATTGTGCACATGTACCCTAAAACTTAAAGTATAATAATGATAAAATAAAATAAAAAAGAGAGACAACGAAGCTAAGTAAAAAATATGCTAATGACCGAACCTGGATTAATTTGACCAAAAAATACATTAAATTGTATTGAATTACAAATTAAATCATAAAATAAATATCCAAGTGTTAAAAAAAAAAGAAAGAAGTCTTCACCTTCCTTGTGGTGAAGATATAGGCTTCTCTAAGAAATAGGCTTACTCTACTTTCCTGAAGGACTCAACTAAATAATGTCCTCTGGATCACTTTATCTTCTCTCCACCCCTTCCAGAAAAATACCAACTTAACTACGTCAATAACTGTACTGATGAAAGTTCTGTAGAGAAACAGAAACAACAGAATGTGTACACATACATAGAAAGAGATTTTTTATAAGGGGTTATAAATCATCACCTTTCTAACATCAATAAATATCACCATAATTTGTCTAAAATGTTTTAATTCTCACCAAACCCAAGAATCTACAGCATTTTCTACATCTTCATATAGGAAAAGTAAAATTCTTTACTTTTTAGCTTTTGAGAAGTGAAAATCTTCACATTATCTGCCAATAATTTTTCTGCAAAATGTAATCTCAATCATAAAAATGTTAAACATATGTATGAAAGCTTTTAAAATAGTAACTTGTGTTTGTCAATATACAAAGTTCCTTCTGGCTGTTCTTATTTAGGCAAAGAAAGCTTTCTTTTGTTAAGGCGGTTAATATTTTATAAGTTGCTTAATAGTTATGTGTATGTTTATTCATACTAAGGATCATATCTTAAATCCTTAGGGAAAATAATCTTTAGTGTAAAAAAAGAAATCACAATTATTCAACCCTTTTTGGGCACCAGGCATTTTGCATACATTATCTCATTTAGTCATAAATGTTTAAGAAATTGTAGATGTCATATTTAGGATTAAATTATAACATGATCTTGGTTCATTGAAGCCTTAAAATAAAACATTGCAGACATCAGATTAATGATGAAAATTTTCATAGATTAAAATCAGTAATTTAATATATAGCACCATTCTAACTAGTAAATATTAATTACATTGTTAACAGATATTCATTGAAATATAACCATTAAAATATACTATGTCTTCATATGACAAAACATTTGTGTTAAACATTATCATAGAAAGGTTTATCTCAGATGATGCCAACTTATCAAGAACGGCCAACTAGACAACATCTGCATTTCGCTCTTGGTCAAAAGATATATTTCTGGGGGTGTTTCCATGTATCCCTTATCACCTCTTTCTTAACTGTCTTATTCTTTTTGTGTATTACCTTGCACTGAAATATTTATTAGTTTTTAAGTTATTTCTTGCTTGTAATTCTTAACAATTTTAGTTTTAGTCAAGTGGTTTGCAGAAATTTTTCTTGCTGTGTGTCATTGAACCAGATATCTTATCTTCTGTCTCAGTAGTAATATAGGTTCACCTACATCCTACACAATAATGGGAACCTGTTACCACATAGGTGTCATTTTATCTTATTCATAGGTAAAAACTAAGTCAAACTCATCTTTGGTGTTCTATAACAACTGCAAAGCAGTTAAAACTGGTTCTGCAAAATTATGAAATGTTTTGTATTAGAGTTCTATAAAAAATACTCTCAATATCAAAGGGATAGTCAATTGTATAATTATTTTACATAAAATTAATATAGAAATACCCTCTAAAGACATCTGGTATTGTTTTAACAAAATAGACAAAGTCAATGCTTAAAATTTTGACTCTTTGGTCAACTAGTGCCGCATACTGTAAAAATTGAGAAAGAATGATAACATACCAAATCTAACATTAACATGAATGTATAATACTTTCATTTTAAAGAACTGTTTAAAACTATAACAAAATATTTGACTTACAATAAAAATAAAATAGGACCTTTATTATATAAATATTTTCATTTTCAATTGTATTTCTTATAATGGCTGTGTTCCTAGCACCCCTGACATGAATTACAACAAATGAATTTCTTTAATTTTTGTCAAAATTTCCAAGTTTGTTGAAGTGATTTGTTGTGATAACAAACAAGCAAAACATAATTGTGAAATTCTCTAGTATAATCAGGAATTAGTATGAAAATAATATTGTCAAAAATAAAAAAAATAATCCTGATGGTAGGCATAAAATCTATTATCTTCTATTCCAAAATTATATCTTTTTATTTTTTTCAACTTTTATTTTTGTTTCAGGAAAGACATGTGCAGGTTTTTTACATTGATAAATTGCATGTCACTAAGGTTTGGTGTTCAAATGATCCTGTCATGCAGCTAGTGAACATAATATCCAGTAGGTAGTTTTTCAATCCTCATCCCACATCCACCCTTCCCCCTCTAGTAGTTCCCGTTATCTATTGTTCCCATCTTTATGTGCATGTGTACTCAATGTTTAGCTTCTACTTATAAGTGAGAACGTAGAGAACTTACGGTATTTGGTTTTCTGCTCCTACATTTGTTCATTAGGTTAATGGCCTCCAGCTGCATTCCTGTTGCTGCTAAGGAGATTATATTATTATTATTATTATTATTATTATTATTATTATTATTATTGAGGTGGAGTCTCTCTTTGTCGCCCAAGCTGGAGAGCAGTGGTGTGATCTTGGCTCAGTGCAACCTCCGCCTCCCGAGTTCAAGAGATTCTCCTGCCTCAGCCTCCCTAGTAGCATGGATTACAGGCATGCACCACCACATCCAGCTAATTTTTGTAGTTTTAGTAGAGATAGGGTTTTGTCATGTTGGCCAGGCTGTTCTGGACCTGCTGACCTCAAATGATCCGCCCACCTCAGCCTTCCAAAGAGCAGGGATTACAGGCATGAGCCAACGCACCCGGCCGATTTTACTATTTTTATGGCAGTGTGGAGTTCCATAGTGTGTATCCACCACATTTTCCATGGTGTATAAATGCACCACATTATCTAGTTCACCATTTTGGGGCATCTGGGTTGATTCTATGTCTCAGAAAAATTATATATTTAAAACAAACATGTTTTATAAATTTCTGATAAACATATTTGAAGTTAAAACTTGACCTAAACCAATGTGAGGCTATGTATGTTTTTTAGGTATATCAGTTTGTGAAAATAATCTTTTTTTTTTTACTGTCAAGATATTATGAGCTCAGCTAAGTCTATTTCCAACCCTGTTGGCAGTGATAGATAACATACAGTGTGTTAGCCATCTTGAATTTTCAGAAGTCGAAACTTAATACTGGAAACACACATGGCCCAGAAGCCTTGAAACATGACTGTAGAAGTCTGCTGTTAGTCTAAATCTATAGTTCCTTTTTCCTATCAGTTTGCTTTATAATAAAAATGATGCAAGCATGTTATAATATAAATATGTATAGTATTTTACCCAAACAGGCAGAAATATATTCTCTGTTGTTGTCATCAGCTTATTTAGTAATGTTGAAAATAACGAGTGTTTTTTTTCTTCGTCTTCTTCAAAGAGGATATTGAGGACCAAATAATTTGAGTACAGTTGACAATAAAAACATATCAATATGTTACATTTCAAATACTATTTTGGAAATAATTATGGTTAACCTGAAAAAAACAAGATTGTTACCCTTTTTTCAAAAAAGATGTTTTGTTTTATGCTTCTATCTTGGTAATAAACTCAAAACAACACAAAGCAAAAACTGGTAATACAGGTAATAAACCTGCAAAATAACACTATATGATGGTAAAAAGATCTCTTAGAAAGTAAACATTGGCTCTTGTCATAATTTTGACCAGTGAAGCACAGTGTTGTTTAGAAACTTTTAGAGGAACATCAAACGTAAGGTTATCAGCAAGAAAGGCTTTCAGGCTCTAAAGAATGTATGCTGGGACACAAAGCCATACTCCATGTTATAGAGACAAGAAGAAGGAAATACAAGACTAGACTGGACATGTAATTAAGCATCTTTGAGACTGGGGCAGGAACCAGTAGTGATGATGTTCCTTGGTACTTGGACAGAGGTCCTGGTTGGAAACTAGTAAAGTAGAAGCAAAAACCAAAAACAGGACGCGTTTAAATAGAAATATGTGCATAGAATTTCCAGGTATTGCAGAACAACTGCTACACTTAATGAATCTAATTAGATCAAGTTGATAATTGAACTATAGAACTTCATACCTCCTTGCTTCCTATTCCTTCCTTCCTTCCTCCTGGCTAATATTCACACATATATGCTAATATTCTATTACCTTGTCAAAAGTGCTACTCATAGGAGCTCATAGACCAGGAAAAGTTGGAAGTTCATTCTCTTGGTTTACTGAGTTGACTTGCTGTCAGAGCAAGGTGAGCAGTATTTCTGTCTATAACCCACAATAAGGAATAATTTAATCAATATCCAAGGGTCATGACTTACTGTTTGAATAACACCAGTTTGGGTGGTCTTCCTAATACCTCTGCAATCTCTGATTTCTTCTTATCAACAGTCTGCCAAATCACTCTCTTGAAACTCTGAAGTCGTCTTGAGATTCTACCACCCCACTGACACTTAAATCCATTCATTCTGGTTGTACTGATTTCTGCCATTGCAATCCAATATAAGGAACCCCAAATGTTTAAGGTGGTATGGAAAACAATGGAAAAATGGATAAAATATATTAAAAGATTTTCCCAATACTAAGAGGGTGTTAATGTACTATGGAATTTTAAGGGTTCTATAAAAATAATTATGATTTAATCCTACCACATATAATGAGTGAAGCAACTAATAGACTGCTTTCTAGAGAAGAGAAAAAGAAAGAAAAAAAATTTAGATTTAGGAAGTGAAAAATTTGGCCATTTTTCCGTTGTCTGGTCTTTGCCCTCACATTTTGGGAAGTAATGTATTTTATATCTGATAGGATTGCATTTGTTTAGGTCAGAGGCTAACCACTCAGGATCTTAGGGTGAAGCCAGCCAGATGTGATAATCATAGGATGGAGTGGGCTATGCCAGAAATACCAACCACATGATTTAGGGTGAGGACATTGGGACATGTTGAATCAGTTAACCTAGAAGCTGATATCAATCATGTGGGAAGCCAATCAATCAATCATGCCCATGTAATAGAGCTCTAATAAATCTCTAGACACCAAGCCTTGGGTGAACTTCCCTGATAGATCATGCTCATGTGTATAGTTACACATCAATGCTGGGAGGGTAAGGCATCCTGACTCCAAGGAAGAGGACAGCAGAAACTCTGCCTTTGGAACCCTCTAAGACCCGGCTCTCTGCATCTCTTCTTTTGGCTAATTTTAACCTGTAACCTGTCCTATAATAAACAATAACCGTGTATATACTAGCTTTCAATGAGCTCTGTGAGTATTTCTAGTGAATTATTGAACCTGCTGATGGTTTGAGAACCCTCAAACTTAGAGTTGTTGTCAGAAGTGATGGCAGTGTTGAATACTAAACCTTTGAAGTTTGGCTAGTGCCAGGAGAATTTTCTTCAAATCCCAGTTGGTAGAACCATAAACAAATCAATTTATGTAAAGGTGCTTTAGAAGCTTGACTTTAAAAAAATCTACTTGTATTCAGAGAAGAATATATAAATGGTGGAGGTTTTAAAACGTCAAGTCTACTGAATGTATTTGAACCCCAAATTGTGTCTTCTTTAAATAGAAAAAAATAATAATAACATTTAAAAGTTTACCTGCTCAGTTGTCTTCTAAGCCTTCCATGTTAATTACTATTTACCATATTAGGAACAAAAAAATGCTGTTAAAAAGACCTAGAAATGATTAAGACCAAAAGCAAAGGGAAGGGAATAAATATTTGAAAATTTCCAATGGCTTGCCAGAGACTTTTGGCTAATTTACATGCATTTTTCACATAATTCACTCAATGGCTTATAAGAAGCTATTATTGCCGCATGTGTGCATTTCAGAAATTCAGGATCTGAGAGGTTAAATGACATACTAATTTCATACAAGCTAAGTAGTGGAGTCAGAATTTAAATATTGGTTGCCAAATTTGAAAGACCAAATCCTTTTCACTTTAACAATTTGCTTGCATTAGGTAACAGTAAAACATCAGAGTATGAGAATTTTGAAGTTCAAGTACTGTAGCTTTTCTAAGTGACATTGCTAAAACCTTCAAAAATTCTTCTGCATTCAGGTTCCTACTCCTGTACAAAGAGAGCAAATAGTATAAATGCAAAGACAAAATAGTTCAGATAATTTATAAATCAGTGTTATAGAGCTACAAAAACAAACCAAAAATACACTACCTCTTCTCAATAGGTCATTAGTTACTCTAGTGGATCAATTTGCATAAGGTTCTATGTCTAAACCTAAATTGTCTGGTTTTGGATTAATTTCAGAATACAAGTAGGGGCAGCTTCCTCAAGAGCAGAGTGAATAGGAATTATTGGGCTAAAAGAAATTCAAAATAAAAATGTCCACTTATTCTTCTAGAGACTGATGACATACAAACGCCAGAGAAAAATAATGCCTGAAGTTCTTCCTCACTGCAGTCCTACCCCTTTCAAATAATTTCCCCATCCCACGTCTTAATCCATTTTAAAGTAAGTAAACTATAATAAGTCTTACATTCGGAAATTGTGTATTGGAGACAAAATTCTTACTTTCTTCCTTCTTGCATGCAAGCTGACTTAGAAGGGGGAAAAGGTTAATTCAGGTATCTGAAAATATGTATTTTTCTAGGCTCCTATCTCCCTCCCTAAGTCCTCCCTTATAGGTAAAATGCTAAATTAACAACCTTTTTTTTTATATCTGCAATTGGTATTTAGGTTTCTCTTTCTCAAACAAAAATTTCCACTCCATTTCTAATCTATCCTAAGAGCACAAAGTGTCATATACAACATTTCAGTCTAAAACATAATTGCTTTGATACAAAGACCAAGAAGTCAAACAGCCAAAGATGCAAATACAGACACAAATCCTGTTAGAGACACTTCTAATATAATGAATTGTTGATACTAATAGGTCATAAAAATCAGACCAGCTTTTAAAGGCTATCCTCAGATACCAAGCTTCAGAATCTCACATACATATATATGCTTCATTACCTTTGTTTGAGGACTACTTTTAGGATTTGCTAATTTTATATAGCAAATAATTTTTAAGAAGGGATGGTTCCCAGAGGTGCTCCCAAAATTAACAAAAGTAGAGATCACAGAATTTAGGAACTTGGAATGACCTGTTAAAATATTCAATCCAGTTCATCTTACAAATCCAAATATTGAGGCAGAAAGAGCTTAAATGATTTTTCTAGGATTACAGAGCAAAGAAGTGGCAACAAAGACTTTTGATCTCTTTACTTTGCACTCAGAGTTCTGAGGCTTTTTGGTTATTTAATAATTCTACTGAAAATATCCTGGTACACTGACTCCATAAGGAAAAGGCAGGATCCTTGAGAACTCAATTGCTGAGGCACAGCATGAAATAGGGATATGCTGTTTCCTTTCTAATATATATTTCCTAATATCCTTTCTAACCCTTAAAGCAGAGTGGCTGCCTTTAATAAATAAGAACATTCTGAAGTACCACAAGAAAGAAAGAACCATCTCTGGTATGTCCTAAAAAGGTAAAATAAATATATGATAAAGTTGTGGGGAGACTGACAATTTGGTATCAGTCTTTCATCAGAGATATTTTATAAAATCACATGTGCATAAGCAATAATTGGTATACCTACTGCTAATGGCATGACATCCAAAGGTCCTGTTTTCACAGCCCCTGCTGAAGAAAGGCCCATCCAGATTATCCTTTGGTATGAGTAACTGAAACCTGAGTTTTTCACCACTAAAACCAGAAGACAAAGAAAGCATTTGACAAATTTCAACACCTGTGCCTGATAAAAATTCTCAACAAATGAGGAATAGAAGGGAATGCCCTTAACCCAGTAATGAGCATTTATGAGAAACCTATAGCTAGCATCATAGTTAATTTTATTCATAAGATTTGAAACATTCCTCCTAAAATCAGGAACAAGATAAGGGTGTTTATTCTCACCACTTTTATTAAACATTTTATTAGAGTTTATAGGCATTATAATCAGGCAAGAAAAAGAAATAAAATAAATCCAGCTTGGAAAGGAAGGAGTCGTTACTGAGATGACATGTGTGCGTATAAAATCTAATAGAACAATAACAATGAAAAGCTACCAAAATTGTTTGTTTAGCAAGGTTTCCAGATGCAATATCAATATATAAAATCAATTTTGTTCCTATATGCTGGAATCAAATAATTAAAAATTAAATGAAAACCACAATAGCATTTAAAATAGCATCACAAATATGGAATAATTAGGGAAAAGTCCAGCAAGGGATGTACCACACCTGCATGCTTAGTCAATTGTGGTAAGAAAATTTGATTGTTTCTCAAACATGTTACCTTTGTATTACAGGGTTTTCCTTACAAGGTTCTTAGACTTTTCGTGACTCTATTGGTTTCCACCTCTGTAAATTGGAAAATGTATATTTATTTTATAACTAATTTATTAGAGCTCTTACGCTGAGTTGATGAATTATGACAAAGATTTTCTTAGTACAAATTAGCACATGGTAATTTCCCAAACTGTTACTATTTATATTTGAGAAATCTGAATTAAAGAGATATCAGAGTACATGATGAATCTTTAATACCACACATTTGCCCTTCAGATTGCTATCATCTTTCTTACTCCTTCATCACTCTCAAAAAATAAAAATAAATATAATTAGTACATCACTAAATACCTTTTACTTGACTTGTCTGTGACATTTGGCTTTATGGATCACTCCCTTATGAAAACCATGCTCCAGTGCTTTTCATTATACCACAAGATCCTAGTAGTCTAACCCTCCTTCCATTTCTTTCAGTCTCCTTTTTGGGGTTTTCTTCTTTTGATCAGCTTCCTGTATGTTAATATCTCCCAAAACTCTATCATTTTTTTCTCTATTTTTCTCTTCTTTTTTTGTATTTCACACTCTAATATTGTGGCCTGTGTGACCCCATGTATTCCATTTCTGTTATATGATGAAAAAAAAAAACTCTTTCAAGCTAATGATTCATACATTCTCCATCTATTTGGTATCTCTACCTAAAATCTTCCCCCATATCTCAATTTATTCATGTATCACTCCATTTCATTCAAAACTCCTCTAACAAAATTGACTAGTCTCTCCTTTGTTGATGCTTAGTACGCCGGCCTTAGTGATGAGATAATTCTTAGAGGAGCTGGTGCTTAAGTCCACACTAAATAAATGATAAGTAAATGGGGTGGAAAGTTAGAGGTGGGAAATAATTTGATTAATGGGACAGAAAAAGAAAAATTATAGACATGTACATAACGTGTACATAAGAACTTGAAATCTTCAGAAACATACAAGTCTATTGGTATGACTGAAGTGTATGAAGCAAGACAAAGTAAGGAGAAAGTGGTCTGGTGATACGAATCCATTGAACGATTAATTGCCACCTACAACATTCAGCCACGTGGGAACATGCCTGTATTATAATGTTCAGTTAAAACAGAAAGAAGATACCAAGGTATAAGTGCATTATAATATCAATTATAATAAATATTTTTAAACAACTGAATTAATAAATTAGTCCTATGGGGGAAATGAACCAAAATGTTTATTTTGATTAAAATGATGAAATTATAAATTATTTTTCTAAGGTTTTATATTTTCTGGGCTTTTATGTTTTCCAATATAGCTTAACATGGAAGATAAAATAGAAACAATAGTAAAAGTTAATGGTTATCACAAAAATCTTACCCCATATACAGGCTTTCCTACTTGAAATTTAGTTACTTGAAATAGTGTTTTACTTTGTGAAGTATGTCAATAATGTTCAAACAGTCTAACAGACCTTTTAACAAATCTATTTGACCTTACATCTTTTCATCACTTATTTCCTTAATTGTTTCCCCAATTTAATCAAGACAATTCCTACACTGTTTTCTCAACATATGACTTTCATTCTTTTCATCATTCTTTTGCTTGTACTCTTTCTCCATTTGGAATCTTCTCCCCGTGTTCCTCAATATGTAATAGATATTTAATATTAAAATGTACGTTTAATAGATATTTATGTGTACATGTAATAGATATTTATTATTTATTAAGCACTTATTCTGAAACAGGCACGATACTTAACCTTTTACATAATCTTAATTACACCTCAAAATAATAGTATGAGATGGGTATAATATTGAAAGTACAGTGGGAAGCCACCACATCATCCCTGACTCTCTATCCTATGGATTTTTTCTTTTTCTATTTAATAGTTTTCACTAAAATCTCACTATTACTTGAAATAGCATTTTACTTTGTCAAGTATGTCAAGTATGGAGTTAGTCATTCTTCCCATTCCCCAAGCATAAGTTTAGGGAACAGAACTAGTATATGCAGAAGAACATGTGTATGCAGCAGATGTATGATACAGATGATATTTGATTTTTGGTTTGTTGTTAAATATTTTAAATTAATTTTTCAATTGGCTAATCAAAACTGTATATATTTATGGTATGCAACATATTTTGAAATATGTGTAGGTTGTGAAATGTCTAAATCAAACTAATTAACATATATATTAACATATTTATCTGTGGTGAGAACACTTGAAATCTACTCTTTCAGCAATTTTCTTTTTTTTTCTTTTTTCTGTTTTTTTTTTTTTTTTTGAGGTGGACTCTTGCTCTGTCACCCAGGCTGGAGTGCAATGGCGCAATCTCAGCTCACTGCAACCTCCGCCTCCCAGGTTCTAGCGATTCTCCTGCCTCGGCCTCCTGAGTAGCTGGGATTACAGGCATGCACCACCACACCTGGCTAATTTTTGTATTTTTAGTAGAGGAGGGGTTTCACCATGTTGGCCAGGCTGCTCTCAAACTCCTGACCTCAGGTGATCCACGCGCCTCGGCCTCTCAAAGTGCTGGGATTACAGGCATGAGACACCGCGGCCTCTTTTAGCAATTTTCAAGTATACATTCATTGTTATTAACTACAGTCATCATGTTGTGCAAAAGATCTCTTGAATTTATTGTTTTTTTCTAACAAAAGTTTTTTTGTATTTTGACCAACATCATCTCAATTCCTATCTAAATCCACCTGCTGTAAACCTGATTTTACTCTCTGCTTCTATTATATAAGTTAGATATTTTTAGATTTCACATATGAATTAGATCATGTAGGGTATGTCTTTCTATATCTGGTTTATTTCACTTAATATAGTGTATTTCAGGTTAATCATTGTTTCGAATGACAAGATTTTCTTTTTAAGGCTGAATAATGTACCATTATGTGTGTATACCACATTTTTTAATCCACTCATCCATTGATAGTTAGGCTGATTCCATATCTTGGCTACTATGAATAATGCTGCAGTGAAGATGGAAGTGCAGACAGCCTTTCAGCATAACAATTTCATTTCCTTTGGATATATATCCAGTAGTGTGATTGGTGGATCATATGGTAGTTTTGTATTTAATTTTTTGAGGGGTCTTCATACGGTTGGTTCATAATGGCTGGATTAAGTTGCATTTCCACCAACAGTGCACACAGATTTCAATTTTGCCACATTTTTGCTAATACTTGTCATTGTTCATCTTTTTGATAATAGCCATTCTAACAGGTCTGAGGTAATTTTGGTTTTAATCTACACTGCTCTGATGTAGTAGCAATGTTGCACATTGTATTATTTATCTGTTGGCCATTTGTATGTCTTCTTTTGGGTAATGTCTATTCAGCTCCTTTCCTGAAATGTCTATTCAGCTCCAGCAAAGGTGGTTCTGGAAGACAGAATTCTGTATGTTTTGTCTCCACTCTGTTTTTTCCTTCTCTGTGGAGTGGCTTTTTAGTTTCATATGATCCCATTTACCTATTTGTTTTTCTTTGGGGCCCATTTTTTTGGAGTAATATCCAAAATAACTCATTGCCGGACAGTCATGACAATTTTCCCTTTTCTTCTAGTACTTTCAGTTCTTCTGTTTAAATCTTCAGTCCATTTTGGGTTGATTTTTGTAGATGGGATCAAAGAAGGACCTAATTTTATTTTTGTGCACAAGGATACTCAGCTTTTCCAAGAATGTCTATTAGAAGACTGTTCCTTCCCCATTGTATGTACTGGCATCTTTGTTGAAAATCAATTAACTGTAAACGTGTGCATTTATTTCTGGTGTCTGTATTCTGTTCCCTTGGTCTGTGTGTCTGCTTTTATGCCAGTAGCATATTGTTTTGATTATTTTGTAACATATGTTTTAATTGGATGGTGTGATGCCTCCAGCTTTTTTCTTTTTGCTCAAGATTATTTTGGCTATTCAAGGTCTCCTGCAGTGTCATGCACATTTTATAATTTTTTTTCTATTTCTGTGAAAAATATTGGAATTTTGAGAGGGATTGCACTGAATCTGTAAATTACCTTAGGTAGTATGAATATTTTAATGATATTATTTCTTCCAATTTATGAGAGTGGGATATTTTTGTGTCTTTCTTAATCAATGTTTTGTGGTTTTCAGTTGTACATATTTAATCTCCATGGTTAAATTTATTCCTGAGTTTGTTTTTGTAGCTATTGTAAATGGCTTTTATTTTGTTTCTGTTTCAGATGGTTCATTGTTAGTGTATAGAAATGCTACTGGTTTATGTATGTTAAATTTGATTCATGCAACTTTACTGATTTTTTAAAAATTCTAATAGTTTTTTGGTGGTCACCTCAGAGTTTTGTATATATAAGACCATTTCATGTGGAAACAGATAATATAACATCTTCATTTTTTTTTTTTTTTGAGACAGTCTTGCTCTGTTGCCCAGGCAGGAGTGCAGTGGTGCGATCTTGGCTTACTGCAACCTCCGCCTCCCGGGTTCAAGCAATTCTCATGCCTCAACCTTCCTAGTAGCTGGGATTACAGGCATGCATCACCATGCATGGCTAATTTTCGTATTTTTAGTAGATACAGGGTTTCACCATGTTGGCCAGGATTGTCTTGAACTCCTGACCTCAAGTGATGTGCCCGCCTTGACCTCCCAAAGTGCTGGGATAATAAGCATGAGCTACTATTCCCAGTCAACGTCTTCCTTTTTAATTGGAATGTATTTATTTCTTTTACTTGTCCAATTGCTCTGGCTAGGACTTCCAGAAGTATGTTGAATAGAAGTGGTAAGAATGGGCATAAGTATCTTACTCCTGATATTAGAGAAAAGGATATTCAATATTCGGTATACAATTATTCATAGCTGTATTTTATGATTCTTTGTATTTTTGTGGTACCAGTTTTAATGTCTACTCTTTCTGATTTTGTTTAATTGAGTCTTGTCTTTCTTACTCTAGCTAAAGATTTGTCAATTTTATATTTAAAAAATAAACTCACATTGATATTTTCTTTTGTTTTTCTAGTCTCTATTTCATTTATTATAGCCTTAGTCTTTGTTATTTTTTTTTCTACTAAATGTGGGTTTAGTTTGATCTTCTTCTAGTTCCTTGAGGTGTAACATTAGATTGTTCATTTGAGTTCCTTCTTTTTTTACATGTATGCATTTATTGCTATAAAATTCCCTCCTGAAACTGCTTTTGATGCATCCCTTAAGTTTTGACATATTGTGTTTCTGATATGGTTTAGCTATGTCCACACCCAAGTCTCAGCTTGAATTGTGTCTCCCAAAATTCCACATGTTGTGGGAAGGACCCAGGTGAAGGTAATTAAATAACGGGGGCAGTTCTTTCCCTTGCTATCTCATGATAGTGACTTAAGTCTCACGAGATCTGATGGTTTTATCAGGGGTTTCCACTTTTGCTGCTTCTTCATTCAGTCTTGCCACCACCATGTAAGAAGTGTATTTTTCCATCTGCCATAATTGTGAGACCTCCCCAGCCATGTGGAACTGTAAGTCAAATTAAACCTCCTTTTCTTCCCAGTCTCAGGTATGTCTTTAGCAGCAGCATGAAAACAGACTAATAGAGTAAATTGGTACCAGGAGTGGGGAGTTGCTGAAAAGATACCCAAAAATGTGGACGTGATTTGAAACTGGGTAACAGGGTGAGGTTTGAACAGTTTGGAGGGCTCAGAAGAAGACAGGAAAATGTGGGAAAGTTTGATACCGCCTAGAAACTTGTTAAATGGGTTTGACAAAAATGCTGATAATGATATGACAGTAAGGTCCTGGCTAAGGCGGTCGCAGATGGAGATGAGGAACTTGTTGGGAACTGGAGCAAAGGTGACTCTTGTTATGTTTTAGCAAAGAGACTGGCGGCATTTTGACCCTGTCCTAGAGATGTGTGGAACTTTGAACCTGAGAGAGATGATTTAGGATATCTGGCAGAAAAAAATTTTAAGCAGCAAAGCATTGAAAACATGACTTGGGTGCTGTTAAAAGCATTCCATTTTAGAAGGGAAACAACATAAAAGTTCAGAAAACTTGCAGCCTGATGATGCAGTAGAAAAGAAAAATCCATTTTATGAGGAGAAATTCAAGACAGCTACAGAAATTTGCATAGGTAGCAAGAAGCCTAATGTTAATCCCCAAGACAATGGGGAAACTGTCTCCAGGTTATGTCAGAGACTTTCACGGTAACCCCTGCCATCACAGGCCCAAAGATCCAAGAGGAAAAAGTAGTTTCATGGGCCAAGCCCAGAGTCCCCGTGCTGTGTGCAGCCTAGGGACTTGGTGCTCTGTGTCCCAGTCTCCACAGCCATGGCTGAAAGGGGCCAATGTACAGCTCTGGCTATGGCTTCAGAGGGTGGAAGCCCCAGGCCTTGGCAATTCCACTTGGTCTTGAGCCGGTGGGTGCACAGAAGTCAAGAATTGAGGTTTGGGATCCTCTGCCTAGATTTCAGAAGATGTATGGAAACACCTGGATTCCCAGACAAAAGTTTACTGCAGGGGCAGGGGCCTCATGGAGAACCTCTTGGTAGGGCAGTATGGAAAGGAAATGTGGGTTCAGAGCCCCCATACAGAGTCCTTACTGGGGCACTGCCTTTGTGGAACTGTGAGAAGAGGGCCACTGTCCTCCAGATCCCAGAATGGTAGATCCACTGACAGCTTGTACCATGTACCTGGAAAAGCCATAGACACTCAGCACCAGCCTAGGAAAGCAGGCAGGAGGGAGGCTGTACCCTGCAAAGCCACAGGAATGGAGCTGCCCAAGACCATGGGAACCTACCTCTTGCATCAGCATGACCTGGGTGTGAGACCTGGAGTCAAATGAGATCATTTTGGAGCTTTAAAATTTGACTCCCCTGCTGGATTTCAGACTTGCATTGACCTCATAACTGCTTCTTTTTGGTCAATTTCTCCCATTTGGAATGGCTGTATTTACCCAATGCCTGTACCCCCATTGTATTTAGGAAGAAACTAGCTTGCTTTTTATTTTACAGGCTCATAGTTGAAAGGGACTTGCCTTTTTTCAAATGAGACTTTGGACTGTGGACTTTTGGATTAATGGTGAAATGAGTTAAGACTTTGAGGGACTGTTGGAAAGGCATGATTAGTTTTGAAATGTGAGGACATGAGATTTGGAGGGGATGAGGCAGTATGATATGGTTTGGCTGCGTCCCCACCCAAATCTCAACTTGAATTATATCCCCAGAATTCACATATGTTGTGGAGAAGACCCAGGGGAAGGTAACTGAATCATGGGGGCCAGTCTTTCCCGTGCTATTCTCATGATAGTGACTTAAGTCTCAAGAAATCTGATAGGTTTATCCTGGGTTTTTGCTTTTGCTTCTTCCTCATTCTTTCTTGCCACTACCATGTAAGCAGTGATTTTCACCCTCTGTCATAATTGTGAGACACCACCCCCCAAGCCATGTGGAACTATAAGTCAAATTAAACCTCCTTTTCTTCCCAGTTTTGGGTGTGTCTTTATCAGCAGTGCAAAAATGGGCTTATACAGTTTCTATTTTCATTTGTTACAAAAATTTTTAAATTTCCTATGTGAATTCTTTTTTTTTTTTTTTTTTTTTGATATGGAGTCTCACTTTGTCGCCCAGGCTGGAGTGCAGTGGTGCAATCTCAGCTCACTGCAAGCTCCACCTCCCGAGTTCATGCCATTCTCCTGCCTCAGCCTCCAGAGGAGCTGGGACTACAGGCACCCACCACTGCGCTCGGCTAATTTTTTTGTATTTTTAGTAGAGACGGGGTTTCACTGTGTTAGCCAGGGTGGTCTCGATCTCCTGACCTCGTGATCTGCCCGCCTCAGCCTCCCAAAGTGCTGGGATTACAGGCGTGAGCCACCGCGCCCGGCCTTGAATTCTTTTTTGACCCGTTAGTTTTTCAGGATAATTTAGTATAATATCCACATGTTTGTGAATTTTCTGGTTTTCCTTCTGTTATGGATTTCTGGTTTTATACCACTGTAGTTAAAAAATAAACTATGTGATTTTGATCTTTTTAAATTTATTGACTTGTTCTGTGGCTTATTATGTAATATATTTTGGAGAGTGTTCTATGTGCACTTGAGAAGAATGATTCTACTGCAGTGCTAGAAGTCCTAGTAAGAGCAATTAGGTAAGAGAAAGAAACAAAGAGCATCCAAGTTGGTAAGGAGGAAGTCAGATTGACCAGGTATGCAGATAACATTATCTTACATATAGAAAATCTGAAAAGTTCCACCAAAAAACTCTTAGAACTGTAAAATACATTTCATAAAGTTTCAGTATACAAAATTAAACAGACAAAAATTAGTAGCGTTTTTATAAACCAACAACAAACTGGCAGAAAAGTAAATTAAGAAAGCAATATCATATTCATAATAGCTACAAAAAATTAAACTACCTGGGACTAAATTTAACCAAGAGGTAAAAGTCTCTAAAAGAAAAGCCATAGAGCACTGATGAAAGAAGTTGAGAGGACACACACCAAAAAATTAGTAAACCTCACATGTCTATGAATTGGAAGAATTAACACTGTGAAAATGATGATACTGTCAAAAGTGATCTACAGATTCAATGCAATCCCTATCAAAATTCCAGTGACATTCTTCACAGAGATAGAAAAAGCAATCCTAAAGTTCATATGGGAGGACAAATGATCTCAGATAGTCAAAGCAATCCTGACCAAAAAAAAAAACAAACAAAAAAAAAAACCAGCAGACATCACACTACCTGACTTCAAAATATACTATGAAGTTATAGTAATCAAGACAGCATGGTACTGGCTTAGAAACAGACACATAGAGCAATGGAACAGAATAGAGAACCAGAAATACATTCTTGTATTTATAGCCAACTGATTTTTGACAAACGTGTCTAGAACATTCACTGCGGAAAGGGCAGTCTCTTCAATAAAAAGTGTTGGGGAAAATATTTATCCTCCTAAAGGAGAAATAAAAATAGGCTCTAATCTCACACCACATATAAAAATCAACTCAAAATGCATTAAAGGCTCAACCATGAAACCAAAAACTATGGAACTACTACAAGAAAACAAAGGGAAACGCTTTAGGATATTGGTCTGGGCAAAGATTTTATGAAAATCTCAAAAGCACAGGCAACAAAGCAAAAATAGACAAATAAGATTACATCAAACTAAGAACCTTCTGCCCAAGAAAGGAAACAATCAACAGAGTAAAGAGACACCAAGAAGAATGAAATAAAATATTTGCAAATTATTCATCCAACAAAGGATTAATATCCAGACTATATAAGGAACTCAAGCAAGTCAACACCAAAAAAAAAAGGAAAGAAAAAGAAAAAGAAATAGAAAATAATAAAAAAAATTAACAAACCAGGTAAATGAGCTAAACAGAATTTTTTCGAACAAAAACATACACATTCCCAACAGATATACCTAAAAATGGTCAACATCACTAATCATCAGGGAAATAAAAGTCAAAAGTCAAAACCATAGTGAAATATAATCTCACCCCAGCTATAATGAATAATGGCTATTATCAAAAAGATAAAAAAAACAAATACTGATGCAGATGCAGAGAAAGAAGAACTCTCTTTACATTGTTGGTAGGAATGTAAAGCAATCCAGCCATTATGAAAAACAGTATGAAAGTTCCTTAGAAAGTTCCTTAGAAAACTAAAAATAGAACTACCATATGATCCAGCCATTCCACTACTGGGTACAAAGAAATTAGTATGTCAGAGACATCTGTAACCCCATGTTTATTGCAGCACAATTCACAATAGCCACAATAGGGAATCAAACTAAATGTTCATAAATAGATAAATGGATAAAGAAAATGTGAGATATATATATATATATATATATATATATATATATATATATATATATATATACACACGCACACACACACAATGGAATACTATTCAGCCTTAAAAAATAACTAAATTCTATCTTTTGCAGCAACATGGATGAGCTTGGAGGACATTATGTTAAGCAAAATAAACTAGGCACTCAAAGACAAATACCACGTGAGTGAAATGTTCTATATATGTCCTTGAGGTCTAATTGTTCTGAGATGTAATTCAAGTTCCAGTTTTTTGTTTTTATGAATGTTCTGTATGTTCTGTTCATTGTTGAGGGTGGGGTTTGAAGACCCTTACTGTTATTGTATTGCAGTTTAAGATGGTATTTATTTAGACTGTTAGTATTATGTGAGAATCAAAATTATAATGACATTAAATTTATAGATTTTGTTATTTTTTGTGAAGACAAACCTATAGACAATAATAGGATAGAGATGTTACATTTAAACTTCATGATTGCAGTTACATGAACTCATGTTTGAATATGTGGACTCAACTCAATTTGGGCTTAAAGTTTTCAGATTTCATTTGAATACCTGCAATGATAGAAACAGATTTGGTGAAACACAAATATGGACCATGTTTGGTTTAAATTCAATTTCAAAGTTGATTCTGTATGAGAAAATAATGAAATTAACAAATGAGAAAGAACTGTCAAATATTCTGCTAGCAAATACTAGCTTGTAGATGCTGAATTGTTTTAAGATTAGCTATCAACTTATTAGTTGATAGCTTGGTCAAGGAATATTCTTATATTTGACTATTTTATTTCACACTGTAATAAGATAGTCAAATATAAAAATATTCCTGGACCAAAAGCGTAATGAAAAATAACTTTGTATCATCTATGTTCAATAGTTGAAATGGTTAAGATTTATAAATGAGCTTGGCACCGTGGTTCACGCCTATAATCCCAGCGCTTTGGGAGGCTGAGCTGGGCGGATCACCTGAGGTCGGGAGTTTGAGACCAGCCTGACCAACATGGAGAAACCCCATCTCTAGCAAAAACACAAAATTAGCCGGGCGTGGTGGCGCATGCCTATAATCCCAGCTACTTGGGAGGCTGAGACAGGATAATCGCTTGAACCCGAGAGACTGAGGTTGCGGTGCGCCCGAGATCGCGCCATTGCACTCCAGCCTGGGCAACAAGAGCGAAACTCCGTCTCGGGGGGGAAAAAAAAAAAAAAAAAGTAAATGAATAGCTTTTCTTTTTGATACAGTTTCATCTTTTCTTTGCCTGAATCTTGTGTAACGTCTCAGATGAGATAATTAAAAATCAAGTCGCTCTGTAGATAAGTAAGACTTCTATGTAGTAGCGAATGTCTCTCCTGTGAAGTTCTGCTTCTGTTTAATGTGATAATCATGAAAGATTAAATATTTTTAGGTAAGAACATTTCAGTGTGACTTTTGGCATATTTTTAAAAGGGGCAATATTCACAGCTGTTTCTCTTTTAAAAATCAAACAGTTTGCAGCCAAATAAAGGGCATAAAAGGATTAGAGGCAAATAACTTATAGGCACTAATTTTGATGCGTCATCAAAGGATTGGATTGGGTTTGTGACCTCTGAAAAATTTTTTGCAAATGATAATTGGACATTGAGAGGCTACTTATTCTGCGTGAGATACCACTGGATATTATGGCTAATTTGTAAGAGAACTGAAGTATTCGTGTGTTTAAAACTGGGAACAAATATGCAGAAATTGTAGATATCTGCAGTGATGGTGGGGATTTGATAATATCACCAAACAAAAGGGGCACATATTACTTTTTTCCCTTAGTCTGTCTTCAGCTGCTTTTTCTGATATAACCTTGTATAACGTCTTACTTTGTATTAATAGTTTAAAATAATTTAGAGCATTAGTATAGTGCCTAAACAAGTAGTTTTAGACTTAAAAATTAAACTTGGCTTAACATTATTAAGTGTAGATAATTTATGTTATTTTTTCTTCAGCTTTTATTTTAACTTCCAGGGTACATGTGCAGTATGTGCAGGTTTGTTTCATAGGTAAATGTGTGCCATGGTGGTTTGCTGCATAGGTCAACCCACCACCCAGGTATTAAGCCCGACATCCATTAGCTATTCTTCTTGATGCTCTCCCTCCCTCTTATGCCTGTAATCCGAGCACTTTGGGAGGCTGAGGCAGGTGAATCATTTGAGGTCGCTAGTTCAAGGCCACCCTGAGCAACATGGTGAAACCCCCTTCTCTACTAAGAATACAAAAAATTAGCCAGACGTGGTGGCACACATCTGTAATCCAGCTACTCAGGAGGCTGGGGCAGGGAAATTACTTGAACCCGAGGGGCAGAGGTTGCAGTGAGCTGAGATCGCAGCACTGCACTCCAGCCTGGGAGACACAGTGATACTTTGACTTGAAAAAAAAAAAAAGTGGGAAACTTTTCTCATATAGTAAAAAGTGATAGCTAAATTTAAAACTAAGTACAGAAAAATAACTGAAATGTCACGTGAGTTACTTCACATAAAATATATATTTTTTATGTCTCGTCTTCATAAAAAGATGAAAGAAAGGAGTTTATATATACCAGCTGCTGCTTCTTGGTAATTTCGGCACAATGTCAGTCACACAAAAGAATATCCAATAAACTCAAGTGATGTTGAAATTGACACCTTGCAATTAGTATGTTTGTGTGTGTGTGTGTGTGTGTGTGTAATAATCCAAGAATTATTCCAGCTTTAGCATTCTCAGACAATAATGTGTTGATAGTTAATATGCAGTTATTACTCACCTCTATAATACATTGTGTTTTGATATTTAAAGGATTTTTAAATTCTTTCCATCTTCTGATTTTAAATAAAAATTACAAACATCACTTTAATGGATGCCCCTAACGAGTGAGTTCATGAAGATTTCCTAGAAAAATTGTAATATGAATAGTTGATATTGTATGAGCTCCATGGAAACCAACTCCATTCTTTCTGAGGTCTAACAATACATGTTATAGTGTACTTAGCACTGTGCTTCTGTGTATAAACAATAGTCCAACTTTATTTTCTCGAGATGTTCTCATGTATTTTTAAGCTGCTTGGTACAAAAAAAATTATTGTTTCTAATTTCTCCATAAATGAAAAGAAGATTATAAGACTACAAATTTGGTATAAATAACATTAAAAGACAGGAGTATATTGCCCTTATCAAGAGACTTAGTAATGTGACACATTGCTCTTCATTCTACGTGAGTGAACATCATAAAATCAACATGAATTACAAATATCTTCCTGTCCTTGCAAAACCTGGAGACTTACTAGAAAACACAGGTTCTGAAAGTGAATATTTGCAGATCAGTTGTATCCCTGGAAATACAGACTCTTGAGGTTTGTCTAGCAGCAGGTGTTCTTTCAAATTACTCATGATGAAACTTAAAAGTTAACAAAAATAATTATTATGGTAATTGTGTCTATTTTGATTGCTGCCATAAGAAACTACCACAAATTTAGTGTTTTAAAATACACAAATGTGTCATCTTATTGTTCTGTATGTAGGAGTCTGACACAGATCTAATTGGGTTAAAATCAAGATGCTGTCAAAGCTGCATTCCATTCTGGAGGTTTTAAAGGATGATTTTTTTCCTTGATCATTTGGATTATTGGTATAATCATTAAAGCTGTAGTAGTGAGATCCCTGTTTTGTTGCTGGCTGTCAGCTCAGCACCAGTTCCAGCTTCCAGAGGTCACCTGCATTTTTTTTTTTTTTTGCCTGAGTCCCCCTGCTTTTCAAAGTAAATGACTGTGGGTCAATTTCTCTGATGCTTCAAATCTCTCCTTCTGTCTCACCTCTTTGATGCGTTCCTCTGCCTCTCTCTTGGCTTTTAAGAGTTTATGTGATTAGATTGGATGCACCAGGAGATTCCAGTGTAATACCCCCATCTCAAGGTTTGTAACCTTAATCATATCACAAAGTCCCCTTTACCACGTAAGGTAACACATTCCCCGTCTCTGGAGATTAGGGTATGGACCTCTTTGAAGGTTTATTATTTTGCCTACCACAGTAATAATAATAGAAAATATTATTAGACACTTACTATATGCCAGCAACTTTTTAAGTGTTTTACATATGTGAATTAATGTAATCCTTGCAATAACTATGAGGAAGAAAGTATTATTATCTCCATTTTATAGATGAGGAAAATGATTCAGGGAAATAATTTAACTTTCCAATGAAATGCACTCATCTAGAAAGTTAAATAAACTTTCTATAGTTATACAGTTGTAAGCCTAGTATTCAAATCTAGCTATCCAAGTCCACAGGTACTCAGATCTTTCCATTTTGTTTTTTGTCCTGCCTTACAGGGAGTAAAGACATAGCTTTAGGTAGAAGCAGTTAAAGTAGAAGGTATTAAACTACTTATATAATAATTTATCCCAGTATATTGGCTGAAATCAAGATGGGACTTACTAGCTCAGATTCTTACATATGTGTTGTTCCCATATAACAAATGGGGTTTTGTCATTTCATGTTTTCAAGCAGATTATCCATCATTATCTAAAAACCACCACTTTGTCTCATTCCAAAACACTTTAAATATTGAGATATTTAATCATGGAAGAGCCTGAGTGAGGAGAATCAACTTTCAGCAACTAGATGTCAGCTTAAAGTTGTAGAAGCCTCCTAGTAAAGTAATCATTCTTTCTCAAGAGGCTGTGACCATAGAAAGTAAGAATGGTGAAATAATTTAATATTTACTGGGGCTTTCGCAGTTGGAATGTATGTGTGTAAATTTGTGGATGTTGGTGCACGCATGTTAAATCAATGATGGCATTTTAAACAGGACATATTACAGGACAAAAAGTAACTTTTATTATTAAAACACATAAAAAGTATGTATCCTTTGTTTTAAAGGCCTTTTGAAATAAATCCTGAAATATAGGATTCATAATGTCTTTTGTGAGCTGAGTAAATATTATAACCACACAGACATATTTAAATAATGGATGCTTGAAATACAAGCCTGTAATATGCAATAGTCTCAAGGTTAATGGTGACACATTCCATCTTTAGCTTCTACTATTATAGATAGGAAAAAAAATGCCCTAAGGTATTTCAGCTGTTTACCTGTAAATTGCAATAAAAACTCCATTACATAGAGCAGTGTACACCCTTATGAAAATCAATGAAGTCAATACAACTTTAAAAATAATCTTGTTTACAAATCCACCTACATCACAGTGTATGAATCCAATATTCTCAGTGGTATATGACTAGATTTTAGTTAGTATGTTGCCAACAGAATAGATAGTTAACAGATGAATATATTTGCAACCATGAAATCTTTGATTATTCTCTCAAATAAAATAATTACTGCTTCTTTATTCCCTTCTCCTTTCATTGGCTCTGGAAATGTACTGACAGCAAAAATACCATTCTTGAACAGTTAAATAATTAGGAGTATAGAAAAGAGGTTGGATTAAAGAAGGAAGAGAGAAAAGAAGAAAAATGAATCAGAAATATTTTGCATTTTAAGAATGGCAAATCGCACTACCTGTTGGTAAACATGTCTCTTTCTTTTAAACACGTTACCTTCGATATCTGTTTCTCAAAAGGAAAAAAAATATGAATATTGTCATGTTTTATTCCCAAGAAACTTTATTTCCAGGAATTAGACAAACATTTAAATGTTAGTATTATATATTTTGAAAAAAAATTTATTATTTAAAATATGATTTCATCACAAAATTGCTTTCAGGTCTGTAATCATTATTGTTGTGTAAATAATGATGACCATTTTTCCCCATGCCACTTGTTAAGACTGTTCCAACCATCTCTTCCTTACTCTGTTACTTAAAAAATCTGTTTGCATTGAGCAATTTTTTTTTTTTTTTTTTTGAGACAGAGTTTTTCTGTTGTTGCCCAGGCTGGAGTGCAATGGCGAGATCTTGGCTCACCTCAACCTCCACCTCCTGAGCTCAAATGATTCTCCTGCCTCAGCCTCCCAAGTAGCTGGGATTGCAGGCATGCACCACCACACCCTGCTAATTTTGTATTTTTAGTCGGGATGGGGTTTCTCCATGTTGCTCAGGCTGGTCTCGAACTCTCGACTTCAAGTGATACACCCACCTCGGCCTCCCAAAGTGCTGGGATTACAGGCAAATATTTTTATTTTTTAATTTAGTCATTATTTGCCTAAAATAAACAAAATATGTTTTGTAGTACTGCATACAAAAAGGAAAAGGAACTTTGTTAGACTTTCTAACTGTATTCCATGGTAGTAAATTTGCCAGAATTTCTAACTAACTGAATAACATAAACCTCTTGATATTTTCCTTTTTCTTTCTTTCTTAAGGAAATCTCTTATGCTATCAATATGAGCATCACTGAATCGAAAGGTCAAGTTATTAGCAAAAACTGTGCTGTGTAATGTTACTTTGTCTCAGAAGAAAACTGAAATGACCCTATGATGTTACTCTGAGGAGGATGTAGTGTATCATAGAGAGTGAAGAAACTGAAATGGAAAGGTCAGAGTGTCTTTGGGGATGGTGAAAAAGCAATGTGGTGTAAGGTAGTCATATTCCTCTTCGCAGGCTTCACTTTGCTTATAAACACAGTTTCTAAAGGCAAGGCTAATTCATTATCAAAACCAAAAAGTACCTTGTAAAACATACTTCAGGTCCTGAGTACTAGTTATTAGAATACTTTGGGATTCAAAACAAAGCAGCTAATTACAAGTCAGTAAATAGATTTGTGTAGCCATGGACAATTTGTTTATTTGGGGGGCCTCAACTTCATACAAAATGAGGGACTGGCATCATTGAGTGTTTCTCAACAAGTAAACAGATTTTTCTATGTTCTTTTGCTTATGTCTAAAATGTGTAATTTACATGGCTTACTCATACAGACCATAATTTCTTTAGAAACTCTAAGCCGGCTGATGGATAAAATCCCTCCCAGCTTTCACTCCATTATGTTAGGCCACATAACATAATGGGGTGAATGTCTCCCCAATCCATATCTGTCACTATTTTCGTTTACAATAATCATGGATCAGGTACCTTCTGTGCATCGGAAACTATGCAACAGAATTGCTAAGACATACAAAACTGTGTAATACACAACCCTCCCTAAGAATAATAGAGCTTGGTAAATGGAGGAATACATGTACACAGATAAGTGTAATAAAGAATTTCAGGTGCATTCAGAGAGCTATTAAGTTAGAATGAGGAAACTGTGGAAGAAATCCTGTTTTACCTGGGGCAAAGTGAGGTGATTAGTCCAGAAATATGTATTTTAAGAAAATTATATTTGAGATTTTTGTAAAAAATGGCAAGGGGTGGGTCAGCTCTTCAGAAGAAAACCATTCCAGACAAAAATAATATAATAGCAAAAGCAGAATGTTTCCATAAAACAGCTGGGCATAGTCAGAGTAATAAGCAACTCAGTAGGTTTGAGCATAGAATATGAGGGTAGATGCAGGAAAACAAAATGATGGTGAAGTAGGCAGAAGTTACATTTTCTGGACTAGAATTATTTCACAAAAGGTTTGGATTTTATGCTGTAGGCAAAAAGGATTTAAGGCAATAGCAACATGGATAAAGCACTAGCATTTGGTTGTAGAGGAAGCTGTTTAAAGAGGTAAAACATTAAGAAGGTATTACTAATTTGCTGTGTGGATTTAGGGCTGTTGAAGTATAATTTTTCAAATGAAAAATTGTGGAACTCATATAAAAACATAAAATGAAATCAAGAAAAATATTTTATTCAACTAATTTATGTAGAAAACATTAACATTTGAGAAACTAGTTATTTATAAGCAATAGCCAATTTAATAAAAGATTGTTAAAACTGCTAAATTGCCTTTAAAACTGGTTAATGTCCAAAAGGGCAGTAAACTAACTTTGATTTACTTGTTCTTTCAGATGCAAATTATTTAGCTATCTATTTCAGAAAAATCAATAAAGAACCATTTAACTTTACTAAATACTGAGTAAGGCTTTTAAGCAATAGTATGCAGCCAATTGAAAATTATATTTTCCTAAACCTTGGGTGGGCCCATCCTCCTGCATAGAAAGAATATACATGTCATCTACCTATTTGTCCTGTTTCCAACTTTTAGATGTTTTTTTCTTACTTGGGAAAACTACATCATCAGTATTTTATTATGTACCATCCCTTCTGCTGAGTTTATGTACCATGTAATTGAACAGTTTAAAATATGTGTATAAATCATTAGAAATTTTCAAACTCAATATACCACTTGAGAAATATTTCTTGCCTCTAGAAATATTTATGGACAGCATTAAACAATGGACTCAATAATTATCATTTCAACCTGTTTTAGGTATATCTGTTTTGTCCAACACTATATCATACTTTTTAATAAGGCAATTATTTATTCCTTCATTGTAACCAATTAGCTCATTATGCACGTTTTCCACTAGGTAAATTGTAATACTGGGCTTCTAAGGCCAGTGTCCCACAAAAGAAGGAGGTGACATAGTTAGGCATAACTATCTCATCATAACATTGTTCTCTTTCTCGGTTAACTCTCAGATTATTCTGAAAGCAAGAAAGGGGACTTGTGGCTTTTAGTGGGCCTTCCTAAGATGTGAACTCTGTGGCCAGGATCTAATATGTGCCATGCTGAATGAATTCACTATAATCCCTGGTTATAGATGCTCATTGTGAACTTATTTCACAAAACCAATTCTGAGAAATCAGCATCTTAAAAATATCTAATAGGATACTGACAATATTTTATAGGAACAGCTGAACACTTGATACCTTTGATTTATAATCACATCCCCTTAGTAGGAAATATGAGGAAAAGCAACCCTCTTTATCTATTTATATAGTTTTACTCTAATAAGTCAGGACTATATGACCTTATCCAAAATAAGTATAGTCTATTAAATTCGATGCAAAAGAAAGTCCAGAAATCAACTACTCTAAACGATATATAATTATATTTTTGGCGGGTGTCTTTCAATATTTAACCGGTTTATATCTACAGACTTTATGTAACAAGTCAATATATTCTTGTTTCTGGGGGGTTATTTTCTAACGAATTTGTCTTAAAGAGAGGACTTGTGTTACATAGCTGAAAATTAATTTCGTTCATTGATGCAACAAATATTTATTAAATCTTTCTAAGTTCTAGCAATCTGACAGTCAAAATCTCACACTTTCAAAACTCTTACACTGTAGTAGGGGGAGTCAGATGGTAAGTAAATACATTTGTATATAAGTAAGCAGGAAAAGTTTCTGTGGTGACAAGTGCTTTACAGAGAATTATTCATGTGCTAGTGATTGAGGAGCTTTCTGGGATAGGGGGTCAAGCTAATATCTCTCTGAAGAAGTTAAGTTGACCACGAAAGCTGAGGTACAAAAGAAAGCCCATTATGAGAAAATAAAGTGGAAAAGCATTCAGTACCAAGCGAACACACAAGACAAAGTGGAGAGTGGATGTGCATGCTTAAAAAACTAGAAGAAAGCCAGTGTGGATGGAACAAGGGCAGAAGCGAATAGAGTATGAGAAGCTGTGGGTCATAAATGCCACCCTGAGGTTTTGGTAAATGACAAAAATTTGGTTTTCAGCTTCAGAAAACTTTTCCGAAGTAACACTATTTTAACCATGTTCCATGTCATGTAATTTGGTAACTTACTTGCCCATTTCTGTTATATTGGGGCCCAAATTTAGTCACTGTAAAATATTGTGAAGCTATTTAAGATATGCAATATATTACTGCAGATAAATCAGCTTAACTTTTACCTAAGCAAATATTTTATCCAATGTTTCTATTTTAGTAAAAGGGACAATTAGTAGTAGTTAGTTGTTATATCAGCTGTTAGGAGAAACTATTTATAGGAGCTCACTCGAAGGATCTGTTTTCCCATCACTGTTCTATGCAAAAACCTATCTTTGAATCTACCTCTTCTTCAGAGTTTAGTACCTGCTCTTCATCCTACTTATCACCAACTTTCTTTCCATAATTGATGTGTATATATATATATCAATCTATTGACCTAAAATTGAAGGGCATTATAAACATACTTCTGTTGAAGAAGTGTATAACCTGTAGAAAAGTGATCTACAGTCTTGTTCTTGATGTTGTAGAAGAAACGAGTTAGTTGATACTGAAAGGACTAAGCTGAAGGAAAACCTCCTTCCAGATTTTTCTAGGAGCACATTATTTCACAAGAGAAATAAGAAACTACTCCCAGAGATGGAGAAGGAAGATAAATTGATTATTTGTGGGAACAGTTTTGAAGTCTTCGGAGACTGGGAAGGAAAAAGAGTATTGGACTATAGTTGATTCGATGTCCATTAATTCCAAAAATAAAAGCAGTTCTAGTTAATTGAAGTGAGGGGAAAATATTTGGAACAATTTTGGAGGCTAATAGCCTTCATAAGAAGATAGCAGAACAGGCTCAGAATTAGTAGGAAATTTATATGATTTTATATAAACCAGATGAACAAGAGAAAAAAATATAAGAGAGTTCGGCAACTCTGTCATAATAGGAACTACCTGGTCAAGAGGCAGCTACTGATCTTACTAATGCAGTTAAACTTCCTTAGCTGCAATGAGAATGCCACATGCTTATGTGTGATTCTTGTTAGTATGAATAATATGTGTGCTGTGTTTTCCTAAGATTTGCTATGTTTGGCATAAGCATACATAATAATGTACATTCTATATTGCTGATTATTATTTCCTAGAATTCTAAAATATCTATAAGATATACTCTTTATGTGTATCCTCACCAATAGATATATTTCTTAAAAGTATTTATAAAATTGAGAAAATATATTTTATATTAAGGTATTGAGGTCATTTGAAGTATCAATTTTAATTATAGACATTAATTATTAACTTCCTCCTGTGAAAGGTGGAACAATAGCTTCTTTTTGTTAGTTCTACTATAGCCTTGTAGAATCCAGTTTATAATATTTACATCCTGTGGTGGGTCAGGATTCACAGGACTAATACAAATTATCTTCTACGTTCTAGAAAATTAAATGGTCTACACACACCTTTTTAATGTAGTGGTTTTTTTTTATTTTTAAGTTTTGTGGGCACATAGTAGGTGTATATATTTATGGGGTACATGAGATACTCTGACACACGCATACAATGTATAATGGTCACATCATAATTTTTTTGATTTTTTAATAAGGTATTTTCTTGTCTCCGAAAGGCCTGGCTACTTTAAATTCTTTCACTTTTGCCTTATAATTGAACTTTACCCTGTTTGCTAGATATCATTTTTTATTTCTTTCTTGTGTAAGCTTTTCTTCTAGGAAATGAAGAATACATACTAGCTAAGCTTAGCAGGATTTCTTTCTTGTGAAAGAAACAAAGGTTGGTACTGTAATGCATTGGGCATTGAATGTTGCTCCTGGTTTTACTATTTTCCTTGAAATAATTATTTTCTCTACATGAATATCCAAAATATTGTTTCTTCATAAATAAATTTTAACAAATTTGTATAAAATATGTTACATATTATATATGAAATTTTTCTGGAACTAGATATGCTTTTCCAAACTACAGATTAGTTCTCTACTGAAGAGAAATTTGCTTATATTTCTATTTTTTGATACATATGTTTTGGTTTCTTTTCTTGGGAATTCAATAATGCCTCTGTTGTATAGATGTTTATTTCTTCCATATGATTCTGCTTCTTGCTGATAGCTTTAATTTCTTTGTATTTTTATGCATAATCAATGATATCTTGAGTCTTTATTCAATATAAGTAATTTAATTTTCAGAAATTTCTACACTTCTTGTCATTTAAATTTTTTCAGCATTTTAATAATAATGTATTTTGGTCATAAATGTTTTTTCTTATATTTTAAATATGTATTTTCTTCTATTTCTATTTTAGCTATATATTTTTTCTGTTGAATTCATATTCATATTTCATTCCACAGAACAAAAATTATCTGAAAAAATTACTTCTGTTTTTTGTATTTTTATTTATTTGAGTTGGATTTTTTTGTTTTTTTGTGACAATGTAGATTTCTCTTTCATTTTTTAAAAATCTTGACCTTTTAAATAACCTTGTTCATTTATTTCTCTTTTATCTGATACAGTTAGTGAATTTTTCTGTCCCTTATCACAGAATTACAGACTAACTCCCTACAACCAAGACACAGTTTGAGGACCTGTGATTCTCTGTCTCCTCTTCTTTCCTCTCTATATTCTGTATCCAACACCAAGGAAGGAGAAGGAGAGCACAGTCAAGGGAGGCTGTGTCCTGGACTGTAGCTTGCCTCATATTTCACATCACAGACTTTGTTAAATGTCCTGCATTATGCTCCCACCATCTAGTTGGAGAAGCTCCATTACTGTGGAAAAACATTTTTGGATTTCCAATTTTTAAAATCTTCAGAAACTTTTCTTTTTGTAAGAGAGCAAACTACTGTACATTTACTTCCTCCGTTTCTCCCCGTAACTATTTTACTACCACTTCATCACAAGAGTTAAAACATGGAAATAGCTATTCAGCTTGCTTTACATATTTGTAAAATTCAGTAAGAATTAACATGGTTTTGTTAATTCATTAGCATGGCTTCTGAGGAGTAAAGGTGGAGTTAGGGACATTGTGCCATTACTCCAAAATGTTTCTTTCTTCAAAATTGATGAACTGGTGCTGCGAACTCTCTGTCAAATGTTTCTACAATAAACATCTTAGACAGTGGATAGATGTTTCCCTGTAGAAATTAATTATTAATGAAGAGAAATATGAAAGTTAGGTGACTGTGAGAATGAAAATCACCAGGTATTTGAAATTGGCATAAATAACCTTGCTTTATCAAAAGAACATTTCTCTTAAAAGTCACTTTCCATTTTCTGCCAGGATTCAGGAGCTCCTCTTAATTCATCTATTGATTTTAATTTAAAACAGTGGTTCTCAACCCTACTGCACGTAAGAAATAACTAAGGAGATTTTTCAAAGTGTTTCTGCTTGGACTCAAATCTAGACAAAATGAAAATAAGTTTTAGAGGGGGTCCAGACATCCACAGGTAATTCTTATGAAAATTTAGTGTTGGAAACCATCAGAGAATGCCAACACTGAAGTTGTTGATTCAGTATTAAAGACAAATACCTTAAAATACTGTTTTGTTCTACCCAAACTGTTTTATTAAATACTAATAACTATACATTATTATAAATATATTTTGCAAAGATAATGTAAGCTTTTCTTCTAGGAAGTGAAGAAAACATACTAGCTAAGCTTAGCAGAATTTCTACATAAAATTACTATTCTGTGACAGAAATAACAGTTCTTTCCTGGATTAAACATGTGCTGTCGGACATTTCCTTTATAGTTATGCAGTTATCTTATGTCATGTATTATCTAGAATGTTACAAGGGGAATCCACTGGATCTCATTTATCTCCCATCTCTTCAAAATCAAATCAATGTTATGTGAGAATATTGAAGGATCTTTTCACTAACGAAATAAACAAAATGTTAAAGTCCTAGCTGCGCCAACATTTTAAAAATCTAGTAAATCGAATTGTATTTTAATAGGTTCCACAAATAATGTTATTCTTTCTGTTAGACTTTTATTTAGCAAAAAAGAAAAATCTTTAATGTGCTTTAGAGTATTCACCACCACAATATATTGCACAATTTTCTTCTGAATATTGTATACTGATGTAATATGAATTTTCAGGAAATATGCAGGGAGTATATTCTATCAGTTGCTTCTATTGTATCACTTGCAGCTTAAAAATGTGTAATAAAATGACTTAGCATAGGCTTAGCCTGAGAGGTTACTAATGAGCAAAGATGTAGATTTTAATTGTAAGTAATAGAACAAACTTAATGCCATAGACAAAAATTAAATATTAGTCAGCTGAACAGAAATGAAATTATATTTGCTATTGGATCAATGACCAGTGTCTTTCCTATTCTAAGTTACATGAAAAGCGTCTGTTTCCAGATCACCAAATTGATGTGTTTATTAGAATACAGCACTCCATGGATAGAAAAATTAGTAGTGTTAAAATGGCCATAATGCCCAAAACAATTTACACATTCAATGCTATTCCTGTCAGAGTACCAATGAAATTTTTCACAGAATTAGAAGAAAAAAAATTCTAAAATACGTTTGTAAACAAAAAGACCCCAAATAGCCCAATAAATCCTGAGCAAAAAACAAAAACAAAAACAAAACACCAAAGCTGGAGACATCACACTACTCAACTTCAAACTATACCGCAAGGCTATAGTAACTAAAACAACATGATACTAGTATAAAAACAACACATAGACCAATGGAACAGGTTAGAGGACCCAGAATAAAGCTACACACCTGCACACCTACAACCATCTGATCCATGACAAAGCCAAGAATAACAACTATCGAGGGAAGGACTCCCTATTCAATAAATGGTGCTGGAATAACTGGCTAGCCATATGCAGAAGTTGAAACTGGACCCCTACCTTTCACCATATACAAAATGAACTCAAGATGGATTAAATACTTAACTGTAAAACCTATATCTATAAAAATCCTAGAAGAAAACCTAGAAAATAGCATTCTGGACATCAGCCCTGCCAAAAATTTTGTAACAAAGACATCAAAAACAATTGCAACAAAAACATAGATAAGTGGGAACTAATCAAACTAAAGAACTTCTGCACAGCAAAAGAAACTATCAACAAAGTAAACAAACAACCTGCAAAATGGGAGAAAATATTTGCAAATTATGCACCTGACAAAGGTCTAATATCCAGAACCTATAAGGAACTTGAACAAATATGGGAGCAGAAACCAAACAATGCCATTAAAAAATGGGCAAAGGACATAACAGACACTTCTAAAAAGAAGGCATACATGTAGCCAACAAGCATACGAAAAACTGCTCATTATCGCTATTTGGGAAATACAAACCAAAATCACAATGAGATAGCATCTCACACCATTCAGAATGATTATTATGAAAAAGTCAAAAAATAACAGATGCTGGGGAGGTTGCAGAGAAAAGGGCATGCTTATACAATGCTGGTGGGAATATAAATTAGTTCAGCCACTGTGGGAAGCAGTCTGGAGATTTCTCAAAGAACTTAAAATAGAACTATCATTCGACCCAGTAATCCCATTACTGGGTATATACCTAAAGGAATATAAATTGTTCTACCATAAAGACATACACATGTGCATTCATCTCAGTGCTATTCACAAAAGCAAAGACATGGAATCAACCTACATGTCCATTAATGGTGGACTGGATAAAAGAAATATGGTACAGACACACCATGGAATGCTACACAGCCAAGAAAAAGAATTAGATCCTGTCCTTTGCAGCAACATGGATAAAGCTAGAGGCCATTATCCTGAGTGAATGAATGTCTGAACAGGAAATCAAATACTGCATGTTTTCACATATAAGTTGAAGCTGAAAATAAAGTACTCATGGACACAAAGGAGAGAACAATTCCACTTGAGGGTGGAAGGTGGGAGGATGGTTAGGAATGAAAACTACCTATTGGTGATTATGCTGATTACTTGGAAGATAAAATTATCCATACACCAAATCCCCGTAGCACAGAATTACTCATGTAACAAGCCTGCACACGCACCCCTTGAACCTAAAACAAAAGTTGGAAAGGAAACAAACAAAAAAGAAATAGAGCATTCGTAAAACACATAGGAGTAAACCAATAAAATATCATAGTTTAATTTTATCAGGACTCTCAGAATCAAATATTTAAAATTTATTAAGGGATTCTGACAATTGCAGTTTGTGAATCCTAAAGACCTGCATACTACTTTTGAAAATAGAAGACATTATTTAATAACTGTTTTCTTTACGAATTTCTAGAGGTTTGTTACTGTTCTAGTACTGAAATCTCTTGTTTGGAAGCTCTTTTAAGTGTCTAGCAGTGGTAAGACCATAGGATTTGGCACCAGTCTTATTTGGATTTAGATCTTGAATCAAATACTTATTCAGAGTTCAACAATGGATAACTTACTTCTTTTGAGCCTAGCATCCCTATCTGTAAAATTATGAAGATAAAAACACCTTCTCACAGGTATGTTTTAGTTACCGATTTTTCAGATAATCTCTGCATGTACGGAAGATATTATTTGGCGCACAGAAGTCGCAGAGTACATAAATAAATAAGAATAAAAATAATATTAACTGTAATAATAATTACAATGAAATTGTCCTTGGGTTCTACCAGGCCCCTACAATAGAGGTTAAGTTCATTAATCTAAAACTTCAATTGATCTACTAGAATGATAACTTTATAAATAGAAAAGAAAGTTTCTTATTTAAAAGGCAGGCATGCTTTTGAGAAATACGCACGTTCAAACAGGCACGATATTTGGAATTTTGTGTGGTTATTCGTCTTTTTGGAATCTTACTGATATCTTTCCTTTTGATTTTCATCAGGTCTAACACTTCATATGGTTGGCCTGGAAAATTCTTATCAGTATAGATCAAGTTTAGGAAGAATACATGCCAATATTTTGAATTTGGTCAATTTTGGTATAGACTGGGCAATCTTTATAGAACCCTTTGCCATATACTCTCCTTAAAGTCCATGATGAAAATACGACTGTTATGAAGTTTTCCAAAATATCTAGGTAAAATAAGTCAATATTGATCTTGTTCTGCAGGAATGCTAACATTTTTCTAAACAGAAAATCTCACTAAAGCTTTACTAGCTACTCTTTGCTGCTATTCGTATTTTTAAATGCCTTTTATACAATACTTTTTTTTCTGGTTAAGTAGCATCAAGTGTGGAGGAATCAGTGCAGTTATTTGAGACTCATTTTGGTGAATAAAAATTATTGTGTGGCAAGAAAGTGAACCTCATTGCCACATGTTCAGTGACCAGCAGGAAAGAATCTTTAATTTGTAGTAAAGCATCAGAAAATCTATGAAATACAAACTCTACTTAGGTTTACTTTTTGTTTTTAAGTCACAGTTTTTATGTTCTACTAGCATTTTTTTTCTGCTCCATATAGCTTCATTTTATGGCCACGAAGCATATTCAAAATAAAGTTAAAGACAATAAATTTTGATGATAGGAACCTGTTTTAAAAAAAATCAAACAATTCTTTTTAGGTCAAATGTGCTTTTAAAAATCTGCTCTTAGAAGAAATGAGTAAATCCCTAAGAAGTTTTAGAGGCTTAATTTATTAATTTTCATGGATATCATTGGAATTACAGCCTTATATACATTGAAATACCTAATTTTTCATAGTTAATGCTATTTAGCTTTTTTTCATGTTTATAACACAAAGCAGCCCTCATAAAGAACATATCTGAAGGAGAGAGCTTCCACTGAGCTTCTGCAATCCAAGGGACGGTGCTTATTTAAGGGGTTAGTCCAGGGTGGGGCATTGGTTCTTTTTGAGTTTAGGGCTACCATTAAAAATAAATAAAATAGAACAAACAAAAATGCATTACAGCTATTTTTCCAGGCACATCAACATTTTGTTTGCACTGAGTTATTACCAGAAAGCATTACCTTGGACCTTAAGGGCAGCTATGAATATGGCAGCACATGCAGTGCTGGGTGGGCAGGACATTGCAGCCTGGTAGCTCCCATCAGCATTGGTGGTAGCCATTCATGTACAAATCACTGTTATGTAATAAGACAACCCAGAATGTGGCAAGGTGACAACTCTCAGTGTTTCTTCCTCTCTAAACCGTACATCCTTTGGGTTAAGTGTTGTACCTTGTAAATATTTATATCGACAGAGGCTAGCAAAGAACCTGATACATAAATAACTTTATTTATTACTCCATTTAATAACTGAATGTTAAACATGAATGAAAATTTTCTGTTTAGGTATGTATGTTTGCATGTGTATTCACATACAAGAGAGACAAAAAGACTAAAGTAGTAAAAAAGAATAAATCCATACTTGCAGCCTTGCGTTTTTAAATTTTGAGTCATTCTATTCTGTAATTTTTCCTGGAAAAACCTATAAGGTCTTATTGTTGGAAAGAAATTGTGAAAAATGTCACTAAGACAACATTTTTGAACTATTATTTTATAAAGCAGTAGTCTTCAAAATTGGGTACCTCAGCATCTGAGGATACATAAAGAGTTTCTAGCAGGTACATGGGCATACACATAAACAGCTTTTTTAAAAATCAATTTTCAGATCTTCAACTTCAATATGTGTCTTTTTCTAAAAAAAAATCTGCCATAGAACATCTGTAATCTGCCAAATCTTTTTTTCTGTCTCTCCTTTCAAAATTGTCTTTTTATCACTCACTATACAAAAGAAGAGAGTGCATCTCACCCATCCCACATAATGTGGTGTGTTCCCACAGGGTAAAAATGCATTCAAGCACCAAACAATTCTGTTAGATACATTGCTTTTGAGAAGAGCAATATAAGGGTAAAATAAAAAGGACAATATCTAAGGGGCAGCACTCTAATTTATTCATATAAAAAACTAAGGGTGGAGCTTTGTATAAATTATCTAACTTATAGATTTATCTTGGAATTCAGCAGTGAGATTTCAATCATGGCAATATAAAATTAAGTTTAATTATAAATTAAAAATGAAGGCAGACATTTTCATTGAAATTCAGTCTGATTTTGGCTGATAAGAGCTGCCTTTGCCATTTTGGTTACATGATTGACATTTCTCATAATTTGAAAAGACTGCTTCTGAAGATTCTTGGTCTTCATAAAAAATGTAAGTGAGGTTCAACATTGAATCTAACACTGTAAGTGAAGTTCAAATATTTAAACTGTACTAAATGCAGAGCTTAATTATGGTAAACTTAATTAAATGACCACAGTGAAGCTGCTGTGAAGGATGGAAACCAATAGCACTATATCTGAATTTGTGCTGTCAATGGATTTTATTTTCTGTTTAAAATAGGATTGAATTAAAAAATTGCTAGAAGCCTTTAAAATTAACTGTAAAATAACTGTGTAAAATTATGATAATATTGATGTCAAGTTTAAAATGTGTGAGGACATAGAGAATTTTAAAAATTCTTTCAAAATGAAATGTTTTCAAATGAAAACACTTGGATATAACAGCAGAGATTTCAGACTGGTTTCCAGTTTTATTCTTGTATTTGTGTAATAGTATTACTGTGACCATTGTATTGTATGGAAAGTCATTACTCATTTAAAACATTACCTTGGCCTCCCCTTTCTTATTTCTCTTTATCTTCCAGAATTCAAGCAAAGAGTAGAGTAGAGAAATTTGCATTTGAAAGAGGATTTTTTAGTTCTGGTTCTTAATGCTGGGCAGAACACATGAATTTGCCTACTTACTCTTCTCACCCAATTAAAATAGCGATCCACAGAAACAAAGCAGAATACATATACATCACCATATGTCTTAGTCATTTTGGGCTACTGTAGCTAAGTAGCACAGTCTGGATGGCTTATAAACAGAAATTCATTTGTCTCAATTGTGGTCGCTGGAAGTCCCCACCAAGATCAGGGTGCCAGCATAGTTCAGTTCTGGTGCAGACTCTTTTTGCAAATAGCAGTCTTACATCGTATCCTTGTATCGCAGAAAGGGAGTAAGAGGACTCTTTGGTGTCCCTTTTATAAGAGTACTAATCCTATTTGTGAGGGCTCCATCCTGATGATCTAATTACCTTCCAAAAGCCCCACTGCCGAATATCATCACATTCGGGGGTAGGATTTCAACGAATGAATTTGGAAGGAAGGGAACAGAAAACATTAAGTCTATTGCATTATATAATAATGTCCCATTCAGCACTTATCTTTTGAAAATATTTTTTTAAAATAGCGCTATATGGAGATTTGTAAAATCCTGTTTCTTGGTTTTATATATTTGCAGTTAGCCTCAGTTTTCCTCAAATTTCCCACTTCATAAATATGTTCAGGCTTACTTTATTCTAGTCTTCCTTCATGCAAGTATTGGTAAACTCTAAGGATAGAATAGAATAATTATTTACTATACTCTCTATAATGCAAAAGAAAAACTTGTCCTAATCCTTACTTGCCTACTGATTTTTTTCTTCTCATTTTATAACATGTCCTTGAAGCAATTATATAATCTTATACGTCTTCGTTACTGTAGAAGAGTTCCAATTGCTTTACATCTTTGCCAATATTTATTGTTCTCATTTTAATGTTAGCCATCTCAGCAGATGTAGCACATTGTGGTTTTAATTTGTATTTCTCTGATAAGAAATGATATTGATGACTTTCTTACTGGCACTGCCCATCTATATGCCTTCTTGTGAAGTGTTTGTTCATATATTTTAAGCAGTTTTTAAATGGTTGTTACGTTTTTACTATCCAATTTATAAGAATTTCTGATATATTCTGTATATAAATCCCTTGTCTGTCATATGTAATATAAATGTTTTTCTAAGTTCATATTTATTTTCTTAATGGTATATAGTAAATCTTTTTTTAATTTTCTTTCAGAAATATTTGCCTACCTCAAAGCAATAAATTTCCACTAAATTTTCTTTTAATAATTGTATAGTTAGCTCTATCTTTAGGTCTATAATTTATCTTTAATTGATTTCTTCATATATTGGGAGAAAGTGCAAATATTGTGTTTTTAATATGTTTATTCAGTTTTTCTAGCTCCATTTGCTAAAGAAAAATTTCTTCCATCATTTTTTTTTCATAGAACTTTTTCAAACATCAATTGAATTTATAAGTGTGAATCTATTTCTGGATTATCTGTGCTATTATGCTTTTGATATGCTTTTCTATTCTTGTCCATTAGTATATTATATTGATTATTATAAGTTTATAGTAAGTTTTGATAACAGTTAGTATGTGTTCTACAACAGTGACCTTTTTTGGGGAAATGTCTTGACTATTCCAAGTTCTTTGCATTTTCATATGAGTATTTGAAAAAAATTATCAAATTTTTCCAAGGAAGCCCATTGGCATTTTTACTAAATTTGCATAAAATGTATGGAACAATGTACAAATATTGACACTTTGAAAATATTGAATTTTCAAATTAATGAAGATGGTTTATTGCTCCATTTATCTAGGTCTTCATAATATTTTACAATTTCTTTTTACTTATTTACTTTTCTGAGACAAAGTCTTGCTCTGTCTCCCAGGCCAGAGTGCAGTGGTATAATCTGGGCTTACTGCAGCCTCTGCCTCCCAGGCTCAAGCAGTCCTCCTACTTCAGCCTCCCGAGTAGCTGGGATTATAGGCATGGGCCATCATGCTTGGCCAGTTTATTTATTTATTAATTGTAGAGATAACGTCTCACTATATTGCTCAGGCTGTTCTCAAACTCCTGGGCTCAAGCAATCCTCCCATCTAGGCCTCCCAGTGTGCTGGGATTACAGGCATGAATCATAATGACTGGCCTTTTTCCACTTTTCAGTGTAGAAATCTTGAACTTTTTTTATTCATTCCTAAAAATTTACTTTGTTTACCTATTTAAATATTTTTTACTGTAAACTGATTTTTAAAATTCATTTTTCTGATTTCAACTTTGTTAAATTGTCCTGTTTTTTTTATTATTATTATCTCATTGAATTTTCCCTGGTCTTAATTATTTTCCTTCTATTAACTTTTGATTTCACCTGTTCGGCTTTTTCTGAATTTTATGGGGAAATTTAGGTGATAGATTATTAAATATTTTTATTCAAATATGATCTTTTAAAGTTATAAATTTCCCTCTAAACACTGCTTAGCTACATCCTAAAAGGCAGTCAGTTTTATATAACTTATCATTTTATTTTTGACCCAGGGGCTTTTTAGAAATGTGTTATTTTAATTCCAAAAATGCAGTAATTTTCTAATAGTTGCATTGTTACAAAGTCCTAATTTTTTTTTCACTGTGGTTAAAGACCATAATCTGAATTTTCAATAATTCTATGTTGTATTAGTCTGTTCTTATGCTACTATGACAAAGTACCCAAGACTGGGAAATTTATAAAGATACGAGTTTTAATTGACGCACAGTTGTGCATGCTGGGGAGGCCTCAGGAAACTTACAATCATGTCAGAAGGCACCTCTTCACAGGGCAGCAGGAGAGAGAATCAGTGCTGAGAAAAGGAGGAAGCCCCTTATAAAAACCATCAGATCTCGTGAGAACTCACTCGCTGTCACAGGAACAGCATGGGACAAACTGCTCCCATGATTCAATTTTCTCCACTTGGTTCCACCCTTGACACATGGGGGTTATTACAATTCAAGGTGAGATTTGGGTGGGCATGCAGAGCCAAACCATATCACATGTGTACTGGAAGAGAAAATTTTTTTTGTAGTAGATTGTAGTGTTTTAATATATCAATTAAGTCAGGTTGGTTGATGGTGTTTAAATATGCTATGTATCTTGTCACATTTTTATTTAATTATTCTAATACTGTGTGAATGATGATAAAAAGCTCCAAATGTGATTACAGATCTGCTGATATCTCCCTATAGGTAATCACTCCATGCTTCATATATTTTGAAGCTCAATTAGGTGAATATACAGATTTTATGCCCTCCTTCCAAAATGCCCCTTAGTCATCATATCTCAATTTTTAAATGTTAGTATTTTTGTCTAACGCTTTTTGGTCTTATATTAATATAGATGCTACAGAATTAAGTTTAATGCTTTTATTTTTATCATTTCATATTCATTTTATATTTTATCTTTCCTTATTTTAAATTATATATCATATAAATACCATATAGTTTTATTTTTTATCCCAACTGACAATCTCTGCTATTAAATGGAGTGTTTAATTTATTTACATTTAATATCATTATTTATATAGTGAAGTTTAAGTCTACCATTTACTATTTGCTTTCCAGTTGCCACCTCTTTATTTTTTCTTTTTCTTCTATCCCTCCATTTATACCTTCTTTTGGGTAAGCTCATTAGCTTTCACATGCTAATTTAAATTCCTCTACTGCTAGCTTTTTAGAATCTCTTTAACTATTCAAATAGGTGTTCTAGGGCAGTATTTCTCAATATTGTCACTGTTGCCATTTAAGCCTAGATAATTCTTTGTTGTGAGGGGCTATCCTGTATATTGCAGTATGTTTATTAGCAGACTTGGCCTTTATTCTCTAGATGCCAGGAGTACTCCTCCAGTTATGAACAACTAAAAATGTTTCCGGATATTTTCAAATGTCCTATGAGAGAAAACAATCACACGTTGTTTAGAATAAGTGCTCTAAGGATTAAAATTTGTAATAACAAGTTATCACTATTGACTTAAGGACAATATTGTACCACTTCATATAACATGTGAGAACCTTAGACCAGTAAAATTATTTTATCTCCTCAATATGTGAAACTATTGTGTATATATATATGATATTAATAATATATTTACATATATGAAAGATTATCTTTTATATTTATCCAAGCATTTAGCACTTCTATTACTCTTCATATTTTTTGAAAATAAAAGCTTCCATCTGCTGTCATTTTCCTAAGGAATTTCAGTTAAATTTCTTAGATACACTGATAACATTTATTCTCCATTATTCTGAAATCTGAAAATGTCTTGAATGCACCTGCGTGTTTGAAGAACATTTTTACTTTTTAACATTTTATTGGTATTCCATCGTCTTACCCTTTCCATTGGTGGTAATGAAAAGTCAGTCATCATTTGTATGTTTCATCTCAAATATTTAATATGTTGTGTTTTTTTCTGGCTATTTGTAAGATTTCTCTTAATCTTTATTCTTGAGCTGTGTGACTGTAATGTGTTAAGGTGTGTCTTTGGATTTATTCTACTTAGGGATTTGCTGTATCTTTTATATTTTTCACCAATATTAGGAAATTTTTAACTATGACCTTTTCAAATTTGTTTCTCCTCCATTCTCTCTAACCTTGCCCCCTGGGATGCCAAATAGGGATCCCTTCTCAGGAACTCCCTCTTCTTTATGACTGTGTCTTAAAAAACTCAGAAGCTGCAATAGTTGGGAAGCTGAATGTTTCTACTCTGATCAATGACACCACGATGAGCTGTTTAGACCCTTTCTCTCTGTGTCACAGCAGAGTAGCGCCACCATGCGAAGACTTGAGGGCTTGACAGGGTTTACTTCATTTTATTCTCTCAATGGTCACTGAGCTGTGCTCCATGTTTTCCAATGCCTGAAAAGACTGGCCTCGTATTTAAATCAGCCTTATAGTTGTTTTCAGCAAGTCAGCATGAATGGCACTAGAAGAAAAAGTCAAAGTTCTATATCAACATTTAGTCTGATCCCCTTTCTTTATTTGTGAAGGCATTATCTAATGTACTTTTTAAAAGCCGTTACTGGTTAAATCATTCTCCAGAACTTAACATAAAACGCAGAAAGATAAGCCACATGCAGTGAAAAATTCAAGATATATAAGTTCCAATCATAATACTGACAAACTATATTGAATTACAGCATTTTCTTTATGATACACTAAAATTATTAGCCATGAGAAAATTGTATAGACCACTTCACTATTATATAATTATTGACTGAGCACAATAGCACACAAAACACTGAAAGGCATATGTATCAGTAATGTAATATAATGGCACATACATGCATATTACACATCTATATATTTCAACCAAAATGTGTATAATAATAAGGATAATGATGATGGCTAACACGTTTTTAGTGCTTGCTGTGTGCCAGACATTTACCTGTATTAACTACATTGATCTCTACAAAAAATCTATGAAATGAATATAATCATTATTCCCACTCTTGAGATGAGTAAAGCAAGACCATGAGAGGCTTAATAATTTGCTCACTTACAAAGCTAGAATCACCATAAACCTTTTATTCTTGAAAAAATAGTATACTTTTATTTTTTATTCTGAGAATTTGTGAACTAATTTCCTGACTCAACTTGTTATTGTTTTTATGGTTAACACCTTGTTAACTGTGGACAGGTGTTTCCCAATGAGGGAATGAGCTCCAACCAGGTGTTAATGAAAGGAAACCAGAAAGTTGGGTTAATAAGACAAGGAAAGTTGCCATGTATTTGAAATAGGGCTGTAAATAGGCTTGTTCTATCAAGAGAGAGATACTGTCTTTTAAAATCTCTTCTAGTTTTTTTTTTATAAATTGTCAAGAGCCTTTTGTATTTGATTTTGATTTTAGTTTGTTAACATAAAATTTGATGATCTGATTAGTGTAAATAGTTTTGATAATGGATTTTCTTATCAAAATGAGTGCTTTATGAACCCTCCTCTGAATATTCTTTGCTAAGTTGTACACTTTATAATTAAAACATTAGAATAAGAGTAACCATGGAGGAAGAAGTCACATATATTAATAATAGTTGTGACAGAAATAACTTTTTCTCATGCTAAGCATATTCTGTCAATCCTTTGCTTTATGCAGTAATGGAATTAGATAATATATCATGACCTGCAGTAAACCCAAATTTATATAATATGCAGGTTTTGTGAATAATTATATTGATATTTCTTTGATCTGCACAAATGCAATTGTATATGTTAGAAGGAAACTCCTAGGCACTTTTTCACAAAGATGGTTATAGCAAGAAGGCATAATACTTCTCCAAAATCGACCTAGATTAAGAGTTTAAATATAATGGTCAGAATATCTAATTTAAAATGGAAATAATAAAATAACATTTTATGACTATAAGGTAAATAAACATGAAAAGTATTCATCAATCTGGTGAGAATGAAGTGAGTTATGTGTGTGTGTGTATATGGTAGAAAATAAATTGTTAAAATAAACCAAATGTTGTGTAAAGTAATATAGTAAAGGAAGAGGGAAGAGTGTAGAAATGCCTTAATCTGTATGAAGAGATAAATAAAATGATACTTTTATATTCAGTATTTTTATTACATGCATGTATGCTACCGAAATAATCAGAAATGTTGAAACGTTTTCATTTGAGTGTTAATTTCAAGATGAGTGCTATAGAAATGAAGTAAGGGGTGTTTGTAATTTTAAATAGAGTGGTCATGGTAGAGCTCACTGAAAAGGTAATATTTGAACAAAGACTTGCATGAAGTAGATATTTTTAGTGTTTTTTTTTAACTCTTAGATCTTAAATATGTTTGAAATTCAAGAATCCTTGGAAATTAGATTCTTTTTTGCCTCCCCAAAATAGATGGCCAGTAGTGTTAAACCCAAACCCGGTTTCATTCATTGTGTTGCTATGTCAACATTATTATATGCCAATCACTCACATATTCATGGGCTTATTTCTAGGATATTTATTAAACACCATTGGTGTACATTTTTAAAATTCCTGACTGCAAAACACATGGTTTAATTTAAAAGTTTTAATTTATATGTGAATATGATATATGACTTATATATTTGTATTATAACATATAGTATAATTATATTTTGAGATCCGATAATTACTCCTCTTTTATTTTGCTTGTATTTTTAAGCTTTGTTTAGATTTATAGTTACCTATAGTAATCAGAAACACCTGGCCAAGTTTTAGAAATAATCTGTAGTAATGGGGATTTTTATTATATTGAATTTATAAATGAATTTGGGAGAACTGTCATTTTCTAATTCAAATATATGATACACTTCTCCATTTAATCTGATTTTTTTAACATTTATAACTTAAAGTTTTATTCATTTTAGGTTTATTTTTTGCTACTATTTAGTTTTTGTTTATTATAAATTTAATATTTTATATTACTTTTTAAATTAATGCAAATACATTTTTATGTATATCAATGCTGCATCTAGCCATGTTGTTAAAACTTCTTATTAATTATAATAATGTGTCCATTAACTTCCTTTGATTTTCTGGAGATACATTATTACTGCTAATAAATAATGTTATTCTTCTCTTTCTCTTCCTTTATTTTTGTGTTGACTGGAAACTGCAACTATTTTGAAGGTTTGCTCTGTACTTGATTTTAATAGAAATATCTCTGTAGGTTTAATGTTAAGTAAGATAATTGTTGTAAGTCTATAGTTAAAAATTTTAATCAAAGTTTCCATTTCTTCATAGTTTGCTAAGATATTTTATCAAAAATGTGTGTAGAATTTTATTTTTTCCATACTTTTTGTAATGTAAAGTACATGAATAGATTTGTTTAATGTTACAAGATATTTTAATTCCTAGTTGCTTACTATGTATTTTTATCCAGCACTAAATAAATTTTGTAATATTTATACGAAGTATTTTTGCCTTTATATTTATGAGGTTTTCCCTTTGCTGCATCCTAGTATTATTTCTTACAGTACATTTAGTGGTTTTTTAGTTTTTTGTTGGTTTGTGATAATTTTATAATTTGAGAAACATCTATTTTTCAAAAATCAGTAGAATTTGTCAATGAAATCTGAGATTGGTATCTAATTGTGAAATTAAATACCAATTTTAAAATGTATGGTTATTGGTAACTTTAGATTTTCTAATTCTTGGGATACCTTTACTAATAATATTTTTCTATAAGTTTGTTCATTTTATCTTGTTTTTATAGGTATTGTTTTAAATGTATATGTATTCACCAAAATTTCAATTTCATCCTTACCTCTATTCAAACTCAAGTTTCAGATTTATATATTGCTTATTTAAACATTTTTACTTTTTTTGTCCACACTTGTTAAAACCGTATGTATTTTACTTTTTTTTTTGAAAAACCAGATTTAGAGAATATTGATAAACACTATTTTATTCTTTTTTTTAAAAAAAGATGTCTGCTTAATTGCTTTTATTCTTCTCATTACTAAACAAATTCAAAGAGATAAAAAGAGAAATTCTAGTCACATATCTAAGATCCAAATAGTCCACAGATTAAAAAAAATAATAATGTCTTAGGCCCAAAGGTGTCATAGGAGCCATAGATTCTTTATGGTGACCCACGATGAAGCCTGAATAAAAGACTAGTGAGAACCAGGATTGAGGCTTAATTCAGTAGGCACTGGTGTGTCTGAACTGATGGACTTGGTCGCTTCCCATATTGTGTTCTCAAGCGTCTCTCCTGAATGATCAATGCCCATATCAGAAGGGTTTGATAAACATTTTCATTATCACCTCTACTCACAAGACTGACATAGTGAAGACAGGGGCATATTAAGAGGGTATAACGAAATGCAGGGGCAGGGGTTATATTTTTAAATTGGTAGAATATTTTTAAAGTTTAAATATATTTAAATGTTTTTTTTTTTTTAATTTCACTCAGTCTGGGCACAAGCTTGTTAGTAGATCTTTGATGTTCTGTAGAAAAATAAATATTTGAATCCAATTACCATATTGAAAATATTCCTCTAATGTTTTAATTCCCTGTCATTTATCCTCCATTTGTCTGAAGTTGCTATTCGGAATTTTAAATATTTCATTTACATAAGAATCCTTTCCTTAGCTCCAGACACTGTGAATATTTTTTATGCAGATTAAAGTGTACTCATATAAAAACTTCAGGAAAAATACAAAACAACAAAATCCCAGAAGCCAAAATCAGATTACAGACCTAATAAGCTCTGTGAATTCATATGTGCAGCAGCTGCTGCAGAAATGTGAAAATGTCACCAGGTAGAATGCAATTTAGATATGATATCTATTGTGCATGTGTTTATTATTTTCTTTATCTTGGGACAGGAATTTAATATTTTATAAATCTCCCAAAATTATTATGCATTGTGTAAAATTTCTAAGGTCAGATTGTACAAAGATCACTGTCTAGAAATACGGGTTATCAAGTATAGGAAAAAGCAGGATGATTTTTTCCCCTAAAATCCTACTAGTGAAATTTAAGAAAAAAAGTGTAATGAATTTGAAAATGAGAGACTAACATATTCTATTCCCCTAAGCACTTGAAATTTTCTAATGAAGGAAACATCTCCTGCTGAGCTTTTCCTTGGAAAACCCAATAAAGTTTTTATTAAAATGAACAGTAACAGAAAAGGCAAGTTTAATGTCAATTTTCTGTGTGGTTTCATAAGAACATTTTCTCATAAAAAGCATTGAAGTCCTTTATTAAAAAATCAGTAAGACTCAAAAATGTAGTTTAGAAAAATAACTATTAATTAAGCTTTGAAGCATATTGTATGATTGGAAAAAAAACAATTTATATAAAAGTAAAATGAAAATAGATGCCTTCTGAAAATAACTTAAATCAATAATGGTTTCATCATGTAGTTAAAACAGAAAACTTTGGACTGAATATATGAAACCAAAAAGTTATCAAGCAACTGTATATGATCAACTTCCTCAAGTCACCTAACCTTGCTTGAGCCCAAGACTCTTTAGTAGGAAACGATTTTATTTATGAACAACTGAAGGCTCTTTCACTATGACAAACATCACATTAATAGGCCATCTTGATGTTAAATAAACCAAACATCATCCTTAGTATTAAAACAAAAGGATCATATCTTCAAGTGTGAAATATACTTAATGTAATATACTTAGAGTCCCACATCACACTGTCCAAGTGAATTTGGAGAACATTTTCACTTCCTTTTGTCAGAAAAACAAAGGAGCTTTGTAATTTATAATCCTGAAGGAAGCTATGAGCAATAACTAGCATTTTGACTTAAAAAATGCTAATCAGGTCAAGTAGCTGGATAAACATGGACATTTTACTTCTTTGCTTCTTAATGTTGGAGGTTACTCGATTAAAAAAACCTTCCACTAATTGTATTTTTAGATATTATAATGTTAAAAATACATAAACATTTTTCATGAACTATGAGTAAAGTGTAAGCATCTTCTTAAATAAGCAATATTTACTCATGACTTAATACTAAATTTTTAAATTAGGTTTTGGATTTTGCATTTCAAAAGTCATTTACAAGTAAAATGTATTTCTCAATCACCTGCAATGGGACATTGTCTCACACTTCTCTGTTCCCAGACTTTTTTACAAAATGCCCTGGTATGAGCCTTACTGGGTCTATTGATCTTATCTTGAATGCATTAAACGTTTACAAGGTCTCCTTTTTGATATTTCTTCCCATAATAATTTATCTTTAAACTAGGGGAAGGGAAGATACACAAATAATATCAACACATAATGTGCGGCTCACAGTCATTAAGACACACACTGAGAAATCAATAGCTTTTTATTCCCTTTTCACAGCATTAAATCAATTATTTTGTCTTAAGATTTTTGATCCAAGAAATGTGCAGTGCACAACTGAGACTACTTCCCATGCCTGCCCTTCCCTCTGCTTTAGTCATTTGCAATAATGACTCAAAACTGTAAACAAAAAAAGAAAAATTAATGTTTTTTTTTCTCCCTCTTCTTGTCTCCAACAAGGTCTATCTTCTGGAACTTCTCTCGCTTTTTTTTTTTTTTTTGGCTAAGTAGGACTTTTGGACTGGAAGATGGTACTCCTTTCATATTCTCTTCCTTTGAAAATATCGACATAGATTTCCTGTTTGATTTAGCGTAACTGAGCAGAACAATCCTGAAATTCAGCCTTCTAACAAATTAATGGGAAAATAATGGACAATTTATTGTTGGAAGGAACATTAGGCCTTAGCAACCCTGATTCTTCCATATGTCTATGAGGAAATCCATAGTTCAACATGGTCAGAAGGTCTCACAGTTTTTCAGGGCAGAAAGGACTTAGAATACAGGTGTAATGTCAAACACAGAACTTTTTAAACAGTGTGATTTTATAAAGTGAAGGATCAACAAAAACATATATTTAATTTTTTTTCTATCTGTTACAATAGAAGGTTATTTTTGGTTGATTTTGTTAAAATATTTATTGATAGATAAAACTCTTCCTCAAATAATTCGATGACTTGTTGCCAAGGCTACGAACTTTTCCTCACCATTTGGAATTTTCTGTGCCATCAATCATAGACTTTAAGTCATTTTATCTGAATTTTATAGTGTAAAAAAAATCAGAATTCTGACATTTGTCTGGGTAAAGAACCTATAGCACAAGACAAAAATAATATGTGCCAAAAAGCCACAAACTCCGTCCTCACTTTTTTGACTTACAAATGCCCAATGATTAAATTTAAAAGGAAGAAAAGTCCCCTCGCAGTGCAGAAAACAAGCATTGTTATCACATCTGCATTCTCAAATAAGTTTTAAAGGATTTTCGATGAAAGATTATAATCCACAATTGCTTAAATGGGTCAAAATGTAATTGCATTCAGATTGAAATGATTATTTGTATGGTCTATACTGTTGTATTAGCCAAGCTTTCAACCTTGTCATAAAATCAATTTGGTGATCACAATAAAAGATTTTTATGTGTTATGGACTGAATGTTTGCCTCCCCCACCCTCCCACCCCACCATTCACATGTTGAAGCTTTAATACCTAATAGGATAGTATTTAGAAGTGAAACCTTTGGGAGGTAATTAAGGGAGAGGAGGTCACCAGGGTAGAGACCTCATGAAGGGATGAGTGCCCTCATAAGAAGACATACTAATGAGATTGCTCTCTCTTTCTCTCCCTGCATTCACTAAGAAAGCAGGTAAGTATTCAATGAGATGGCTTCCAAATGAAACCCATCTTGCTGGCAACTTGATCTTGGAGTTCCCAGCCTCCAAAACCGTGGAAAATACATTTCTGTTTAAGCCACCCAGTTTATGGCATTTTGTTATGGCAGCCTTAGCTGACTAATACATATCACAACATAATAGAATATATAAGAACATATAAGACCTGAAATTGTAACGGCTTTTGGTTTGCTTCCAGATACGGAATTTTTTAATAAAAAAGAAATTAACAAACTTAAAAGATTTGAATTATATGTATTAATTTTTATCCTTTTAATTACTTATATTATTTACTTACTTTCACATTTGCAACTTATATAACTTCCCTGTCCCTTATCTTTAATGAGTCCATATTCAATGCTTTTATTTTTATGTTGGATACATTATAAGAATTTAAAGGAATAAAAAATTATACTGTGTGTTTCTTCTAATTTCATTTATTTTTTCAATTGCAAGCATGCTGTATTTATTGTAATTTTTCTATTATGATCTTACACAATGCAGTTATGGTAATTTTGCAAGTGTTTTCTATTTTAAACAAGCAAACAGATAACAGATGATAGATAAATGAATAAATTGATAGATAAGCAGACAGACTTATTGGAAGTATGATGCCACTTTATTTTACATTTATCCTCTCCTGTTTATATACAAAGCCTCTTTCAAAATTGTGACTAACATTTTATGTACTCAGCTCTTTGGGGGAGAAAGTGCCATTAGGAAGAATATTACCTCACCAATTTCACAAAGACTGGTTCCAAAATTTTAAATGGAAGAAGCCAGTTATTTCTCTTTACCTTCATCAGCAGAATGTGAATTTGGAAATAATCATATTAGTCACTTTTACTTTCTTCCTACACAATGAAAATATGTATTCAGAAAAGTTCAATCAATTTTATTAATACATCTATGATTTTCTGAGAGTCTTTTACAGTAAAATTTATATCTCAATGTTAATTGTTGTATGGATACTTATTTTTCATTATATAATGTCCAAAAAAAAGAGAATGTAGTTATGTTAATTTATGTATGGAGGAAAACCATTGATTTTTGGCTGCTTTAAGAACTAAATACATATGACTCAACATAGTTAGGAATGTATATAACAAAAAAGAAATCAAATTTACCCTAAGAAGATTATATCTTTTTCATGTATTGAATATCTTAAAATGAGCATAGGGGCCGGGTGCGGTGGCTCACACCTGTGATCCTAGCACTTTGGGAGGCTGAGGCGGGCGGATCGCGAGGTCAGGAAATCGAGACCATCTTGGCTAACACGGTGAAAACCCGTCTCTACTAAAAAAATACAAAAAAATTTAGCCATGCATGGTGGCGGACACCTGTAGTCCCTTGCAGAGAGCTGAGATTGCGCTACTGCATTACAGCCTGGGCAACAGAGCAAGACTCCTTCTCAAAAAAATAAAGAAATAAATAAATGAGCATAGGTACAATGTATCCAATATAAAAGTCTGAGTATCTTTGATTGTCTAGACCTTCTTTTGTAAATGCAAAATGGCTGACTCAATTTCAAAAATCACCAATGACCCCCTTGCAGGAGGAAGAATAGTGGACTATCAATTACTAGCCAATTTCCTCTTTCCTAGACGCTTTCATGAAAATAATACTAAACAATTTATAATGGCAGCACATCTACCAGACTATATATCATAGCCATCCCTTGGCATTAAGGAAGATTGAGAAAAATAAATTTGTAGCTTGATACTTTTTTTTCCCCCAATAAAATTGAGTTTGTCAGTAAAGAAGGAGAGACTGGCAGCTGGATAGGCAACTTGGAGTCTCCTAAATTTCCCACTAACTTTAAACCCAGTCAACTAAAGATAAAGTGAGAATGAAGAACAAATAATTTTCAGGCATTACAAAATTTTTTAATGAAGGAAGAAATCAGTACAACCTATAGCCAAAAGCAAATGTTTAATGGTAGCAAAAAATTATTACAACAAACAACAAATAAAACCCTAGATAAACTCCAAATGAGAGGTTTGGTTGGGAAGCTGAAAGGGGATGTGAAAATATGTTAAGTTTTTTAATATTATAAAAGCTCTAATGTATATAAAGAAGTTAAGACATTGACAGCAAAAAACCTGAATATGTGGATGTAAAAAATAAGCATTAGCTGCTAGAAGAATAAAATTATACACCTATATTATATATATTACATATATTTTACGAAATATTTGATTAAAAATAAAATTAAAAATTACAATTATTTCCCATGAGAAATCCCAATTATTTCCCAATAATTCATATTTGAGTGAAAACTAAAATAAATAATATATAAAATAAACAAGTAAACATGGCCAGAGGTTTAAACTTATGAATCAAAATAATAAGTATAATTGTCAATTTTTCTCAAAAGTGACATATAAACAAAAGTCACATCTGACAAAAGCTGAAGAAACAAATCAAGTAAGTGGATGTTTTAGATGAAAATAATTTAAGTCAAAGAGCATTTAAATGGGAAGAGCACCAAATGATAAAATAAATCATCAGCCTTCATGCATTTAACAACATAGTGTTGAACCATGGAAAGTGTAAGTTGAGAAACATATATATGTTGTAGAAAATAGCATTTGAGGTTATAGTCATACTATGTCAGAGTATAATAAATAATAATGTTTTAAATTAAGGTTGTTTTATAAATAAGCACAATTTTATGTGTAGTCTGTATCAATTAGGTTTTCCTGTGTTTAAAAAAAATACATAAAAACGTAATGGCTTATTAAACAACTGTTTAGCTCTTGAGACTGTGGTTTCTTCCAGGTGGCTTTTCTGCTCCTCTCCACCTGGGTTACTTCTGCATCTGCAGTCAGCTGCCAATAGATTAGACAATGTCGCTATTATGAACTGGTTGACTGTCTGCTTGTGTAATGGTAACAACTGAACCATATGCTACCGTTATCCAACAGGCTGTCCTGGGCTTGTTCATAGGATGGTGGAGGATTTCCAACATCTGCAAGTGACAGCACTTTACAGGTCTTTGTTTCCATCACATGTGTTCTTATCCCATTGTTTAGCCTAAAGTGTGTCTATTGCAGTTATTCTCTTCCACATCACCACTGTATATTAGGAGAATAGATACAATACACACACCTATTAAAAATGAATAAGAATGAGAGGCACATGACAATCCCTGTTCATGGCAATTTTGAAATCCAGACAGCAAGTATTGGCAGATGCCCTTACTTCAAGGACAGAGCACAATTTTCTATTAGGACTATGTTCTGCTCCCTGGGAGTAGATTATCAGTATCATGCCCTCTAATGCTCTCTTGGAGTGGCTTCTTCATTCATCATTGTTCTCCATGGCTCTTGGCTCTGACTTCTGGGACCTTAGCTTGCTGTCTTGGACATTCTTCACATTCCATAAGAATTATTCCATGTTTGCATCTGACTAGCTTCATCAGCCAGGTTCCTGGCCGTAAGAGTTTGGGGATTCAAAAGTCTCTTCATTTTGAGCAATCTCTGTAAATTTTAGTCCAGGCTAGCAGTGTATTTGCCAAAAAAAAACTCTCTTAAATACTGTTTTGAGTTTATATGCATCTTATGTGTGTCCTCTTCATGTCTCAAAGAAAACAACCATAGCAGCTTTTCTTTCTTTTTTCTTTTTTTTCTTAATAATGTAACAGGCCTCTCTACAATTTGGGCATATTTAGCTTTAGTGGGTTATTAATGACCTTAAGATCCATAGAAGCACTTTTATCAAAGTGAGAAGGTATACTAGGTATTGTTTTAATTCTTTCAGAGATTTTAACAAAAGGACTTATATTTAACAAATTGTTATATTTAACAAAATGAGCCTAGCTATGTAGTTTGAGTTAATTTTTACTCTGAGGTCATTTTTTACTTTAAGAATATTTTCATGGCTGAGAGTCTGGAATTGAAGAGCAGTTTTATTTTCTAACACAGCAAATTTTGGTCCCTCTATAGTCCCTCTAGATTCTGCATGCAAATTAAACTGTTCTTTCTTTAGCTCATCTCTCTCTTCTTTTTTTTTTTTTTTTCACACACAGCTAAAAGAATCCAACTGACATTTTAAACATTATGCCTGGAAATCATCTTCACTACTAGATGCAGTAGGTTTATTTTCTTTTAATTTACTGCAGGCAATTTTTGTTCTATCTCAAAACATGTGTTGCCATTTTTTCAACCTACTATAGCAGCTTTATCTCTGCTATTATAGCTTCCACTACTAGCTGTGGCCAGGACTAGGATAAATCAAGCGAGACATCTATGGTGAAAAATTTAAGATAGATAATCACACTCAATGTTGTGCTTGTATTACCGCCATAAATTGTATACTGTAGATGTCTTACTCTTAAGGATTCATTTCAGTACATATTGTAATTTTTAAGAATTTATTATGATTTATTCACCATTTCTCCAGTCTCCTAAAGGTAACGCCGCATGTTCTAGGTTTTTGTTATGGTAGCACCCTACTCTAAGAACCAATGTCTGTATCAGTTAGCCTTTTTTGTATAACAAACTATCCTAAAATTTAGTGACTTATGTAACAGTCATTTATGTGCCCCATGATTTTGCAGATCTGCAATTTGGGCTACCTGCAGCCAATTTGAGCCTGTTAAGTCCAGCTTGGATCATTCATTCATTGAGTCAGCTGTCAATAATCTAAGTGACTTTTCACTGCAGAGATTCAATGACTAACAGCTGAGAAGCTAGGTGATTCTTCTAGCCTGCAGCAGACTAATAGCTAGACTCATATATCCATTAGCCTGCAAGTTGACTATAACTAGTTGGAATATGACAACCTAACCTGGAACAGGGGCTTCACTGCATGTAGTGTCTTTTACTCTAGATTTGTCCATGTGGCAATCATGGAGTACCAAGAGGAGCAAGAGTGGAATCTATGAGATCTCTTTATGCTTATGCGTGGAACTGGCACAATAGTACTTCTGCTATCATAATTGCTCTGCTGCCCCAGATTTGGGAACAAGTGTAAGGCTTCTTGCAGTTATACTTGCAAATCAGGGGAAAATATCACAGTTTCAGTCTCTGAACCCAGTGAACCTATTGGGCAGGAGTACATCTATTACATGGTCTCCTTAAACCTTCACTCCTACCAGGACCCATAATAGCATTTTGGGTTTCCTGATATGAATGTTAAGCCATAATCTGTATTCATCAGCTCTTCAAGGGTCTGAATACTCCCCTTTCCCCATTGTACTGTTAGACTAGAAATTGGCCATGGGTAACTTTGTCATTTCATTTGCCAAATGGATAATTATTTAAGTAATGGTTATCTTATGTATATATCTGTTCTTATATAACTATTTGAAGGGTTCTTCCTTAAGGAGTCCTTTCTTAAAAAGTTAAATCGATGAATTCTGAGAGTGAGAATCAAATCACATGTGGAGATGGAAGATATCAAAATTTTCCACTGTGATGGCTGATACTGGCCTTCTGCTTGCCAACTCACCTTTTCTGGTGCCATAGTTCAATAAACATAGTCTGGCTTCTCATCCATCTTGTGTCTAAGAGTACCATGGTGTTTTAGCCATCATACAGACCCATGCAGGTTAAAGGAGCTGAGCTTTGAAGCAATACTGAGTTCGCTGCCCACTAGAGTAATTATATCCTCTTTGTCATTGATGTTCAAGTGACCTCACCTGGCTTCTGTCTTAGTCATCTCAGGCTACCATGACAAAATACCATAAAGTGTGTAGCATTTAAACAACAGAAAAATATATCACAGTTCTGGAAGTTAAAAACACAATATCAAGGTGCTGGAATATATATATATATATATATATATATATATATATATATATATATATATATATATATATATATATGTATGTATGTATATATGTATGTATATATATATGTATGTATGTGTATATATATATGTATGTGTATATATATGTATGTATGTGTGTGTATATATATGTATATATACACACACACACACACACACACAGAGAGAGAGAGAGAGACAGAGAGAGAGTCTTGCTCTGTCTCCCAGGCTGAAGTGCAGTGGAGAGATCTCGGCTCACTGCAACTTCTGCCTCCCAGGTTCAAGCGATTCTCCTGCCTTAGCCTCTCAAGTAGCTGGCATTACAGGTGTGCACCGCCACCCCCACCCCCAACAATTTTTGTATTTTTAGCAGATGGGATTTCACCTTGTTGGCCAGGCTGGTCTCGAACCCCTGACCTCAGGTGATCTGTCTGCCTCTGCCTCCCAAAGTGCTGGGATTACAGGCACGAGCCACCCACTGTGCCTGGCCTGAAATATTTAAAGCCTGATGATTGCCTCTTGGTTCACAGATGGCAGTCTTTTCTCTATGCCTTCATATGGTAAAAGGTGTGAAAAAGCTATCTGGGCTCTCTTTTACAATGGCAGTAATCCCAGTCATGACCCAATCAACTCCCAAAGGCCATCACAATGGGGATTAGTTTATAACATTTAAATTTGGGGTGTATGTAAAAATTCAGTCTATAACAAGTCTTCAGGCTGGGTATGATGGCTCACTCCTGTAATCCCAATACCTGGGGAGGTTGAGGCAGGCAGACCACTTGAGCTCAGGAGTTTGAGACCAGCTGGGAAACATGGCAAAACCCTGTCTCTACCAAAAATACAAAAAAAAAAAATTAGCCTGGCATAGTGGTGTGTGCCTTTTGTCCCAGCTACTTGGGAGGCTGAGGTGGGAGGATTGCTTGAGCCCAGAAGGCAGAAGTTGCAGTGAGCCAAGGTTTCACCACTGTACTCTAGCCTGGGTGACAGAGTGAAACCCTATCTCAAAACAAAACAAAACAAACAAACAAACAAAAAACAGTCCCTTGTATTATAAAATTTCAGCATCCTCATTGGTGCTTGGAATCCAGTTCTATATCAGCATCTCTCAACCCTGGTCTATAGTTCATCACCTCCATTAATATTCTTAAATATGTGGTTAACTTTTATTATTGCCTATTGAATAGAGTTTCTTCTGAGTTTTTTTCTGGCAAGTTTATGCAAGGTGTGGATGCTCTGGTCTAAAATAATAAACTCGTTATAACATATGACTCAGTGAATTTTCAGACTTTGTCCCAATTCTGGGCCAAATCCATTCTGGTATCTCTGCTGTAGGACATTGACATATCTAAGCTTCAAGGAGTGATTCCAGCAGCATATTACAATTTGTGACAGGAGTCCATGCCAGGAATTTCAACTCTGACTCATGGTTCAGTGCTCTCATGTCAAAAATTTTTCTCACTTACAGCCTTTTAGTAAGCCCCTTCTTATCTAGTATTCACAATAACCACCCATACTTGTATTTTCAAGTTACTAGTATATGTGCAGGGAGATCATACAACTGTTTCTGACTGAAAACTATTTCCAGGGAAGAGTCTATATTTCTCTGCTAAAGTTGTGCTATGACTTCTTTCTAGGTGTTTACTGGGAGACAATGAGGGATGGGGAATACCTGCATTGAAGAGGGAAAGCGCCACTTTATAGGAAACCTTCCTGCATTGAAGTCTGCAGTATTTCAAGCTAAGTAGGAGATTACTTTTCTCTAACTGAAGGAAGGAAGGTTTTCTATCTGCCTGGAGTGTTCACATACTTGAGATTCTCAAACTCATCAATAAAAAGGCCTAGAATATCATAGGGAATCATCCTTTCCTGTCAGGTCTATAATTCTGGCGTATGACATAGATACTGTTCATAATTCTCTTTTGTGGCTTTTTCTACCCTTAAAATTTGGTTATTAATCTCATTTTCAATATAGTTTGCCTGGAAGTTTCAGGAGATCATTTAAGTGGTCACATTGCAGCCTTTTGGTTTTCACCGTGGACCTTGAGGTGATAGTTAATGACTGAGTTTGTGATGATCAAATAAACATACATTACTTTACCCAATGACTCAAATATTTAATTTCCATTGATCAATTCTTGAGAAGATACAGGAGAATATGCTCCACAAAATGAGGGAGTAAAATGAAAACAATGATGCCATCGGATCCTAGAAACATGAGAACCAACATGGAAGAGAAAGAAAGATAATTATTTCTGGTGTTGGCAAAGGGATGTCACAGGACAAGTGCTTTGAAGCAGGCCTGGAGGACCAGTCCAGGTTAGAGGAGGATGGAGAATTCCATTTAATCATACAAGATTGATCAGACACAATAATTGTGGCAGACAATAGGGGAATATATATAATGGATAATTATAAAGCTATTTAAACAAAAATTTAGCAAGAATTGACTCCAAAAAAAAAACTTATTACTAGAAATAAAACAATTTCAGTACACAGGTGACTGAGCTGTGAACAATGTTTACGTAGTTAAAATAACATAAACGCTAAATATTTGTGAAGGCAAAAAATATAGTATAACTATATTAGAAGTGTGAGAGAAGTCTACATTTTTAACATAGTAATAGAGACTGTCAAGTTTTTATATTTTCTAAAGAAAATCAATAGATAATATTTAAATTTAAAAATAAAAAAGCATCAGAAAAACTATGTCACCTAGAAAGAGGAATTTAAAATTTTAAGAGTCAGATAAAAATAAAAAGAGTCAGATAAAGAAAAGAAAAACCAAGAGTCAGATAAAAATATAAAATATATTTAACTCTGAAAATAGGTATCTGCTGAGGATTGAGGCAGAAGACAGTTACTTAGTCTCTTAAATCAGTTTCCTCATTTGTAAAGAAGGGTCACACAACTAGTAGGAGGACTTAATGAAATGATCCACTGAAAACATCCACCACTCTTCCTGACACTTAATTGCTACATACAAAAATATAAATATTGTGATGGCTAATTTTATGTGTAAATTTGCTTGAGTTAATGGACACTCAAACAGCTGTTAAAATATTATTCCTAGATGTATCTGTAAAGGGAATTCTAGAAGAGATTAGCATTTGAATCATAGACTGATTAAAAAGAGCCATCCTTACCGATGGGCAGGCATCCTCCAATTCCACCGAGGGTCCAAATAGAACAAAAAGGCAGAAGAAGGGAGAATTGTCACGCTTCTTGAGCTGGGACATCCATCTTCCCCTGCCAGCAGACATTGGGCCTTGGTACTCCAGGAGGATTCCTTCCCCCTCCAACACTCCCACCCTTGCTTTTTAGGCCTTTGGCCTCAGACTGAATCATACTATTGTCTTTACTATGTCCTTTTGCAGATCCTAGGAATATTTAGTCTCCATAAGTGCAAAAGCTAACTGCCATTATAAATCTCCTCTTATATCTACATATATTCTATTGATTCTGCTTCTCTGCAGAACCCTAATGCAGACATAACTGATTATGCTCTAGTAATCAGATTTTTAAATTGTCAGCATATCAGTGAAGTTACTATGTTCATTGTATTCACTGAATTATAACTAGTAAAAAAATCACAAATACAAATAATTATGTTGAAGTTGTTCCTATGATTCCCTAAATTGATACCAACCCTTATGCAGTTTGACACTTTTAGCTAAGTAAGGCCTATATATGACTCAATAACATGAGAAAATATAACAATAACTCATATGTGCAAATAACTGAATAACAAATGCAATTATTTTGGATAATTCTTCTAAAAATAATAAAAATGTAGTAAATAACTTCAGGTCATTGAAAAGACAGAATAGCTAAAGATTTTCCTAAACTAATGTTTCCTTTGTGCCTTGATGTCACTCTATATGGGTATCATATGTAATGTTCAGCAAGTGTCAAAGAGAAATACAGTTGTGGGCCTTGGTCTTCTTCAATGCAAGCTAGAGATAAGGAGAAAAAATGCATTCAATGTCAGTGCTTCGATGTAAGTTAGAAGCTAGAAAACATGAAAATGCTGCTGGGAAATGTAATATATGGAAATTGGTTTGCATAATCCTACTTTCTGACAAAGAATGATGGTTTCCCTACATTTATCTATTTGATATCATAAACTGCTTATCTCAGCTGCAGGGCTGATACCGCTTTCCATGAAGCAGACAGTGAATCATAGCTAAATCAAACACCGCAACTCTTTTAAATGTAAGGATGTGCAGTTTGTTTATCTCCCAATGAGGACACTCCAACAAATGCATTTTCTTTCCAGAAACAACTGAGTGAAGCTATTTTAAAATCTGTTTAGTTGAGGATAGATTTTCATTATTTATTTATCAAACTGTTCTCTATTATACTAAATCCAAAGAGAAAAATGTACCTTAGTTACAGAAAGTAAATAATTGGCCAATTGTACTTTACCTTTATCAAATCTACCATCTTATAAGCATTAAGATATGTTTCAATAATATTTTTATTGATAACTGTTCAAAAGAATACATTGTGTTTTAAGAAAAACTATTTCTATTTGTTGTTATAATATGTATCATCTAAATAATTTCTCCTAATTATAAATATCACCTTGAGACACACTGTAGGAATAAGATGGATATTAAAAGCAATTATTTTTGGTTTAGATAATTTGGATTTTTTAAAGGAACTTAAACAAGAAATATATATGCCAAGTGGAAGAAATTACTGAAACAAATGAGAAACAAGATTTTTGATAAGTGATATAAGTGTATACATAAATATTGAGGGAATCAATGTGAGAAAACAACTATCAGGTAGAATTAGCTAGTTCTTGAAATGAGATTGATCAACAGTTGGTTAAATGAATATATTCAAATATTTTTCTATAAATTTATTCATAAAGATATTTAAATCACCAAGAATGTGAACACTATTAGTGAAAAAATATTTCTTTAAGTTTAAATTACCAGTCTATCATTTACTATCTGCTTGATTGGGCCATATATGTAACATATTATCTGTAACATGTTGATTTAACTCACATCTCAGGGGTTGTTTGGTTATAAAAGATAATTTATGTAAGTAAAAATAACGTATCTTGCACAGAGTAATTACTCCACAATCATGTTTCCCTTACTTTCCTCACTTTTATTACCTCTTCAAAATACCCTAAGAAAGTTGTGTATTTTGACTATGTATTTAAAAACGCTTTTAGAGTATTCTAAATAAGGGAAAGGGAATGCCACCTTAGCAAACAGATCTGTACAATGTCAGCCTTCTACCTGTCAAAGGTTTGCAACCTAGGATGGTTCATCTCAGGAGAATTAGGAAATTATTGGACACATTTTTGGTTATCACACTATGGAGGTGCTACTAGCATCTAAGAGAATAGCCACACTGCTGAACATTCTGAAATCCACAAAATATAAAGAAGAGCCCTCCTCAGGCAGAGAATTATCCAGCACAATCAGTCAATACCACTGAGATAGAGAAACGCTGGTCTATGCATGAGAATGGTCCATCATGTTAAATAAAATGTATAAAATAAGTAGAAACAGTCCATTTTTCTTTACAAATATGACTTGCCTTATAAATTTTAGGACAGGAAAAGGTAAGAATGAGAGAAATGTAGCACGAAGCAGCCAAAAAAGGATTTTACTGACTGAAAGACATAGGTTTGCATAACTGACTCCAACAAGTGAAATCTATGAGGAAAATGGGCAAGTTACCCCAATGTCTTGGAGCATCAGTTTCCTTGGCTAAATATAAGAATAATAATGCCTTCCTTTCAGGGTTATAAAAATTAAATAAAATCACAAATATAACATTTCTAGCAAAATGTATGGCACTGAAGTGATGTCCCTCAAATGGCTTTGATTATGGAGATGTATAGCCAAGAAGAAAACTTACTCTGAGATAAACTTATTTTCTTGACCAAAGTGATTTTATTTTACATTTTAAACTGGAAGTTTGGATTCTGACTTTGGAAGCCAAATATTTACACATCTTTCTGTTAGATCAAAGGGCAAGGCATTCATACCGCTAAGCACTCTAAATCTCTCATTGTCAACCACCAAACCCTGCTGGCATTTTTCTACAGCTATTTTCACCACATGTAACCAAACCTCCAAAATTTCAAGAATAATGCCATGTAAAATCTTTAGCATACTGTAGTTATTCTGAGTTTCCTACTATACTCATGTAAAAACAAACTACAATTTTGCTTGTTTTCTATTAATATATTAATTTAAAAATCAGATAAGGGATATAAGGAAAATTAATTAGAGAACATCACAGCATAAAAAAGAAAATTTCTAAAAACTCAAATCACAGTAGCCATGAACTGACTAAAAGAAAGTCAGACCATTTATATGTGTATAAATATATATATATACATGTATGTAATATATGTATATATAATGTGAATATTGTAATTTATTATTTATTTCAGCATCTTTAAAGTTTCAAATAGTTTTCAGGGAATACAAGTCAAACTATGTATTTAATCCTAAGAAATGCAATGGAATTGAAAGCTCTAAAGTACATTATTGAGAATTATCAATGACACTTCATTACTAATTAATAACAAAAATGGATATTTGCTACTTCTGAATTCAAATACTAGTAAAAACCCTGTATTATTTTGCTTTTATATTAATATTATCTTGTATGTCCAATAATAGATACATTCTGAGCTCTTGAAAAACAAATGGAGCAACAAAGAATAAAAATAGAATTTATTTGTCCTATGTTTTGCTGTAACTTTAGAACTTATATTTGAATTGAATAGACAAGATTTGTCAGTTATTGGGAACCTACCAGCATATACAAATGAGTGCATAGTGAAATGTTCAATTGGTTTGAAATAAAACTTCAATAGAATTACAAAGTATTAATAGCTTGGAATTCTTGCAATTTTTCGTACAATAAAAATAAAACTTGTCTGTACTTTAAAAGTAACTGGAAACTAGAGTGGAAAATGTAGCACATGTAAATACACAATATTGCTTTAAGAAAATATTCCTTAGATAAATATTGAATGCTAATGGAGTTCTGAAGAAAGGGAAGGGTCCCTACTAGGTAAACTGTGAAGTAGATACTATTCTTTAAATTTTAAATTTTTGTCTTTTATAAATGTCTTATCGGCAGACAATAACTGACCGATGACATTAATATATAATTTGGAGTAGATTGTGTCAAATTTTACTGGAATTTAGAGTTTCCTAATGGAAACATTCCAAAGAAGTAAAAAATGCCACCAGAAGCCAGAAGATATTTAAAACAAAGAGAAAAGAATAATGTTCAACTTTGTCTTCAAGTAGTTATTGTACTGATAGTGGTGTTTATAAAGCTCTGAGAGATTGCTTTCATGTAAAATTATTTATCTAGGCAAAGCATCAATTAATCTTAAAAGCGAAATATACTGTCTTAGAAGTAAAATAACTTAAAAATTCACTCCCTTTCAGGTAAAACAAAAACATTTGAGGGTATATTGTAGCAAAGCAAACATAACAAAAGCAAGTGAATAATAAAAAGAAATAGATGTAGGATACAAGAAACAGAGATGGAAAAAATAAATACTGATGATTTGAATTTTCTAAACTTTGAATTAAGGTTTAAAAATTGTTTCACATTGAGCAAAAGAACTTTTATATCACAGGATGAGGTAAGACAATATAAAACTAACAAAAAATAGGCAACAAAAATAACCCTTCATAATCTTCTAAAAGCGTTTTATGCACCCCTAAACAGGAAACAGGGCTTCTAGATTCTGCCCTGAGATATACAGAGCTAGAAGACCACTTTTTTTTTTTACTACTAACTCCACCTTAACAATGAATAAGAGCTAAACTAAGTCATTCAAATTAATGACTTGTTTGGATCCCATCAAAGAGCTGAGTTGAGTTCACAGTGCAACCAACTGGCACCCATCAGGAGAGGCAATGCATGCAGGGGGAGGATGCACAAGGACACAACACCAAACTTAGGTTGATGGAATTGGATACTCGTAAGAAGAGTTCAGCTAGAATAATTGGCAAATTGGTAAAGACTGAGTGCAGACTGTTGAACAATGTGAAATCCCTAGAAGATCAAGAAACTGGGGAGTCAAGACCTTTCTTTAGGTTCTTACTTGTTATGGTTAGGCTGTGTTCCCACCCAAGTTTCACCTTGAATAGCAGCTCATGTGATTCCCATGTGTTGTGGAAGGACCCGGTGAGAGGTAATTTAATCATGTGGGTGGGATTTTTCCTGTGTTGTTCTAGTGGTAGTAAATAATTCTGATGAGAGCTGATGGTTTTATAAATGGTAATTACCCTGCACAAGCTCTCTTGCCTGCTGCCATGTAAGAGGTGACATTGCTCCTCTTTTGCCTTCCGCCATGGTTGTGAGGCCTCCCCAGTCATGTGGTACTGTTAGTCAATTAAACCTCTTTCCTTTATAAATTACCCACTCTTGGGTATGTCTTTATTAGCTGCATGAGAACAGACTAATACAGTAAATTTGCACCAGTAGAGTGGGGTGCTGCTGTAAAGATACCCGAAAATGTAGAAGCAACTTTGGAACTAGGTAACAGGCAGAGGTTGGAACAGTTTGGAGGACCCAGAAGAAGACAGGAAAATGTGAGAAAGTTTGGATCTTCCTAGAGACTTGTTGAATGGCTTTGACCAGAATGCTGATAGTGATATGGACATTAAAGTCTAGGCTCTGATGGTCTCAGATGGAGATGAGGAACTTGTTGGGAATTAGAGTAAAGGTGACTCTTGCTATGCAAAGAGGCTGGCAGCATTTGCCCCTGCCCTAGAGATGTGTAGAACTTTGAATTTGAGAGAGATAATTTAGGGTATCTGGGGGAAATAATTTCTTTAAAAGTTTGGAAAATTTGCAGCCTGACCATGTGGTAGAAAAGAAAAACCCATTTTCTGGGGAGAAATTGAAGCAGCTGCAGAAATTTGCATAAGTAACGAGGAGTCAAATATTAATCAACAAGACAATAGGAAAAATGTCTCCAGTGCATGTCAAAGACTTTTGTGGCAGCCCCTCCCATCACAGGCCTGGAGGCCTAGGAGGAAAAAATGGCTTCCTGGGCCAGGCCCAGGGACCCCTGCTCTATGCAGCCTCAGGACATGGTGCCCTGTGTCCCAGTTGCTTCAGATCCAGCTATGGCTAAAAGGGGCCAAAGTCAAGCTCACAGTGCTGCTTCAGAGTGTGTAATCCCCAAGCCTTGGCAGCTTAAATGTGGTGTTGAGCATCTGGGTACAGAAAAGTCAAGAATTGAGGTTCAGAAACCTCTGCCTAGATTTCAAAGGATGTATGGAAACTCCTGGATGTCCAGAGAGAAGTGTGCTGCAGGGGCAGATCCCTCATGGAGAACCTCTGCTTGGATAGTGCAGAAGCAAAGTGTGGGGTGTGAGGCCCCTACAGAGTTCTCACTGGAGCACTTGCCTAGTGGAGCTGTGAGAAGAGGGCCACTGTCTTCCAGATCCCAGAATCGTAGATCCACTGACAGCTTGCTCCGTGTACTCGGAAAAGCCATATACATTCAACACCAGCCCATGAAAGCAGCCAGGAGAGAGGCTGTACCCTGGAAAGCCACAGCGGCAGAGCTGTCCAAGACCATGGGAACACACCTCTTGCATCAGCGTGACCTGGATGTTAGACATGGAGTCAAAGGAGATCATTTTGGAGCTCTAAGATTTGACTGCTGCATTGGATTTCAGATTTGCATGGGGCCTGTGGCACCTTTGTTTTGACCAATTTCTCCCATTCAGAATGGTCATATTTTCACAATGCCTGTACCTGCATTGTGTATAGGAAATAACTAACTTGCAATTGATTTTACAGGTTCTTAAGCAGAAGGCACTTGCCTTGTCTCAGATGAAACTTTGGACTGTGGACTTTTGAGTTAATTTTGAAATGAGGTAAGAGTTTGGGGGAGTGTTGGGAAGGCATGATTGGTTTTGAAATGTGAGAACATGAGGTTTAGGAGGGACCAGGGGTGGAATGATATGGTTTAGCTGTGTTCCCACCCAAATCTCATTTTGAATTGTAGCTCTCATGATTCCCATGTGTCGTTGGAGGGATCTAATGGGAGGTAGTAAGCTTTCTTGCTTGCTGCCATGTGAGATGTGACTTTGCTCCTCATTCACCTTCCACCATGATTGTGAGGCCTCCCCAGCTACATGGAACTGTGAATCAATTAAACCTCCTTCTTTTATAAATTACCCAGCCTCTGGTATGTCTTTACTAGCAGTGTGAGAATAAACTAATACATTCCCTCACAAACTACATCAGGTACTCACAGAAAAAAAAAATGGAAACAGACCCAAGAAAAGAGGTACCCTTAAGGGAAGAGAAGAAAAACCATGTTGGAGGACAAAACATTTACCAAAGGTGGTATGTTGTGTAATAAATTGCTAGGGCTGCCATAGAAAACTACCACCCAATGTAGGTAACCAAAATAACAGAAATGTATTGTATCATAGTTCTGGAGGTTAGAAGTCCAAGATCAAAGTGTCATTCGGGTTGAATTCTTCTGTTGACTTTGAGGAAAAATCATTTTTATTTCTGTCTCTCTGGTGGTTGCTGGCATTCACTGGCTTGTAGACAAATAACCCCAATCTCCGCCTTCATGTTCACATGGCATTCTCCCTTTGTGCATGTCTGTCTCTGTGTCTAATGCTTTTCCCTTTCAAGAGCACATTAGTCATATTGAATTATGACCCACCCCAATGACCTTATTTTAATGTTTGCTTATTTGCATTTTTACTACTTCATAAAAATTCTGTCTCCAAATAAGGTTATTTTCTGAGGTAATGGAATTTAGGACTCCAATCCATGTTTTTTTGGGGAGCACAAGTCAACCCATACTATTGCCTTTCTACACTACAGAACATGAGTCTTTATCTTTGGGAAGGGCAAGAGCAATTGCTGTCCTTAGAGCACTGGCAAAAATTCACTACATTTGGAAAGGGAATAGGAGGAGAAAACATCCTATTCCTGCTGAGGGGCAACATTATGTGCTGAACCTCCAACTGTAGTTGAGTGAAGACCGAAAGAACCAAGAACCACAAGCCTCATAGACTCAGGGATACAATGCATGCCTAAGACTGAAACGTAGTCAGAAAAACAGTGATCACACCACTTACTATAAGCCAACAAGTGACAAATAACAAGTGACAATAGATTACTGTTAAAAAGAGTTGCAAGAGAAAAACAAAAACACGTCTATACTCTCTTTGAGGCATAACACAAATGGAAGCTCTAAATCTCAGAATCAAACAGATGTTGCTCTGGCAAACCATCCTCCACCCTACCGACTAGATATTGCTACAGAAATTTGAAATCTAATGTGCAGTGAGTGTAACCATAGCAACAACAAATATCAAACCTAGTCCAACTGTTAAATATATTAAATAAATCTCCACTGTAAAAGTCTGGTGGAAGAAAAAGAATACACATACCCAGACACGAAAACTTTCTACATTTTACTTGTCCCACATACAATGGCTGCCTAAAAAAAAATTATAAGGCATAAAAAGGCAAGAAGAAACAGAATCTGAAGAGACAACATGATCCTAAGAATTAGTCTCAGATATAACACAGCTCTGACAGGAAATTTCAAATAATTGATTAGTAAGTTTATAGCTCTTATAGAAAAAAAAGGACAAAAAGCAATACTATTTAGTATACAAAGCATCATAAAAATCAATGGTATTTCTAGACATTAGCAAGGAAAATTTAAATTTATTATTAAACCATTTACAATAGTATTTGTAAGAGGAGGGAGGCAGGAATGAAGAAAGGAAGAAAGGAAAGTGTTGTAGTTGAATTGATCCAAATTCACCCCCGGTAGTAAAATGTGGCTGCATTTAGAATGATTAAAAAGGAGATTAAGTTAAAATGAGGTCATTAACATGTGCCCTAATCCAGTTTGACTGGTCTCCTTGTCAGAAGAGGAAGTTTGGACACACAGGGAGGCATCAAGTGTGAGTTTATACAGAGGAATGACCATGTGAAGGCACAGCAAGAAGGCAGCCACCTACAAGCCAAGGAGAGAGGCCTCGGGAGAAACCTGCTGACGCTTTGATCTTGGACTTCTAGTCTCCAGAACTGAGAGAAAATTAATTTATATTGTTTGAGCCACCTAGTTTTTGTTAGGGTGGCCCTAGAAAACTAATACAAAGAGAAGGAATAAAAGAACAGAAAGGAAAAAGATATAACTCCAACAAATTATCTATAGAATTGTATGATAATAGTGACAATACTGAGGAGGAAATTAAAGAAAAGCTACATTAATAAAGAAAGATACTCTGTTTATGGACTTGAAGCTATTTTCAAGGGGTAAATTCTATCCAGTTTGATCTACAGATTCAACACAGTCTCAATCAAAATCATGGTAGTGTTCTATCTGTATTAACAAGAAGATTCTAAAATTATTGTGGAAAAGCAAAAGCAACTAAAATAATCAATGTAATTTTGAAAAATAAGAACAAAGCTGTTGAAGTCCACTACCTGATTTCATGATTTACACATAGATCAATGAATTACAATACAGAATCCAGAAACACACACACACACAGCAATAGTCAAATAATCTTTAATGAATATGCAAAAGAAATTGAAAGAAAGAATGGTATTTCAACAAACGTTGTTGGGACATATAAACATCTATACATCTGTATGCAAAAAAATCAATCTGGACACATCACACATTATACAAAAATTAGCTCAAATTACATAGACCTAAATATAAAACATAAATGTTCTAGAAAAAAAACCTGCATGACACTGGCTTAGGCAAACCATTTTTTTAAATACAACACTAAGAGTACAATCCATTAAAACACTGGAAAACTAGAAGTAATCAAAAATTAAAACATTTTGCCCTGTGAAATATATTGATCAGCAAAAGCAAAAAGAACTCTCTATAAACAGGGAATTAAAATTTGTATGTCATATCCTCATAAAGGAATTATATCTAGAAATTATAAGAAACTCACAAAAGTCAACAATTAAAAAATGAAGACTCAAAAAAGAAACAAAAATGAAATGGAGAATCCAATGTGAAAAATTAGGCTAAAGGCCTCAACAGATACTCAGCAAAGATATTAAGATGTATGGATGACAAAACAAACAATAAAAAAACCCAAAAAACAAAAAAACCATGGAAATGTGCTCAATATTTTTAGTCATTTGGGAAATGTAGAGTAAATCACAATGAGATACTACTAACCACCTACTAAAATGTTTTAAAAATGGTAATATGCGCTGTGAGGATGCAGAGCAATTGGAGCTCTCCAATAATTTGTGGTGGGAGTGCAAAAATGGTAGCCACTTTGGAACATTTTCCAGCAATTTCTTAAACGGTTTACATGCATTTGCCTTATGACCTAGATTCCCACTCCTGGCTTTCTACCTACAAGAAATGACAATATATATTCACACAGAACTCAGTATGAAAGAAATGGAAATATCACGATTAGAACATGACAATAATAAATTGCTAAAGGCAAGATTCTACTAATGAATTCAGAAATTACAGGGAGAAAGCTTAAGCCAAACCAAGATATTTATTTAGTTTCAAAGTATCTCCTCCAAAACATTTAGTAATTACAAAGACTGAAAAGAAAAATTACTGTAAAGAATCCTGACATATCCCACCTGCTACAGTGTGAATGCTTGTCTCCTCTCCAAACTTCAAGTTGAAAGTTAAACCCCAATGTGATAGTATGATAGTAATAAGAGGTGGGTCTTTAGGAGGTGATTAAGTCATGAGGAAATTAGCTAGGTCTTTTTTGTCCTGTCCCTTCCACCATGTGAAGACACAGCATTTGTCTCCTCTGGAGGATGCAGCAAGAATGCTCCATTTTGGAAGCAGAGAATAATAGCCTTCACCAGACATTGAACCTGCTGGTGTCTTGTTGTTAAACTGCCCAGCCTCCAGAACCATGAGAAATACATGTTTGTGGTTTATAAATTATCTAGTTTCACACATTTTTGATACAGCAACACAAATGGATTAAGACATTGCGGTGTCCAAGTGATCAGGACCAACAGTAATGGATAGTTATTTTAGATGACTCCAGATCTGATGCACATGACCTTTTTTGCATCGTTCCCAATAATTCATCACCTCAATCTGAGTAGGAGAAAATATGAGGCACACCCAAATTGAGAGACATTCTACAAAATAATTGACCAATAATCATCAATGATATCAAGGTCTGTAACAATGTGGACAGAATATGAAACTGCTTCAGATTGGAGGAAGCTAAGGAGACATGACAACTAAATGTAATGTATGATTCTAAATTGGATTTTGGAAAAGATAAAAGACATTAGTGCCAACACTGATAAAATCAAAATAAGCTCTTTACTTTAGTTAATATATTGCACCAAAGTCAGCTTCACAGTTTTGATAAGCATTCTGGAGTTATAGAAGACATTGCCAAAGGAGAAGCTGGTTAACGGTATATGGGAACTCCCTGCAGTATTTCTGGAACTCTTCTTTAAAACTAAAATAACTCATTTTTTTAAAAAAGGAAGTAGATATGCATTCTTCCATTTCCTATTCCCTTTTCTCCTTTGAGGGTGACTGCATGACCAGAGTGAAGGAGTCAGCTGAGCCTAAGAGGTAGTGATACTGAGGAGATGGTAGCAGGGATAGGTCCAGGGTGTGGTAAAGCCAACAAGACCAGCACTTTCCTGCTTTCCTCTGGCCTCTAGTGATGACTTACTATTCTTTAAATTCAGGAGCTTTTCTGATTTTAGCTCTCTGATTTGAGTGTGGGACACCTGCAGAATCCATCTGCTATTGAAAATTTCCAAACATAAGCCTCAAATTGAGATTCACAGAATTCACAATTGAATTCACAGAAGATTCAAATCTTCTAATTTGCCTTTCCTCTTCCTCTAAGAGACAACTAGGAAAGTGTATGGGAACCTCTACTTACTCTGCCCTAACCTCCAGAACTTTGATCTTAAACCTATACTTTTAACTTTCACTTTACACCCAGGAAATGAAGTTGTATTTACTCATCTGTTGCTAACAAGTGGAATATGATGGTAAAATGAAAGTTCTAACAAAGACTTTGCAAAAATGATATCAGATGCACAAATGACAGGCGGCCCTACAGGGCTAGAAGGAAATAGGTGGACAAGAATTAGTTAGACAACTATTTAAATTTTACTTACACGGCATTAGTAAATATTTCAAAAGAGCAGATATGAGTATTTGTGAAAAGAGGTTTTGAAGGAGTGGTTGGTATAAAAGAGGAATGCCTGCTCCTCACAATAAGCATATAAAGGGGTGCCGTGGAAAAAACCTGATATGTGCCAGTGTAATTGAGGGAAAGAGTGGACTGGTCCCTGCTGTAAGAGATTTGGGGATGAGTGCTCCTTGTGGAACAGATGTGGGCCAAGCGTGAGAAAGAACCACTGTGGAGTCACCTTAGTTCCAAAAGAGCCACCTGAAGAGTTGAAGAGTCATCAGCAGAGAGAAGTGGAGCTATTTATAGAATCCTAGAAATTACAAAATGTGTAAGTGGCCAGCTACAGGAAAGATGCTTTTGTCTCAGTCAAAGGAGCTGTAGGTGGAAGATCCCAATGAAGAGAGATTTCTGAAGAATACACTTATAAGAGACAATTCTAACCACCAGCCAGATGAGGAGGGTATGATTCCAGCTCCCGAGAATGACCAGATGTAATCATTTTCTACCTCCTCTCCTTTCATGTTCTCCAAATTTAGTACTTTATCTGAGGGCTCTGAAACCACACATAGAAAGCTGGAGAGTATGGGCAAAAATGACAGGTCTATGTAGGGATAAAAGAAGAAACCACATATGTCCCTATTCTCATTACGATGTTCCTATCTGTGGCAGACCCTACATGATGGAGAGAATAAGACAATTTTAAACCAAAAGTTATGCCTAATATACAGGCCTGGACATTTTAATTACTGATTGGAGAAGCTTGTATCAACTGAGAATGACCAAAAAAAAAACCATGGGACTTGCTGTAATTTTTAATCAAGACAGAGAAAAACATACTCATTGAATGACTTTAACAGTTCAGTGAAGATGAAAATAAAGAGGTTTAATTATTTATGCTGTAAGGTGGTCTTGTTTAAATGATCAGTAATTTGATCATTTAGTATTTGCATTTCTACAATAAATAATAATAGTTATTAATAACTAATAAAAAATAAATAATAGTTATTGCTTATACAGGTTGAATACCTGTTATTCAAAATGCCTGGGACAAGAAGTGTTTGGGTTTTGTTTTTTTTTTTTTTAAGATTTTGGAAAATTTGTATATACATAAGGAGATAGTTTGATTACGAGACCCAACTCTAAGCACAAAATTTATTTATGTTTCATATACACCTTAAACATATAGCCTGAAGGTAATTCTATACAATATTTTAAATTATTTGTTTAATGAGGTAGAGTTTATGCTAGGTACTTATGTGTAGAATTTTATACTTGTGGTATGATAGTAGTGTTTCACGTTTCAGTAAAGTTTCAGATTTTGGAACATTTGGGATTTCAAATATTTGGATGAGAAATGCTCAGCTTTTTATAGAAAATGAAATGTAAAAATTTAAATAAATCTGATAGAAAAATATAGGTTTTAAAAAATGTTACATGGAAAATTCAATATCAATGAAAATTTAATTTAATTTAGAATGCCTCTGCACTACAGGATGGGAGAGGTGACACATGCCTGTAATCCCAGTACTTTGGGAGGCCAAGGTGGGAGGATCACCTGAGCCCAGGATTTCCAGGCAGCAGTAAGCAACGATCATGACATTGCACTCTGGCCTGGGTGACAGAGCGAGACCAGGTCTCTAAAAAATTAATAATAATAAAACAAAATACCTCTACAACTGGCCAGACATGGCCAGAAGTTAGGAGTATTATAATATGTATTATGCATAATGGAATTTGATAAAGTCATTGCTCATTAAATGAGCATAATACCTTTGGAAATACCGAGAAGGAATCAAGGAATTCCTGCAAAAGTTAACCTCCGTCTCCATAAGAAACATTAGTTTGGTTTCCTCCTTTGTACTACTTGTGAAAGTAGAGAAAGAAGAAGATAGACTACCAGGACAAGACCAAAGCAGAAGTTCTACACAGATGCCATACACAAAAGGTATTTGCGTGCGATAGGGCTTGGAAAGGGAAGCAGAAAGGATTGGCCGTCAAAAAGTGAGCATTTTGAAAAGTGCCAGAGACAATGGGATGAAATTACTGTATCTATTTTAGAAGACAACTAAGCATTAAAGGCATATTCACAAACATATTGGATTAAGGCGAAAATAGAGACTGAATGCCAGTCAAGGTCAATGAACTGTCATATATTTCAAGAGGAGAAAATTTAAAAAAACAAAAAACAAAAAACAGAGACTTTGTTTTCTTTGTTATAAATGGGCATTGGTTATAACCAAAGTAATACAAATAGCTATCTTTAACCATAATATTATGTGGCTATAAAAGGCGGGGGGTTAAAAGTGGAAATTTGGGGAAATACTAGCATACAAGTCCCTGATAGGGAAAGAGAGAAATGGAAAAGGAAGATTAAGAAAGGAAACTCAGAAGAAGCAGTCAGGACAAGTCAAATGTGAGAATGTCAAGAAGGTCAGGTTCAGCTGAAAAAATCAAGCAGAGGAAAGTCGGAAAATGTCCTTGGAGTTGGCAATTCAAAGCTCACACATGATTTCAAAAGGAACATTTTCAGGAACTTAGTCTACTCAATGAAAACACAAGAATGAGTTGAGTGTTAATGTTTCTTCCATCAATAACAATTCTGTAATCTAGGATCTAAGTTCTGAATCTGACTTGAAATATGAAATGCTTTAATTACATGTTTTACTCTAGTTGCAGAAGTGATTTAATTGAACATTCATTTATTATAACCACAACAATTGACTATATGTACATGTCCGTGTATATGTGCCCTCAAATGATACAGCTTACATAACAATTTGGGAGGAAATTATTTTGAGGGTTAAAGAAAAGGGTTTATTAAAAATAGATCTCATCCATTGGTCTAGTGAAAATTTACTGTTTGTCTTTCTTTGCAAAACAGACATTGGTAGGAAATAAAAAATATAGTTAGTTTAATTTAAAATAATCTTTAAGAACTTTCTATGAATTTCTTCCTTCCTAATAATATCTGATTGTGGAGAAACAACATTCAGCCAGTAAATACATTTTATCATTCCAAAATATGACTATGTGGTTATCATGTTTTTGAAGACATTAAAATAATTCATGATTTAAGTAGTAATTCACGCTTTCAAGACAGGAACAGGTTATGCCATTCTATATTAATAATCCAATGCTTCCTACTCAATTCATTTCAACAATAGTCATTTTCTATTATGAGCAGCTACCTGTAATTACAAATTGCTTCCCTTTGTTACTCTTGTAAACATAATATTTGTGATATTTAGTATATCAAGTAAAAGATGAATTTCTTAAATTCTACATAAACTCTGGGAGTAACTAAGTCTCTTTACTTGTGGAATGATTTATTATAACGTTTATTTTGGTGCAATTGCTTTTGGCGCTTTCTAACACATTCCGTTTTTATGTGCAGATTTTTAAATAGGTTATACTTCTATTAATAAATAAATGTTTTAATACATTATAAAACCCAGCTGATGTATGAGAGCCATGGTATTATCTCCTGCTGCTCATCACAATTGAAGAATTAAGGGATTCACAGCATTCTTCTATCTGCTTTGAGATTTTGCAGATTTTCATACTTGTATCTCTGATAAGTGTATTTATCTGCTAAAGCTTAATATATAAAACTTTCCTTGCAACACTTTAAGATTCATAGGGACATTTCAACTTCTTGTAAAACAAGATGATAATGGAAATTTAGTTTACTGAGATACATAAGTAAACATAATATTGTTTCAAACATTAATGTGAATAAAAAATAATTAAAAATAAGTTTGGAAATCTTAAGCCAACAAGTATCATTTGATACTTTCGATTTTCAAGGAAAACTGTATGTTTAGATGTGACTCCATATATCCTTACTTCATATTTTGGTTTTGATCCACAATAATCTGTTAAAACCGTGCAAATATACCCCAAAAGTAAAAGTTGCTACCTAAATATGATCACTTTTAGCTTTACAATAGTTTTTATTAGTTTAAATTTTAAATCACTTGAGTTCTTTTAAACATCTTAATATAAAACATTTTTTAAAATTTTAACGTGTCTATACATAGAACAAATATTGAAGATGTTTTTATAATATATTTGAGCCACTGCCACATAATGGAAAGAATGTAAAATTGGTTTAAGAAAACATCTATCTGCAGAGTTAAATAGCTACATGATCTCTAGGAATTTATCCACACTTCCTGAGTGTTTCTGTGTTATTCAGTAAAATGCAGATAATGGTATTTTTCTTATATATAACTTAGGACTGTGTTAAGAATCAAAATAAGATATTACTTAGACATGTTTTACAAAGACCAAAGAATGATATAAATTCTAATAATTTTTATTATTCCAGCCTGATCTTTTAAAGCCAAATCCAGCATGTGGCCTTTTAAAATAAAATAAATTTACCTGATAATTTGGAATTTCTTGAAATATATAGCTGTAAACCTGTGAGTGGGCAGGAATTCATTCAGAAGTTAGACCCAAAAATAAATACTTTAGAAAGAAAGAATTTTATTTAATTGCTGATATTTAATTTGTATGAAAATGTATAATTATCTTTAGGCTTTGTAAAAAATGTATGAGAAATAAATATCATAGGAAGCAATCTTCCATCGCCATTCAGTCATCAGGATAAAACAATCCTGGAAATTTATGCCATTTAATGGAGCCATAATCCAGGGCCATTTCAAAAACATGTCTAATGGCTATGCCTAGATTCAAAATGTATTCTAGACCCTAATTCTGCACTGTTTGAAACATAGGTCAATAAACAACAGGTAATATTTGACTGACAAGATTTTTTTCCAACCTACACAATGTTTATAAATATTTTTTATTTTTTGAGACAGAGTCTCTCCCTGATGCCCAGGCTGGAGTGCAGTGGCGTGATCTCGGCTTACTGCAAGCTCCACCTCCCGGGTTCACGCCATTCTCCTGCCTCAACCTCCTGAGTAGCTGGAATTACAGGTGCCCGCCACCACGCCCGGAGGGATAGCATTAGGAGATATACCTAATGTTAAATGACGAGTTAATGGGTGCAGCACACCAACATAGCACATGTATATAAAAAATTTTTTTAAAAAATAAAATTTTCTCTAGTGCAACAGACTTAATCTGTCAGTGCTATCTGTAGCTCAACAGGTTACAAACATGTTCCATTTGAAATTTCTGTGGTAAGCATCCTACTGCAATGGCAGCAGACAAATCAAATCATCATAATTTTCCTGATACTGAAGAGTTTAGTACATATATTAAAGTTTTATCACAAATCTCAATTTCCTGTGACTAAATGAATTCATTATTAAGAGTTTTTATTCAAAGTTGGTATATTCCCCAAGGGGTGTTTAGAAAAATATGGAGCATTTTATTGATTAGGAAACAGAGATACATAATGCATGCAATCACTGGGACAGCAGGAAATAAAGAATCATCTTGCCCAAATACCAAAATGTAGGGTCATCTAAAAACACTGAGCTCCATGGTACAGGCTTGGTTTCTAACACCAGTTTTGCAACTTAGCAAGTCACATTCTAAGTCTTAGCTTTTTTTTCCCTCTGATGATATTAACATAATTATTTCTAAGCCTTCCTCCTGCTTTTATGGTCTGATTGTTTTATCGAGCAAAACTCGATATCCTCCTTTTCTAATGGTTTATAACAATTAGAGATATAGCAATACAGCTTAGCATTTTAATATATCTTATGCTTTTGCTCCATATTTTCTTTTGCATAAATTGTACGTCTGGAAGACATAAACTTGGATATACAGGGGTATAGCTATCTATATCAATATTTATATCTGTCTATCTAAATATTTCAATCATACAATACTAAGTGCTTAAATACCCATCATCTTCTACATATACATTCTCATGTTTATTGGCCTAGAAGTACAATCTGTTCTTTCAATGGAGAATATATAGATATATTTTTTCCAAAATATCACGTTTTCATTACTTCATTATAGTTTTTATAAATATTAAAATAATTATTACTTGGAAAATTGTTTATGGTTATAAATATGTTATTTCCATAAACAATAATGTATTGATAATGGCTGATTTATCAGTTCATTGGAACACTGTAGATTTGCTCTTCCAAGATCAGTAAGAAAAGACAATTATTTTAAAAATATATAATCATCACTTCGCTGGAGTAAAATGTTGAAAAATTATTCCCTTCCACGATCCATAGAAGTGTGAAACCCATTTAGTCAATCTTTTAGTTCAATCTTATCATTATGTGATTCTCATTTTGAAAAGATACTTTAATATTCATTAGATTACATCAGTTGATATAAGCTCTTCCTAAACTTCTCTATCTGATTAAATTTAAATTTTTCTTTTCTCATAACTCACACTTAGACATACTCTGAATTTATGAAGCTATCCGTGAGAAAGTCAGGATAAAATACAGCTTAGGTTTGTTAATATTTTTTAAAAAATGCTTTTTCAACAAACTCCCGAGTTCGATGCCTAACCACTTCTTTAGTTCTTTTCTTTTTTCTCCATTAAGATTTTCTACTGTTAAAAATAACAGCATTCTCAAATCATTCTACCCTCTTCCTAATGAACCCATTAAAATATCTTTTCATTCAAGAAGTATTAAACTATTATTACTCATTCATTTTGCTTTTGGCTTGTCATTCAGAAGAATGTTAAAGTTGTCTAAAACAACATTTATTTGAGTAATCATTTAGTCTTCTGCTAAATTTGAGCAATGAACTGTATAACAAACTTATAGGAATAAATAGAGAGCCAGTAAATAATTTCTGATAAAACTTGTTTCAAAGTATTCTTTAATTGTTCATTGGAACCCACTGGACAGCACAGATGGTTATTATTACTTTTGTTTTTGTTTACATAGTATCTTTTTTTCTTGAATGGCTTGTCTGAGATCATAGTATTCAAGTCAAGGAAAGAGAAGTACAAATATTTGGGATTGCTGCAATATTGAATTGTGAAATCATTTCAGGAGCATTATGCGTCGCTGACTGCAGAAGTCCCTTTAGAAGCAACTCACTAATGACTACTTGTAGAAAAATGCTTTTAATGGATTCTTTTTTTCCCTTAAGAAATAAATACATTAAAAGCAGAAAATATTGGAAGCATTATTTTAACTGAATGGTTAGTATCTGAAAGACTAGCTTCAGAAAGGCCACTAGACAAGAAAAGTAGTTATTCTTTTAGTCGGCAAACAATAAATAGAAAAGAAAATACTTCATTAATGTCCATGATTTTAAAGGATACCATTCTACCTTGAAGCATGAACCCAAGCGTATAAGCACATCTGAGACTAAAGACCTTCATATTGGCAAGTACTATAGAAGCTTTGTGTCTCAATGTTATTGGAACACACTGCTCTAGCTGACATCTTGGATAAAGCCCATCTGATGAATCCCACCAAGGACTTACCTGTAAGGTCTTATAATATTATGCTAATACACGTTAAATACAATATAAATGCAAAGCAGCTCATTTTGTCCTGGAAACAACCCTTGAAAAAGTTTCTATTCCTATTTTATAGGCGAAAAAGGCATACAACAGAGAAAGTACATGATATTGATCGAAGAAACCAAGCATTTGTCTGTTGATGAATTTTCCATTTGCTTTGTGAATGCAGGTACAATCAAATTGACTGGTAAGGTGAGCACAACTGCCTATCACTGTGCATTAGTGCAGAGTGAACGAGCTGTCCAATCTCTACGTACAGGTTTACAAATGGTGCATTGGTCAAGTGAACTAAATGGTAATATACTCATAGTGGAATCTAATGATTCAAACAAATATTCTACTTTAATATCAAATTAGACACTTGTCCAACAAGTTAAGAATAATAACCATAAATGTCAAAGATAAACTTCTTAAAAATGGGGGAGTAAAACTTGAATTGTGGTTGTAAAAATCACTCACATTGGATATTTGGTATTTAACAGGGTATTCTTCACACATTTTATAATTTTACATGACTCCAGAATGATAATCAGAAGATAAATGGGAAAATTTAATAACACTCAGAAGTGTCTTGATAATTAACTACTTACAGATTTTTACAGTCTATTGAGAATTGCATTACCAGATTTATTTCACAAAGCCCTGTCTGGGTAACTTATTTAAAAACTTTAATCAGTCTGGACGGAACTGGATTAATCTGCACTCTTCAAAGCAAAAGAAAAGAAAAGAAGGAAGGGAAAAGAGAAGAAAAGAAAAGAAAAGAAAGGAAAAGAAAAGAAAAGAAATCAGTAGCAAAAAGAAAGCAAGGCTTCAACCCAAGTAAGTTGAAAAGATGTCAGATTAAATAGCCCCAAAATACGCAACCATGTGCAACTATTTAGCATGATGGTTTGGTTTGTGAAAATCTCTCCCTCAGGAAAACACTTTAAGTATCTAAGGTTCCCAAATATAAGAAGGAATAAGTGAGAATTAAAGCATTACTATAAAATCTAATGAAATGAAGAAGTGTTTATGTCTTGAAGAAAATGAAGAAATGTTTATCTCCATTTCCCTTTTCTTTGACCTACATAAAAAAAAATACTATTTAACAGTAATTACTGAGGATATTTCTTTGATATTTTTAGTCACTAACACTCCCTCCTTCTTTATGAAAGTTTAAAGAATCTCAAATTGTTGCTATATGGTGACAATATTTAAGTTTGCTTTTGATGGCTCATTTATTACATAAGGCAGTACTGTGTAAGCTGTCAAAGTTGGAAGGTAACATCAGGAAAATTGAGAAGGAAACTTCTCTAACATTTATAAAGTGTCAACTACTAAGAACTATGCTAAGTATTAGGGGAGCACAAATAAATCAGACATTACAGCACTCAAGGTTCTTCAAAGAGCTCCAGGAAGACTTCAATCCGGCTGCTAAGTGATGCGTTGGATTTCAGACATACACAGATTCTGTACTGAAGTAGCATAGAAGAGATTGTAATCAGCTTCACATGTTAAGGTAGAGAAAGACTTCAGAGGTGATAACAAGAAAGCTTTGATTTTGACCTTGAATTGGAATTTTTCAGAGGAATAGTGGGGGTTCCAGTAATGTGAAAAGACAGTGCCTGCTTAGTTAATGATGACTAAGTTGTTACTGCCAAACCAAAAATTTGATATTGCTAATGAGGCTGTCTCTGAATAGCTCTATTCCTCTATATTCATCTGCTGTTATGACTAATAGACTGTCTCCTCTCCAGTTAGTCCGCTCTTCTCAGTCTTCTTCATGTGCTATGTTCTTTCACATTTCTAGACCTTTACCTACCCTGCTTTCTCTGACCGGAATGCTTTCTACTCCAGGTCGACATGGTGAACTACTTCGCGTCTTTCAAGACACAGCTTAAAAGAAGCAATTCTGACACATTTCCTTTGCCTGGTCCCTAAAACTTATGAGTTGAAAATAATTCTTTTTATGATCTTATTGAATCTTATCCTTAAGTATTCATTCATTCATTTATTCATCCAATTATCTACTCATCTAGTTATTCTCTCGTTCACTTGCGCGAGACATATTTGTTAACCCTTTATTATGTGCCAAGCACAATGCTAAGAACAGGAGATCCACTTAGAGCAAGAGAAAGAAGTTCTGATGTTAAGCTGAACTGAACATTACAATAGCTCAAAGTATCGTAGTTGAAAGTAATAGACAATATGTGAGATTGCCTAGGATATCAGTTGGGGATGAAAAAGGGAAATTTGATAGAGCAAGTTGAAGGCCACGGTTCAAGAAAAATAAACCACTTATTTCTGGGTAAACTCGTGAAACATGTAAGAAGTGCTAAGAAGTAAACTCAGAGATGATAAACAGTAACTCTAGTGGGAGGGGATTGCTTTTTAGGAAGCATACTCAGATATATATTTCTGAGTGACATTTAAATTGATATATTAAGGACATAAAAGAGTGGAGAAGAGCATTTCAGGTAAGGGAAAAATAAAACAAATGATAATGATCAGAAGTGGCAATGTACTTGGCCAGTTTAGGAATAGAAATTAAACCCGTGATGTAGGAACTTTGTTCTACCATTATATTCCCGATGTATAAAAAAATGTCTAACACTAAATTATTAACCATAGTCACTCTACTGTGTTAGTGGACACTTAAAATGTATTCTTTCTATTTAACTGTAGGTTTTCACTCATCAACCAAACTTTCTTTGCCACCACCCACCACCCTCCCCAATGATTAGAATGATTAGAATCATCCCAAGAAGAGATGATTCTAAATGTTCCTAACATGAAAAAAAGATATTTGTTTGAGGTGATGTATAGTTTACATACCCTGATTTGAATATTACACATAGTATGCATGTAGCAAAATGTCACATGTACCTCATAAATATGTATGATTATTGTCTGTCAATAAAATGCCAGACACATAGTAGGTATCTAATCAATATTTGCAGGTTAAATAAAAGATAAGGAAAAGGTAAATGATGCTGGAGAGTACAGAAACAGAAGAGTTATATGAAAGTAAAAAACTGGGCAGGGTAAGGCTATGGGAAGCTACACAGATCATGATAAAAATCTTGGATTTTATTACAAATTCACTAGTGGATGGTGAGAAAGTAAGTTCATGCCAGATCTAGCTTAAGACAGACAGCAGGTGTGAGGCTAAAATTAAATAAGAAAATAACATTCTATGGTGATTACATTGTCAAATATTCTTAAATGCTAATATATAGGATTCAAAAGTATGCACAGTAACAAGTTTGCTTACAAAATTCTCATGTGCTTAAAAAAGACTTGTTTTTGACTGTATGACATTTATTCAGGAGAAGGCAAAACTCTGGAGACAGTAAAAAGATCAATGGTTGCCAAAGGACTAGAAAGAGGAAGAGATGAATAAGTAAAGTATGGGGGATTTTTAGGGCAGTGAAATTATTCTATAAGATACCATAGTGATGAATAAATGTCATTATACATTTGTCAAAACCCATAAAAAGTACAACACCAAGAGTGAGTCCTAATGGACTTCTTCCAGTGACAATAATGTGTCAATGTTGGTTCACTGATTGTAACAAACATACCATCTGGTGGGGGAATTGATGGTGAGGAAGGCTGTGTATATGTGTGTTTGAAGGGTCATAGGGGGACTCTCTATCAAGTAGAAATATTTCTACAATGCAAAATTAATGATAAATAGGTACATGTAACTGGAGGGAGGGGATTTAATTGCAATGAAAATGTTGAGGAACACACTTCAGGAAATGCTGATGTTGGCAGACAGAGCAATCAGTTGTTTTAATTTTTTATTTTTTAAGTAGATTTCGGGGGTACAAGCGCAGTTTTGTTGCATGGATATATTGTGCAGTAGTGAGGTTTTTGTGTAACCATCACCCAAATAGTGTAAATTGTACCCATTAGATAATTTCTCATTTCTTACCCCTTATCTACCCTTCCACCTTTCCAAGTTTCCAATTGCTTCATTTTGAAAAATCCCCAAAGTAAAAGCCCCTAGTGAAAAGTTGCAAATACAAAAAAAATAATTATTTTAAAAACAATTTTAGACTCATGTTTCATCATTCCTGATAACTCGGGAAAACATTATTATTTGTGTTCAAGAAAGTACATTCTCCTACATAACCATAATAGGATTAAATCAGTAAATTAACATGAATAAAATACTCTGTGTAATCTTCATTCTCCTTTCAATTTTTACAACTTATCCTAATAATGCCCTTTGTAGCCACAGGTTTCATTTCAATTTTTTTTCAGGAGAGAAAGATTTTATTTATAAAACATATTGGGGTATTATCAGCATACAAAAATCTGTACATATGTAATGTATACAGCTGGATGAGTTTGGTGATAAATATATAGCAATGAAATCATCACCATAGCTATGTCATAACACACCCACCATTTCCAAAAATTTCTTCCAATTCTATTTATTATTATTATTATTTTTATGTGTTATAAGAACAATTAAGATCTAACTTATTCACAAAATTTTAAGTATACAATATAGTATTGTTTATAGGCACTATGCTGTCTAGTAGATTTCTCTCTTTTTTTTGCTTTTTTGCTTTTTTATCTAAAGATTTCTAAAATATATTCATCTTGTATAATTAAAACTCTGTACCCTTTGACTAATAGTGCCCTGTTTTCCCTTCCTCCCAGCTCCTGGCAACCGCTATTCTACTCTCTGATTCTATGAGTTTCACTATTTTCATTCCACAGGTAAGTGGCATTTTATAACATTTGTCCTTCTGTGTCTGACTTATTTCACTTAACACAATGTCCTCTAAGGTTTATTCATATTGTTGCATATGGCAGGATTTCTCTTTAATAAATAGTGTTGAGAAAACTGGATATCTACATAAAAAATGAAATAGGCCCCTGTCTTACACCATAAACAAAAATCAACTCAAAATGGATTCAAGACTTAATTTAAAACCAGAAACACAAAACACCTAGAAGAAAACAGACAAAAAGATACTTGACATTGGCCTTGGCAATAATTTTTTGGAAATGATACCAAAAGCACAGGCAACAAAAGCAAAAGTAGACAATTGGGACAACATCAACTAGAATGCTTATGCACAGCAAAGGAAACAATCAACACAATGAAAAGGCAACTTATGGAATGGGAAAACTATATTTGTAAACCAAATGTCTTAGTCCACTGAGGACATTATAACAAGATACAATAAACTGGGTAACTTTAAACAATAGAAACGTATTTCTTACAGTTATGAAGACTGGGAAGTCCACAATTTAGGGACTGACAAATTTAGTGTCTGGTGAGGACATACTTCCTAGTTCATACATGGCCATATTTTCACTATAACCTCACGTGACAGAAGAGGTGAAGAGTCTCTCTTTGGCCTCTTTTAAAAAGTCTCTAATCCTATTCATGTATATTTGTCATTACCACATAGTTACTTCCAAAATGCCCTACCTTTTTGTACCATCACGTTGGGGGTTAGGATTTCAACAAATGAATTTTCAGGGGATACAAACCGTTAGACTGTAGAACCATGTATCTGTTTAACGGGTTAACGTCCAAAATATACAAGGAGTTCTTACAACTCAATAGCCAAAACACCCCAAATAACTCAATTTAAAAATGAGCAAAGGGGCTCAAGAGATGTTTTTCAAAAGAAGACATACAAATGGCCAACAGGATGTGAAAAAGTGCTCAATATTGCTAATCATCGGAGAAATTCAAATCAAAGTCATGGTGAGATATCACCACCCACATTTTCAGGTGACTATTAATAAACAAACAAACAAATAAACAGACTACAAAAGACAAGTATTTGTGAGGATATAGAGGAAACAGAACACTTGTACACTGTCAGTCAAAATGTAAATTGGTGCAGTCATTATGGGAAACTCTATGGAGGTTCCTCAAGAAATTGAAACTGGAAAAATCATATGATCTAGCAATCCCAGTTCTAAGTGTATATACAAAGGAACTGAAATCTTGGAGCGATATGCATTCTCATGTTCATTACAGCATTATTCACAATAGCTAAGATATGAAAGTAACCTAAATGTCTATCAATGATTGCATAAAGCATAAAATATGTTATAAACATACAATAGAATATTATTCAGCCTCAGCTCAGAATTATGTGTTACAGTTAGGTTTCTTTTGTTATCTTTAGTTTGTATTGATTACTTTGATATTAATGATGTTGACACTTTTGAAGACTACAGGTCAGATATTTTGTAGAATACCCTACAGTGTGGGCTTGTCTGATGTTTTCTCATGACTAAACTCAGGTTATACATATTTGGCAGAAAAAAAAAGAAGTGATGCTGTGTTCTTTTCATTGTATTCTATAGGATGCCACGAAATTTCAGTTTGTTGCATTACAAGTTAGATTCACTTTGATGACTTGATTAATGTAGTGTGTGCCAGCCTTTTCTCACTGTAATGTTACTCTTTTTATTTTTGTAATTAATAAGTTATTTATGGGATTAAACTTAGTGCTATTTAAATATCCCATTCCTCACTGTAGCAAACTCACCGTAAGGTGATCCCTATTGATTCCCACTTTCAATCCTCTCTCTTTTAGTATGGGATGGAACTGTGGCTTATTGCTAAATAGTAAAATATGGCAAAGACAATAGGATGTCACAATCATAATTTGTTTTGTTAATGTATAAGACTCCATCTTGCTAGCCAGTTTACTCTAGAATTAGCATCTCTATTGCTGACCTTGGGGAAGCCAGCTTGAGTTCTACAGTCATAAGGAAATAAATTCTTCTAACAATGAGTGCATTTAGAAGCAGAACCTTTCCCATTCAAGTCTCCAGATGAGAACCCAGCCCTAGCCAATTCTTTGTTTGCAGCTTTGCAAAGGACTCTGGTTAACACCCTGATTGCAGACTTGCAGAGAATCCCAGTCACACTGTATTCCTGAAGCAGTAAGATAATAAATGCAAGCTGTTTTAAGATGCTGCGTTTGTGATAATTTGTTACATAGCATAGAAAATTAATATACTTATCAAACTTTCTCTGAATTAATTACCACAGTATGCATTCTGATTTTATTTATTCCTATCTTATTGAATGGGTTATGATCTGATACTATCAATATTTACTTATTCTTTATTTTTTGTTGTTTGGTTCTAATAACAGCTTTATTGAGATACAATTCACTGCCATACAACTCCCCAATTTAAAGTGCAATTCAACAGTTTTTAGGATATTCACAAAGTTGTGCAACCATCACCACAATCAATTTTGTATGTTGATTTAGTATCCTGCCACTTTGGATGCCCTTTTCTTACTTTTCATTTAGCAAAATGTTTTCAAGGTTTATAAATGTTGAACCTTGTATGTAGCATGTTTCAGTACTTCATTTCTTTCTATTGCCAAAGAATATTATATTCTATGTATATATGACATTTTATTTATCCATTAGTCAATTATAGTCATATATAGAGGTCCTATAAATGCATATGTATACATTATATACATATCAATGCATATGTATATTTCAAATACATACATATAGAGATTATGTATAGATATGTATATATTATTATATATGGATTTATATATAGATGAAATGTAGATGTATATACATATATACAAATAAACACATATACACATACACATCTATATTTAGTTGTATATGTATAGTATATGTATATCTATATTTCATCTGAGAGATGATCAATGGCATTTGATTTAGCATTGGAATTGAACAGTCCCCTCACTCCACAAATTTAGGTAAAAGAAGGTAACTGCATATATTACAAATTGATATATACAAATTGAGCAAAACTTATATTTCATCCTACATCTGTATCTACTGAAATTCCTGAGTTTCTTCACATACTTTTAGTTCCACTTCAACACCACTGAGTTCATGCTAATTTAATTCCTTTCCATGTTTATAACTACCTTCATTAGCAATAAGAAAATTGGCTCCAATTATTCTTCATAAATTACTTATGTGTTCAATTTCCATGTATGTGAATAATTTTTTATTCCTATTATGACTTCTTCTCCTCCTCTCAAACACAGAGGCAGTGACCCCATGGGCTGAGTCTCAATGACAAGTCACCTTCACTACCTACCACACCCTCCTTCTGCTCAGACTTCAATGCCTTGTTCCAGGCAGCTCTCCCATGCATGAGGCAGCTCTCCCATGCACAGGCAGTTCTCCCATGCACAGGCAGCTCTCCCATGCACAGGCAGCTCTCCTCTCACTGCTGCAGCTGATACTACACACTGTTCTGCTCTTTTGTAAAGACACTGCTTCAGTCTTCTTGGACTCAGACACCACATGTCAGATGTCTTTCAGCATGGACATCTTCTTACCTTCCTTAGCCTCTAATATCTTTCACTGTCTATATTTCCAAAGAGGACATTCTTATCCAGTTCTGGCTCGCTTACCATGGGTTGGCTGCATTTCAGTGTGGCTGTTTCCTTCATCACGCAAGGCTCTGACACTCCACGCTGGAATGCACATAATCTCTAATCTCAAGCCAGTATAGCCCACTCTTCAGCCTGAATTTTGCTAGTGCCATCATTCTAAAACAAATAGGAGACAGAGAAACTAATACACACAGAGATGTAGATAAAAAGAAAAACAATAATTTTTTAAAATGTACTGATGATGAGACAGGAGGAAAAAATGATTATGAGTTCAAAATATAAAGCCAAATAGCTTGCATTAGCAAAGTAAGAATTTTTAATGTAGTATTTTGTAAATAGTCAATTGCCATATATTTCATATTTTGTAATTAAAATGTAAGTATATATACTCAGTTCTCCTCATGTAACTTTAAGCTCTTGACTAAATATTAAGTGATTTATTCTTTGCTTACTGAAGTTTCAGGGTGTACAATTGACTTACATTTTAAAGAGAAAAGCAACAAAAAGACACGTGTGTACAAGAATAATTTTATGTAAAAGAAGGTAACTGCATATATATATACAAATTGAGCAAAACATATTTAGAAAGCATATTATAATTTCAGAGGACATATGGTCTTATTCTGCCATGTTAATATATATATTAATTTGTTAAATACATATTAAAGTATAAATTATGTATTTAAATAATTAAGAAAAATAATAAGATACAACGTCATGTAGGTATAAAGCTGAAAGTGACCTTACAATCTATTAATATATGTGACAGAAAGATAAACAAATTACAGAGTTTATTCTCCAGGAATTCACATTCTACTCAGTCAGGCAGAAAGCAAATAGATTATCACAAAACAACACAAGACTTTGAAAAATTATGATAAAATAAGGAGTTGAGAAAAAAACAGAAAATAACCATGACCTTGGAAACAATATTTTCTAATAATTAATTTTTAATGATTCTAAAACATAAAATCTAAATGGCGTTTCCATGATTCCAGATACTCAGTGTGAGAGCTAGGAATGGAAGCAATTCTTTCCTCATATACCCTGGGTTTGTTTTTCTTTATTTTCAGCATACCACATGAAGTTTAAAAGCAGACATTTTCTAGTATGGTATACCATGAAATATAGTTACATTTTATTCTAAAAAATAAATGATGTGGTTCACTGTAAAACATTTACACACACACACACACACACACACACACACACCCTGAGGCCAATGTAAAAACATAGCTTGCAGTGAAGTATTTAATAATAAAGGAGTACAACTTCTGCATATTCAGCATATCCCCATCTAAGATGTTAATGAGGTGGAAAATTAAAAGACATAACAGCACATGGGTCTTATAATATTTCCCAACTCCTTTAGTGCTTTCTTTCTGTTATTCTTGCTGGACAATATTCACAATAAATTTTGGTATAAACACTTATCAGTGTGCTAGTGAAAGAGTATAAATTCCTACTGATTTCTTGGATCACCAACCTGGGAAGATTTATGGAAATTTATTTGCCTTTCGTATCATTCTTTTATTCAAGTCTTCAAATCTGAGTAAAAATAAAAAAACAAAAACCTTATATACTTTCTTATTTTTTCAATTTTTTTTTTGCCTCCACTAAGTGTTAGCTCTATAGGCTTTTATCTCCATATCAAATCAATAAGGAGAAATGAGGCAGCCTAAAGTAAATAAGTTAAGGAGAAATTAAGCCATAGTGAAAATATGAAAATAAAGAAATCTCAGGAAGTAGAGTTTAAAGACTTAAGTGTTTTCTGCTAAATTTAATCTTTCCAAAACTACTATGTTGTAATAAATTCCCAGGCCAAGTCCATAAGTGAAGCCCTGTTAAGTGGTTAGATATAGCAAATCAAAGCATAAATATCTGCTGCAAAGCTGTACTTACAGCACAGCATGTTTTGAATAGACGATGATGATGCTTCAAAATATAAAGTCAAATAGCTTGCTTTAGCAAAGTAAAAATCTTTAATGCAGTATTTTTAATGCAGTCCTATTGAAGACTAGGACCACTTGGAATCAGATTGTAGATTCATTAAAGCAAGCGTTACATTTTTCTTTCTTAGTTGGCTACCTTTCTAACATCACAATTGCCTAAGTAGTTCATGTAACCCAGAAGAGGTAATCATAAAAATCTCAGTTACAGAGAGTTTCAATATTCAAAGAAAAAATAGGTTTATAAAAATAGAAGATAAATTTTCTTTAAAATCTTAACAGATTGTTTCTTAATTTCCATTACAGAGCTAAATCCAGAAAACAGGAAACACATATGCCCTTTCAATTTAATTTATGACCCCAAATCCAACACATACTAAAAAGTAGTTGATAAAATATGATGCTGAATGTTCTAGGCTATTTATCAAGAGTGTGTACATCATTCCCGGTGCCTGAGTATATGGATAATACATGTAAGTAAACTGTAGGTCTAGCAAAACTGAAGTTTAGCATTTGGATTTTTGTTTTATTTAACATTAATTTTGAAATGGTCATAAGCTAACACAGTACTTATTACTCCATTTTTCAGCTGGAACTCAGGGAATTTTATCATAATCTTTTTTTATGATACACTCTCATTCATGCATGAGCATCATTTCATCTCAATGTCTTTCCCGTCCAAGATTACCATTATTCCAAATCCTATTTGTATTGTTTCTTGCATTTCTTTATACAAAGTGTATATTCCAGTGTTTTTTTAATCTTAATTTTTTTAATTTAAAAAGAGTATTATGTTTTATATTGACTTGTAAGACTTATCTTTGGTAACTTATATATGTATTCCAGATGATATGCACCTCATAATGATGAAGTGGGGGCCTCTAAAAATCTATGCCTCCATAAAGGAATGGAAACACTAGCAAATTTTTCAAAATTAATATTTTCAGAACTCTGGAGATTAACCAAAACTTTAAAACAGTCTGCAAAGTTTTTTTTTTTTTCAAGAAAAAGGCCTGAATCTTACTAAAAAGGGATGAGATCGATGGCATTTGAATTAGCATTGGAATTGAACAGTATCCTCACTCCACAAATTTGGTAGTCTTGAAAACAGCAGTCTTAAAACTTTTGTAGCTGTGGAAAACAGTAGTCTAGTAGATGCTGGAGGAAGAATGTGTTTGGAGCTTTCGAAAACCCTGTCCATAAGGAATTTTTACTATTACACCTGAAATGAGTGCTCCCTAGAAAAACCCCATTTACAGAGCTTGTGTTCATTTGATTTGATTCAGAGATCACCCAGGGCATTTGTCAAAAACAATCAGCAGCAATTGTTTACCATTGTAGCTGCCTAAAGGGGCAATGCCAATTGAAGTAAATAGGAAGGTGGCATGAAAACTTGAAAATAAATATGAGGAGTAAGAATACTTTAGGAGTCTTGAAAAGCTCCAACATTTTCCTGAGACTATATGAGGTTCTATATAGGAGCAGAGTTGTGTACATACACAGGAGAATCCTGAGAAGGCCCTAAGCTTTCATCTCTGGCTAATATTGAGGCTCTGCAAAAGCACTAAGTGAAGCTTAAGGCAGAGTTGTAAACTGCCATACAGTTGAATGAAAGTCCCGGCACACACACACAGACACACACACACACACACGCCTCACGAAAGAAATCTTGAGGTTCAAGTTATAAAAGAAAATCTCTGTCCAACCCTTAGCTGACCATTAAGCTAACCAATGAGACTTCAGTAATTGCAAAAGACAAACAAACAAACAAACAAACAAAAAAACCAACAACTTTACAAAATTGATCTTTAAAAGTCCCTAAAAAAACCCAGCGAAACAACATCAACAACTGCAAACTTTAAGAAGAACAATACTATTACCAATATATACATTTTAAATGTCCAGTTTTCAATAAGAAGTTAAAAGACAAACACAGAAACTAAAAACATCCATGCACAGAAAAAAAAAAATTGAAACTGTTCCTAAGGAAGTCCAGATTTTAAACATGCTAGACAAAGCTTTTAAACCAGTTACTACAAATATGTTTAAAGAACCAAAGGAAAATACATCTGAAGAACTGAAGAAAAGACTGAGGATGATTTCTCACCAAATAGAGACGATCAATAAAGAGAGAGAAATTATAAAAACAAACAAAATATTCTGAAGTTAAAAATTATAATAATTGAAATTTAAAAATTCACTCGAGGTGCTCTGTAACAGATTTAAGCTGGTAGAAAAGAAATCAAAGAAATCAAGCAACATAAAGATAGATCAATCAAAGTTATCCAATATCAGTAACAGAAGGAATGTTGAAAAATAATCAGTGCCTCAGAGGGCCCATAAAGAAAGCGTACTAATTAGAGACATATATGCACTTTTTGAGGATTAAAAAGAGTCTGAAATTAAAATGCAAAAACTGACAGAATTGAAGTGAGAAATGCAGGATATAAAAACGACAGTGGAAGACTTCAATATCCCCAAGTTTAAGAATGGATAGAACAATCCGATAAAATATTTTTATAAAGTGTAAGACATAAAATACACTGTATGCGTCCTCCCCCTAAAAGACATATATCCCCCTAAAAGTATATATTCTGCTGTTGTTGGGTGGACTCTTTGGTAGAATATATACTTTTCAATTGCAAAGGGAATGTTTTCCAATATATGTTACATTTTAGGCCACAAAACAAGCCTCAACAAATTTTAAAGCATTTAAAATTTTAAAGCATTTTAAAGCATAATTTTTTAAAAACAGTTTTTTAGATTAAATTAGAAATTAGTTGTAGAAGAACTTTGGCAAATTCACAAACGTGTTGATACTAAATAACACACACCTGAATAATGCATCAAAGGATAAAGAACAAATAAATTAATAAATAATTTGAGATAAATACATATATATACATAGTAAGTGTATATAGAATCAACAGTACATATGTCTATACATATCTATTAACTGTATATAGAATTAACAGTCAGAAACAATCTTTTATATTTATTGTCAATTGTTTTCAACAATGGTACCAAGGCAATTAAATGGGGAATAGTTTTTCAACAAAAGGTGCTGGGACAACTAAACATGCACAGGCAAATGAATGAAGTTCAACCCCAACATCATACACTAAAATTAATGTAATATGAATCACAGATGTAAGTGTGAGAGATATCAATATAGAACTATTAGAAGAAAACATAGAAGTAACTCTCTGAAACTTTAGATTAGGAGATGTTCCACATCAGTGGAACAAACCACACACACAAAAAATAGATGAATTGGACTTCATCAATATTAAACATTTTTATGCTTCAAATGACACCATTAAGAAAGTGAAAAGACCAACCACATAATGGGAAAAAAATGATTGCAAGCCATATATCTTATATCTGATAAGGGACTTGTATCTAGATTATTTAATGAACTCTCACAATTCAATAATTAAAAGCCAAATGACAATTTTAAAATAAGCAAAAGTCTTGAACAAACATTTTTCGAAGATGGTGTAACAATGGCCAATGAACTCATTAAAAGATGGTTTACATCATTAGCTATTAGGATTATGCAAATCAAAACCATAATGAGATACCCATTCATACCCATAAGAGGATGGCCAAAATTAAAAAGACTGACAAGGCTTGGTAAGATACAAAGAAATTGAAAATCTTATACATTGCATGATAATTGTGAAAGGTGCAGCCACTGAGGAAAAAAGTTTGTCAATTCCTCAAAATGTTAAATGTAGACATAACAGATGACTCAGCTATTTCATAAATAATTTTACATCCAAGATAAATTAAAACTTACATCTACACTAAAACATATACATGAGTGTTCAAACCAGCATTATTCATTATAGACAAAAAAGTAGAAATAACCCAATCATCCATAGGACAGATGAACAGATAAAATATGACACATCCATACAATAGATTACATGGCAATAAAAAGGAATAATGTGCTGATACATGCTACAATATGGATAAACATTGAAAACATTATGCTAAGAGAAAGAAGCTAGTCACAAAAGAACATATGTTGTATAACGTGATTCATATAAAATGTCCAAAATAGGCATATGTATAGAAGCTGAAAGTAGGTTAGTGATTGTCTCAGGCTGGAGTTGGGATGTGGAATCAGGAATAACTATTAAAGGATATAGGATTTATTTGAGGGGTGATGTCAATGTTCTAAAGTAGGAGTAATGATTGTATAATACATCTCTGTGAATATATTTTAAAATACTGAAGTGTATATTTTAAAACAGTGAATTTTAGAATTTGTGAATTATATTTAATAAAGGTATTATACAAGCCATATTGCTGTGATTCACCCACATTGCTGCATGTGGATATATTTATTTATTTGATAGCTCTATAATACTCATTGAGTTTTTATCACACCTCTGATAACAGGCATTTGAGCTATCCACAGGTCTTTGGTAATGTTAACAGGGCTGCAATGAGCATTCTTGTGTCTATCCTCAGCTACACATGCACAAGAATTTCTCTCTTTGCTATGTAAGTTAAGACAGCATACAAACAGAAAAAAAAAATGAAACAGCTTGAGTTGTGTGTTCCGTGTTTTTTTATTTGTTTTTTTTTTTTCCAAGTTTGAAATGATTGGAGGCAAGAAGGAACTAAGTAAAGTTAAATACAAATTAATTATTGCGGAAGGTTTCACATTTCTGGAAAGAGCAATAGGATGGTGCTACCCAGAGCCCAAGTCACTGTAACACTAAGTCAGCTCTCTTGGAGACTTGGGTGACTAAGAAAGAATCCAGAAGCCTGCATTCACTGGCTGCTGCTGCTTTCTTGATTGCCACCATTCCTGCCACCAGAGTGCTGTCATCATCACTACTGCCACCAGGGTTTCCATCACCACTACTGCTATTGCTGTTAATAACGTCACCGCCATATCCTTGCTACAGCACCACTGCCAGACTGAAAGTAGGAATCATAGAAAAGTGGAGTTCTTTTCCTGCAGATCATTGACAGAACAGAGCAGTAAACCAGCTGGCAAGGGCATCTGGGAAATGTAGTTTACAGACCTCTGACATGGCAAGACAGAGCAAGGTACTGAGAGCAAGTGTGGAAATGAGAGGCACCTAATGCTTTCCAGCACAGTCCAAACTCTTGAACACATAGTATCCTTATAGATCTGCCTACCAATGTGTAATCTTCTATATAATAACAATAAAACCATATCTTATTTTTCAATAACATAAAGCCACTAGACTTCATACAAAGATGCACTCTCCCAAAACTGCACCGAGTCCATGAATTCATTTCTAGAAATGTTAATTGCCCCACTAACATAGTCACAAGACATCTAAATAGTCTACAGCATAAAGACAAAATCATAAAGCTAACCATGGACAGCTTTTGCAATTTAAGTTAATAAGGAAAAGGAAAATAATAAAATGCTTAATATATTAAAAATGTACATAATGCACAAAGTAAAAAAGTTCCACAGCTTCTACAGTCCTTGTTTCTGTAACTGGTCTCAAGGCTATAGTTTTTATTTGTCACTTTCATATTCATTCTCCATTCTACATTTTCTTCTCCCTCATTTGGTATCTCAGCTGGTCAACCTTCCTAATGAGATGAATCAAACTTTCTTTGCTGAAGAATAAGAATCATTGGCAGAACTAGCTTTCAGATTTAATTTTCTTCCCTCAATTGTGTATGAATTGGAGTCAATTAATCTAGACAATATAGTAGCTTTCTTGTATACCTGTTTATTAAATGGCAAGAGGAACCCCTAATTTTAGTTCTAAGGAACGATATTTTTGTCATCTAGAGAAAATAACCTTTCTTTTAAGGGAGAAGTAAAATATTTACAACTGAGTTATTTAAGTGCAAAAATTGAGACTAGACACTCTTGCATCTATTTTTTAATTCCCAGATATGAGCATTTAACCCCTAAAGAAGAAGTGGCATTTAGAGAGGGCATTGCTTAGATTATAGAAGAAGCTCAAAGATTTGGAAAAAGAAATACTGGAAAGGAAACTGTATTAATTAGCCCCTACAATTTCTACTTTACTCTATGCTTCCTTCTCAGAGTAGGACTTCTTGCTTACAAGGTTTTATTCCTGAGGATCCCTAAATTGCAACTAATTACCCCTAAGCCAATGCCAGTGGATAAAGAAAAGATCTCTTAAAGTTCCTTTCCAACTTAATTATCCCACAGATGTAATAGCACTGCTTCCAGCAAAAGCAAATCCTCATCTCAATGGCTTCACACTCACTGATTTATAATAATGATTCTTCAAATCATCCAGTGGGTTCTAAGGTTTTTTTCCATTTTGTTGTTTTCTCTCAGTTGTTCCTTTGGAGTTTATCTTGCGTAAGGCTGTGCCAGTGCAGCATCTTGCTAGTAACTGAATAAAAAAGCATGCAGAACTGTGTAACAAGTGTACAGAAGCTGTTTAATCATTAGTGCATGGTTTATTTCCTTGCTGATATCCAATAGATAAGGAGGTATTTAAATCACTTTACTAAATACTGTTTAAATCAAATTCCAGAAGGAATAAAATTCCACATATCCATATGCTACCACAGCTAAAAGTATAACACCTTGTTGGAAATTGGCTCCAGAGACAGTTTGAATATCACAAATAAAATCAAATTACTTTATAATTGCATCTTGTTTTTAACCAAAAGAGTTGTTACCCTAGGCTGAATGCCTGCTTCATTCACTAGACATGAGATTTAATTATTCAAAACTGTTTCCAAAACCAAATATACACTCAAAACATGAACATTTGATTACATGAAACATGAAATCACTGATAAAAAATAACAAAAGAAAAAATAAAAAACCCCAAAAAAATATGATCCATGGAAATGTACACTAAAATAGGAATTGCCAAAAAGATTCCAAATAATTTACCTTAAAATATATATACAAAATTCTAAAGTCACTTCAAAATAGTCAGCAATCTTTTAGCTGTATTGTTTGTGATTTTCTTAGAATGTGTTAATTAAATATTTTATTGTGAGATAATCACAGATTCACATAGAGTTATAAGAAATTATATAGAGTGGCCCCCCTATGCTTTTCATAATATCTAGTTTCCCCCAGTGGTAGTATCTTGCAAAACAATGATGAAATAAAACATCCTGGATGTTGACATTGGTACAGATTACCACAAAAGCCCTCAAGTTGACCATTTATACTCATATCCACTTCCCTCCTAACCACCCTCCACCACTCTTTCCTCATCCCTGAGAAACCATTAATCTGTTCTTTATTTGTATAATTTTGTCACTTTAAGAATGGTGTATAACTGGAGTGTAACCTTTTGGAGTTGGCTGTTTTTCATTCAGCATTATTCTGTAGCAATTCATCCAGGTTACTGTATATTAACAGTCCCTTCCTGTTCATTGCAGTGTGCTATTCCATGGTGTGCAGGAACCACAGTTTGTTTTTCCATCCACCTACTGAAGGACATCTGGGCCGATTCTAGTTTCAAGTTATTACAAATAAAACTGTTATGAACGTATGTGCCCAGATTGTAGTATAAATATAAGTTTTCATTTTTCTGGGATAAATTTCCAGGACTGCAATTGCTGGGTCATATGGTAATTGCATGTTTAGTTTCATCAGAAACTGCCAAAATGTCTTCCAGAGTGGGTGTATCATTTTACATTTCTACCAGCACTGCAAGTGTCATCTACTTTCTCTCTTTTATCAACAGTATTTGCTGTTCTTGTTTTTGTTGTAACATTTTAAATTTGCATTCTTTCACTAACATTTTGTGAATTATCAGCATACAAGTCTCCTGTGACTTTGCTGAGCTCGCTGACTAATAAAGTTCCAGTTATTTCATCAATTTCTTCGGCTACTTTATGTAGACAATTATGTCTTCTGCAAATATAGATTTCTTCATTTCCGATGTATATTTCTTTTTGTTGCCCTCACTGGTTAGAACTTCCAGTATTATGCTGAATAAGAATGATGAGAGGGACCATTTTTGTCTTGTTTTTTTCTCTTAAGAGAAAGGAATTCAGCTATTCACCATTTAGTAATGTATTATCTGTAGATTTTAGATGCTCATTATGAAGGTTAGGAAATTTCCCTCTATTCCTACTGTGTGGAGAGATCTCATAAATGAGTGTTGAATTTTGTCAAGTAGTTTTTTTTCACAATTAATATGATCATGTGATTTTTCTTCTTAGTCTATTAACATAGTGAATTACTATAATGAATTTTTAAATATTAAATTAGCCTTACATCCCTGGAATAAATCTCACTTGACCTTGATGTCTAATTCTTTTAATATACTGCTAAGTTCTATTTGCTCATATTTGGATAAGAATTTGTACATTATATTCATAATATTTGTGTTTAGTTTGCCTCTTTTTAAATATTGTTTTCCAGTTATGTAGTGGCCTCAAAAATATTTGGAAGTATAAGTTCATAATTGCTTATTTAAGTACTTTCATTATGACTGGTTCAAACTCGTTGTTGGATAATACTAAGATCACTGCTATCTTGGTGTTGGCATTTATTGACTGTCTATTCATCCATGTTGATAATATCTCAGAGACTGGTATGGTTCATTATTATTAAAATCTGGATATTTTGAGTATTATATTATCAGACACTGAACCTTATTTAAACCTTCTTTGGTAGTAGCGTCCTCTGACACTGCTCCAGCAGGGTATGGGGAACTATCATCTCCTTATTGCCAGGTCAGATGAGGTGCCCAGTTTCTGCATTCAGCCGCCATTTACACATGATGAGAGTAGGGGCTTGCTATTGTCTGAATGTCGGTGGTCCACCTGAAACTTCTATGTTAGAATCTAATACCCAACAAGAGGTTATTGAGGGGCAGAGCCTTTGGGGAAATGAAAAAGTCATGAGGATGGAGGCTTCATGAATGGGATTAGTGTCTTTATAAAGGAGGTTGAAGAAAGGGTACTGTATTAGTCGGTTTTCATGCTGCTGATAAAGACATACCTGAGACTGGGAAGAAAAAGAGGTTTAATTGGTATATAGTTCTGCATGGCTGGGGAGGCTTCAGAATCATGGCAGGGGGCAAAAGGCACTTCTTACACGGCAACAGCAAGAGAGAATGAGGGAGAAGCAAAAGCAGAAACCCCTGATAAACCCATCAGATCTCATGAGACATATTCATTATCATGAGAATAGCATGGAAGAGACCAACCCCCATGATTCAATTACCTCCCCCTGGGTCCCTTCCGCATTAAAGGGGAATTCTGGGAGATACATTTGGCTGGGAACACAGCCAAACCATGTAATTCTGCCTCTGGCCCCTCCAAATCTCATGTCCTCACATTTCAAAACAAATCATGCCTTCCCAACAGTCCCCCAAAGTCTTAACTCATTTCAGCATTAATTCAAAAGTCCACAGTCCAAAATCTCATTTGAAAAAGGGCAAGTCCCTTCCACCTATGAGCGTGTAAAATCAAAAGCAAGCTAGTTACTTCCTAGATGCAATGGGGGTACAGGCATTGGGTAAATACAGCCATTCAAATGGGAGAGATTGGCCAAAACAAAGGGGTTACAGGGCCCATGCAAGTCTGAAATACAGTGGGGTAGTCAAATTTTAAAGCTTCAGAATGATCTCCTTTGACTCCAGGTCTCACATCCAGGTCACACTGATGCTAGAGGTATGTTCCCATGGTTTTGGGTAGCTCTGCCACTGTGGCTTTGCAGGGTATAGCCTAACTCCTGTCTGCTATCATGGTCTGGCCTTGAGTGTCTGCAGCTTTTCCCCAGGTGCACAGTGCAAGCTGGGGATACACCCAAACCATATCATATACACACACCTTGTACCATGTGAATACACACAGAAGGCACCACCTATGAGGAACAGGCCCCCACCAGACACTGAGGCTGCCTGTACCTTGATCAGAAGACTGACATGGATCTCTCTAAGCTAAAGTCATAGTGTTAACTGAGCTGCATTCCTTTTTGGCAGCTCTCGGGAAAAAATCCCTTCCTTATCTTACCCATTTTCCAGAGGCTGCTCACATTTTTTGGCTTTTGTTCCCCTTTGTTCTTCAAAACCAACCATATTGGGTCACTTCCTTCTTAAGTTTCCATTTCTCTGGCTCTCTTCTTTCCCCTTCGTATTTTAGAAACCTTTGTAGTTACATTGGGCACATCTGAATAATCCAGGATAACCTCACTATTTTAAGATCAGCTGATTTACAATTTTAATTCTGTCTTCAAATATATTTCCCCTTTGCCATGGAATGTAACAGATTTACAAGTTACGAAGACTAAGACATGGACATTATTGGAAGGCCTATTATTCTGCCTATTACACTCAGAATAATTGTCATCATTTTTGCAATAAATTTCTTAAAGGCCAGAACAATTCATATGTGAATTATATATTCAGAGTTTGGCAATATCCTTGTGAGCTATCCTCAAACATCATCCAACCTTCCTCATACATTATCCAACCTTCCTCATACATTTTAACTGTTTATTTATTGCTAGTGGTGAGGAATTGGGATAGGAGAAATGTCTTAGGCTTGAATTACAAAGCTCTAATCAAGGTTACTTATATTTTTCTGATGTGAAAACATTTTAGCATAAGTTATGTTAGCAATAAATCAAGAGGAAAAACAGAATATTTGTACTAGGAATCTGATTTATTCACTTCTTTCCTACACTTTTGCATGCTGAGGACCGGAAGAGGATATAAAGGGGGAAGGAGAGACTCAAACACCACCTCGCTTTGTTTCTCCAGGTTGTACAAAGGTGAAGATGTCCTGACTATGATAGATCTCATTCTGGGCAGTTAGATCATCAATAGGTGAGTACAGGGCAGGTAACCTGATAATATTGAGAAGAAGGTAGGTTATGATGTTGTTCCCTCATGAGGTGACTGGCTTGAGGTTTTTGTTGTTGTTGTTGTTGTTGTTGTTGTTGTTTGAGACAGAGTCTCGCTCTGTTGCCAGGCTAGAGTGCAGTGGCACAATCTCTGCTCACTGCAAACTCTGCCTCCCTGGTTCAAGCAATTCTCCTGCCTCAGCCTCCTGAGTACCTGGGACTATAGGCAGGTGCCACCATGCCCAGCTAATTTTTGTGTTTTTAGTAGAGATGGTGTTTCACCATGTTGGCCAGGATGGTCTCGATCTCTTGACCTCGTGATCTGCCCTCCTCTGCCTCCCAAAGTGCTGGGATTACAAGCGCAAGCCACTGCGCCTGGCCTGGCTTGAGGTTTTAACCTTAGTTTTGCAAATTAGAAAACTAATTGAATGAATTGGACTGTTGGTACCATCCACTTGACTTTCCATCACCAGGGATGGGTCTAACTGCCCCAATCCATTTTCACAAAGGTTTAGAAAATATTTTCTAATTTCCATTACAAATCACATGTCTCTGGGAACTACCTTATATTAACATAATTAGCTAAAATATTTAGTAAAATTATTTATATATATAAAATGTCTATATACTAAATTTTATGTTGCATGTTTTTGTACCAAAAATAATAACTTTTTACTTTATAATGTTTATATTTTAAAACACTGACATAGGTATTATTTTTACAGAATCCATGAAAAAATACATTAGCATTATGTTCTATATATAGTCAAGGAGGAAAAATAAAGAAAAAAATACAGTCTAGAAAATATTATCCAGATGCATAGATGATATAAAGTACACTATGTCAAAGAGGAAGGTATATATACACACAGCAAGATTTAACATTGTCATTTGACAATGACAGTTGAAGAAATATATTTGGGCCTCAGTTTTATGGCTGCAGTATTTAAACAGTAACACCATTAGTGTCATCTTAAAATAGAAGTCGATAAACAAACTTTTTACCAGTTCACAAAAAAAGAAACTCATTATTTTTTCTTGTTGAATAGAAAGTTTATTTTATACATGAAAAAGTTTGACAGAAAGTATGCCATGTAATTAATTAGGGACATCAAGAGACCTTACTAAAGCAGAATCCAGGGGCATTGCAGGCAGTAATGTAAGTAACAATTCTTCGACACATCTCATTTTGTCAACATAACGTCAACAGAACTTGACAGCTGTTTATACATAGGCATGGCGTTTATCTTTCTTCTTTTATTCTAGAACGTGACACTAAAGAAATGTATGGATCAATGAAGCACCCATCGGCACATAACATTTAAAATTCAGCATATCTTAGATTTTTCATGATAAATAATAAAACTTAGATAATTGTACATTAAATTATTTCCATTAAAAACCTTAGAATCTAAAAGCTTAGCAGATAAAGTATGAGCACTGATTCTCTTTCTATTTTCTCCTTGTGAGCCATTATGATTACAGTGGAAGTGACAATGAGAGACACTTCCATTGATTTTATGCCTATTGAGATACGGCCTTAATGGCGTCAAAAGGATGTTTCTACCTTTTGACACTTAAGTTCATTATTAAAAGTCAGTGAAGTGTCTCCCAAGAGTGGCTCCTTCACTAAGCTTTGTACTGCTACTCTCTTCACAATAAGGCGTTTATTCTTGGTGTTCTTTCATACATGAGGCAGGAATTCACAAAGATGTCAAAAAAAAAAAAGCATGGTAAAAAGATCGTATAATGAAATAAGTTTGAAGGACAAAGTGCAAAACTGTTTGCTTCCCACAAAATACCATGGAGAAATCAAAGTAACTACTGAATATAAATTATATAACTATGTTAAAATAAATATAGAATATAAATAATAAAGTATCAAGTATGAGTTTTGCTATGTAGTATTAAATAATTAAGCAGAAAAGGTGGGAAAATATTTGTGGACTGGCCCTGAAAAAAGTAAGTCTAAATCCCCCCAAAATTTTATTATAGGATATAAAATTGGGAGACTCTTTATTACTTAAAGGATTTAAATAACAAAGGACGTTTCAGAATTGAAAGAAAAAAGAAAAAGAGTATATGAGCAATAGCAAAAAGTAATAAGAAATAAACAATTCAAGGTAACAATAACAAGAAAACGGTATTTTCATAAATATATGATAGTATAAAATGAAATATCAATATGTATCTTGGCTCTTTGCCATAAAAATAACCAAGTACATGTACAATTGTTTAGCCCAATATTTCCTACATTGAAAGAGCTTAACAACGTCAACTATTATTTGATAGAAACCATCTGAATGGAATTTCTTAAAGTTTCAACCACTAGATCTGTAAGCCTAATTTGTCATCTTCCTTCCTTTCACAATACAAGAAATGTACCTATGGAGTCCTCCTTCCTGTCTTACAAAGCATAGCTATTTTCTTCTCTAACCCTAACCCTAATTCCAGCTTAAACTCCAGTTCTAATCATCAGTTTCCTGCATAATCAATCACTCATGTTCTACTGATATCTTGTATAATATTCGGTCATGTCAAAGTAAGGTGCCAGAAAAAGGTCTTAGAGTTCTGATAGAGTAATGCCTACCCTAAAAATTCCTGGACAACTGGTGACATGAGACATTTAGGACTCTCAGGAAGAGCAGATATGAAGGTTTGAAAGGAGAGGAGCTTAGGAACAGGGGTGAGATATGAGTAGTATCAATGGAATCCATCCATTTCTCTCCCCTAGATCCATTTTGTAGGGCACATTGACACTTGATAAAGAGTCGGACTGAGGGGAAGTGAACCACAAGGAGCTGTGAAACATAACTCTTTGATCATGTAAGCCCCCCGAAAAGGGTTGGAAAGATGAGGAAAGATTGCCAATAGCATGGAAGCATCTTACAGAAGAATATTCTAAAGCCAGAACAGGGAACTAGTTGCCCCAAATGGAATTCACAGATTCTTTAGCTGCAATAATAAAATCAGGAACAAAGGGAGTCCTGAGAACTCCTGGAGCCTAGTACAGACTGGAAGACTGCAAATTTACATGTGGAAATAGTTAACAGCAAGCATCTTAGGCATGAGAAAGTAGCTAACACATTCTGGAGCTCTCATAGATGTAGTTTTTCTGAGGAGAAAAAAAATCAGTATATCAGAAAGAAAAATTGTAAATTTTTGCATTTTCTAACAGTAACTCTGCTCTAACATGAAAAAATATTAATCTTTGTTTTTATAAACTTCTTTTTAGAAAAATAGTTACCTTTTTAGAAAAATAGTTCCGCAAGTAACTGAGTGAAAAAGAAAAAGATACTTAGAGGACAAGAGCTTGGGAATTATTTTCTATTTGGAATAATCACCCTGTATGTATAAAAGGTGAAAATGCTTGAGTGAATTTTTCATTGGTAAAATATTAAAAGAAGATTTCATTTTGAAGCCTCTTTTAAACAGATTTATTGAAGTATAACTTACATAATATATATTGAAACTATTCTGTAAATGCACCTGGTAAAATGATTTTCAATAGATTTGTAATGTGCAATAATCATCATTGTTGAGATTTAGAATATTTTCAATATACCTAAAATGTTTCCTAATGATTGGGCAAAGATTGGGCTTAATCACTTGAGCCCACCACACTTCCTTCTGAAGATTACTGTGTGTGTGTGGGTTGGGGACTACATTCAAAGTTTAGGAAATTTTAATGTCAGCCTCAGATTTTACGTTCTTCCAGAGACTCTGGTCCTCCATTACACATTTTCATAGTTTCACAGTCAGACAAAGATGTGGCTTCTTCACTTCCAGGATCTCCCCGTAAAGTTTCTATCTGGTCCTCCACTTGCCTCAAATGGTACAGCAACTTCAAACTAGCTGAGCTGTGGCTATCCCCACGTTTTCCTATCAAATTTGTTCTTCTTGCTAGGGATTAATGTTTTCCCTCCACTCCAAAGCAATTCAGTTACCTCATGAAGCAAATCTGCTGATATTCATGGTCAGCCCTGTCCTGATAAAACCACCTTATCCATGGAGCTGGGAACTGCACCAGGCAAGAAACTCCCACTTCCATTGTTCTTACCTAGAGCTTACAAATAAGCACTTCTCAATTTGTGGTTATCCAGTTCCCAGTTTTATGCTTGCTCTTGTAAGGAAGATTTGCCACTTATTTAGTTCCTCTGTCAGTTCCTGAAATTTCTACTTTTAAGAAGTAAAATGGTTTAAAAATAATGTTGTGGGGTGCAGTGGCATAAGCCTGTAAATGCAGCACTTTGGGAGGCTGAGGCAGGAGGATTGCTTGAGCCCAGGAGTATGAGGTTGCAGTGAGCTATGATTTTGGCACCGTACTCCAGCCTAGGTGACATTGCATTCAGGACCTAGGCAGCACTCCAGCCTAGTTGTCTTCAAAAAATATATACATATATATTAATTCTTATGTTGCAGTCATAATTTTAGGATTTGAAATAATATGTTTTCTTTATCATGTTTTTAGGGAATAGGTTATTAGACTTTGCTGAGTGGTGAAACTCTCAAACCATATCTCACAAATTAGATATCAAATAACTATAACCAGTCTTCTATTATCCAGGCAAAAGTTTGGATGTTTACTTTCTAGGGAAACTGAGCAACCCCAAATAAACAACCTGTAGATTCTGATGTTTTGTCATCCACATGAGGTGTTCACGTAACTTGTAGTATAGCCCAGTTACACAAAGAAACATTCCCATCAGCATTTTAGTTCCTCAGTTTTAAATATTTACATTTCAATATAGTATTAAATGAACAAATGGAAAAGAAATATAGATTTTTCAAGGCTCTAAGCATATTTTATTAAACACCAAAATACACAATGGAAAAGAAAAAGAAAGCACAAAAACAATCAACCAAAATATAGTAATAATTGGGAACATGCAGGCACATAATGCTGGAAGAAGAAGAAAATGTTAAACCAATAATTATAATTAATAGCCCTAGGGTGATAGAAGAATACATTGTATCTATGTAACTGGAACAAAAATTTCATAAAAGGAGCAAAAAAAGAAAGCTTGGAAATACAAAAGTATGACAGCATGAATTAGCAATTCAATAGGACAGCTGAAAGACAAAGCTCAGAGATATCCTTGGCAGTCAAAAAATGTGGATGGCAAATGTGAAAGCAAAGAAAATTAGGGAATTAACGTAGAAGGTATAACATCCAACTGTGAGGAATTCCATAAAGGGGAAAATATAATTACACAGGTATTATACAGATATATATATATATATATATATATATATATATATATATATAATTTATATATATGTATAACATTGCCAAGGCAATTATGAATTGAGTGTGGGAGGCAACAACAGACAATGAAAAAATAAAACAGGGAAATATTCCACACAAGAAAAGAAAAAGGAAGACATATGTAGTAAGAAGGATGGCACAATGACACAAAATGTAGAGAAAACACATAGTTTCTAGAACTGAAAAAAAATGACATGTTTCAGAAGGAACAGGAGATAAGGTGAAAGGGTCTCAGGGATCCAAAAAGAATGAGCCTCATTGGCTCAACTAAGGAATTTCCAGTTCGTTCCAAAATACCTATGAGTCTTGGATTGATGAAGTTAGAAGAACAGCTATTCATTTTCTTAAAAGTTTCTTGTGCTTTAATACCGTTTCAAAGTTACTGATTCTACTGAAGAGAAACTGTCAATGTATGAACTTGTAGGTGTTTAACACCTTGAGGTAAGGAAGGCGGACCAAGACTTGAGGCAGAAGGTTACAGCAGCAGGCGGCAGGCAGCTGAGCCACAGCAGCCTCAGAGAAGAACAAGAAACTGAATCATCTGGGGATGCACCAAACATATGCATGATTTCAGTATTTTCAGCAGTGAAGATCTCCCCATCTTAAGTAAAAGAACTAGGAGACATGAGGAATGATCCCAGTTGAAAAATGAAAGTTGATATTAACTGAATAAAAGGGACAGTTTCCTTAGTATTAATATACTTCTCACTAAACTGGATACCATTTGACATTTATAAGAGATGTTTTTGTTATCCTTTGTTGTTACCTTTACTATTGAGTACAAATCAAAACAGGTCAATATGTTGTACTTGTCCACTTGGTGGAGAGGTTAACATTAATATTTGAGCTGTGTTAAGCCTATAGTTAATTAACTGTGCTCCTCCCACCCAAATTCATAGTTGAAACCCAACTCAAAATTGTGATGTTTTTGGGAGGTGTGGCCTTTGGGAAGTAATACGATGATGAGAGTGGAGCCTTCCTTAATAGGATTAGTACGTTTATAAAGGGCACCCCTGAGGGCTTGCTTACTTTCTTTCTGTCATGTGAATATACAACAATAAGTTGGCACTCTGTAACCCAGAAGAGGACCAGCACTGCTACTCAACCATGCTGATATCCTGATCTTGGACTTTTAGCCTCCAGAACTGTGAGAAATAAATTTTTATTTATAAGCCACCCAGTCAGTTTGTTATAGCTGCCTGAACTGACTAAGACACCTGTACTAATATATGCTGTATTTTAAAAGACTTTCTGTAATAATATAGAACAAATTTTATGGGTTATCTGCATTATACTCAAAACACTGACTGTTACCAGTACTTCCAACATAAAATAGTGAATACTATAGGAACTAAAAAGCACATTTCAAAAAAAGAGTTCAAATAAAATAATTTAGACAAGTCTAAAACAATTGAGATAACAAAAATTGAGATATAATTCAAATTTGATTTTCATGGATATTAAATGAAAAACAAGAATGAATGCCATCTCAGCAAATATGAAAACCCAGTGGTGATAGCTATTATTACTATTCTCATCTCAAAAAATAAGAAACTGTTGGGCATCAGCATATCTATAGTGGAAAGCAGTGAATATGGGACAATCTAGGTCTTCTGACATCAATTCCATATTCTTTCTACTATATGACATTCGTTTTCTGCACTTGGTTCCAAACTACAGAATTGTAACAATGCTATATGTATACACCTACACAGCGATGCATAAACAACTCACCAGTTATATTCTGAAAATATTTTTTGTGTGTTCAGCAGTTTCACACATTCATTAGGGACTAATGATAACTTTAAGCAGTAACAGAGCAAATATTTTCCTTTTACCTGGTCATGTTAACTAATAGTAAGATTTTAAAACTACACACAGAGAGCCAATGTAGTGAAATATATACATTCCATAACCAGGCACATAAAGCATGCTAAATAAACCTGTAATTTAAAATTTACCTATCATTACATATATCAAAATGTTTTTAATCTAAGGTTAAAACTATAACCTTAGATTAAACCTTGATTAGTTTAAAAATAAACACTTCAAATTAGGAAAATAAAAAATTATTGAACCATAAATCCGATGTTTCAGATAAAAAATATTTGCAGATATTGTTGCAGATAGTGAAAAACTGTCATTCCATCACTTTCACTCTGTTGCTTTCAATGAAATTAACATATAATGGACCCAAAAGTTCAACCTAAGATATAGTAATTAAAATTAAGCAATATAGCCAGGACACACAAAAAAGTTTATAGTTAATGAATGCAAGAATTAATTAAATTTGATTATTTATTCTAAAATAAATAAATAAATAGAGATATAACTGAGTTCCTCATCATATGACTCAATTTCAGATCCTACTGAGCAACTCCTGCTTTTCTCATTCTCAAAGAAAATATATATCTTAAGAATGTTATAAAATATTTTTGTCTCTAAGAATCACAGGCATGAGGAAACCCTGAACAAATACTGGAATTTTTTAAAAAATCAAACTTCAAAGTAAATATCATGGCTTTCAGGTAAAGGAGGATGTCCACCTGTGTTGGACAGCCTCCATTTGCCCCTCCAAACCTGTTCTCCACCCTTTTCCAGCTTACTCTGACCCCCAGAGGCTGACTACTGTGAAGTTAACCAGTGGGCTACAAGTCTTCTGGCTTCATATTGTGTTCCGTCTATGGGAGGTTCTGGCTAGAGATTGGAGGGCAGGCGGAGGGTGCTGCCAGCATATTTATTCCACCACTCCACCACCACTAGTTCCCTCCCTGTCAAAGTCTTGGTTTTCAGTAGTCATGTGGCTACGTTTCACAAGATCTTATAACCACTCCTTTCTCAATGTGAGGCCTACAGTGAGTGCATCCCTTATTGCTATCTCTGGGTGCTTCACCACATCTTGTTGGTTTCTCTTAATCCTTCACAGACCTCAAGAGGCCAGTATGCTCATGTGCTTCTTGTTACCTTCTCTTCCCTCTTCTTCAATGTCTACTTTGATCTGCTGCACAATCTTCCTTCAATTCTTCCTTTAATCTTTCCCAAGTTGGCATAAACTAAGCCAAATGGTTTATTCCCTCTAGTTATACTTTTTACATCATCTCACAAGAGTTTTTCATATTATAAATACATTCTCAGTAGGTGAATGTCCTCTTACCAAGGTAACTGGAGAGTGGCACACAAGCAGTTTACACTGGGAGTTTAGCTGTTTGTCCAGTTCAGCTGTTCTTGACTCCATTTTTGTGACTCCAATAATACATAGTACAGTGGTTCACCTCTATATGCAGGGGATTGGTGCCAGGACCCCCACCCCAACATACCCACCTATACCAATATCCACCTATACCAATATCCACCTATAACAATATCCACGCATATTCAAGTTCCACAGTCAGCCCTGAAGAATCCATATATATAAAAAGTCGGTCTCACTATACTGGGTTTCACATCGTGAGAATATTATATTTTTGATCCACATTTGGTTGAAAAAAAATCTTCATATAAGCAGAGTTGTGCAGTTCTAACCTGTGCTGATCAAAGGTCAACTGTATTATATAGCCCTGGTATCTCTGTCTTTCTTTCTCTCTTTCTTTTTCCTTTCTTTCTGTCTTTACTGTGGTTGGTCTTTCTTTCTTTCTTTCTTTCTTTCTTTCTTTCTTTCTTTCTTTCTTTCTCATTCTTTCTTTTTCCTGTCTTCTTTATCTCTCTTTCTTTCCCTTTCTTTCTCTTTCTTTCTTTCTTTTTGTTAAATTTTTCTCTTTTATCTTTCTGTCATCTTTCTGTTTTTTCTTTCTTCCCTTCTCCCTTTCTTCCTCTTTTCCTTTCTTTTTAAAATTTATTATTGAGTCTCTCCCTGAACTGACTATTTTTACCTTTTTCTCTGATTAACCTTGACACCTTTCTCTTATTCAAAATAATGCCTGCCTCAAATAGCCGTACAGCAGATCATGTAAAGCATTAGAATATAATTTTTAAATTAATTCAAATAAACTTTCAGCAAGTTGCTATATTATTAACTAACCTTATCAATGACACATTTGCAGGAAATTGCTTATTGTAAGGAAACATGCATTTGGACATCATTTTTCAATGACATCTGTATGTAGCAGGGAACCAATAGGATGATAAAGAGAGCAGATATTTTCAATCCATCTCTGATATTGTTATCTTTGAGATAAAGCTAACTTTAAAGTAGTATTTGCTCCTTTCAGCTTTTTTGCATGATGGATAATAATAATAGCACAGTCACAGTTACATAAAGAATCCAGTCTCACCTACCATTAAACTCAGTATTCATAAGTGGCCACAAGACCAGTGATAACAGCACCCTTTAAAAAAGGTATTCTAATCCCTTACAGCTTTTTGACTGATGTGTTTCTTTCTCTTGGGAGGAACCTTCAGGTCTGCTGTTCGGTTATTATTTATTTTTCAATTCTAAATATCACATTGTGGTCAAGGATTAATAATTCTTAGGTACTCAATGTCTGCCTTCTTTGGCTGACTTTAAACAGCAGATCATGTAAAGCATAAGAATATATTTCTTAAATTAATTCAAATAAACATTCAGCAAGTTGCTTTGTTATTAACTAGCCTTATCAATAACATCTTTGTAGAAAATTGCTTATTGTAAGGAAACATGCATTTGGACATCATTTTTCAAATCTACTGACATTGTTTAAACTCTTCACTTTTTTTTCTTGCTGACACTTTCTTACCAAAACACATCTACAGAATCAACTGGCCATTTTCTCCCAGTTTGTTCCTTTTTCTGTTGTTGTTTAATTATCTGACAGTTCAGTACCTTCTTTTCAGATTATGATTCAAATTGATAATATCATTATTACTTTAAGGAATCAGGGTAAAGGAATCAGAAAAAAACAGACTTCATACATGTTAAGCAATCTTTTCATTTCTTTAAATTAGAAATTTATTTGGACATTCACATAAATGCATTATTTATTTAGATTATACACTAGGAAACAAAAAAGTGTGCAATACTAAAATCGTCCATCATTTTAGAATCAAAAGAATAACAGCATTTTTGAGATTCAATAATTTGATTTCTAGTTTCAAGATTTCTGTCATTAAAACAAAATTTGTGGCAGTTCCAAGGTGGCTGAATAGGAACAGCTCCAGTCTACAGCTCCCAGCATGAATGATGCAGAAGACGGGTGATTTCTGCATTTCCAACTGAGGTACCAGGTTCATCTCACTAGGGCTTGTCGGACAGTGGGTGCAAGACAGTGGGTGCAGCCCACCGAGCGTGAGCCATGAGCTAAAGCAAGGCAAGGCATCGCCTCACCCAGGAAGCACAAGTGGTCAGGGAATTCCCTTTCCTAGCCAAGAGAAGCTGTGACAGATGGCACCTGGAAAATCAGGTCACTCCCACCCTAATACTGCACTTTTCCAATGGTCTTAGCAAACGGCATACCAGGAGATTATATCCCAGGCCTGGCTCGGAGAGTCCCATGCCCACGGAGCCTCACTTATTGCTAGCCCAGCAGTCTGAGATTGAACTGCAAGGTGACAGCGAGGCTGGGGGAGGGGTGCCTGTCATTGCTAAGGCTTGAGTAGGTAAACAAAGTGGCCCAAAAGCTCAAACTGGGTGGAGTCCACTGCAGCTCAAGGAGGCCTGCCTGCCTCTGTAGACTCCACCTCTGGGGGCAGGGCATAGCCAAACAAAAGGCAGCAGAAACCTCTGCAGACTTAAATGTCCCTGTCTGACAGCTTTGAAGAGAGTAGTGGCTCTCCCAGCACAGAGTTTGAGATCTGAGAATGGATAGACTGCCTCCTCCAGTGGGTCCTTGACCCCCGAGTAGCCTAACTGGGAGGGACCCCCCAGGAGGGGCAGACTGACACCTCACATGGCCGGGTACCCCTCTGAGATGAAGCTTCCAGAGGAATGATCAGGCAGCAACATTTGCTGTTCAGCAATATTCGCTGTTCTGCAGCCTCTGCTGCTGATACCCAGGCAAACAGGGTCTGGAGTGGACCTCTCGCAAACTCCAACAGGCCTTCAGCTGAGGGTCCTGACTGATAGAAGGAAAACTAACAAACAGAAAGGACATCCACACCAAAACCCCATCTGTACATCACCATCATCAAAGACCAAAGGTAGATAAAACCACAAAGATGGGGAAAAAACAGAGCAGAAGAACTGAAAATTCTAAAGATCAGAGCGCCTCTCCCCCTCCAAAAGAATGCAGGTCCTCACCAGCAATGGAACAAAGCTGGACGGAGAATGACTTTGACAAGTTGAGAGAAGAAGGCTTCAGGCGATCAAACTTCTCCAAGCTAAAGGAGGAAGTTCGAACCAATGGCAAAGAAGATAAAAACCTTGCAAAAAGATTAGATGAATGGCTGACTAGAATAACCAGTGTAGAGAAGTCCTTAAATGACCTGATGGAGCTGAAAACCATGGCACGAGAACTACATGATGAAGGCACAAGCTTCAGTAGCCAATTCGATCAACTGGAAGAAAGGATATCAGTGATTGAAGATCAAATGAATGAAATGAAGCAAGAAGAGAAGTTTAGAGAAAAAAGAGTAAAAAGAAATGAACCAATCCTCCAAGAAATATGGGACTATGTGAAAAGACCAAATCTATGTCTGATTGGTGTACCTGAAAGTGACAGGGAGAATGGAACTAAGTTGGAAAACACTCTGCAGGATTGGATATTATCCAGGAGAACTTCCCCAACCTAGCAAGGCAGGCCAATACTCAAATTCAAGAAATACAGAGAACGCCACAAAGATACTCCTCGAGAAGAGCAACTCCAAGACACGTAATTGTCAGGTTCAGCAAAGTTGAAATGAAGGAGAAAATGTTAAGGACAGCCAGAGAGAAATGTCGGGTTACCCACAAATGGAAGCCCATCAGACTAACAGCAGATCTCTCGTCAGAAACTCTACAAGCCAGAAGACAGTGGGGGCCAATATTCAACATTCTTAAAGAAAAGAATTTTCAACCCAGAATTTCATGTCCAGCCAAACTAGCCTTCATAAATGAAGGAGAAATAAAATCCTTTATAGACAAGCAAATGCTGAGAGATTTTGTCACCACCAGGCCTGCCCTACAAGAGCTCCTGAAGGAAGCACTAAACATGTAAAGGAACAACCGGTACCAGCCACTGCAAAAACATGCCAAATTGTAAAAACCATCGATGCTGGGAAGAAACTGCATTAACTAACGAGAAAAATAACCAGCTAACATTATAATGACAGGATCAAATTCACACATAACAATATTAACCTTAAATGTACATGGGCTAAATGCTACAATTAAAAGACACAGACTGGCAAATTGAATAAAGAGTCAAGACCCTTGACTCTGAATACAGTGTGCTGTATTCAGGAGACCCATCTCACATGCAGAGACACACATAGGCTCAAAATAAAGGAATGGAGGAAGATCTACCAAGCAAACAGAAAACAAAAAAAGGCAGGAGTTGCAATCCTAGTCTCTGATAAAACAGACTTTTAAACCAACAAATATCAAAAGAGACAGAGAAGGCAATTACATAATGGTAAAGGGATCAATTCAACAAGAAGAGCTAACTATCATAAATATATATGAACCCAATACGGGAGCACTTATATTCATAAAGCAAGTCCTTAGAGGCCTACAAAGAGACTTAGACTCCCACACAATAATAATGGGAGACTTTAACACCCCACTTTCAACATTAGACAGATCAACGAGACAGAAAGTTAAAAAGGATCCCCAGGAATTGAACTCAGCTCTGCACCAAGGAGACCTAATACACATCTACAGAACTCTCCACCCCAAATCAACAGGATATACATTCTTCTCAGCACCACATCGCACTTATTCCAAAATTGACCACATAGTTGGAAGTAAAGCACTCCTCAGCAAATGTAAAAGAACATAAATTACAAGAAACTGTCTCTCAGATCACAGTGCGATCAAACTAGAACTCAGGATTAATAACTCACTCAAAACCACTCAACTACATGGAAACTGAACAACCTGCTCCTGAATGACTACTGGGTACATAATGAAATGAAGGCAGAAATAAAGATGTTCTTTGAAACCAATGAGAACAAAGACACAACATACTAGAATCTCTGGGACACATCTAATGCAGCATGTAGAGGGAAATTTATAGCACTAACTGCCTACAAGAGAAAGCAGGAAAGATCTAAAATTGACATGCTAATATCACAATTAAAAGAACTAGGGAAGCAAGAGCAAACACACTCAAAAGCTAGCAGAAGGCAAGAAATAACTAAGATCAGAGAAGAACTGAAGGAAATAGAGACACAAAAAACGCTTCAAAAAATCAATGAATCCAGGAGGTGGCTTTTTGAAAAGATCAATAAAATTGATAGACTGCTAGCAAGACTAATGAAAGAAGAAAACAGAGAAGAATCAAATAGATGCAATAAAAAATGGTAAAGGGGATATCACCACCAATCCCACAGAAATACAAACTACCATCAGAGAATACTATAAACACCTCTATGCAAATAGACTAGAAAATCTAGAAGAAATGGATAAATTCCTCAACACATACACTCTCCCAAGACTAAACCAAGAAGAACTTGAATCCCTGAATAGACCAATAAGAGGGTCTGAAATTGAGGCAATAATTAATAGCTTACCAACCAAAAACAGTCCAGGACCAGATGGATTCAGAGCCGAATTCTACCAGAGCTACAAGGAGGAGTTGGTACAATTCCTTCTGAAACTATTCCAATCAATAGAAAAAGAGGGAATCCTCCCTAACTCATTTTATGAGGCCAGCATCATCCTGATACCAAAGTCTGGAAGAAACACAACAAAAAAAGAGGATTTTAGACCAATATCCCTGATAAACATCGATGCAAAAATCCTCAATAAAATACTGACAAACCCAATCCAGCAGCACATCAAAAAGCTTATCCACCATGATCAAGTAGGCTTCATCCCTAGGATGCAAGGCTGGTTCAACATACACAAAGCAATAAACATAATCCAGCATATAAACAGAACCAAAGGCAAAAACCACATGATTATCTCAATAGATGCAGAAAAGGCCTTTGACAAAATTCAACAGCTCTTCATGCTAAAAACTCTCAATAAATTAGGTATTGATGGGATGTATCTCAAAATAAGAGCTATTTATGACAAACCCACAGGCAATATCATACTGAATGGGCAAAACTGGAAGCATTCCCTTTGAAAACTGGCACAAGACAGGGATGCCCTCTCTCACCACTCCTATTCAACATAGTGTTGGAATTTCTGGCCAGGGCAATCAGGCAGGAGAAAGAAATAAAGGGTATTCAATTAGGAAAAGAGGAAGTTAAATTGTCCCTGTTTGCAGATGACATGATGGTATATTTAGAAAACCCCATTGTCTCAGCCCAAAATCTCCTTAAGCTGATAAGCAACTTCAGCAAAGTCTCAGGATACAAAATCAATGTACAAAAATGACAAGCATTCTTATACACCAATAACAGACAAACAGAGAGCCAAATCATGAGTGAACTCCCATTCACAATTGCTTCAAAGAGAATAAAATACCTAGGAATCCTACTTACAAGGGATGTGAAGGACCTCCTCAAGGAGAACTACAAACCACTGCTCAATGAAATAAAAGAGGACACAAACAAATGGAAGAACATTCCATGCTCATGGATAGGGAGAATCAATATTGTGAAAATGGCCATACTGCCCAAGGTGATTTATAGACTCAATGTCATCCCCATCAAGCTACCAATGACGTTCTTCACAGAATTGGAAAAAACTACTTTAAAGTTCATATGGAACCAAAAAAGAGCCCACATTGCCAAGACAATCCTAAGCCAAAAGAACAAAGCTGGAGACATCACACTACCTGACTTCAAACTATACTACAAGACTACAGTAACCAAAACAGCATGGTACTGGTACCAAAACAGAGATATAGACCAATGGAACAGAATAGAGCCCTCAGAAATAGTACCACACATCTACAACTATCTGATATTTGACAAACCTCAAAAAACAAGCAATGGGGAAAGGATTCCCTATTTAATATATGGTGCTGGGAAAACTGGCTAGTCATATGTAGAAAGCTGAAACTGGATCCCTTCCTTACACCTTATACAAAAATTAATTCAAGATGGATTAAAGTCTTAAATGTTAGACCTGAAACCATAAAAACCCTAGAAGAAAACCTAGGCAATACCATTCAGGACATAGGCATGGGCAAGGACTTCATGTCTAAAACACCAAAAGCAATGGCAACCAAAACCAAAATTGACAAATGGGATCTAATTAAACTAAAAAGCTTCACACAGCAAAAGAAAATACCATCAGAGTGAATAGGCAACCTACAGAGTGGGAAAAATTTTTTGCAATCTACTCATCTGACAAAGGGCTAATGTCCAGAATCTACAATGAACTCAAACAAATGTACAAGAAAAAAACAACCCCATCAAAAAGTGGTCAAAGGATAGGAACAAACACTTCTCAAAAGAAGACATTTATGCAGCCAACAGACACATGAAAAAATGCTCATCATCACTGGCCATCAGAGAAATGCAAATCAAAACCACAATGAGATACCATCTCACACCAGTTGGAATGGTGATCATTAAAAAGTCAGGAAACAACAGGTGCTGGAGAGGATGTGGAGAAATAGGAACACTTTTACACTGTTGGTGGGACTGTAAACTAGTTCAACCATTGTGGAAAACAGTGTGGTGATTCCTCAAGGAACTAGAACTAGAAATACCATTTGACCCAGCCATCCCATTACTGGGTATATACCCAAAGGATTGTAAGTCATGCTGCCATAAAGACACATGCACACGTATGTTTATTGCAGCACTATTCACAATAGCAAAGACTTGGAACCAACCCAAATGTCCATCAATGATAGACTGGATTAAGGAAATGTGGCACGTAGACACCATGGAATACTATGCAGCCATAAAAAAGGATGAGTTCATGTCCTTTGTAGGTACATGAATGAAGCTGGAAACCATCATTCTCAGCAAACTATCGCAAGGACAAAAAACCAAACACCGCATGTTCTCACTCATAGGTGGGAATTGAACAATGAGAACACTTGGACACAGGAAGGGGAACATCACACACCGGGGCCTGTTGTGGGGTGGGGGGAGGGGCAAGGGATAGCATTAGGAGATATACCTAATGTAAATGACAAGTTAATTGGTGCAGCACACCAACATGGCACATGTATACATATGTAACAAACCTGCACGCTGTGCACATATACCCTAGAACTTAAAGTATATTTAAAAAAGAATAAAACTGAACCCCTTCCTTTTACCACATAAAAAAATTAACTCAAGATGGATTAAAAATCTAAATGTAAGACTTCAAACTATAGGATTCCTAGAAGAAAACCTAGAAAACACCATTCTGCCCATCTGCTTTGTGAAATAATTCGTGACTAAGTCCTCAAAACCAATTGCAACAAAAATGAAAATTGACAAGTGGGACCTAATTAAACTGAAGAGCTTCTGCACAGCAAAAGAAACTATTAACAGAGTAAACAGATAACCTACAGAATGGGAGAAAATATTGGTAAGCCATACATTAGATAAAGGTCTAATCTGCAGAATCTATAAGGAACTTAATTCAACAAACAAAAACTAAATAATCCCATTAAAAATAGGCAAAAGATATGAACAGAGACTTCACAAAAAAAGACATAAAAGTAGCCAACAAATATATGAAAAAATTCTCATCATCACTAATCATCAGAGAAAGGCAAATCAAAACCACAATGAGATACCATTTCACACCAGCCAGGTGGCTATTATAAGAAAGTCGAAAATCAACAGATGCTGCCAAGGCTGTGGTGAAAAGGGTACATTTATACACTGTTGGTGGAAATGTAATTTCGCTCATCCACTGTGGAAAGCAGTTTAAAGATTTCTCAAAGAATTTAAAACAGAACTACCATTGAACCCGGCAATCTCATTACTGGGTCCCTGAAATCTCATTACCCAAAGGAAAGTAAATACGGCTACCAAAAAGACACATGCACTCATATGTTCATTGCACCACTGTTCACAATCGCAAAGACATGGAATCAACCTAGATTCCCATCAGTGGTGGACTGGATAAAGAAACTGTGGTACATATACACCATGGAATACTATACAGCCATAAAAAGAATGACATTATGTCCTTTGCAGCAACATGGATGCAGCTGGAGGCCATTATCCTATGCAAGTCAATGCAGAAACCGAAAACCAAATACCACTTGTTCTCATTTATAAGTGGGAGCTAAACATTGGGTACTCATGGACATAAAGATGGCAGCAATAAACACTGGAAACTACTAGAAGGAGGAGTGGGGAAAGGGGAAGGGTTGAAAAACTAACTATTGGGTACTATGCTCACTACCTGAGTGATGGATTCATTTCTATCCCAAACCTCAGCATCACCCAATATACCAATATACCCTTGTAACCAACCTGTACATATACCCCCTAAATCTAAAATAAAGGTTGAAATTCTGAAAAAAATTTAAAAAAATTTGTAGAGAATCAGGACAAGACGTTTTAGTATGTGAAAGATCTATATTGTATGTCCTTCTTATATTTGGCTAGAGAGGACAAATACCTTCAAAGTCAAACTACTCAAGAGAAAGCAAAAGGAACTATAAACTTGCAATACAAGCAAAGGTTGATGATAATAAATTACATATTATAATGATATATTATTGAATAAAATATTTTTGAAGCTTCTTCCTGAATTCATAAAAGTTTGGACATCAAATATAAATTTCAGGAAAAAATATTGTTGAATTACATCATAACTAGTTCTGCATTTTCTTTTTCTTGCATATTAAGATATTTTTCAATATGTCTTTCCAATAATAATATTTATATTTTTCTTAATTCAAAACATAAAATTTATACAATGGTCAAGAGCTCATCCTCTTGAGTTTAAAATTTTGTACCTAAAAGTAACAAGGAAGGAAATACTGTTTTAACAATATTCCCTATTTTTTTATTAACTGCCTTTTGTGAGGAGGGAGCAAGGATCTCTCTGGAGTCAAAGACAGGCCATGTTGCCACATAATACCTTAGTTTAAAGATGATTTAAGTACAGAGTGGGTAAAAAACATGCATTATTGGACTTTGAGTCAAATACCAGGCTTCAAATTCTAACACCCTAAGATATTGGTGTTGGAAATACTGCTCTTCTTAACCAGTTTACTTGTTAATAAAGATAATACAGAATATTGCAATGAATAAAATGACTGTGTCAAAGATTTTAACATTTATTTTTACACTCAACTGTAGTCCATGAAGACTAGAAATCAGGTAGCAAATTCAGAGTACTGTATTTATCCTGGTATGTTACTTCATGTTTCTCCATGATGTTAAATATAGAAGAATTGATCTGGGAAAGACATGCAGAATGCATTTCTGTAGTGGCTTAAAGCACAGCCACTGAAGTCACACAGCTTCTCAGTTTTACCACACATTGGCTAAATTTGAAGAGATTAAATAATGTCTAACCTTTAGTTCTGCTGTTTTAGAATAAGAATAATAATAGCCCAAGCATCATGGCATTTTAGAGATTAAACATGATAATCTATATCCAACGTGTACTTACTTGTGACCTTCAGGTGTAGAGAATTCTGCTAAAAGAAGGAGGCAATGCCTGCCATCATGGATCTTATATTGTAGTAAGGAAATAGCACATCCAGATATAGCTCAGTGGTTTATAAGAGAAAGTAGAGAAGGCTAAGTGGAAAACAGGAGAAATGCAAAGAAGTACTGTAATAGAATACTGCAGCCACAGCCTCACCTTTCTTGTCTGTCTTACCCAAAGGCCTCAGCCTGGAGGAGGCCTTCAGGCCCGTTCTAACACACGGGCTTCTTTGGTTTTGTCCTCACATGGTTTTACATATTAATGATTTTCATGTAAACATTCTGATTTCTGGTTCTTATGGAAAAATTGGAAGATCTGGCACCCCTGGACCTGTATTTCTACGTGGCAACCATCATCTAATGTTGCATAACTACAAAGCCTTTAAACCACGTTTTGGTTCTTTATTTGACCCCACAATTGCTCTCTAACTCAGGAAGATATGTGGTGGGAGCTGTGAGCTATGTGAACTGGTGTCTCCAAGGTGTCAGAGGGAAGCTGAGTGGGGAAGGAAGAGCCTTGAGCTGCCCCTCTAATCTCATATATCACAAAACTGTTTCAACCACACCCAAGGTCCTATGAAGAGACTCCAAAGGCTCATTCAAATCCATACGGGAATAAAGGAGTAAGTTTTACTAACTCTGCAATTTCCTAGGAGCTCAGAAAGGTATTTTTTAACCTCAGTTCATTTATGAGAACTTAATTAATTTTCACTTTATAAAAATTATCTGAGATAAAGCATTTTCAAAATCTTGCAGTGGCACTAGTAATTTTCATAAAACACTGTCTCCCATCTCCTTTCTAATGCTTTTTTCAACAGCCATCCTCGAGATCTTCATTCTCACCAATTACTGACCAGCCTTTTACTTTCTTCCATGCGTTCCTTGCTTTCTGTCTCACTTCCCTATGCCAGAGCTACCCCCTCAAACAGTCTAAATGTCATATTCTATACATTGTTTAGTTTAAATGTTTTTGTCCACAATCTTCATGCAGATAGGAGCAGTAGTGTTCAAACCAGCCTGTATGGTTATACCACCTGGGGCCCTTTACAAAATCATCAAGGCATGGATCCTACCCTAGACTGATTGCTTCAGAGGTTGTGGCCCTAAAATCTTAATTTTTTCAAAATTATGCCAGGGTGATTTTAAAGTGAAAAGAGGGCTGAGAAGCACTGTTTTCGATATAAAAATTATTTAACCTCTTTAAAATGCACTGTGCTGACAAGATGTGAGGTATCAGGGGATGTTCCCTAGGGAAGTAAGGGACAGAAGGGCTTGGAATGACCAATCAGTGCAGACAGTTATAAAGTAGCCATTGCTTTCTTCCTTCTGAGAATTTTAGTAAAAGCTTCCCCCCAACTTCCTAACCACTCCTCACTTCCCACCACAAAGGGATGACTTCTCATTGTGAAATTTAGAATTGGTTAATTAAGTATATGTGACCTAAACTATTTTGAGTTCTTTCAGAGATGATTGCCCACAAATTGAGCACCTTCTGCTCTCATTCTTGAGTCAAGATGATAAGAATACTTGACATAGAGCCCATGACAGGACTGAGTCTCCCAAACATGTCCCAGTGTCTCTATACTGAGGTTCAAGGCAGGGCTTGAAGCTTCTTAGAAATCTCCTTGCAGCTGAATGGAGACTGTATGTTGTCTCTCTTCTCTCCCTGCAGTGCATTCTAAGGATGGGACTTAGTGGTAGAGGTGTGCAGTCAACCAAATGTGTCCCTTGGAAATTCATATGTTGAAGCCTAAATTTCCAATGTTATGATATTTGGAGGTGGGCTTGTTACAGGTAATTATGTCATTACGCTGGAGTGCTCATAAATGTCATGAGTGCTCTTATCAGAAAATGAAGAGACCAGAGCTCTCTGCTCTCCATCAGATGGCCAATACAAAGTGGCCATCTGCAAACTAACAAGAGGGCCCTCATCAGAACTGGACCACGCTGACACCCTGATCTTGGACTTTACACCTTCCAGAACTGTGAGAAATAAATTTCTATTGCTAAGCCACCCAATCTATGGTATATTTTTTTATAGCACCCTGAAATGACTAAGACAAGATGACAATTGGAAAAACCATAGATTATTCTCTATCTCACTCTGCAGTCTAAAATTTTGATCTCTATTTGGTTCCTATAAGTGCTCTGATTATTCTTTTGGAAATTCTAATGAAAATGTTATCTCAGACACTGTAAAATATCAGAAGAAAGGAAAAAAAATTAAAGGAAGAGAGGGAGGAAGGAAAAGGAGCAAATAGAGGAAAGAATCTAAGATCTTTGCTGAGGGATCCGTACCTTTATCACTGTCTCCTCCATAGGCCTCAATAATCTTTCATTGAATTGAGCTGTAAGTCTGAAACACATAGTTTAAAGTATCATTGAAATGTTCTATCAGTTTAAAAATATAATAAGGATAAAAGGATCGTTTACAATGTTTTTTCCTCTAATTTAAGCATAATGTATTTTTTCAAATAAATCAGATGATTTATTCATCTATAATCAAAATTTGTTCCCCAATATGTTCCAAAGTAAAAATTTACTTAACTATTACAGTCTTTTATCAAAGACCTCCAATGTTTTTAACCAGGAACTAGTTCTTTAAAAGAAAGTCAGTAAAACCAACCTCTCTTCTGAGCCCATAAGTCCAGTTGAAGTATTGCTATGTTAAATAAAATTCCTCCTGTTTCATTAAGTGTACTTGTCATTCAATAAAAATCTGCACTTAAAACAAATCCTTGTAACAATAAATGTGGACAATTGGAATGTATGGACTTGTACACACACACATACATACAAACATTACTGTAGAGCTAAAATAGAAATAATAATTCAAATATTCTGCTAGGAACAAGATGTACTTGGGTTTCTCAATTTAATAAACATAATGTATCATTCCCTCTTGAATTTAATTCTGTCTGCCACTGACTTCATAGACGACCCCTGAAAAAACATTTAACTTCTTTTCACTTTAGTTTCCTTTATATTTAAAACAGGGCTTATAAACTTTGCTAACACCACAGAGACATTTTCATTTACTACACGAAGTATTTTGCTGTTAATTAAAAAGCTCTTGGCACTTAAATTTCAGTTGTGACTATAATGAAAATACAGAAAAGATTTACTACAATTCCCTATCGAAGTTGATTTTCAAATAAAAATTAGTAAGAACAATTGAAAGACATGCACTATTATCCAATAAATATGTACATATGCTTTACTTTTAGATGGAGAACTAAACCCTTTTTTGTTTGTGAAATATGTTTCTCTGGATTCTCCATGCTTTATTGGGATGCATTAAACATTATGCATGCTGGAATTTTTTATCGTTCAGCTTTCTGTTTTGACATAATACACTAAACCACAAATTAAATTTATTGTGTACTTTGAGGCCCTCTGGTTGTGTACCAGTTCTTAAAATTTGTGATATCCTTCAAAAGTTCCTGTAAAATAGACAAGTACAAATATTAATGCAAAGCCTTATTTATGATAGTCATATGTGGTGTTTCCTATGGTTTCACAGGTTTAGATTTATAGATTAAATTTACAAGAAGATTTTCTACCACTTAAAATATTTGAACCTGTGATTTGGTAGACTACTGCTGATTTTCTCAGTTATACATGGTTATACATACATAATTATATCTGTATTTGAAACAAGCAATTCTTAAATATTAGTACATAAAAACAATCTAGAGCCTTGGTACAGCGGCTTATGCCTGTAATCCCAACACCTTGGATGACTTGAGGCTAGGAGTTAGAGACCAGAAATATAGTGAGACTCTATCTCTACAAAAAATTAGAAATTTAGCTGTGTGTGGTGGTGTGCACCTGTAGTCCTAAATACTTCAGAGGCTGAAGTGGGAGGAGTGCTTGAATTTGGTTTGAGGCTACTGTGAGCTATGATTATGCCACTGCACCCCAGCCTGGGTGCCAGAATGAAACTCTGTCACTATTTAAAAAATTAAGGAAAGAAGTAAAAAAAAAAAAAAAAAAAAAACCCTAGAAGGGCCAAAAAATGCAAATTCCTGGGCATCAACCTTCTGAGATTTTATTGAATGTTTCTGTGTTGGGGCTTACCAATACGCATTTTTCAAATGTTTGATAATTTTAAAGCATATATATCATGTATCACAAACGAAGAGCTATTGGCATATGACACACACAAAATTACTAGTGAAAATTATTGGCATGAAAAAATATTTTCATTATGACAACTTACATTACAATGATTAATGAATAAAGTCATTTATATTGTCAAGTAATAATACACTTGTGTAAAAATACATTTCTCACTAATCTTTAACTGGAATCGTTCAGTCATAGTTCCATGGGTTCATACCTTAAACTGATCTAATTTTTACAAGAATGTTCTATAAGTAACACTTCATTAGGGTAACCCATAGATCTGGGACTTCAAATCTATTTGTCATCAAATTCCTAAAGGCTTCTCACTGCTGCTACTTCCATTTACTCCGGCGAAGGAATCTGCCCTATGATTTTCTTATTAGCTGTTTCTGGAGTCATCCTTCCAAGTGTTTTCTCCATCAAAGTCAATAGGGGCATCACTCTACCACGAGTAGACTGGGATTCCCAAAATTTGCTGTGATTTCCTCCACGTGTGGGGTTGTCCTCATTCAGCTATACTTGGGAATTTTATTAGCAGTGCTTCTTTTCTAGTCTCAAAACTGAGAAAATGATAAATCTCTACTTCCAGAAGTGCATCTACCTGCTACTGAATATGCACTCAGTCAGTCTGGATAGTTCCTTCACCCCTTCAATAGTTTTGTGCCTAGTTAGGGGCTGCCGTTTTCCACTCTGATTATAATTCATCCCCAAATCCTTGCTGACAACATAGCGTTGTATATTTTTGTCAAAAGGAAGTTAGACAATACAATAAGACTCCAGTAAATCTTAAACAATCCAAATGTTCCATAAACATTCCATATAAACATTTTCCATCTAAACATCTTTACAATATTTACATACAAACTAGATTACTGAATTACTACTGAAATCTTTTCAACAAAATGCCAATTTTTTGATTTTTAAAATGGTGTCATAGCTTTAAGAACAATAGAATACGCTTTATTTAGAAATAATTTTTTACACAATATAGTTCTAGGATTGAAAATGTGAATAAAATAAATATCTTATTTTACTAAGAGAAATAGACAGCAGTTTTGTAGATCTGATTCAGTTCAACTGTGAAAATGAGGTTGTAATTTACTATTGTCTTCAGATGAAAAAAAGAGACTGGATGATTTCAAATTAAAAGTATGAGTTTGTTCAAGATTTGTAAGCTTACATTCATAGTCAAATTATTTACTATTAATCAAGGTCATAAAAACTTTTCTCTTTATAACTCTTGTACCTTACAAAAAGTGGCTTAGACAGCTGTGCTGAAATATGAGCTAAACATAATTGTTACCTTTCATAAAATATTTTTGTATGAAATCTTCTCTGATTTATGTGAGGCCACTTATCTACTTTACATTAATTCTGGAGCAATGTGTCCATTTATAGAAAATAAGATAAATATATTTAAACTATAACATATGAAAATATGACATAAATAATAAGACTATAAATAAACTAGAAGACAACTAGTACAGTAAAACACTTCTACATTATAAAATATTGTTTTATAAGAAAGAAAAGAGTAACCTATGGATTCAGAAAATCACCCTTTTTAAGCAAGGTGGTAAAAATCAGAAATACCCATCTGAAAAGTGAATGAAAACAGCTTCACATATAAAAAATGTTCTGAAGAGCTTGAAAACACATTGTGTAGAAGGAAAAAAATTAGGCAACATACTGCACACAGCCAAATGGCACCAAATCCTTAATTTGCACATAAGAAATAATAGCATCTCAAACCTTTTTTAAAAACTATTTTCAATAAATCTTAAAATCTTACTCAAAACAGATAGTAAAATATATTGTTATAATCACTATTTCATACTCACTTTTTACCAGTAAACTTTACTCATTACTGATTTTAGAGATGAATACTGAATTTGGTGTAGAAGCACAGGACAACTACACAGTAGACATAACACAGCTACTTATGATTACATAATAAGTCAAGCCCAAAAAACTAGTTGAGGTGTAATAGATGGAATATCTCAAAACCAATTCAGAAAAAAAGATAAATAATATTTACACTTTAAATGTGGGGATTTTTCCTCTATATAACATAGTTCATTTGCTGAAAAGTTGTCTCAGGATCTGCTCCTGAGACTCTAAGTCTGAACTTCTCTCAGGACTTGAATGGCACCACACCACACCACATGACTTCCACCAGCACAGTCATCATCTCGTCACCATGGAAAGTTACATGATTGAGAACTTTGTGCCTGTCACAGGGGTGATCATTTTAAATATATTGTTTCCCTGTTGATGAATGGAAGGTACTCACTATTACTGACATTGTCTCTGTTCTACCATGCCAGAAACCGAGGTCATTAGAGACTGAGTTGTCTAAGGTCAGAAGCTGCTTAGGTGAAGAACTAAAACCTGAACCAGACCAAGAGACCCTACATCACTGTGCATTGTATAGTGCAACTTAACTAACACTGCTTTTTATTATTATTACTAGTTTTTATTTCAGATTACAGAATGTTTTCATGCATGTCTGTAAGTTAGCTATTATTTCAAAAGAAAATAAGCTTCAGAAAATTAGGTGACTGTGAAATATGGTGAGTCTTCTGTTATTAACCCTACTGCATGATGAAAAACTCAAAATCGTAAGCATAAAACCACTAAATGAATGTATGTCAGAAACTTTCACTGTGTTTGTATACATTTAACAAATTTCTTCCTTTTGTTAATTAAGCATGTTTATGTGTCAGTTGCCTTTATTTGTTTATTTTTAGTTTGTTACTTTACTTTATTTACTTAGCAAATGTCTCTTCTCTCCCTCTTGAAGGAGCAAACCTCCCTCTTCTCTTATTTGAATTTTCTCTCATGTCACTTCATATATGGGCAACATGACAGCACAAACCACACAGAGTACTCTAAAGTTTTAATAGCTCATCAGTTTTAATCTTTTTTTACTGTTTATTTTGTTCAGATCTATTGCTTTTTATCCTAATTGTCTGTCTCTAAATAAGTCAAGGTTCTAGGTGTATGCTTCTTTCTAGTTTATTAGCTTCCCTATTACACAAATTATTTCTTGGATACAAATTGCCCCACTAACTCCACCCAACCAGCCATCTTTACAATGTTGTTATGTCTGTAAAGGGCATGGCAAATGTGTAACTATATCAGGTAAACAATTAATATCCTCAGGAGTTGTTGAATTATAGTATATTTCTGCACACTACAACTGTATCTTTTGAAACACACTTCTCACTCCGTCACACTTCTCATTCCGTCCGCAGGTTCTCTGTACTTTTAGTATTATGTAGATATACCATCCCTTATCTGCAATTCCACAACCAAAAACCTCCAAAAAAAAAGGTTTTTGTTAAGCTACAAAATCATTTGAGAGAAAAACCTGATCTAATATAAAGCTATTTATCCCATTTAATGTGATTTTCTTTTGCTACACAAATTATTTATTTGATTATGGTACTCTGCTTTAAGTGTCTCTCTGGGTGACATACAATATACAGCACATGTAAAAATCATCCATCTAACATATGGGAAATAGTTTGATTTCTCAAAACCAGAAGATATACTTAGGAGATTCTAGATGTTATGCAAAATTTTAAGAAGTCTAGAAAAGCTTCGATATATGTGGCTTTATTGGTTAGATTGAAGAACATTTCAAAACCCACATTGCATTCTCAAAGTTTGAACTTCTTTAGAATCAATACAGCAAACCACACATAAGTAAGAGGAGCCAAATATTATAATAAGTACTAAAGATAAAAACATAATTTTCACTTGATCCTTGCCTTCAGTTAAACTCAAGCCAAAATCTTTGAGTCTTCCTGATCCTTTCAAAACATGGTAACTGTAATTTAAGGGTGTCTGTTTCAAGGCTTCACCTATAGAATAAAATATTTTGTGTATACCTGGGCATTAAGTCAACAAAAAACTATTATTGAATAATGTTATAAAATTCTAAAATAGTAATATTTCTGTGGTAATAAGAAAATCTAGTTATTGCAATGGTGTCCTTTGCCTTTTTATCAAAATGAGTACATATTTGCGACCTCCTTCTATATCTGTAAAAAACAAGTTGCTAAGTGGAAGATACCATGATATATGCTGGCTTAGTTTCTCTCCTTATATGAATTCCATACACTCTTTTTTGTTCAAGGCTAAAATAGGAACTATGCAATGGATTAATTTTCAAACTTGAGAATTGAAAACACAATTTTGCACTTTTCAATTGCCCAGATGAAATATTATTTTCCAGAAAAAATTGAACTCCTTAGAAATCGAACTATTGTAAAACTACTGTTATTTTCTTTTATGTTATGATTTATTTTCTACCTGTGCATGATTGCCAGTTTTTTTATACATCTAAATTTCTCATTTGGAATCTATTCTCTTTATAGTTCTGGTCTCTATAAAAAATGTTTATACTTTGGTTAAAGCAACTTCCAAACTTTAGACATAATCTCAGACACATAATATCAGTTAGAATATCAGGATCATATAATATTAGAGATGGAAAATATCTTAGAAATTTTGTATCCCAAAACTTTAATTTTACAAATGAAAAAAATCAAGGCTCAGAGAAGTTACCATATCCTTTCAAACTCTTACACCTATTTGCTGACAAATCCCGTAGTAGATTCTTATCTTCTAGCCTAGAGTCCAGTGTTCCTCTCAGAATTCCATATTGCACCCCATCACTCTCCTGCATCAAATACCCACATTTTCTTATATAAATTTACATATGATACTTAAGTTAACTATTTCTTTCAGTGATATCTTAAATTTCATATTTTAGGTCACATCTTACTTTACTCTCTATAGTAAAAGAATTGGAGAAACTATAATTCCAAATATACAAGATACACACATTTTCTGTGTTGAAAACTTTTAACATAGAAGACATATGACACTTGAAGTTTTCCCAAAATATTGCTAAATAATGAGTACATGGACAAAGATCCAATAAGACCTAATATTGGCAACAAAAGAGACAAGGACATTCTATGGTGACATTTAAACATGTTTGAAAATGCACGTAAACAGTCATAGATATTTCCACTTAAAATGGCAAAGTAAGCCCATGTTTTAACTCACCATCTGTATTACAAATACACGTTGAGAGATGAGACTCAATAATAGAAACCCAAAACCAATTTGCCATGCCCAAAAACAAAACAAAAATCTCCAACAGGCCATAAATGGAATAGAAATGCTGAGCAATGATCAGGGCTGTGATTTTGGAGACAATAGATCTAAAAGTCATTTTATCTGATCCTGGACAAAAGCCTTAAGTGGAGACAAATGAAATCAACTCATAAGAGATGGGTAAACAAAACAGGCAGAGATAAAATAAATGACTTAATTAATAGATTAAGCAATTGCAACAGGCTAGCCAACATAATTACAAATCACACAGAGAAATCTAAGAAAGATATCCAAACAATACTGAACATATATTTATTCCAGATGCAATTAATTTTATGGAATAGGTGACAAAATAATTTATATCAATATTTGTAAAATGCATGAACAATAATGAAAAACTGGTTCATAAAATTGGGTCACATAATTAGCAGAAATGAAACAAGAACAAGTGGTATGAAAAATAGCTAACAAAAAACTTGGAAATAAAAAAGGTAGTTAAATTTAAGAAACTATTACTAGAAAAACTGCAGTTTCTTGAAACATTGCTGAACTTGAAGATAGGGAAGGATTCACCACACAGCAATAGTTTAAAGAGCCTCCATCGTACATCTTCAAATACGATTTGCAGAAGTCAATTGAACTAAGTCTTTAGTTTGAAAGTGTGTTGCATTGTTCAATTCCCACCTATGAGTGAGAACGTGTGGTGTTTGGTTTTTTGTTCTTGCGATAGTTTGCTGAGAATGATGGTTTCCAGCTTCATCCATGTCCCTACAAAGGATATGAACTCATGTTTTTTTATCTTGGACACAGGACGGGGAACATCACACACTAGGGCCTGTTGTGGGGTGGGGGGAGGGGGGAGGGAAAGCATTAGGAGATATACCTAATGTAAATGACGAGTTAATGGATGCAGCACACCAACATGGCACATGTATACATAAGTAACAAACCTGCACATTGTGAACATGTAGCCTACAACTTAAAGTATAATTTAAACAAATAATAAAAGAAAAAAGAAAAAAATTATATACACTAAATGAGATCATGTACATACCTATCCATATCTACACACATGCACATAACAAATTTTAGTAATGTTGGTTTATATATTTTATAGCCTATTTTTTCAAACAATATTTATAAAAGAATTTTATGGCATTAAATAGTGTCTAAAATCATAGACTAATGATTATGTAAAATTTTACCCTTTTTTCTATAATATTGAGCAATATTCTCTTATTGCTCAACGTTTATACTACTATTTTGATACTGTTGCTAACATGATTATCTCTAGCTGATTATTGAGATTAAAGTAGGATTGCTGGAATAAAATATCCAAGTATTAAAACAAAATAAAAAAAAAGAAAGTGTGTTGCTAGCATTGAGCAGGAAAAAAATAAACTCACATCCAGACACAGCAGAGTAAACTGCACAACATCAGGAATGAAAAAGAAAATTATTTTAATAAATTCATCATTTTAAAAAAGCATTTTATAATTACTAGAAATAAAATAGTCTACAATAAATAACTATTATGAGGGAATACGTTTATTAACAAAACTGTTAAATGATGCTAAAAGACAATGAAGTAACATCTTTTGATTGTTTGGGAATAGTGAATCCATCCAATATTATAACCTGCCAAATGATCACTCAAGTGTGGAGATAAAGTAATAATACATTTTGACATTGCAAGAGATAGTATTGCTGTAACATAAGAATTCTCACTAAAAAAAAATTCTTAATGGACGTATTTCATCCAGATGAAATAAGAAACTGGAAAGAATGTATAAGACAAAAGAGAATGGAAATTAATTGAGTATGTTGCTAAAAGCTTCAATTGTTTACTAGAAAAGCAAAAAAAATGTGCTTTAAAAAACTGTCAAACTTCATTTCAAAGCAGTAATAAAAAGATCCTAGAATACAAAACAGGACATGAATTGGTTGCTTAGAGTGCAATAAAAACCTTGTCATGTTTAGGTTGAAATATGCATGCAAAATAAATTTAGATTTAATGGAAAAGTTTCATTACTTCTATGGTGTATATTTGAAGAATTACAAAATAATAGACACAAAATGTATAGCTTGTAAATGAGTGGACGACAAAAGAAGAGAGGAAGGAAAGAAAATAGGAAAGAAAGAAGAGAACATAAAAGAAATGGTAGAATCCTTGATCAATTTCACAGAAGCTAGAAAAGGAGTCTATGAAGAAAAAAAAAATGTGGTACCCAGTAAACAAACACAAAACAAAATACAGTTTTAGAAATAAATACAATATTTCAGCCAATGGCACAAGTATTTAGATTGTATATTTTAAATCAAGACATACATGGTATTAAAAAGATACATTTAAAATGAAGCTCTTATTCAAAATATAGTACAAACACATATAACACAAAAGCATGACAATATTAATATCAACCAAAATATAATTAACAAAAAAGCAATAAAGATAAAGCAAGAGACTGTATAATATAAAAGGTAATATAACAATAACATTATAATTAAAAATAATATATTTTGATGAAAATATGAAATAATAAATGTATAATTTACAGTTAAATCATTTCATAAAACTAATAGTAGTTTTATACCTAAAACTAAACAATGCATGTAACAATACACACAAATATCCTAAACTTTTTAAAATTAAAAAGAAATTAGCACATTAATTACAAAAGTGCAAAAAAGAAGATACACCATGGCTAAATGGGATTCTTTTTTTTTTCAGCTGTTGGGGGATGGAGTCTCTGTCACCCAGGCTGTCACCCAGGCTGGAGTGCAGTGGCGCAATCTTGGCTCACTGCAACCTCTGCCTCCCAGGTTTAATTGATTCTCCTGCCTCAGAGTCCTGAGTAGCTAGGATTACAGGCATACACCACTACGTCTGGCTATTTTTTTTTTGTATTTTTAGTAGAGAAGGGATTTCACCATATTGGCCAGGCTTATCTTGAACTCCTGACCTCAAGTGATCCACCCACCTTGGCCTCCCAAAGTGGTGGGATTACAGGCATGAGCCACTGCACCCAACCTGAATGGTATTCTTGAAAGCAAGTCAAATACACTTGAGTATCAGGAAATTATATCAGTTTAATATGCCACAGTGACAGGTTAAAGATGAAAATTATATGATCATCACAATAGAGTCTGAAACATGTTTAAGAATACTAACTGATTACAAAATAAATAGCACTAACAAGCTATCTTAGCCTGATCAACCAGTTGCAGACGTCACTCTAGTGGGAAAACAATAGGCATACACCTTTCAATGGTAACAATAATAACTAGTGATTCTCCTATCTCCAAGATTACTAGCTTCATACTGATTAGTCAAGGCAGTATGGTGAAAAATAAATAAATAAATAAATACATAAATAAAAAAAGTGGGCCATAAGAAATGGAAAGAAAGTCATATTCATTAGTTTTTATTGGCTGAGTGCAAAGAAAATCTCAAAGATTACACAAGTTTATATACCAACAATTGAAATTTCAGCCAAGATTTTGGTTAGAATATGAATACAGAAAACAACATAATTTCTGCATATCCATAATAACTAATATGGTTTGGCTCTGTGTCCCCACCCAAATCTCACCTTGAATTGTAACAATCCCCATGTGGCAAGGGAGGGACCAGGTGCAGATAATTAAATCATGGGGGCAGTTTCCCTCATGCTGTTCTCATGATAGTGAGTTCTCATGAGACCTGGTGGTTTATAAGGGGTTTCCCACTTCACTTGGCACTCATTCTCCCTCCTGATGCCCTGTGAAGAAGTGTCTACTGCCATGATTGTAAGTTTTCTCAGGCCTCCCCAGACATGCTAAATTGAGTTAATCAAACCTCTTTCCTTTATAAATTACCAAGTCTTGGGCATTTGGGCATGTCTTTATTAGCAGAATGAGTAAATTGGTACTGTAGAGAGTGGGGTACTGCTTTAAAGATACCCCAAAATGTGGAAGCAACTTTGGAACTGGGTACCAGGCAACGGTTGGAACAGTTTGGAGGGCTCAGAAGAAGACAGGAAAGTATGGGAAACCTTGGCAGTTCTTAGAGACTTATTAAATGGCTTTGACCAAAATGCTGATAGTGATATGGACAATGAGGCCCAGGCTGAGTTGGTCTCAGATGGAGATGAGGAATTTGTTGGGAACTGGAATAAAGGTGATTTTTGCTATGTTTGAGCAAAGAGACTGGCAGCATTTTGCCCCTGCCACAGGGAACTGTGGAACTTTGAACTTGAGAGAGATGACTTAGGGTATCTGGTGGAAGAAATTTCTAAGCAGCAAAGCATTCAAGAGGAAACAGAGCATAAAGTTTGGAAAATTTGTAGCCTGACAATGTGACAGAAAAGAAAAACCAATTTTCTGAGGAGAAATTCAAGCCTGCTGCAGAAATATTAATCACCAAGACAATGGGAAAAATGACTCCAGGGCATGTCAGAGACCTTCATGTCAGTCCCTTCCATCACAGGCCCAGAGGTCTAGGAGGGAAAAATGGTTTCCTGGGCTGGACCCAGTGCCCCACTGCTCTATGCAACCTCAGAACATGGTGCCCTGTGTTCCACTGCTTCAGCTCCAGCTGTGGCTAAAAGGAGCCAACGTACATCTCAGGCCATTGCTTCAGAGGGTGCAAGCTCCAAGCCTTGGCAGCTTCCACATGGGTTAAGCCTGCAGGTGCACAGAAGTCAAGAATTGATGTTACAGAACCTCTGCCTAGATTTCAGAGAAGGTATGGAAATGCCTGGATGTCCAGGCAAAAGTTTGCTGCAATGGCGTGGCCCTCATGGGGAACCTCTGCTAGGGTAGTCCTGAAGGGAAATGTGGGGTTGGGGCCCCCACAAAGAGTCCCCACTGGGGCTAGTGGTGCTGTGAAAAGAGAGCTACTGCCCTCCCGACCCCAGAATGGTACATCTATCAACATCTTGCACCATGCACCTGGAAACACCACAGATACCCAATGCCAGCCCATGAAGGCAGTCAAGAGTGGTGCTGTACCCTGCAAAGCCACAGGGATGGAGCTGGCCAAGGCTGTGGGAGCCCACCTCTTGCATCATCATGACAAGAATGTGAGACATGAAGTCAAAGAAGATCATTTTGGACCTTTAAGGTTTAATGACTGCCCTATTGGATTTTGTACTTGCATGAGGCCTGTAGCCCTTTGGTTTTGGCCAATTTCTCTTGTTTGGAATGGGTGTAGTTACCCAATGCCCATTCCCCTATTGTATCTAGGAAGTGACTAACTTGCTTTTGATCTTATAGGCTCATAGGTCGAAGAGACTTGCCTTGTTTCAGATGAGACTTTGGACTTGGGCTTTGGGGTTAATGCTGAAACGAGTTAAGATTTTCGGGGAGTGTTGGAAGGGCATGATTGTATTTTGAATTGTGAGGACATGAGGTTTGGGAGGGTCCAGGGGAGGAATGATATGGTTTCGCTGTGTCCCAACCCAAATCTCACCCAGAATTGTAGTAGTCCCCACATATCAATGGCAGAACCAGGTGGAGATAATTGAATCATGGGGGCAGTTTTCCTCAAGCTGTTCTCATAATAGTGAGTAAGTTCTCGTGAGATCTGATGGTTTTATAAGGAGCTTGCCCCTTTGCTCGGTGCTTATTCTCTCTCCTGATGCCCTTTGAAGAAGTGCCTTCTGCCATGATTGTAAGTTTCCTGAAGCCTCCCCAGCCATGCTGAACCATGAGTCAATTAAACCTCTTTCCTTTATAAATTAGCCAATCTTGGGTATATCTTTATTAGGAGCATGAGAACAAACTAATACAATACCCAACTAAAAATAAAAAATAAATCGTCACTGAATTTGGAGAAACAAAATATAAAATATATAAATTATCTGATTGTACTCAATAATACAGAAATTTTTGAGAAATTTTAAAAACATCAGTGAAGGACAAAATTAAAAAATTAATAAAGAGAAAGATATATTCATGAATCAGAAAACATAGTTTTGTTTAAAGGTCATTTGCCTCAAATTATTTTATAAATTAAAAAAGTCATCAAAATCTCAAATGTCTTATTGAAACTCAGAAGCTGATTTGATAACTTATAAAAAATACAAAGGCTAAGAATGGCTAAGATCATTTGAATAAGAACAAAGGTAATTCTTGTCTTGTATTTAAATTTTAGAAGAAATGTGAAGCCTTTTTAGATGTCATTGCAGGAAGGGTTTATTAAAAGTGTTATAAATATATATGCCATAATTGATAAATCCCTATAATTAAAAGTTACTAAAACAAGAATGGCAAACTGCTGATGGTAAATATATATTCAAATTATAAAAGTGACAAAGGATTAGCATGCATAATTTATAAGAACACCAACATATCAGTTTAAAATAGTACAGCACATTAGAATGTGGGCAAAGACTATACATTGGCAACTAATTAAATTGAAAGCCCAAGTGACCAAGAAACAATGAACAATCTCCATAGTAATCAGAGAAAGGCAAACAAAATTCCATAAGATACATTTTTGTGCTCATCAGTTTGGAAATAATTAAATATCTGACCATCTCTATCAATGGTAAGTGGAAGAAATGGAAAAACCTCATGACTGGATAGAGAAAGATAATAATTGCAATCTTTTGGACAACAGTTTAAGGTATCTAATAAAAATAAACTCTGAATTCCATTTGATCTAGCAATTCCAAGACTTCTTTCTATATACTGTAAAGAAATAGGTATTTGTGGAGAAGATAACATCTATAATAATGGACATGAGACATGATTTGCAATAAAGAAAATAGAAACTAGCTAACCATTCTTCAATAAAAATAGATAAATGATTTCTGATCTAATCACACAATGCGATACAGTATGGCCAATTCAATGAAAAGTGTGTGTATATATATGTGTTTCTATACATACACACACTTGCATAACATATGCCATATGTCAATTCTACATATTTACCTAACGTATAATATATATCATAATGAGAAAGAAAAAGGAAGAATATCTACGACATCATGTTGATAACACAATTTAAATATACATGAAACAATACTATAGATTGTTTATCAACATCACAGAAATATTATAATGTTTACATAGAAATGGCAATTGCATAGTTTGGGACTGATTCACCAGGAATGGGAGGGGAACTAAAAAGTTGCATACAGGGGCTTCAACTGTATCTGTGTTGTATAGTTTATTCCTTAAATCTTCAAAGAACATGCCAACTGGAAATATTGGCTAGATAATAGATATGCATATTTTGTCTCATTTTTATATGCTATTTTGTATTTGAAATAGTTCACAGAAAAAAGAATGCACAGCAGTATCTGAAAGATCAGCCACATTATCTAAGAATGCTTCTTTCAGATAACACAGTATTCTTACTTAATCACAGTGTTTCCATTTGTTCAAAGCTGTAGAATTATTTTATTATTTAATTTTTCATAGTGTCAGAACTTTCCCTGATATAACATCTTGGTTAGTGGTGTAAGGATCATGCACATAAGCATTTTAGTCCTATGGGGCATAGTTGGAGAATGTCACTCAGAATACCAGAATTTAATAATACATAAGCTTCCTGAAGAGAAACAATGAGAAGGAATGTGCAGTATAAAGCAATGAACCAATTCTTCATTGTGATTAATATTTCCTTTAAAAAATCAAGCAAACAAAAAACTTCTACCTAATGAAAATATTTATACTTTCTAGTCAAAATGACAATACCTTATGGCAAATTTATTATAATAAAAAATTGTAGCCACCACATGAATAACCTTTAGTCCATGAAGGATCACAGATCATGCAAATATTTTATCTAAAAGAAATCAAAGATTTAAAATTTATAATTAATTTAGCTGGTATAAGAGAAAGGGCTTTTTGCCTCAACTTTTAATTTTAAAAGTTATCAAACCAGCAGAAAGAATAATTAAATACATGCCTATTTGTCTTCAGCTTAATTCACCAGTTGTTTATATTTTGTCATGTTTGATTTAATTCTTTTAACACATGTATGTTTTTTTAAAATTATATTTGGCACTGTATGAATATTGTTTGACAATAACCTTTCTCCCAATGATCTCATCATCCACTGATGATGCATGAGTAACTGTATTACATGAAGAGTTGAAATTTGTCTGAATTTTACCCTCAAAAAAGCTTTAAAGTTTAGATTACTTTTTCCCCTGACAGATAATGAAATATGTGACCCAGTCCAGAGACAGGTGAATGTCTAAAGGTATTGGCTGTTATTCTACGATTTTGGATCCAATATAAGTCTTTGAAAAGTCTGTCCTTGAGTAATATATTAAGTTTAACTGTACTGACATCTAAACATTAAGCCAGATACTGGTGATATTGTGGGATGTCATGCTTTTCTGCTATGGTCTGTTTAATCTGTTTAACAACATTCCTTGAGCTCTGAGAATCTTATAACTCAAGTTTCAATTACGTTTGGAAGAGTTTAGAAAATATAAAATTTTCATATTTTTTTATTTGCAGATTATATAATGTCTTTACTTTTGGCACCAATATAGGCAATTCCATTTTAAGAGGACATAGGCTAGGGGCAGCGGCTTATGCCTCAGTGAGGCAGGAGGATTGCTTTAGTCCAGGAGTTCAAAACTAGCCTCATCTCTACAAAACAAGACTTCATCCTAATGAGCTCATCTGGAGAAATGGAGATATTTATTACTTGCCAGACCCGCCTCTTCAATCAATTTTAACATTTCCTTGAGCCCATCCTCTCCCCTTTTATGTGATTTGCTTCTGAGCTTGGCACTTGCCTGTGACTTTGACTCTACGTCTCTAGGCAGCCTTTAGATGGTAAATTACTTGTGCACAAATACGAAAATCCTACTTCCTTGCCTCAAATTGAAATGCACTTGAATGTGTGTTTCACATGCCAGGGCCACTCTGCAAGATTAAGCTAATGCTAGTACTGTCTGAATTCATATCCATGCTTAGGTAATAGATACTTCCGTTTTCCTATTTCTACTTCTTCCACTTTCTGACCACTTTTTGCTGCAGGCTTTGCCCTATTAAAGTCCTCCTCTCAATATCTGATTCAGGAAACTCTCGCTCAAGACAGTTATATAAGTGGCATTAAAAAGACCACCCTACTCTATAAATCATAAACTGGGCCTCACTGACTTTCTCTACCAGAATTTCCAGCAATGGCTGAGCAGACAGAGTGCTGTCTGGCTTCCTGTATAATAGAGCATTTATTTCAACAGGGAAGAGGCACAAAGTGATTGAGGAATGGCTACTGAAGTCAAACAGACCTGAGTTTGATTTCAGTTTGTCAACTAACGAATAACGTTAAGATTTTGAAAAACTGACTTATTCTCTTGAGGCCCTTAGATTCTCCATCTATTAAAAGGAGATAGATAAAAAGAAAAATCACCTTCAGAGTTTACCTGAGAATAAGATCATCATGAAGAGAATTTACTACAGGGGACAGCATATGAACATTCAATGAAAGTATCCATAATTAATATTTTAAGTTTGTATTTGTGTATGAGACATCTATTTTATATATATGAGACATATATGAGATAGATAAATATTTTATAATCATGTTACAAATATACACACATATGAATCTAATATCAAATTTTATATGTTGAAATTTTGTAAATTTATATTATTAAACAGTAATCCATTTTGTATAGGGTGCCTTTAATTTTGAAGTAGAAAACTTATAACTTGAGAATGCTGTCTTTCATGAATCAGCACTTTATTGTTTGCAAAGTACAATCACATAATACTTCTCCATTCAGTGATTTCTATTATACTTCAATCCTGTGAAGTAAGCTTTGTGGGCATTTGTGTTTTATACATCAAAAATTGATCTGCACAAAGCTTAATTATCACACATCATTACAGAATAAGTTCACGTAATTTTGATGAACTACTTCAACTTTCTCAAACCTATAAAGCTATTGCTATATCTGGTAACTCCAACTGTGCAATGTTGGCAGTTGTCTAGAATTCAGAATATTTCCAAATGGATGAAATGGACGGACCAAAGTATATTTTGCCAAGATTGTTTTCCCTTGATTTTTAAAACTATTGCATATATGTTTATGCGGAAAGAAATTTATTCATAGTAACGAATATTTGGGATAAAGTATATTAATGATTACAGCATTTCATGTAAGTAACATTTGGTAGTGAAAAACCTTATGGTACACAGTTGTAAGATATAACTAATATAATAAACTCATTATCCTAAATAGCCCACACCAATATATAATTTAACAGAAATGATCTTGTATTATTATCTAGATTTTTAAAAATTAATCATACGGCAACAGAATGAGGGAAAAATCTCATTTGTCAATGCATCCCTCACAAAAATCTGAGTGCTTTAATAAATGCTAAAATTAACACTATTAAGCATGATAAAATGGCAATGCAATCTTAAGTAGAATTCCAGGAAGTATAGAATTGTGGCCATGAGGAGTTCTCCTAAAGTCATTTCTAGACAAAGTGATATATATACTTTCTTCATTATTGCAGTTTTATTATATTAGTAAGATTGAACTTAGGTAAAAGTAACAGACTGGCTTATCTAGAGCAGGTGCTTCAGGTGAAGCTTGATTAGGAGATCAGTGAATTTTCCAAGGACCCACTGGTTTTCCGTCTTTCATTCGGCCTTCCCCCAAGTAAGCTGCGTCCTATGGATCCAATATGCTTCTACATTCATGAAGGACCTTTGTGTGAGAGGAAGCTCAGTGTATGAGAGACAGCATACCTTGGTGAACTATGAATGTAAACTCCCTGCATTAAAAACCTGTTTCCACCACTTCCTAATAGTGTGACCATAGGGCAGGTTAATTAATCTCCTTGTATCTTAGTTTTCTCATATATAAAATGAGGATAATAATATGCTGAAGTCACAGAATTTGATAAGAGATCTAAATGTGTTAATATTTGTAAGTCACTTTGAAAAAATTCTAGAACACAGAAAATAATATGTAAATATTTGTTAAAGTAAAACAAAAATTTTCCCAAAGGTTTAACCCAGTATCTGACACATAGTAGGTACTGGATAAATGAATGATTATTGAATGAAAAAGAGGTACTCATAGCAAAACCAAGCATAAATGTAATACAATGGCTCTAATAAAGAGAGATGAAATGACGCTGTATGGAAAAGGTTTCAAGGAGGAAGTTCAAGCTAGATAAGAAATCACTAATTATATCCATAACAGTAAATTCCTTTAATATGTAAGAAAGACTAAACTTGTTCTGTTTCTCAGAAAAAGGTTAGAACTAGGACTATAGAAAAGAAGATAATTGGATAATTCTGGTAATGGTGTTTATCTAATAGTGTGGAATAGGTTGATATTAAGCAGCAAGCCCTGTCACTAGAATCATTCAAGCAGAACCTATTTTAAAAGATCACTAAATTCTGAAGTAATTTAGAAAAAATGACTAACACCTAAGACCAATTTATGTACATATTTCATTGTATGGACTGAAACATAGAATGGTTTTGCAAACCTCTGCTTCTTCTTTGTCTCCACCTAGACTTCTGAATGTCATGTTGATTTTGTTGTTTTTATTTCTGTAATGGAAAAATTTATAAAAGTATTACTGTGTTTTGAGAATGACTATTAGGTCAATGTAAATCTCTATGCAATGCTATCACAGGTAAGAAAGAATAAACATGTTTTAAGACCAGTGAGCAGAAGTTCCTGGCAAACTGATTTATTTCAATAAAAAAGAAGGATAAGAAAGAAATTTCGGGAATGTCATGATTATGGCATTTGTATAATACCTACACAGCAGGCTATCAGATTTAGTTGAAATTTACATTGCCAATCTTTCCTCTGGCAGAAGGAAATAACTCATGCACCCTTGGAGGGAAACTAGTAATGGAGTATAAGGAGGTCAGCCTGGAATCGAAAGAAAAATGGAAGTGCTACTTTACAGTTTATGCAAACTGCTTAACAAAATTCAATGAGTCATAGGGACCTAGAAGCTCACATTCTTTGAGACTCAATTGCATTTCCTACATTCACTATATTCTCAAACATTTCCAACATTTGCTTAGTCATGCCATACACATGCAAAATTCAGATGCAGAAAAAAGCTACACCATGAAAGCAATAAAAGCAAAGCTTGTAAGTCCTTGCTCGATGACAATTCTACACTATCTGAAAAATCCTAACTTGATTTCCAAAAAAAAATGTTCTTGCAAATCTGCTATACATAAACCAATCCACCATTTCATCTTTCTAGTTCAGGAAGAAAAGGAAGAACTCACAAAACAGCTTGGAATTTAACTCCCAAGAAAAATCACCAAAATGATGATTTTCATGTGTTAGCATGTGTTGGTTTGCACTCACTTTTATGCTTTTCCTTTCAGGAGATTGCTAATCATTTGTAAATTACCTCATGTAAAATTGCTTCTATATTTAAATCTTGTGGGGTTTTTTTCTATAAATGTGCAGGTATTTAAGCACATTTAAAAGTAGCTTTAAATGATGCTCACTTGATCAACTAAACAAATTTTAATGAGTGGAACAATGCATCAAAACACCCCACCAATCACAAGTTGACATATCTGTTGGACATGTTTAATTTCCTTTTATAGATTTTGGTTATATCTATCCAGAAAATTATAAAAATAATTAAGTATTAACTAATCCAGGATACAGTTTAGAAAACCAAGGCTAAAATACATTTTTATCAAAATCCTATTTTGCTAATTAAATCCAGATATTTGTTTAACTGTCTGTATACAAAGGTGACTATTTCTCTTCAAAAGACTTGCTTTATTCAGGACCAAATTTCTGCTTAAAAACACTATAGAAAATTGAACCTCCCAATGCACGTAAGTATCAATGAACCTAAAATGGCAATGATAATAAAAGCAAAATTTATTAACTAAATATCATCTATTAGGTGACTGGGGTTTGCAAATACCTTGTCCAAAGCAACATGACCACTCTGAGGTTTATTCCTAAACCTTAAATATAAACAAGCTTCTTTCAAAAAGATTAATTGTAAACAAGTTGTTAAAAATAAAAGTGTATACTTTTCAGAAGTTATATTAAAAATAGTAATCATCTTAAAAAACTGCCAGGTTTATTTTTAGTAAACATATCATCAGAAGACACACAAAATCAATTATGTTTCTATATACTAACAATGCTCATAGAGAAAACAAAATTAAAACACAACACCATTTATAATGGCTCCAAAGGAAATGAGATACATTGTTATACAGTTAATCAGGTACATACAGGAGCTCTATGCTGAAAATGGTGAAATGCTGATGAAATAAATCAACGATGATATAAATAAGAGACATGCCATGAGCATATATTGGAAAACTCAACCTAAATAAAATATCAGTTCTCCCAAATTTATCTATAATTTCAACACAACTCTATCAAAATACCAGAGAGATTTTTTGTAGCTATGGACAAGATTATTCTAAAATGTATATGAAATGAAAAAGGATCTATAATAGCAAAATAATTTTGAAAAAGAAAAATTTAAAAAAAGGGGAATCAGTTTACCGAATTTCAAGACTTACAATATAACTACAGAAATCAAGATTGTGTGAAAGTATAGACACATACATCTATGGAAAAAAAAAAAAGAACACAAAAATAGACCCACAAAAATATGCTTAACTGATTTTTAACAAATATGAAAAAAAAAATGGAAAAAGGATTTTCAATAAATGGTGTTAAAGCAATTATCCATAGGGAAAGAAAACAAACTTTGATCTAAGTCTTATACCTTATGTAATATTTAATTATTTAATTAAAAATCATACACATACATAAATTTTAAAATATAGAACTGTTAAAAAAAGGGGAAATTTTTCAGAATCTACAGGTAAGCAAAATGTTCTTAGACATAACCAAACAAAGCACAATTCATTAAAATGTGATAAACTGTACCTCATCAAAATGTTAAAAAAAAATTGGTCTATGAAAGCCTTTTTTTTTTTTTTTTTTGAGACAGTCTCGCTCTGTCGCCAGGCTGTAGTACATTGGCATGATCTCGGCTCAATGCAACCTCTGACTCCCTGGATGAAGTGATTTTCCTGCCTGGGATGACAGGCATGAGGCACCGTGTCCAGCTGAAAGCCTTTTTTAAGAGGATATAAAGACAACCTTCATACTGGGGGAAATTATTTACAAGTCACATGTTACAGACTGAATATGCTACCCCCCACTATCAGGGTTTTGGTGTTTGGAGATGGGGGTCTCTAACAAAGTAATTAAAATTAAATGAGGTCATAAAGCTCATTTAAATGAGTTCTCATCCTATAGGTTCAGTGTCCTAAGAAGAAACACAAAAGAGCCCTTTCTATCTGTGCTATGTGAGAACACAAGAAGATGGTTGTCTACAGCCCATGGACGGAGCTCTAGCCAGACACTAATGCTGCTTGCACCTTGCTATTGGACTTCTCAGCCTCTGGAACTGTGATAAAATTACCCTCTGTAATTAAAACCACCCAGTGTGTAGTATTTTGTTAAGACAACCCAAACTGACTAATATACCACATATGTGACAAAGAACTAGTACCTAGAATAACTAAGGAACTTTCAAAGATCAACACAAACACACAATGCAATTAGAAAATGGGCAAAGACATTGATCATTTCATGGAGGAGGATACATAGATGGCAAATAAGCACATGAAAAGATGTTCAACAATATTGGGGAAATGCATATTAAAATCACAGTGAGATATCACTTAACCACACTTATCAGTATGGTTAAAATAAAAATTAGTGATGATACCAAATGATGTTGACTATGCAAAAAAGTGGACACGCCTACAATATGTTAAGAGTGTAAAATGGTACAGCCACTCTGTAAGATATTTTGGCAGTCTTTGTAAAACTAACCAAGTTATTACCATATGAACCAGCAATTGCATTCCTGGGCACTTATTCCAAGTAAACCAAAATTCACGTTAACACAAAAACATGTACATGAATGTTCATAGAAGCTTTCAATAGCCAAATACTAGAATCAGCCAAGATATCTTTAAACAGGGGACTGGTTAAACAAATTCTGGAGCATAAATACTATTGAATACTATTCAGCAATTAAAGGGAACATAGTACTGATACGTGGAACCACTTGGATGAATCTCCAAAGAATTATGCTGAATGAAAACAACTAATCCTAAAGGGTTTCATATAAATCATCATATGATTCCATTTATATACCAGTTTTTAAAAGATAAAATTTTAGAAAAGACTAGAAACAGGTTCGCAGTTTCAAAGGCTTTAAGACTAGAATAGGTATGAGGGGAGGTAGATGAGGTTATAAAAGGACGAGAGGGATCCCTGTCATGATGGAACAGTTCTGTATCTTGATCATGGTGGTGGTGGATGCACAAAACTACATATATGATAAAATTTTATTGAAATAAATACATACATGCATGTGTACACACATAAATGGGGACAAGTAAAACAAAGGAAATTTGAATAACATAGATGAGTTATTTTTTCATTAATATCCTGACTATAATACTAGACTATAGTTTTATAAAGTATTTTCATTGGGAAAACTGTATGAAGAAGATATGATATTTCTATGTATTAGTTTTTATAACCACAGATGAATCTATATTTGTCTTAATAAAAATTTCTATTAAAAATGTCATTAAGGGAAAAAAAGTTGAATGTCCTCCAAAGATGGAAATAGTATAAATTGATGTCTATCTATACCACGGATTATTATGCTGCAAGTAAAAAGAATGAGTTGTTATTTTTCAAACTGATTTGATGAGATTTCATAATCCATTGCCAAGTGTAAAATTTTAAATATAAAGTAATAGATATAACAATTTCATATTCACAAAACGATGATGTATGTGTACAAATATATAAGTGACTGTATGAGGATAAAGAAACAATCAGAAGAATACATCAGATGATTAACACTAGTTGCTTAGAGGTGATGAAGAAGAGAACAAAAAAGTATTCAAAAATTTTTAAAAGAGCGTGTATAACATGATCACCTCTATAACAACCTATAAACATATGTAGAGTGTGTGTGTGTGTGTGTGTGTGTGTGTGTGTCTGTGTGAAATATGTATAAAATTATGGCTACCACAACTTTAATGGCACCTATTTTTGGTTACTATATTTAAGGACAATGTTTTCTTTATTCATTTTAATATAAATTTGTTCATTTTCTACATCTGGTACTTTTACTGAATTAATTAAAATTCATTTCACTCTTCAAATTTTTAAATGGTTATTCTTTTAGTCAACATTTTCTGTATAATGTAATCGTGTCATAAATGTGTTTCTGCTATATATTCAGTGTACAATTTTGTCCTAGTCTTTTTGGTTTTGCAGGGAGAATTGTTGCTTCTGGGTGTTGTTAGAGGTCAAAGCTTTTTCTATTGTGCAAGCCTGGACTGCATGACTTGCAGTTTTGGCTCTTTCCTGCCTACAGAAACTCAAACATACATGGAAACTCAAACATACTGTATTAATTAGGGTTTGTTTTTCACATAGCAAGAATTCTGTAGGAAGGCAGTTCAGGGCTGATACTGGATTTGGAGGAATTCGGTAGTGAGGTAATCGGTTTCCTCTAATTCTATCCTCCACCATTTTACTTTGCAATTTCCTTCCTCATGGTTACAAAATGGTTGTTTCAATTCTAGGTATGACATCCACACTCCGAACAAGAAGACTTTTGTTCACCCAGAAAAATAATAAATTTCCCAGAAACTCACCAGAAGAGAACCTCCCGCACCTCACTTGTTGAGGTAACGTCATATTGTAACTGAAGGAGCAGTCCAAACTGGGCCTTCCTTATTTATAACAGAATGCTAAGTTCCCTTGAAGGCAGAAAAGAGCCAAAACTGCAAGTCATGTAGCCCAGGCATGAACAATAGAAAAAGCTTTGACCTCCAACAACGTCCAGAACCAACAATTCTCCCTGCAAAACCAAGAAGACTGGGACATAACCCGAACCAGACCACTGGGACACTTTCAGAAGTGAGAAGTCTATCGGCCAGGAAGATCCAGGGTTAAAATCCGCCTCAACATACCTTGCAATAAATGGTCAAATTTGCAGCCCTCCAATCAGATCCCTCCAAGTCAATATTCCTAAATTCTTTCCCTGGCCCTCTGCTGATCTCTTAAAACTTGACCTAGATCCCAAACAGGGAAGACAGATTTGAGCTGCGTCTTCTATTGCCTTGCTTGCGGCCTTTGCAATAAAGCCTTTTTTTTGTCAAGAGCCAGTGCCATTTTACTGGCTTCTCTGTGCACTGGAAAGTGAGCCCATTTGCTGAATAACAATTCTGGTACCCAAGGTGGGACAAAAGCCTGCCCAAGGCACTATAGCGCCTCAGTGGGGTCCTGAGACTCTTTGCATCCAAGTGGCATCACCAAGATTGGTTTGTCTGTTTGTCTGGAGCCTCAGTTGGCTGTCCCTGTTTCTCCACTTGGGGTCCTCCTCCAACACTACTTTGTCTTTTGAGGAAAGAATTGCTTCTGGATCAGATGTCTTTTGGGTGAGTACTTTGTTAATATGTGCTTACACCTTAAATTGTCTTTTGTTTAGGATTGTGGGTTGGATTCCCGTTTTTGTCTAGGACCATAGGTTCAAATCCTACCCTAGGGAGATCTTGGACAGACTCGAGTCCCAGACTCGGATTAGTGTCCTAAAGACTAAGGGCAAGATCGATACTTAAAAGCTGTAACCCCTGGAGTGCTCAATCTAGTCTGGTCTTTTTTTTTTCTGTGTGTGTGTCTGTATCTTTGGTCTGTGTAACAACAGTTGGCCCAATAGAGGTTAAACACTTTTACAGTTGCAGCAAAAGCCTTATATCCTTCCTATCTCTTTGCTGGTTGGCCTTGCAACAAAGTCATTCTTTTCTCAAAAGCTGGTGCCATACTGTTGACTTCTATGCATGGAGGGCAGGGAGCCCATTTGCTTTTATAACAATTTAGCCACCAGTAGCTTTTGGAATGTTAATTTTTAACTGGACATATTACCATGCCATCTAAAATTAGGACTGTATGAGTTTTTAAAAATGAAACAATAGAAATTAAGTAAATATCTGGTAATGTCTAACAGTATAATAAACATATATAACAAATTCAGTAATAAATAGCATTATACTATATAGTAAGCTTAAAATAGATGATCTCTGCTTTGTTAAAAGATAAACTTTAGGCAAATTAAATGTAAAAGCACTTACATGAGCAGAAAAGATAGATTCAGGATCAAAATAGATAAATTCAAAGCAAAGTGTATGGTAGGTAAGAATTTAACACATGATAGAGTGTAAACTGTATTCCAGAAATACAAGACAATGTATTGTATTTTGTACTGCTTTAAAACATTTAATTATCTTACAAGCCTGTTGGGACATTTTAATGAGGTAATACAAATAAGCCGCTTAATACTCTGAGTGGCATATGAAAAAAGCCTAGTTTTTCTCATCTTTTATAATTTAAAATTAATTAATTTAGATAATTACCTTGCACCTCATACTTCTTGCCTAAAAATAAAATTCTAATCATATAATTAATAATTATCTTTGTCCTTTTAAAAAACTAGGTGTTCTCCTAGCATAATAATGAACAAGCTTTGCCTTTTCTCAAAACTAATTAGGAGTTACATTACAAGGATCCAGATTATACTTGAGTTTTATTTGAGGTGACATTGCATGTCCTCAAAGTGTGACTTTAATGATGCAATATTGAAATACCAACAAATTAAGAGTCATGTTTAATTGTTATTGACTAACCTAAGAAATGTTTTTATTAAGAATATTTCCCAATTCCATGCTGAAGATATAAAAACAAAGCAAAAATAAAAACAAGAATTGCTTTAGTTATCCTAGAATACAAGCAGTTCTTACAGATAGAAAGAGTACACATTGTATTTTTAACTGAAGTCAAGGGATAAGTGTTAAGATTTTTAAAAGAAACTGTGCAAGAAGCCAAGCCATAAAAATGTGGAGATGGCAGCTTGCTGTAAATTTTTCTGGCAGTTATGTCTGTAATCCTAAATCGGAGTTACTGAAACCCTGTAATACAATAATAATAAAAGCAATGCAGCATGAGCACAAGGCCTGTCAGATTTATGATGAGCTGGGTCTTCCATGAAAGGAACACACCAAATCAAATTAGTGGGGGGGAGATTAATAGAATTTCATCAGTTTCTAGGATGGAGACTATAAGCCACATCATATATTTTCTGTGTCCTGAAAGACAATAGCTCTAGCGCTTTTGAAGCCTAGCCCATAAATGACCACCACAAGTGGCCTTAGCTATTGTGAGGCAGGGCCTTAGATAGTTTAGTGTAGGGGAGTGAATTTCAAAGACAGCACTAGTACTCTACCTTAAGAAGTAGTGTATCGATCTCCTGACCTCGTGATCCGCCCGGTGAAACCCAGTCTATAATAAAAATACAAAAAAAATTAGCTGAGCGTGGTGGCGGGCGCCTATAGTCCCAGCTACTCAGGAGGCTGAAGCAGGAGAATCACATGAACCTGGGAGGCAGAGCTTACAGATCATGCCACTACATTCCAGGCTGGGTGACAGAGTGAGACTCTGTCTCCAAAAATAAAAAATAAAAAAAAAATGGTGTGTATCATAGTGTTGTATGCTTGAAATGCTTGAATTCTAGGGCCAGTTTGCTAAGGTTTAAATACTGCATCCACCACCTACTAACTCAATGACCTTGGGAAAATTTCTTAGCATATCTGTGCCTCATTTTTTATTTGTAAATGAATATCAATCTACTAGAGTTGTGTTGAGGATTAATATGGTAAATACATGTAAAGTGCTTAGACAGGGTTATAGTGAGCTATATTACCAGCCATTATGCTTCTACATGTTTAATTCCTATCTGACTGACTGTGATGAAAAGAAAGTAAAGGTAAATAGAAAAAACAGAAAACAGAAGAGGGCTCTGAAGTGCAGGCTCATCTGCCAGGGAAAGGAAAGGACACACCATCCCTCTGAAAGAAAGAATTTTCTATCACTTTGATATGGAAAGTGTGACTGCAGGAAATTTTGAGTTTCCTACAATTATGATTCAGCCAAAAATTGCTTGACTCCTTGTAGGGATGATGGGAGCATTGGAGATTGGCCTAAAGAGGTTTTGTCTCCTTCAAACCGAAGGGTTATAATTGTTATAAAATTTCTATTTAAAAAATGGAGGGGTATTGTGAACCATTTAAGAGTTCATCCTTTCAACAGCAAATCTCAACTCTTCTGGACTATTAACAGTCTCTGACTATTTGTTTGACTTAGTAAATATTACCCTGTCTTCAAAGGCATAAGATCTTGTTTGAGTTTTGTTTTATTCATAATTTTTCAAATTCATTATCTATGATAATTTTATAACTAATTTGAAGTAACTTGAAAACCCATGGGATATTCAGAGATCTCACAGCATCATGTATCTGCAGATCTTTGGCCTAAAACCATCTATCCTGAAAATTGGTATGATATTTATGACGTTTCTTTGTTTAAGAGAGAAGAAAAGATGCTGACTTTTGCCATGCAGAGGGGTGGAGGGCAGAGGTCAAGAAATAGGTAAAGACAGTCTCTATAATATATAAAGAAATTAAATTAACAGCCCTAAGAAGATCTACCACAGATGTCAACTCTTGAAAGCCATATTGTCTTTGCCTATGATTTTTTCAAATAAGATTATGATTGCTTAAGGGTACAGATTTATGTCACACTTACATGTGCTTCACACGGTGCCTCACACAGTACTATGCTTCTCTTCTTTACCTGCATTCACACAGTCAATCCAATCTGTAAATGCCATCAGTTTGATTAAAACGTTTCTATCTTTATTCCTCTCCTATCTCCTAAATCTTACATATCTAGCTTCCTATTCATTTAGTCTGATTATCTAATATGCCTCAGTGTATGCTCAAGTGAATTATTGACTTTAATTTCTACTTCTGTAGTTTTCTGGCCACTATAGTTGGTGATCCAACCCAAAGCCCCTGGGATTCCTTAACCTGTTTCCTATTCCCATTCCTCAGCTTCAACATTCTTTGAGCTTGTACCTGTAATAGTCTGTCTTAGCTAGGGATGCTGTTAAAAAATACCACAGACTAAGTGGTTTAAACAACAAACATTTATTTTCTCATAGTTGTGGAAGCTAAGAAGTCTGGAATGAAGAGGCCAGCTGATTCGGTTCATGGTAAAGGTCCTCTTCCTTCCTTGTAGATGGCCAGCTTCTTCCTGCGTCCTCACCTGGTGAAGAGACAACATTTTTTCTTCCTCTTCTTATAAGGCCATTAACCTTATGAGGCCCCAAATCTCACCCTCATGAGATCTAACCTAATTATTTTCTAAGCCTTATTTAATCTGACCCTAATTATTTTCCAAATACCATCTGCAAATGCCATTAAACTTGGAGTTAGGGGTTCAACATATGAATTTTGAAAGGAACACAGTTGAGTCCATAGCATCTTCTAAAGAAGATAGCCCTTGGCCTACTAGAGCTGCTTAGAAGTCACAAAGAACTGGAGTGCTTCGGAATTTAAATTGGCTTCCCTGATTGTTAGCTCATACCCAAATTGACTTAAGGGAGGAAAAGCTCTGAGATGAATTTATGCTCTAGAATTCCTTATGAATCAGGTGCAGTCTGGGATTTTATCTATCATGGCATTCTTGCTCAGCTTTCTTCCCCTCCTTTTTATACTTCCCCACTCCTTTAGTCTCTCCTGGAAATATTTTCTTATTAAGTTATTTGCAAACAAATTCTAGTTTCAGGAATTGGTTCTAGGCTTAGATACCCCAAAAGCTTTTTTTAATATCCCAACGGCTCCTCCTCTGGCACTTCTTCCTCAATAGTACCACCATTACATCATGTTTCTCGGTCCTCAAACATTGTCATCATTCTTGATTCCTTTTTTCTCTTCATCTTACATCTCATCTACTGGTAGTGCTGCTGACTCTGTCTTTAAAATTTCCCCACTGACCACTTCACAAAACCTTCCTTGTTACCCTCTTAGATAGACGACCATAAAATGTACTGCACTCTCTCTCAGAGTGAATGGAGATACTACTAATAATTTTATAGTAACAACAGGTAGAAAAACAAGGATCTTTTCCAGCACAAAGGGATGTAGGATACCTAATCTTGGTCCCATCTATTATACTATCCACTTCAATCTTGACCTAGACCTGTTCTTGGCAGAGTAGCAAAAGTGCAAATTAGGTTATGCCGACAACTGCTGAAAAAGTCTCCAATGGCTTTACATCACAGTAGAACAAAATCCAAACTCTTTATCAGTCCCTAAAATACTGTGTATGATTTGCCATCTGACAACTTCTCTGACCTGAATTTCAACTACTCCCGCATTCACTCACTGAGCTGCAACCACACTGAAATCTTTGATGTTTCTTCAGTACTCCAGGCACATTCTCAACTCGGGATCTTGTATTTGCTGCTTTTTCTGCCTGCCCAAAATAATATATCCCTAGGACAGCCCTGTCTCACTAATTTCATTCATGTTTCTGCTAGCCTGTATAAGATACATCCATCTTCCTTCTCAGTCACTTCATGCTCTGATCCTCTTTACTGTTCAATATTCTTTTGTAGCAATTATAGCAGCCTATCACCTGTCTTTGTGTATTATTATTAATATCATTGCTCTGAACTAAGATGCAAACTCCCTAAAGGAAAATTCAGTTCAAAGGCCTGCACGTGGTCCTAAAAGGCTAGCACAGAATCAGCACACAAATATATGTAATGAGTTTTAGTAAGTTTTCAATGAGTGCTAAATTCCCCTTTAAAATTCTTTGCGGTTGTGTCTGCACGTACATTGCTTTAGATAAAGCGCTTTTAAATTTTGTAAAAAAAAAATAATAAATAAAAAATGCCAAAATGCATTTCAACTCTAATCCCTTTTTTTCTTATTTATTGAATTTAATTTATCATGTGTTTCATAGTTAATTTTAGAAACATAATGAATTATTCACACTTAACTGAATTATAAGAATTAGTATCTGAGAATGAGGGCTTAAATATGTATAGTATTTGATGAAAACACATTGTAATTTCTTACACAGAAACTAGAAACATATTCTTTACCTTTGAAAATCTCTGCATCTTGCCATCTCTTTTTTATTCAGAATATGAATAGATGGTTCTTTTACTTGTAATAAGCATGCTTGTAAACAGCTAATGTATTTTAAATACTAGCTCCTGGAGTATAATTTTAGAAAATGAGTCCTGGAAATCTAGCACAAAGCATTCCCTGCACAAATCTTGAGGATGTATAGAAAATATTAGGAACCACTTTTGTATATTCCCCATTTATCTAATCCTTCCTAACTCTTCAAGACCTTTCTGCCACAACTGAAAAAAAAAAAAAAAAACTGTTTCCTTTAAATTTCAGCTTTGATCAAAGTGGCATCATCACATAAAAAATAAACGTTTCTCCTTCCCAAGATATTGCTTTTAGACATGAGTCTATGTGTTTTATTTTTAACATTTCAAAAGATAGAGGTGGAATCCCTGAAGTTTGTTGGAGACTGAGGTGGGTCCACCCATCTCACAGTTCGATGCTGTATTCTACTAAGATGTGATCTACTTGCTAAACATTCATTCCCATCTTGGTATCTTTTTCTACTTTAAATGTAAGTAATACATGAACATAATTATATAAGGAATGTAAATATATTCTCACTTTAGTGAAAAAATCTAGATACATATAGAGTAAAATATGAAAATCTTTGTAGCCAAAACTCCAAACATTCTCTCTGAAGAAGAAGCCACTGTTAATAGTTTGGTATGTATCTTTATTGTCTTTTTCATATGAGTGTATGTGTGTGTGTGTGTGTGCATTCACATGTATTTACTTCAATGATACCACACATATGTGTTTATGACTTTCTGTGCAAGTATAGATTTCCTTTTTTACTGTAATAGCTAAATGTATACCATAGCATATATGGATTATCATTTGCCCTATCCATTCTTTTTTTGGCTTGAAGTGATTTCAAATTTACAACTATTTTTAAAATTTGTAATAAATATCCCTGTAGATAAATCTTTGTGCACGTGTATGTCTGCATGCTTCTACATAAGATTAATAACATAATAAGTTGAGTGAAATGCTACAGATAATTCTTATTTTGATATATCCTGCCAAGTTGATGCTCCAAATAGATTGTTCCAATTTACTCTTACCTTTAAGAGTGCATGAGAACACATTTCTTCCCACCAGCACAATAGTAAATACTACCATATTTTTATATTCTTGCTAAAATAATATGCTTAAAAAACAATGTCTTACATCTGTTTTGATTTTTATTAAAGAGTTATTATTCTACATCTTTAAATAGAAAAATATTACCCATTGATATTATTGCAATTCTAATATATTTGAACTTATTTTTTTCTTGTTTATTTACAGTATTTAACTTACCTTGTTTTCTTAACTCTCTATCTGATCCTTTCTTGCTTATGGTAGTTTTTAAAGTATTCTCTCGCTTCAATTTTTAAATTTTAATTGTATATTAGATATATGATGTCTAATCTTGTAAAACCCTTAGGTCTTATTATACAGATATATGCTAGATTTTTTTTCTTACAATGCCCAGAATTAATCAGAACGAATTATATTTTTCCATAAAAGATGAACCACTTAATCTACTATTTTCCCTACCCATTATCTCCACAGTGAAATCATATTAGTGTGAAATTGATTTATTTTGAGGGAGGTAGAAGGGTATTTTTTATGTTGAAGTAAAATTTACAAACAGATAAATAAGATCTTAGACGTACCATTTAATGTTTTAAGAAATGCAAACATCTATGTCACCACCATCTCAAACAAAATGTAGAGCATTTTTATCACTGCTGAAAGTTTTCTTGTACCCTATTCCAGTCCCCACACAATGCATAAGCAATCGCTATTTTAGTTTTGGTCACCGTAGATTAGTTTTGTCTGTTGTTGAACTTCATATGAATAAAATTATAGTGTGTACTATTTGTGTATTATTTAAGTCAACCTATGTTTCTGAGATTAATCTATATTATTCCTTATATCAGTAGTTTGTTTTTTCTTTGCTGAGAAGTATTCCATTGTATAGATATATCATGATATTTTCATCCACTTTCCTGTTGATGAACATTTGGGTTGTTTCCAGTTATTGGCTATTATGAATCAAGCTGCTATAAGAATACATGTGTAACTTTCTAAGGGTATATGTCTTTATTTCTCTTAAGTAAATACTTAGAAAGAATACTGACATATTATGGGATGGGTATGTGTTTAATTGTATAAAAAAAAGAAAAGCTGTTAACTAGTTTTTTTAAAATAACTTACAATTTTATACTCTGAGCAATGCTTCAGAATACCAATTGCTGTGCATCTTCACTGATTTTTTTAGTCTTTTCAATTTTAGAAACTCAAGTGAGTGTGAAATATCATCACACTGTAGTTTCATTTGTGTTTGCCATTTTAATGATGATGGTGAGAAACCTCTGAGTAATTTTGGCCATTCATATTTTTCATATTGTTAACGCTCAGTCAAGTCTTTTTCCCACTTTTAATTGGGCTGTTTGTCTTTTTTCTAATTGCTTTATAAAAGTCATTTATATATTTTTAAAATACAACTTTTTGTCACATACACATATGCAAATATTTCTCCCAATCTAATATAACTTGCCCTTTCATTGTCTGAATGGTAACTTTGGAAGGACAGAGGTCTTAGTCTTAATGAAATTCAATTTAACATTTTTCTAACATGTATTTTCTTTCAAGCATAGTGTTTGTTGTACCATCTCAAAAAAATCTTGCCTACTCAAAGTCACAAATATATTTTGTGTTTTTTGCTAGAAGCTTTATAGTTTTGGTCTGAATCCAGCTCAAATTAAATTTTGTGTATGGTGTGAAATGAAGATTAAAGTTTATTTCTACCCATATGGATATCTAGTTTTTCTGGCATCATCATGATTTATTTATTTATTTATTTATTTATTTATTCATTCATTTTTATCTTAAGACAGAGTCTCGCTCTGTTACCCAGGCTGGAGTGCAGTGGTGCAATCTCGGCTCATTGCAACCTCCGCCCTCCAGGTTCAAGCGATTCTCGTGTCTCAGTCTTCCAAGTAGCTGGGATTACAGGCCCGCACTGCCACATCTGGCTAATTTTTGTGTTTTTAGTAGAGACGGGGGTTTCACCATGTTGGCCAGGCTGGACTTGAACTCCTGACCTCAGGTGATCCACCCACCTCAGCCTCCCAAAGTGCTGGGATTATAGTCCTGAGGCATCACGCCCAGCCAGGATTCTTTTTTAACTTTTCAAGTGTGACTTAATGAGTAAGAGTGCATGCTTTGAGCTCAAACAACTTATATTTAAATCCTGCCTCTACCACTCCGTATCTATATGACATCGAACACTATATCTAACTTCTCTGCATGTCACCCCTAAGTATGGATAATACATTAGCCTTAAAGTTGAGATGATAATGGACATATTTCTGAGTTTTGCTTTCTTTTTTTTTTTAAATGTTGAGGATTATATGTTATCACATGTATAAAGATACTGGCACAATACTTGGTATACAATAACTTCTAGAAATATTAGGTTATAAAAAGAGAAAAAAAAGTTCAGAAATAATATGAAAATGTTATAAAAGTATCTGATAAAATAATACAGTGATTCTGATTTCTTAAGTATAAAATGCTATTTTCTCAAATATTTTAAATATTAAGTCAGTTTCAAACTAGCGTCACAAAATTTTGAATATACTACCGTATTAGTATATTCAATGTAAAAAATAAAACTGGCTGATAAGAACTGATCTAACATAATTGTGTTTTTTCTATGAATTAACTTGTTTTTCTTTCCAGAAATTTGGTGTCCTGAAATTTCAGACAAAATTGATATTATTTTGTTAATCGTCTTTGGTGCTAGGTCTATGGGAACTTTAAATCTGATTACTAATATTTTTTTTCTGGCGATGTTTACTTTTCCACTTTTATTTTAGATTTCGGAGGGACATGTGTAGGTTTTTGTTACGTGGGTATATTGCATGATGCTAAGGTGTGGAGCATGGCTCTCATCTCCTAGGTAGCAAGCACAGTACCTAATAGGTAGTTTTCCAACCTAGCCCCTTCCCCCTTTAGTAGTTCCCAGTGTCTCTTGTTTCCATCTTTGTGTCCATGTGTACTCAATGTTTAGCTCCAGTAAGTAATATTATGTGATATTTGGTTTTCTTTTCCTGCATTAATTCACTTAGAATAATGGCCTTCAGCTACATCCTTGCTCTTGAGAAAGGCATGGTTTTGTTTTATTTTATGGCTATGTAGTATTTCATGGTGTGTATATACCATATTTTCTTTATCCAATCCACCATTGATGGGCACCTAAGTTGATTCCATGTCTTTGCTGTTGTGAATAGTGCTGCAATGAACATATGCGTGTCTTTTGGGTAGAATTATTTATTTTCTTTTGGGATTCCCAGTAATGGGATGGCTAGCTAAGTCCCCAAAAGCAATTGCAACGAAAACAAAAATTGATAGCGGTACCTGATTAAACTAAAGAACTTCTACACAGCAAAAGAAACTATATCAACAGAGTAAACAGACAGTTAACAAAATGGGAGAAAATATTCACAAACTCTGCATCCGACAAAGGTCTAATATCCAGAATCTGTAAGAAATTTAAACAAATCAGCAAGCAAAAAGCAAATAAGCCCATTAAACAATGGACAAAGGACATGAATAGACACTTCTCAAAAGAAGACATGCAAGTGGCCAACAAACATAGGAAAAAATGCTCATCATCACTAACCACCAGAGAAATGTCAATTAAAACCCGGTAAGATCACATCTCACACCAGTAAGAATGGCTATTATTAAAAAGGCAAAAAATGACAGATGCTGGCAAGGCTGTACAGAAAGGGCAAGTTATACACTGTTGGTGGGAATGTAATTCAATCACTGTGGAAAGCAGTTTGGAGATTTCAGAAAGAACAAAAACACAGCTACCATTTTACCTAGCAAAGTTTCTTCAATTATTTTTTCTCACTTTTCTGCTCCATTCTCTCTCTTTTTTATTGATAACTTCTGTTAATTCACATTAAAACCTTTTTATATCACTTCCAACTCTCTTATAATTTCTGCTTTTAATTTGCATCATTTTTTTGCCTTTGCTGAATCTTCCAGTTGATAAATTTTTACTTTAACTGTAACCATTCTCTTATTTAGTCTGTGTATTAATGCTATTTAACTACAATTATATTTCCTTTTAAGTGACATTTATTTTTAAAAATAATTTATTCTCATTTTCTAAATGTAATACTTCCTTTATTCTCACTGAAATATGTATTTATTTTAAATTTCCTTTGGTTTGTTTTATTGGCATAGTGCTATAAGGTGTTGGTTATTCTGCTTATTAAATTCAATAATTCTCTTTCATGTTGTTGGCATTTTTAAAGAATTTGCTCATTCTTTAGCGCATGGTGAATTTGATATTTGTTCTATGTGTTTGCTTTAATTGTAAGTAACTTCTGTTTGCCATAGCTTGTTTTGTAGTTATATATTGAAAATCAAAATGTGCTTAGAGCTTTTATTCTGGGTCTGAGAGAACCCTCTAACCCTAAAAAGTTACTACCTACCCCTGGGTTATTGCTCGGCTTCTGTCCAAAAGGTGCAACTCCGGAGTAGCTCAGAGAAATCACTTCCTAATCTTCATAATTCTCAGCCAAAGAAATTTGTCAAATAAATAAAAGTGATTTGCAAAAAAAAAAAAAAAAAAAAAAGGAGAAAGTTTTCTCTGTCTGTACATATTTATTTATTTATTTATTTATTTTTGAGGCGGTGTGTCACTCTGTCACCCAGGCTGGAGTGCAGTGGCACGATCTTGACTCGCTGCAACCTCCACCTCCTGGGATCAAGCGTTCCTCTCACCTCAGCCTCCTGAGTAGCTGGGACCGCAGGTGCTGTGCGCCACCACTCCCAGCTAATTTTTGTATTTTTGGTAGAGGTGGGGTTTCGCCATGTTGTCCAGGCTGCTCTCAAACTCCTGAACCCAAGCAATCCATTTGACTCAGCCTACCAAAGTGCTGGGACTACAAGCGTGAGCCACCACACCATGGCCGTCTTTACATCCTCTTAATAATGTCTTTCACAGAGTAAAAGTTTTAATTTTTATGAAGTCCAATTTAACAAGTTCTACTCTTACTCTTTATTTATGGATCATGCTCTTGGTGTGATAACTAACTCTGCTCATCAATATCTGGAAGATTTTTTCCTGTATTTTCCTCAAAAAGATTAACATTATATTTTATATTTAGCTCTAATATATATTTTGATTTAATGTTGTTATAAGGTATGAAGTATAGTAAGAGGTTTATTTATTTATTATTTTTTGCAGGATGTCCAATTGTTTTAACATACTTTGTTGAAAATGCTTTGCTTTCTGTAATGAGTTGCTTCGTACCTTTGTCAAAAAAAAAAAGATTGACAGGGACTTCTTGTTTTAGGTCTGATATGTACAGCTTGAAAATCATCACCCCTCTCTTCATAAGAAAAAGCTAAAAACTGAAAATCAGTTACTTTTCTTTTATGCATTGGAACACTGAGGTCTCAGGGCAAACGTCCACCCTGAAATTTGTTTAAGACACTTCATGCCCAAAGTGCACTCGGCTGCCCCGACCTACTTGATCCTATGTACTGTTTATGGTCAAGGTCTTCATGGGGTCCCACATCTATCATTAGAACTCCAGACACTGTTCTTTACTCCAGTACAATTTGTTTTCTCTTGGGGACTCCTTTACTTTTGTTCACTTCCTAAATGCTTCTGTTCCTTCAAACAGTATATTAGGTCTTTCTCTAAATTTGCATGCTAACTTTGGGTCATATGATCCAGTGTCGTAGCTTTACTCTAAATAATTAATGATTAACATTTTTCTTGGTCACATTTTTCAAAAATCTAGAGAAAGCTGTGGATTTTCTCCATATATATATATGAATGGACTCGTGGATATAAAGTTTTGCTTAAAGTGTTTCAGAGAATTTTTAGACTCTCTGGCTACGGATAGCTGTATGTATTTGCTGATAATTTACAGAATTGTCTCTTCAATCTCATTTGTCTTCTGAATTTAAACTTTGCATTTTCAATTTTCCTTTTGAACAGCTTAATGTCAGCTTCAGATTTAATATGCCCACATATTCTTTATGCCGAAATATTCTCTCAATACCTATTGCTTCCCTGTAGTTTTCTGTGTCATTAAATAGTAGCACTATCTGCCCATCTGCCCAAGCTAGCAACTCAGTTGGCATTCCTGACTCCTGCATTGTTCTCCGTCTTGCTTCTCCCAGCCAAGCAAGTACCAAGTCCAGTTGAAGCCACATCCTCAACATCCATTTACTTTCTCCATTCCCTGTACAATTGTCCTTTTTGACACCAGAACAATCTCCCATGAGTTGAGGGAACAGTCTTATGCCTGGTTTTCCTGATTCTGTCTTATTCTAGCCAATCCATTCTCTACACCACTGCTCAAGTAAACTTTCAAAAATGTTTACTTTTTACATTTACCTAAATGTTTACTTTTAGGTTGCTGCTTAAAACCCATCTTTCCCTAACATAAATTGTGAGGGCCTTATTTATTCAAACTTATCTCCTCACACAATACCTTTTGTCCTGGGCTTGCTCTAAGTTTCAGTCCTAGGAAACTATTCTAATTCTCTGGGAGACATGAACATCCTCATCTCAGACTTTTTCTCAAACGTCACCTGTGCAAGTATTCACCCCTCTCTTCTCCACTTTAAATAACACATTGATCTTCCAGGTTAAGCTTCCAAGAAGATACCCCTTTCTCTTAAGAATGGTCTGTGTGCATCTCATAAATGTCCCCATTACTCCAATACACTTTAGTTCTAACACCAAAGTCTTTGTTATATTAAATTCCATGTTATCTAGTTGCCTGTCTCCATCTACAAGATTGTAATCTACTTGAGGGCTTCTAAGATGTTACCATTATAATATTTCTTGAATAAATAAATGAGTCCTTCCAGAATCGTTGCAAATTCTGCCTTTCCCAGAAGACTTCCTCTATTACTTTCACCCATGTGGATCTTTTTCTTATCTAAATGCCTGATTGTCTTGTTTTTCCAGTATAGCTCTTACCTTTTCCTGCATAATACCATGAATTTATTTCTTTCTTCTAGCCTCCATAATACCCTTCAATTCATGCTACAAGCTGCGTATCTCTTCGAGAAACAAAAATTGGGTTATGTCTTGTCTCTATTTTAAAATATTGTATTCCCACCCCATATGCCCCTATCCCTAGTTTAAAGAAAGAGAAATAAAACTTAAAATTCTCACCTGCCTTATAACATATTACATAGTTTAAACCTTACCTGAGTCTCTAGACTTGTTCCTCCACATTACTCTTTAACTATTGTTATCCTGCTTCAAGGCTCAGATCAGATGCCACCTCCTAAAGAAGTGTCTTCAGATTTCCCTGTTTACAGATCCTCCTTCCCTTCCACTTTGATGGGAACTTTCAGGCTTTCTTCTGAGAATTAGTTATTATTTTCCTCCACTAAAACAAGAATTATTTATTCTTTTCCTCCACATGATCATATCCAGTCTCTCTCTGGAGAGTGGAAAAATAGATTACTTATTATCTCCTCAAAAACCCTAATACAGAGACTTCATACATTACAGGTACTTGGGAAATGCTTGTTGGTAAGGAAATGGAAGTTTTCATCTCCTCTTTCCTTCAAGTCAAGCATCATGTCATTCTCATTTGTACAACAGAACCTACAAGAAAGCTAAGCATATTGATTGTTTATTTAAAGATTATACTGTGAGGCAAATTTTTAAGAAAATACAAGCCACTTTAGTAGGAATACAGTGTGGAAATGTCTTAAATTACCTGATCTTCTACAATTAGTTTTATAAAATCTGAGATAGAGAAAACACTGCTCAATTGCCAGAGCTTGAATACACATGTGATGTCTTAAATAAACATTTATGTTATTTATCTGTATTATATATACAATGAATGTAATGCATAATATGTATAATTTATATTTATTTATGCTGTGTAAATAAATAAATCATTATAAGCCCCTAAATAGATGATAAAATAATGTTAACTTTATAAATAATAAGATTAATTATAAATTTATATCATTTTGTAATGTATAAATTACTCTGAATTTTTGTTTTATTCAATCTTCACATCAGCCTATAGGGTAGTGTCTAGTCAAGGGTTCTCCCTAGATAGTTGATTCCCAGAGACTTGGGGTCATTAGAGCAAATGCCATTTTTAAATAAAACTTTTTCTCTTTGGTCATCAGATTTTTCTGGAAATTATTTGAAACCTGTACATTTTAATAATTAAAAAAAATAGTGACAACTTGGTTGCAGTACAACAGATTCAGTTAGAAGCCAATGTTGTGGTTTAAATTCAAGGGTGTAATTGGCTTTTGGCACTATATTTTAGAAGGTTTGTTTAGGTGGTTTGTTTGGGGAGCCCACCCTCAAGATTCCTGGATGGTCTCCATAGATATTAGGATTAAATTCAATTGACATAGTAACAACAAAGGCCTTGTCTTCAACTCTCAGGGCCAGCCTTGTGCCCCAGGACGACCCTCTCTGTTTAAGATACTGTTTTCCACTTCTCCTTTGCCTGCAAAAGGAAGAACAAAGTTCACATAGGGGCCTGATGACTGTCCCCAACTTTCTGCCATCAGAATGTATAGGATCCTGGTTGGATTAGTGAGAAATAATTACTCTTGGCTTTGGCTCAGGACACTCCAGTTTCTTTTATACCCATGTGGTCTATGAAGGAAAGGTGGTAGGAATAATGTTTGTTGATATTTCATCTTTACCTTTGAGTTTTGCTGTGTTAAGACTTAATCATATTAGTGAGGAAAACCTACCTGTAGCTCTACCTTACTAAATTAGAATCTTTAATCAGACCTTAATCCAGCTTAATTCAAGGATAGAGATACCTTTTTAAGGTAAAGTTTAATGTAAAACCAGCTTCTTCTTTTGCACACACAAACATCCTTTGCTATGTAAGGATTATGTTATGTTAGTATCTCAGGAAATGGAATTTTAAAATGGATTTCACAACATGGGTCAAATAACACATAATGATCTAGAAATATTTTTCTCTTGTTTTTAATCCTAAGTGTTGCTCTCCTATTATCACAGAACTGTCATTTAAGCCGCACATTATTTCTAAATTATCTTCCTTTTCTGTAAACTCAGTGGGATAAATATAGAATCAGAGGCCTTTCATCAAGGATCTAGAAAACAACCAGTTAACACAGTTCACATAAAGTTCATCTTTTTTGTCATCTTCATGGTTTTGCTGATTTCTCAAAATTATAAAAATATATTACAATTGAGTTAAATGGACATTTTCTCCACGTAACTATAATTCTGTATTCAGTAATAATGGCCCTCTGTGTTTCACTGTTCTACTAAATGAGTTTCTACACCAATGAATTTGTATGCATACTCTTTCTTCAGATGTTAAAAATGAAGTACTATTTTTCAATAACGTTTACATATGTATATTTAGGCACATTTCTAAGCTAAACACTGCATATATTTTACTTTAAAAATATTAATTTACCATAGAATTATGTTCTCCAATTCCATCAGCCTGCTGCTAATGACATTATTTCATTCCTCTTTTTGGCTGAGTAGTATTCCATGGTGCCTATATACCACATTTTCTTTATCCACTCGGTCACTGGGCATTTAGGGTGGTTTCATAGTTTTACAATTGCAAATTGTGTTGCTGTAAACATGCATGTGCAAGTGTCTTTTCCATATAATGACTTCTTTTCTTCTGGGTAGATGCCCAATGGTGGGATTGCTGGATAAAATGGTAGTCCTACATTTAGTTCTTTATAGAATCTTCACACAGTTTTCCATAGTGGTTGTAGTAGTTTACATTAGCACCAGCAGTATAAAAGTATTCCCTTTTCATCACATCATGCCAACATCTGTTATTTTTTTATTCCCTAATTATGGCCATTTTTGCAGCAGTAAGGCAATGATATGGTTTGGCTCTGTTTCCCCACCTAAATCTCACCTCAAACTGTAATCCCCAATTGTCTAGGCAGAGACCTAGTGGGAGGTTGTTGAATCGTGGGGGCAGTGTCCGCCATGCAGTTCTCATAATAGTGAGGGAGAATTCTGAATTTTTTTTTTTTTTTTTTTTTTTTTTTGAGATGGAGTCTCACTCTGTTGCCCAGGCTGGAGTGCAGTGGCACGATCTCGGCTCACTGCAAGCTCTGCCTCCTGGGTTCAGGCCATTCACCTGCCTCAGCCTCCCGAGTAGCTGGGACTACAGGCGCCCGCCAGTACGCCCGGCTAACTTTTTTGTGTTTTTAGTAGAGACGGGGTTTCACCGTGTTAGCTAGGATGGTCTCCATCTCCTGACCTCGTGATCCGCCCACCTCGGCCTCCCAAAGTGCTGGGATTACAGGCGTGAGCCACCGCGCCCAGCCTCCGATGGTTTTAAAAGTGGCAGTTTCCACTGCGTGCCCTCTCTTTGTCCTGTCACCTTATGAAGACATGCCTTGCTTCCCCTTCACCTTCCACCATGATCTTACGTTTCGTGAGGCCTCCCCAGCCATGTGGAACTGTGAGTCAGTTAAACATCTTTTCTTTATAAATCACCCAGTCTCAGGTAGTATCTTTTTTTTTTTTTTTTTTTTGAGAGGGAGTCTCACTCTGTTGCCCAGGCTGGAGTGCAGTGGCATGATCTTGGCCCACTGCAACCTCCACCTCCTGGTTCAAGCAATTCTCCTGCTTCAGCCTCCCAAGTAGCTGGCTATACAGAGGCACATGCCACCATGCTTGGCTATCTTTTTTTTGTGGGTGTTTCTTTTAGTAGAGATGGGATTTCACCCTGTTGGTCAGGCAGGTCTTGAGCTCCTGACCCCAAGTGATTCACCAGCCTTCACATCCCAAAGTGTTGGGAATACAGGCATGAGCCACTGCACCTCACCTGGCCTCAGGTAGTATATTTATGGCAGTGTTAGAACAGATTGATACGGGTGGTATCTCATTGTGGTTTTAATTTGTATTTCCATGATAATCAGTGATGTTGAGCATTTTTTCATGTTTGTTGACCATTTGTATGTCTTCTTTAGATAGTTGTCTATTCATGTCCTTTACCCACTTTTTGATGAGAATTTTTTGTTTTTTTTCTTGCTGATTTGTTTGAGTTCCTTGCAGATTCTGGATATTAGTTACTTGTCAGATGAATAGTTTGTGAATATTTTCTCCCATTCTCTGGGTTGTCTGTTTACTCTGCTGATTATTTATTTTGTTGTGCAGAAGCTTTTCAGTTTAATTAGGTCCAATGTATTTATTTTTGTTTTCACTGCTTTTGGGTTCTTTAATTTGCTTTTGGGTTCTTGGTCATGAACTCTTTTCCCAAGGCAACATCTAGAAGAGTTTTACTGATGTTATCTTCTAGAACTTTTATGGTTTCAGATCTTAGGTTTAAGTCTTTGATCCATATTGAATTGTTTTTTGCATAAGGTGAGATATGAAGTTCCAGTTTCATCCTTCTACATGTGGCTTCCCAGTTATCCCAGCATTATTTTTGAATAGGGTGCCCTTTCCCTGCTTTCTGTTTTTGTTTACTTTGTTGAAGATCAGTTGGCTACAAGCAGTTGTCTTTAGTTCTTTGTTCCCTATTCTGTTCCATTGGTCTATGGAACTTATGGGCTTATTTGTATACCAGTGCCATGTTGTTTTGGTAGCTATAGCCGCCTTGTAGTATAGTTTAAAGTCAGGTAATGTGATGCCTCCAGATTTGTTCGTTTTGCTTAGTCTTGCTTTGGCTATGCAGGGTCTTTTTAAGTTTGGCATGAAATTTGGTATCTTTTTTCTACTTCTATGAAGAATGATGATGGTACTTTGATGGAATTGCATTCAATCTGTAGATTGTTTTTGGCAGTATTGTCATTTTCGCTGTATTCATTCTACCCATCCATGAGCATGGGATGTGTTTTCATTTGTTTGTGTCATCTATGATTTCTTTCAGCAGTGTTTTGTAGTTTTTCTTGTAAAGATCTTTCACCTCCTTGGTTTGCTATATTTTTAAGGTTTTTTTGTGTTTTTGTTTTTTGCTTTTTTTTCAGCTGTTATAAAAGTGATTGAGTTCTTGATTTGATTCTCAGGTTGGTCATTGGTGTATAGCAGTGCTAGTGATTGGTGTGTACTAATTTTGCATCTTGAAACTTTACTGAATTCATTTAACAGATCTAGGAGCTTTTTGGATGAGTCTTTGCCGTTTTCTAGGTATACGATCACATCATCAGCAAACAGTGACAGCTGGACTTCCTCTTTACCAATTTGGATGCCCTTGATTTTTTTTTATCTTGTCTGATTGCTCAGGTAGGACTTCCAGTACTATGATGAATAGAAGAGGTGAAACTGGGCAATCATATCTTGTTCCAGTTCTCAGGGGGAATGCTTTCAACTTTTCCCTATTTAGTATAATGTTGGCTGTGGGTGTGTCATACATGCCATTTATTACCTTGAGTCATGTCCCTTTTATGCCAATTTTGCTGAAGGTTCTAATCATAAAGTAATGCTGGATTTTGTCAAAAGCTTTTTCTGCACCTATTGAGATGACCATATTATTTTTGCTTTTAATTCTGTTTATGTGATGTATCACATTTATTGACTTGAATATGTTAAGCCATCCCTGCATCCTTGGTATAAAACCCACTTCATCATCGTGTATTATCTTTTTTGATATGCTGTTGGATTCAGTTAGGTAGTATTTTGTTGGGGATTTTTGCATTTGTGTACAGATATTGGATTTGAGTGTACAGATATTGTGTTGAGATTTTGCATTTGTGTACAGATATTGGTCTGTAGTTTTCTTTTTTTGGCTATGTCACTTACTGGTTTTGGAATTAGGATGATATTGTCTTCATAGAATGATTCATTATTCTAAGTGAAGTAACTTAGGAATGGAAAACCAAACGTCGCATATTCTCATTTATAAGTGGGAGCTAAGGTATGAGGACAGAAAGGCATAGAATGACATAACGGACTTTGGAGAGGTGGGAGGCATGGGGGCAGGGGGCAAGGGATAAAAGACTACACACTGGGTACAGTGTACACTGCTCTGTTTGATGGATACACCACAATCTCACTAATTACCCCTAGAACTTATCCATGTAACCAAAAACCACCTGTTGCCCAAAAACTATTGAAACAAATAAATAATATTAATTTTCCAGAGATTAAAACCCAGATGAACATATGTGGAAATATAAAAATAGTAATTAACATTTGTTGAATGCTCACTGTATGCAGACAGTGTTCTACTCATGTAATTCCATTAACCTCTTTAAGATACGTTTAAGATCATCCTATTTTTTAATAGGGAGGAGTTAAGTAAGATAAGTAACTTGAGTATCTTATCTAACATAACACAACTGTTGAGAATATGCACATACATTTACATAATCAGGCTTTTATATAGAAAAATACATTTTAATAAACTCATATCTTATCTCAAACTTCAGTCTTAAAAATAATCTAACTGTATCCCTAAAAATAAACTATAAAATATAGTCTTAATTTAACCAATTTTTAGAGATTACTTAAAATGGAACAAGAATAGTAACATGATAATCAGGGGACTTTCACTATATTTTGACTTTCTTCATACAGATGTAAGCCCTTCATACTTACATATTTCTGCTCAAAAGAATAGTGCAGGCTATAAATACATGTGGGCTTTTAGTTTAAATGCTATATAAATCAATTGAAGGAAGAAGCACACTAATAAGTGGTGTTTTAAACAAATCTAAACAGGTAACATTAGAGATTCTAAAGACCATAATTGCAAAAAGGATAAGATTTTTTGAATCTACTTTAACTATTCCACCATCCTCAAATTTTATTCAGGGTAAAAATAAAATTTTATCTGGTTATTAATTGCTTAGGACATTAGAAATAAGACTATGTTTCCTGTACACTTTAGACAGCAGACTTGAGGTTTCCTTGGATTGGAATGATATCTAAAAGGTCAAAATGATCTATGCAGAAACCAGTTGATGTTTAGACTCTGCATGGACACTCAATGACATTCTCTCTAGGCACAGCTGGAAGCCTAAGGAATCTACAGCATCTGCTGAGGACTTCAGATATAGAAGTTGCATTGAAAGGTAAAGAAAGTTCCTCAGCAACTGTCTATGCTACTCCTGGAACAAGCTAGTTTTTCAACAGTGCAAATTACATGGGAATTTCTGGGGTATTATGTATAATAATAACTCCAAAAAACTAAAAGAGTTCAATTTGATCAATGTGGTGACAATTAACAAGTAGACATTACAGACTTCATTTCTGTTTTTTCCTCCAAAAACAGAGCAAGACAGTCTGTCTTCATTTATTTTACCTTATTTTAATTCACTGCTGCCTTAGATTATTTTTTAGAAAGGATAGAAGAGAAAGTATCCTATATTCCAGTGGTTGAGATAGCATTCATACAATGATTATGTAGACATAATTTTGGAAGCTGATAAAAACAAAATGAATTAAATATTTCATAGCTTTAGCAATGAGTCTGGAAAATAGATATTTGAAACAAATTAATTATATGAAAGGGAGTGCATGCATGTATGTGTGTATGGGAGCCAAAGGTAGTGAGATTTTGAGGTCAGACTTGTATGACTCTTAATTCTCCACTCACAAGGCAAGAAGGAAGCTGTACACAGTTCTGCGACAACAGATAACTATTTATTTTGAACTATTTATTTGACAGTGATCTCATATTTTTATATCATATCCAAAAGTAACATGATCTAGAAAGGAGTCATTTCCCATCACATGTCCTCTCTAAGTATAGAGAACTGGAGAAGGCTGTAATGAGAGGCACACAGCCGGAGAAAAGACATAGTCCAGCTGCATTAATCCAAAAGCCTAGAATTGACACTAATCTCTCACGTAATTTTAAAGGAAGCAAGGTTCTTCATAGTACATCAACAGTCATTGCATTCTCAAGAAGCATGGCTTGAGCCCTCCTGTTTGCTGTCTTACTATGGAGCAGAGACTATAAAAGAGAAATCAAGCATTTGAAAGGTGTCTTTATGGAAGGGTAAAATTTGGAAAGATAAGAAAGCACAGCAAATAGAGTGAAGCAGTTTCTTGATCCCTAGATACCAATTTAAAAACTTTTGGGGATTACTTGGTAACAATATTAGACCACTTGAGACTGCATTTTTCAATTTATAAAACATTTTCTCCATCATCACCTTTTTATTCACTAACAGATATTGGGGGTTTGAGGTGACACTCTTGATGTCCCTATTAAAAGAAGATAACCAAAGAATCAAGAACCACAAACAAAACAAAGTACGCCTTTATAAATTTCTCAGAATTGCTATGAGGGTCACATTCCAAGCTGCACTCCTGCCTGGGTGACAGAGCAAGACTCTGTTTCAAAAAACAAAGAACGAATGTGCTGTAGTGTGCTGTATTTTTCATTTGTTTTTAAAAGGTATTTTTAATTCTCACTTAGCACATACACAAAAGGTACTTTAAGTATGGTAGGCATCGTATTCCCAGAACAGAGCACAGACCCTGGCCCACAGCAGATGCTATGATTGATATAGGTATTTCTGCCTCCAACTCAGAATACATCATTTGATTTATTAACTATACATTTTATATATATATGTGTGTGTGTGTGTGTATATATATATATATATATATATATATATATAAAATATTATTTTCTAGGCTTTTGGATTTTTTTAGAATTTTTTTGTCTTGTTTCATTTCTGCATCTTGGCACTTCTAATAACCATGACATTGTGTAAAGATTTCATATTTGAAAATTTTAAAAATAAATAAATTCCAAGTTTTGGTCTTGTCTCTGCTTCTATTACTTGCATTATTGTTAGTATATTAAGTACCTTCTTTGGGTCTCAGCATCCCTGTGTGTAAAATGAGGAAAGAAACTCTAAGGTCATTTTCAGCACAAATTCTATGAAACCTGTAATTACTTCTATTTCATGGTGTTTCATGAAGTGCCCCTGAGCTTTTTTTTTTCTTTTTTTTCTTTTTTTTTTTAACAATTCAGGCTTACATTCTTCTCAACCATTTTAATAGCTCTAGTGCTCCCAAGGGAGGGAAAATTATAGCAAATGAACAGATTATTTGCTCCCCATGATGCAGTATCTTGGAAAATTTCAAACGCTCTGACCATATGCTTACATTCCCATCTTTCATTCTAACCAGTGGCTTTACATTGACACATCCTTCTTTTTCTCTTAGTTGAATTATCTTCTGGTGATAAAATCAATACTTTGTCAATGTAAGCAGTAACTTACAAAACATAACCAAAAGAAAAAAGTAATTACCTTTCATCCCACTATCTCAGATACCCATTATGAAAATCTATTTCTCCGGGTTTTTCTACGTGTGTATGTGCATGTGTGCCTATGTGTGTATGTGTAATTTAGTTCTACCTATTTGCTAGGTTGTGCTTTCAGTGCCTTTTGTGTCTGCCTTCATCACATATATATATTGTGAACATGTGTCCATGTTAGTGAAGATAGAACCTATACCATTTTGATTGCTACTTGTTATTTCAGTGTTTAACGGTGTCATGACTTATTTAACCAAACAATAGACTGATGGAGAATTTATCTATTTATAACATTTGTGATTATAGGAACCTTAATAAACATATTTTATCTTTAAACATTTATCTGATTTTTTCCTTGCATATTGTATACATAAGATTTATATACTTTAGTTTGTTGTTGTTGAGAGTCAACTTACAAAAGTATTTTAATATACATCTGGTCCTATGTAAATACCTTCTTGACCCTACGATTCTCCTCTTGACTTTCACTTCCTGAGTCACCATTCCTTAGACCTTCAGCATTCACCATTTACTGCACCCACATCTCTGCCTGTCTCAAGGGCTCGAGCATGGTACTCGGCTTCAATGTTGCCCCAGTAGCATGGTCATCTGCTCTGGCTTTTAATTATCTTTTTCTTTCCTTTCTACTTGTTCAAATCATGCTACCAAAATCTGCATTTTAGGCTATATATCTTTCTTTTTCATTCCCAATAAAATATCTAGGATAAAATTTATATACCATCATGTTGTTTTATGTATCTTTTTATTTACTCCATTCTCTTGGGTATCAAATAGATTTGGTTTATGTAATTAATATTTTGATTTTATACACTTTATGAGTTTGTATTATATTTATGTGTAAATCTCATATAGCTGATCTTTTAATCCCTTGATTTTATACTTAGTCTATATGCACTTAAAGGATTAATGTCATAATTCAGCGATATGAATTATATCAACAAAATCCTTTCGTATGATATTGACTACTAGGTTTGAGCAAAGAGGCATAAACTTTTTGTAGTTTTGAGATATCTAAAGAAGAAAAATATAAATAGACTTTTCTGCTACTCAGTGGATTCTAGTCTCTCAAGTGCATCTTAGCTTCATTTAATCTTTGATCCATGTTATATAAACATAACTATTATACCTTTCTTGCAAATATAAGCTCATAGTTGTAAAAATACAAAAGCAGTAATCTACTTATCTAATATAGAAATAGCTTATTTTTGTTCTAGGGTATGCCAATCAAAAAATCAGAGAGAAGTATCTCCAAATATGTTTAATTTATTCAGGAATTAGAAAAATGGATTATAACCCCATATGCACAGCTATGGCAAGTCACATATACATCTGAAAAGGGGAGGGTAAAGGGAATGTTTTATTGGCAAAGGAGAAATTCTCATAAGCTGCTTGGAAACAGAGTTCTTGGTTTTAGAGACTGAAAGCAATAATTGGCATCAGTTCATTGGCAGAGATGCCATTAGTGGGCAGGTGTTCTTTCAAGAGCATCTTATCTGAATTGCTGCAGTCCTAAAGAAAGAAATTCTTGTGGCTTATTTTAGAAAGTCCTTGAAGCAGTCTTTATTCCAGATATGCAAGCATGAACCCTCCTCTTTTGTGCCCTTCCAGCTCTGGGTTGTTTGGATCTGGAAAAAAGTGATTTCATCCTGGTACCTGCAACTCTCACAGGTAGAATTCAATAGTCAGGGTCCTCATTATGCCTATGCCTAGAAAATGAACCCAGAAAGCTAAAGTTGGCAAGTGTTTACCCTTGCTAAAACTTGAAAGTATAAAAACCCAGAGGTGGCTTTCAATATAGTTGCTTTATGTAGACAACATGACAGCCACTCTGGACCATAATCCTGGGAGCATGATTAGCAACCTTTCAGAATTTCAGGAAGACTAAAGAGAAATAGAGCAAATATCCAAAGATCAAATAGAATGATCCATCCTGAGCCATCTTAAAATCTCTGGAGAGGAGGATAGATAGGATAATAGTGAGGGACCTCAGTAAGTGTAAATAAGAGCAGATTATGGGAAGGAAGAAAGGCAGAGTTTTCCAATGCCTGCAACCAAGAAGCTGAAGGAAAAGAACAGAGAGAAGTGGATAAGATCAAAATTACCAAACATAGCCAAGAAAAGGCAAGCAAAGAGGCAGATTAGAACCATCAATCTTACTTCGGTTTATGGCCAGTATTTATTAGACACAGTACTGCTTCTCGCAAATCCCCAGGATAATGGTTAAACCGTGCAGTAATTTCAACTGGTTGAGCTGAGGTGCTTAGATGCTGCTAGTGTGGCTGTTCTGGCTCAGGAGTGCATACACACATATATATGCACACCACTGGCTTGTGAAGTGTGTGGTCACTTTTCTTTTTCGCATTCAGGAGAAACAAAGTGGAAACAAAAGCAGAGAAGAGAACAACAGTGATTAAACCGATGACAGTATTTATTCCTGTGAACCATTAGGTCAGAGAGGTTAAATCCAGAAACTAGATAGATAGATAGATGATAGATAGATAGATAGATAGATAGATAGATAGATAGATAGATAGATTGATTGATTTTGAGATGGAGTCTTGCTCTGTCTCCCAGTCTGGAGTGCAGTGGCGCGATCTCGGCTCACTGCAAGCTCCGCCTCCCGGGTTCACGCCATTCTCCTGCCTCAGCCTCCCCAGTAGCTGGGACTACAGGCGCCTGCCACTATGCCCGGCTAATGTTTTGTATTTTTAGTAGTGACAGCGTTTCACAGTGTTAACCAGAATGGTCTCTATCTCCTGACCTCGTGATCCGCCCACCTCAGCCTCCAAAGTGCTCGGATTACAGGTGCGAGCCACCGCATCTGGCCCTAATAGTGATATATTTATAAAATATCATGAAATTCTAGGACACTGATAAAATTTTAAGAAATTGTTTCCAGGAGGGTCATTGTGAGTCACTGCCGCGATGTGGCGAAATAGGACATTCTCCCTCTGTTGCACTGATCTCAACAGCTCCTTTCTACACGAAGAACTGGAGATTAGTAGGAGATGGCAGCCCATGGCAGAAACAAAGATGCTTATGGTGGGTCACCTTCAGTAGGGAGTGCAATAAGTTTCCTTGTAACAGCTTTGCAGGTAACTGAGCTTACTTAGAAGGAGCAGCCAGATAAGAAAAGATAGATTTGGCAGGTATTTGTGTGATAATTACATCTGACTCACTGGCATAAGGGACACATTTTTTTTTTTTTTTTTTTTTTTTTTTTTTTTTTGCTGTGGGGGCGGGATTTCCTGATGTAAGTAGGGTTTATTCTGAAGGACTAAATATCTTGCTTGAGGAATGTTGAGTATGGAGCCATTGTAATGTGGTATAAATTTATATACGTCCTATTTGTAGCCACAGGCATAGCAAGGTTGGGCGATCTCGTGGTTACATACAAAACATATATCAGGCCTGGTGCGGTGGCTCACGCCTCTAATCCCCACACTTTGGGAGGCTGAGGCAGGTGAATAACGAGGTCAGGAGATCAAGACCATCCTGGCTAACATGGCGAAACCCCGTCTCTACTAAAAAGAGAAAAAAAAATTAGCCAGACGTGGTGGCATGTGCCTGTAGTCCCAGCTACTTAGGATGCTGAGACAGGAGAATTGCTTGAAACCGGGAGACGGAGGTTGCAGTGAGCCAAGATCGCACCACTGCACTCCAGCCTGGGTGACAGATTAAGACACCATCTCAAAAAAAAAAAAAAAAAAAAGTTAAATTAAAAAAGTCAAAGAGAATCCAAAAGTGTTCCAAATATTGTGTACATTTTATTTATGGCTCTGGAGAATTTTCCTTTTGGGGAGTTTCTTTATGGTTTAGATCAATTTGAAGTCCTCTAAATGACTTCATATGGAAAATACCAGGTAGTCCAAGGAAGCCAGCCAGGAACCTTCTGGTTTCAAACACCAAACTGCGATCATAAAATAAATCAATACTTGTTCATAAATTCCTGAGATAGTCTCAGAGAGGGAGCAAAGTCAATATCAGTCAGATAAAAGTTTCCCATGTCAGGCAAATTCAGATCCTAGAGCTCTGAAAGGGGCCTGCTGTCTCTCTGATGGATGAAATAACATCACACTACCTCATCTGGAATAAACAATGTTTCCCATAATCAGCATTTGAAACATAAGGAAGGGTCTCCACATTAAATTTATGTTAAAGAGAGAAAAGCTGCTATTTTGTTTCTTTAAATATGAATTTGCTGTGCCTTATAAGAAATTTTCTCCACAGGCAGAGTCTGGAAGCTAAAAATGAGAGAAAAGAGGACAAAGAAACAACCGTGTTAAGGGCCATCATCCTAAAGGCAATGCAACTTTTAACACTGTCTGCTCCCACAGTGAAAGTTATGATTGATCTTAAGCTGATTTCATCTTAAACTGATACCATTTTTTCTTTGAGATACATATTTTTTAAGAATGCATGTGTTTGAGTGTTTGTGCATATATGAGTGTGTTTTTTGTCTAAGAGTAATTTACTAGCAGGAGAGAATAACAGAATATCAAAGTTGGATGGGAGTGGGAGAGGAAACCAGGGGCCCTGAAAGCCATTTAATTTAATTTTGTTTTTTTGAAACAGGGTATCTCTCTCTTGCCTAGGCTGGAGTACAATGGTGCCATCACTGCTCACTGGAACCTCGATCTCCCTGGCCTCAGGCAATTCTCCCATTTCAGCCTCCTGCTTAGCTAGGACTACAGCCACTGGCCACCACTCCCCTCTAATTTTCTGTATTTTTTCTAGAGACGGGGTTTAGGCATGTTGCCTGGGTTGGTCTCAAACTCCTGAGCTCAAGTAGGGGCCTGTCTAGGCTGCCCAAATTGCTGGGATTACAGGCATGAGCCACCACGCCTGGCCCTGACACCCATTTTAAACACCTGTTTGCTGTGAGGCAACTCATCCAACTCCCCCTCTTTTCCTCAAACTATTACTAAAAACCTGCATGCTATTATTCCAGTTACATGACTCAGATATTGCAAATAGACAGCCATGAAGTATTATCCTGGTGGAAGGATAATGCCCTGGCAGGAATGTCCTGGGGAAGTGTATAGCCAGTGGGATGTTCCTAAAGAGGCACACATTTTCACTGTGAATAGAAGAAAGTGGGCTCTCTTAGGATGACTACAAGAAAAGAAATCAAAGTCAGGAACTGGGGTATTCCCTAGAGGGAAACCAAAAGATGGGGTTTGAGCTTCTTTCATCTTCTATTCTTAGAATCTAGAAATATCATCTTAACATCTCATTTCCAGGTCTACTCTCCCCACATTGTTGTAATTCCCTGTGGTTATGCTCAAAACATCCATTAATCACATTATGCATTAAAACCCAGTATTAGAAGTTTATGTAATGGCAAAAGTATTGTTGAAGGGACATTGCTAATTCTGTAGTTCTAGGCAGAAACCATGGAGTGATCAGGAAGAGCCCGGTGTCAGGGAAGAACAGATTGCAGCACACCCTACTCCAGATCAGGAGGGAGACAGACCCCATTTAAACCAAATATTCTACAGGAAAGCTGCCTTTGTCCAAGGAAGGGTCAGGTAGGGGCCAAGAAAAGAAAGTGAGATCTCATCATTTGGTTGATAGTGGCTATCTAATCCACAGATATTTGGGTTACAGAACTAACTGGATAAATATAAATTTCTATGTAAAAAATAACCTGTAGCAAGTACATGCATATTTCAGTAGATATTCAATGTAACTAGATATTAATTTGAAAAACAAGGTATTTGAAATATGCTTCTAAAATCTTTATTCTGGAAAATAATACATTTTGAGGCAATTATATTAAAGTTGATGTTTTATCATACTTAAATTGTATTACTCTGTAACAGTTCCATGAGTTTCTCCTCCTGGACCCCAAACCAAATTGTAAGTTTCAAAGCTCAAAACTATTGCAAAATTCTGTGGCTGGGATTTGCTGCTGCCCATATTTAAATGACTTTCCTTAGTAGGACATCGACAAGAACCCAGTCTTTAGATAGCTATGTTAGAAATGAGTCACCCTAGCTTTCTCATTGCGGTGACACCAATGCTTGCTTTATTTTTAACATCAGTGGTAGTTTTGTGGGAGAACCATAAGTACTTCATAACGTGGTATTACTCAGTAGATCTTAAAATGCCCTCAGTTCATACAACCTGGTTGCAATAGCCTCCATGAGTTTTCCTTCTATGTGATTTCAGAGTTCTAAAGTCCACTTTTAAAGCTAGATGCTCCCTACACACATTTTCCTCATATGTAACCTTAAAATGGCTATCATTTATTACCCCTGTTCCTATATCAGTGGAGAAATTATGGAACTTGAAAGAAAAAATAAGGTAAGTAAACGTTTGGTTATTTGAGACTGAGAATGTGAGATTTTGAGAGGTCTTTAGGCTTTAGACACATACTCTTAAAAATAAATTTCTGATTTTTGTATCTGTTCTTTCTAGCCCAGAAAGAGTTTGTGTAATTCTTTGGTTCTCCCATTTGTAATTATTTGGTTCTCCCATTGTACCCATAACAGTGTTAGTTCTATACCAGTTCTCAGCAGATAAAAAATTTATTGACAGAGCCTTCTATTAGAATTTAATCTCCAGATATCAGATTCAGATTCCTTTGCAAACTTCTCTGCAAAACACAAAGTTCAATTATTCCTGGTTGCCAAGGAAACAACATGAGACCACAGGACCACTGACTACAGGGTCAGTGTTGTCAAGGCTGGCCACCCTCTGTAAGCATATGGAGTGTCAGAAACCTATGTTCAAATAGAAGTAATTGCATTTGCCATTCTAAGCTATATATAGTTCTATTTGATGAAATTGAAGTTAGAGTAATTGGAATAAAGGCCAAAAGTATCATCTTTAGCCTTCCAGACTTTAATGGTATAAAGCCTGGTGTATTAAGATTTTTACTCAGGCAAGTTTTAATATGGTTTGTCAATCAAATATGAACAAAATACGACACCACTGTTATTTGCTCACAATGAGAAATCTATAGTTCATTGAAAATTAATTACTTAATTAATCAATTAAGCCTTCTGAACTAAACTCCCTCATTTCTATTTTAAATTTTGCATAGGGATGGCCACATAATCAGGCATATTTTGGCACTAGATTTTGGCGATGGCTTTCCTTTTTGAATCTCTAAATAAAATATAATAGACTTCATATTCTGTATGAAAAGAGGTGATTGTTTCTTCCTCCCCATACCATTCCCTCATCCCACTGTTCTTACCCTCACTCCATCACCATAAATGAGCACCACAGTCATGTGGGTTGGACAGTTGTCCCTGTTACAAACATATTTCTTAAAAGTGAAGATAGGCTTGTTTCCTTGGCAACACTACCAGTGAAATGTTCTCCCATGATTTACCTGTTCAAGAGACAGTTAATAGGCAGGACCCAGATTTGAAAGCAGTCATCTGATTTAGAAGGCAACGTGCTAAGTCTCATCTGACAACAAGACTGAATCTGAACTCTGCCTAGACAAACTCCAAATGATGTTTGGGTTAGTGAAGGATACAGAGAACGTTAGATGCAAATATTCAGCATCTTATTTAGCCATGACAGTTATTAGACCACACCGACTTAAATATTTATGCTTCCAGCTGTTTGAATTTAAAATTAAAATGTTCTTTTCCCCTCTCTTGGTGTGGCTGACTCTTCTTTTCAGGCCAAATGCTACCTTCTTAGAAGGCCTTCTGCAGTGTACCTCTCGACTCCCTCACCGTAACCAACACATTTTTCTAAAATTGAATCTTCCCACTTGTGTTACAATGTGTACTACATTTTGTGGTATACATGTCTTTGTTACCATTTACTGTCTTTAACAGTAGATTGTGATTTTAGGCCCTCAAAAAATATGTGTTGAATGAATGAGAAGAGACTGCAATTATTCATCTAAACATAATAAAAAGATAGTAAAATATGTGTTCTTTTCATAATTTTAAGCCTTTTTGTTTAACAATACTAGAAATATTTATATAATCCAACTACTACTTTAACAAAATCAGAGAAAACTTGTAAAATAAGATCATTAATAAATAAAGACAGGAAGTATGCTCCACACATTTACATTATAGAAAAAAATGATCATATACTTCATACATATTTTCTAGTGAAGCATAATGTGCATTTGCTATATTAGTTGCAAATATTCAATTCTATATAACACAAAACAAATGGAATGGATTTGTTTAATGTCTTAAACAAAAACAAAATAAGATGATAGGACGAGGCCAACATAGATAAAGTAAAGCAGAATATCTGAGTGCTAAAGATAGAGGGCCCAACGTGGGGACTAAGTAAGTATACAGGAGATGTATGAGGCTCTCAGTCCTCAAGGGGTCTTAAATTTGACACCCATTGATGAAACTCATTCTGACCACACATGTCAAAACCCCAGGCTTATTGGCAATTTTTATCTGTGGATCAAGTGTGCTTGTTCCTGCATCTATTTGATTATGCTGTGTGTTGTGAAGGTCCCAGTCTTATCTGGAAACATCTATCCATTTCCTTTTTTGATATGGCAATTTTGTCTAACTTCTAAAGGCCCATTTTCCCACATGTTGCCACACCATAAGCAGGAGACAATCAAAAACAAAGAACGAGGTTTAAAATAAGTAAGTAAATATAAAGCAAGTCACTGTGAAGGCCAGCTCATAATTACTGAAGTTCAGAAGAAATGAATAAGCAACAGGGGAACAAACGGCAGAAAGTTCCATTTATATTTTCCAACTCTCCCCACTACAGGCAAGAGAGATGAGCCCTAGGCAACAGGGCTAGAATAGTGAATTCCTTCTTACAATCCAAACTCGAGTGCTTCATGGGTCTTTCCATCTTCATTTTTGCCTATTCTCCTATTGGTATTATATGGGGAAAAGGTAAACAAAACAAAAATTGTAAATAACCTTTTGGCTCTTAGCCCAGACTTCCTGCCTCTGTTTATAGGGATGGTCAGGGATTCTCACACATACACAGCAGTGTAGGCAAGCTTAAGGAGGACATATACATTGTTTAGTGATAAGCCACCCTTTTGAATTCCTTGCCATAGGAATTTAAGTTAGCTGATAATGGGATATCCTAAAAGAAAGCAGACGTCTGTGTCTCCTCTGGGAGCTGTTTGGGATACATGGTTTTGGCTGGGGGGATGGGGGTGGGGAGTCCCAGGAATTAGGATGTACACAGTAGGCAGGAGTTAAACAGGTAACACAAACAAAGGGCTATTCTTCCTAACAACTATAAGTAGCCACAGAGTTTTACTTAATTTCTTGAACTCCCTTCCTGAAGGATGTGCATTCCCAAAGGATGTAATAGGACTCCCCTCAGCTGTATTTAAATACTCTTTTTCACCTCCATCTCAAACTCTACATAGTATAATTTCACACTGTGCAAACATTAATGATCAATTGTTTTCTTAAAACCCCTTCTTTATACATGTACAGCTAAAGAATGTAGGTTTACTATCTCTTTGTTATATCTAAATGTATCTGCTTTCTAGAATACTCTGTTGAATCGGGGATTTATATTTCCATTTGTGATATAGCAAAAAAAAAAAGTGTTTAGAAAACAGCCATGTTGCCACAAATGCACATGCAAACATGTTATAAATACTTACAGAACTTTGGAACATCTTGGAATAAGCCTTGCCTTGGGCCATGAAAAAAACTCAAGCCTAATTATATGCTTGCTCACTCTTTTTAAAAGCTTTACATGCCCCAAATTTTAAATATTTGCTTGGATCTGGAAAGACTCTATAAAAAGCCAAAGTACTTTCTGTGTAAATAGTCAAAACCCAAAGGGGGCCCTTATATGGCTACTCTGTCCACGGCTAGTCAGAAATCTGTTAACAGGAGAACAACAGCCCTAACATTAAACTTGTTTGTAACTGACTTCAGTGCTTAGTAATAATTTCACCAAAAATAAAAACATCATATTGTTTTAGAATGACAAGAAAATTTTGTAATAATCTGTTCAAACACATTTTTCTTCTGCTCAGCAAATATAGGAACAGCTAAAGACTACGTGATATGCTCACAGGCCCATAAATATTTAAGCCTCTGAGCCATGTTTTTTTGATTTATTGACCAACACTGACAACCACAGTAAAATTGTCTCTAATTCCAGGGGCTGATAGCAGCCACTGGATGGATGGGCAGGAAGGGTAAAGAGAGGTTTGATGCTCCAGTTTACTCAGGACTGTCTTGGTTTTAGTACTGAAGGTCATTATGAGAAACCTCTCATTCACAGGCAAACCAGGATAGTTAATCATTCGTGTTTTGAGTGAATAACTCCAATTAATATGGGAGTTTAATTTTTCACCTATAGCTCTGCGATCAGCTGGAGTATGAGTGAAAAGGCCACAATAAGGCTATAAGCATTCTGGTTTTGTTTGGAGGCTAAGGAAGCATGGCCTTGAGAAGTGGATTCCTTAGCCCAGCAATGCACGTGGTAACAATTCAATATTAAATGAATGAAAGATTGTTAAATTAATAAGACCAATAATAAGGTGAAAAAATTGTCTTGATGCAATGGTAGCTTCCAGATACACCACCCAGGAAGCTATCTGTAGTAGACAGAATGAATAATGGCCTCCAAAAATGTCCATATTCAAATCCACGACCAGATATCATATATGGTTACATGGCAAGGGAGAATTAAGCTTACAGATAGAATTGAGGTTGCTAGTTTCTTGTTTTAAAGAGATTATATCCTATTACACAAGTGGGCTCAATGTAATCACGAGGGTGATTAAATGGGGAAGATGGAGACAGAAAGGTCAGAACCAGAGAGAGTGTTCTGAGAAAGACCTAATCTGCTATTAATGGCTTTGGAAATGGAGGTGGCTACTAGCCAAGGAAGGGGAGCAGGCTGTAGAAGATGGACAAAGCAAGAAAAGAGATGTTTCCCTAAAGCTGCCAGAAAATAACACAGACCTGTTGGCATCTCACTTTTAGGCCAGTGAGATCCATTTTGGGGCTCTGACTTTTAGAACTGTAAGATAACAATTTTGTATTGTTTTAAAGCTCTAAAATGTGTGGTAATTTGATACAGCAGCAACAGAAACTAATGTATCATTCTTGAAATAAAGGAACAGAGTAGTTAACAGACCAAATTAAAATATTCAAATCACATGGCTTATTAAAGAAATTTAAAACACATGATAAGAAGCAAAAGATGATGTAAGAAAAAGGAGATAAAGTAAGTCAACACGGTTAAGATAGGGTGCAAGCATACTACTTGAATCTTGAACACTGAACATTATGCTCATATTTTCTGTCCCCTTTCTCTGCTAGATCAGCCTCCCAATCACCCCACTGTTGTGGTTAAGAAAATCAGAGTTGAGATATTGAGTAAAACTGTCCATGAATTATAGGTGCCCTGGACCAATGATACACATTGGCAAGACAAAGGGACAAGTATGTCTGGCCATAGCTGTAGCTTACCAATTAACCTAATAAATAGCCATGGGTTTTATTTGTGTTTCCTTGGTAGAAGACACATGCAACCAAAATGATGTCACCAACGGGTGACTAAATTAAGATCTCTTCCATATTGAGTGCTCATGTATACTTACTGTACCCAGAAAAGTGTTTCTTATATGTTTTTTATATCACGAATATTTAGTGTTCAGGTGCCTCATGTATAATTCACAGTGACTCATGATTATACATTATCTCTTGGTGCTCTATCTATTACTTATTTATACTTAACACATTTTATGAGTTTCATCCAGCCCATGTCTTCTTGTCTTCTACAGCATAATTAAGTATTCTCAAACAATACAATAAATGCATGTTACACCTGTGAAGAGGATGAACAAAAATTGAAAGGTGTTTTAAGGCCAACCCAATGCAATGACATTCTGAGGACTGGCTTCAGGTCTCATAAACAAGCCTATCTCTGTCACTTGTCTGTATTCCTTGAAAGGGAAATTTACAGGAAAACAATTTTTAAAAAAAGATAAAATATCTTTTCCTTCTCCAAATCTAATATAATTCAACTGATTTTTTTTCTCGGTGAAAATTATTCATTTAGGACATACTTTGTACCTTTAATCCGTGAAAGCTCTTTATGTTATCCTACATAAAGAAACATGTTCTTAAATTATTGTGCCTTGTTCTTTGAGGGAAACTGAGAGATAGTACAAAAGACAATACTCTGAATTTAGGAAGATGGACACTTGTCACCTTTCTACCACTAAATATCACTGTGATAATAGGCCATTTACCTCACTATCTTGAGCTCCAACTTTCCTCATGTGTAAGATTGGGGAACCAGACTTGAGGATTTCTATGACCACATTTGATCATACAAAGAAATTGCCACCCCCGTTTACTGCCCCTGGATTTGACTAAATGTTGGCAGTTTGGGCAGCTTTGGCTTTTTCTGGGAGCCTTAAAAGTCGTGAAATAAAATTCATAACCCAAAGTAGGTCTTATGGTCTTATATGACATTTAGCATACACAAGTACACAAATTGTACCAATGTTTTATAGAATGTTATTGCATTGGTACAGCCTTCTAATATCTCTCAATTTTTGTTCATCCTCATCACAGGTGTAACATGCATTATGCCAGTGCTTGAGAATATTTAATTCTGCTGTAGGAGACAAGAAAACATGGGCTAGGTGAAATTCACTAAGGAAATACACTAAAATATAGTTAATTTAGCCTTTTTAGTTTTTAACATCATGACTTGGATTATAGTGCAAGTGGCTAACAGAACTTCTGCATTCTACAGAAGAAAATCAACAAATGAAAAATGTCCAGAGATTAACCCCAAGCTGTAATAGAGAGACAGGTTCAAAAGATCTTAAAGAGTCAGCAAGTGACCTTTTTAAATAAATGAATATCACATTATCTCCTCTACTGGGGCAATTATTCCAAAGCTTGGTTTCTGCCTGTGTGTTATCCTTGCGGTTAGATCATTCTCATTCAAAGCTCCTGTGCTGCACTTTAAAACCAGTTCCGGTTGTCTTGAACCTAAGAATATCTGCTCACTGAGCTCTGTAGAAATAACTCAATCAAGTCTCTATTCAAATTACTTTTCTTGAAACTAAAACATCCTCTTATTTTTCTTCTTCCTTAAGAGACTGCATTTTATAATCCTTATTTTATTTTTCTTCTCTGAATAAGATCGCTAAAGAAGTGAGGGCCAGAATTGGACTATTCTCCAGTGAGAATTGACAAGTATGAGGCCAATGAGAAGTTTCTTAGAATCCTACAGATTCTCACAGAAGCAGGTGGCTGCCTAGTCTCAGGCTGGGCAAGTCACAAATTAAGTAAGAATGTGAAATCTGATACCATGCCTGACAGCATCCTGCTCTTTTTCTTTGCCCAACTCAGAACTCAGGTTTGACTTATTCTTCCAAAAGACTGAAAGCACTAAATTTATTTAAGTTTCAACTTACAAAATCTCCTTATGACTAAGTATACTACCTAACCCCTTTACCATCTCTGAAAGGCAGAAAAGGAGAAAAATCCAAATGGCATGTACAAAAACAAAACAAAAATAAACAAACAAAAAAACAGTGCTACTTCCAACTTACTTCATTCCCAGCTACACTTGTCATGTTAAATTGGGAATGCTATATCCAACTGATATTCTTTGTTATTCCTAACACCCTCAGTAATAATTTTAAAACATTATCAAAAGAAGTTGCAGAAGGGTTTCCTTTATGTAAAATATATTTTGTCTACTTCTATAGAAACTTTACACCAAAAAAGGCATCATCAGCACTTGCCTCCTTCAAAAATTTGCACGAGCTAAAATTTGCAACTCTTGTCTTTTAAAAGTAGTTTCTAACTGGTATAATATTTCTTTCTCTTCCTCCACATTATCTTCCAGTTTTAAAGTTTCCATCAGTAGAAATATAGACATGACATCAGAAATGCGCACACTCATATGCAATCATACGGAAAGTAAGTTCATATTGCATGTGCTTCTGCAGTTGGTGACTGCCACTTTAGCCAGGGTAAAGGTTTTTGAAGCTTCTGATATTTCTGTCTTGGAATTGCAAAGTTAAAAATGAGCAAACGCCACAAATTCACTTTGCCTTTTAAGATTTTCCTGGCATAAGATCAAAGAAAAAAGAAGAAAAGCCCAAGATAAGGCTTAAAACTATGAAGCTTGCACAAAGGCATGAGAATTGAAAAGTCTGTTTGCAGTTGAAATAACTCTGACAACAACTGCTGCATCCATAGAAACAAGGCCTCGGGTCTAGTCTGAATTTCAGCAATAAAAGGGAGAACAAATGTCTCAGGTACTGCAAATGTATTTAGGATCTAAACTCTCCTCATCTTGCTGAGAACTGGCCTTTAAAGAATCCACATTGTTCCCAGCTACTCGGGAGGCTGAGGCAGGAGAATCGCTTGAACCTGGGAGGAGGAGGTTGCGGTGAGCCGAGATCGCACCACTGCACTCCAGTCTGGGCAACAGAGTGAAACCTTATCTCAAAAAAAAAAAAAAAAAAAAGAATTCACATTGTTACACACTTAATTTGAAGTAAGTAAACAAAACTGAAGAAAGGTGAGCTAGTCCATGAAGTGCCTATTGGAATCACTTTTGCAATAAATAGAAAAGAGGGAAATTACTTAGGTTAATATATAAATCACGTACTACTTAAAGAGAAGTATGATTTTAGCCTCTGCTAGACAACTGGAAATGGAAGTTCTTTTTTTTCGGGGAGGCTGCTTTATAAACAAAACGTGAGCTTACCCAGCACGACCCAGGCACCAGGTATCTGTCCTCTCACAAACTTCCCTTCAGTAACTCATCCAAACAACACCATCCTCTCCAATTCACAAGGACAATGAGTTCACACTGGTGATCTCCTCCTGTGCCTGGAAAAAGACTTCACTGCCCAAAAGTCAGAATAGTAATTACAATTTACCTATGAGTGATTTTTTCTTCCTAAATAGCTTTTTCTATGTTCTTTCCAATGTACCTTTATGAATTGGCAATATGGGTCTACAAATAAAGATAGGGTATATGAGGCTTTAAATGCAAATCATGGTAATGTAACACTAAAATTTTCTGTGTATATGGTACATCTGAGGTTTTGTGAAGCCTTTCTTTTGTTTTCTTTTGGGTTCATTGTATCATCACTTTAATTTTAAAATAAGAATTAGCTTCCCTTATAAAACACATGGAGGTAGGCTAGTTAGTATTTACAAAAGAAACAGTGTCCCCACATCACTGCAAGTCTGCAGCAATGAATTTGATTCACTAAAACAAACTTTAGGAAGTATATATAGAAAAAAAAACAGCTTATGAATGTTTTTCTCAGCTTATTTGTATTTAAGTCAGATACTTTTACCTCTTGAAAGAGAAAATATTTTTCTGTAGAGCCCACAGTGACATCAGTTCTCTGAATACTCCTGCCTTTAAGTTTTCAGAAGCAAGAAGATATGAGTACAAAAGTATATACCTCGAGTCTCTGTGTACTATAAATATTAATCAGAAATCAGATAAAGAGAAAATTCAATATGATTGTGTGTATATGTGTACTCAAGTTTTTAAGGAAAGTGCTAATAGAGAGACCTATGACTACAAAGATATATATTTACATACATAATATATATTATTATGTTATGTATAATATATATAATATAAAAAGAGAGACATGTTTTTATATGTGCCTGCTATTGTCAATTTGAGACTATAGACAAGGACTGTGAATCTTCTCCTTTGGGATAAATATCTGTAGCTTCTGCCTCCAGCCCTCAGTTCTAAGCTAGACTGGGAAGTCCTAAAGCTCACTGGCCATGTCTCATCTCCTTTCTGTCCCCTGATGGCTTAGAGTTCTCAAATATGTAGAATGAAAGAATGAGGAGCTTTCAGGAACTTTCTGAGCAGCTGTGTCAGGGCAGAAGAAGTTGTACACTTTTCTATCTCTAATCTTTTCTATCTGTAACCATGTCTTGAATTTGACTTTTGAAACCGAAATTTAGGTTTCTCCACATTCTGGCTTGCAGGTTGTTTTACCCAAACTAAAGAAAAGTTAGTTGGGGGAAATAAGAGCTGGAGACTGCAACATCCTTACAAGGTGTTTATTACCTTCCTTTTTATAAAAGGGACTTGATCCCTTACGTGTGCATTGACTTGCTTAGTGTTGATGAAATTAGGAAACTTCCACAGATGGTGAGGACAGTCTGGAAGCTAGATTCGTGGACAGGTAAGCAAATAAACAAGTTGTAGGTGCATGTCTTAGACTTAGCATTCATGGTGGAACTGCTTCATCTTGGAGTGGCTTGTTTTTTTTTGTTGTTGTTTTTTGTTTTTTTTTATCTAGAGCTCTCAGAACCAGCAATCAAACTCTCCACCCCAGGTTGATTTTATATTCTCCTCATTTGTTGATACAGATGACTTCCAGCTTTTAAATATTTTGGGCCACTGCCTTGAAAATGAGTTTGCACAGTAGTAGAATAATTTGCCTTTGAACATTCTCTAAGTTCCACCTCACACATAATATTTTCAGTTCTCCCTCTCCTTTGACATCATCTTAGGCAGTTGGAGATACTATTATAGACTTAGAATCAGATGTAGATATAGACAGATATATACTTGTAAATACACTGACCAAAGTTTATTCTTAAATAAATGTCACATTATATAATTCATAATCCACCAGTGAGTAATTACAGTTTTATTATAGAAACTTAATGAGTGGGAGCTCTGACAATAAGTATTTTCATGAAAAACTTCCCTTAATCGTGATCAATACCTACACAGATATTTTGATAAGAAGTCCCTACCTGAAAACTAGTAGAAAAATGTTGAGGATTATGCATCCTTTTCATATTTTCAGGCCTAATAATGTGTAAGTATTAGCTAATATGCACACTACTGGCACTATATATGACTAACAGAGGAAGACTAAAACTTGGAAAATGATCTTGAATTAGACTATTTAGAAAAATAATATTTATTCAATTCTACTGCAAAGTACTTAGAATTATTCAGAAAATAAATCAATACTTTTAAAACTATCATGTTTTTAATATTTCTTATCAATATAACCAAGTTTGAGGTACTATGTGAATGAAAATAGTTTATTTAAAGTACAAAACCATAAAAGGTAATTTTTGCTTGGAAGTAAATAAAATATTAAATATTCCTGGGGTGTTTAATATTCACATATATTTCATTTTATATCAGGAATCTAAACTAAATCAGCCATTGGTTATGATGAGATAATCAACCAGGGCATGTGGTTTTATTTAAACTTCTAAAAAGCAGACAATACTTGGTCTTTCTTTTTTCTCTACTGCTTATACACAGCCTGCTTGAGTACCTTGCAAATTCAACAACAAAAAAATTAGTTTCGACATAATGTCTTATTCATTTTTACATTTCCCCCATTATAAAACACAGAACTGTGCACATATTTGGTACACAAGAGAGTTTTTAATTGAGTTAAACTGTGTAGAATATATTTCTGCATTATTCCAATCAATAGCCATTCAAGGGGAAAAAAACTCAAATCGTGTTTTCTAATAATGGTCCACTGGGTTATGCCTGGTATTCTCTTCTAGAGGGAAGTTGTGGAACATCTGGGGACCGCCAGCTGTTTCCTTTATAAATAGTGTTAAAGGTTTTCTGCGTCTGAGCTTTATGTGATTATCTCTTTGGGGAGCCTAATTTTATTGTAATCACTGTGCATTTCATTTTAGTAAGCATTCATATTCACTATCAAGACTTGTTCTTTATCACCAAACAACTGTTTAGCTGCTTAAATGTAAACGCAATGAAGGAATCCAGAAATACACCAAGCTCCAAACCCCACGTTTATTCCCTCTTCTGTATAAATCAGAAATATGTATTTGAGCATTTTATACATTTAAAGTCTTTTATTAAAAACAAATCATATTACAACTTTCTTCTAAAGTTACAGTTTTTAAAATAAGCAGAAGGAATATTTTGGTAAATTACTATGTGAGAAAGGCATTTTATTTCATTTCCATAAATGTGTGCCACCCTAGTATATCTTATTAATTTATTTATCCATTTTATTCTTGTTTGTTTGTTGTTTTTCAGTCTTTCATTGACTGTTTGGCCGTATCTAATTTTATTTAGCAAAATAATGATTTATTATTTATGTAATTCTGATTACCTTAATGGAAATATGAAAAATACACATAGTCAACAGAAAGAACTATTCAACTAATACCTTCGTAAAATGATCAGGTTTTATGTAATACCATGAAATATTTTTAAAAATGAAGTCCTGGGAGTATTTTTTTTAAACCTGTACAATTTTTAAACCTGAGTGTATGGTAGCTAAGTCATAATTCAACTAATTTTTGTTAAGTCTTCTCAATTTTTGCTAAATATCTTAGTAATTTATAATTTACTGAATGTTTACCATGCTATTTTCTTTTGTGTTTTCTTTTGGGGTATGTATATATGAACACAGGTGAATTATTGTCCTTGGAACAAATCATCTGGGATTTTGTGTACTTTGATATGCTTTCGTTCAAGAAACCTAAGAAATTGATGTGATACAATTTGTATCACCTTCTGAATTAAGAAAAATGCTGGATCAACTTTAAAATATTTTTCTCCAGAGGAGAAAGAGAATAAAACAACATGACCAAATTATAAGTAAATGCTTCTGGAAATCATATGATCATATTTTATCACTAACAATTTCAGTCTATGTGCTTAACACATTTAACATTATTCACAGTTTCCAGTATATCACTATACCAAGAATAAATGTCATTGACAAACATTCCTATAGAATCAAGGTCCTTTGCATCTCTACATTTTGTAACATAGTGTCTACAACCATCAGAAGGGATAGGAGACATTCTAAATGGCAGAAGTAACTCTCAACTGGGAATGTGTATTGAAATTTCATGTATAAACTTTCATTTGCTCCTCCCATGTAATTCTTATATGTCTCTCTTGGCTTGCTTTGGGTAAAGGCTGAGGAGGGGAAGTTCTGAGACTTAGTCCTGCTTAAAATAGTCCATGTCCTGAAAAGAACCTTCTTTCTGTGCCACACATCTGCCAAAGCCTTGCAACCCTCATTTGCAAAATGGTGATAGGATGTGCCCTGCTTTGCATTCACAAGGTTATTGTAAAGTCCTCATAATGACTTGAACACTCATTACTTAATTTTAAAATTTTACATGCAGTATCTCAAACCTTCCCAAATGTGTGTCTCCAGTGGGTTTCAGGTTCTAAAGTGAATAATTCCAGTACCACCTCATGATAGCCAGGAGGGTCCTGGGACAATCAGAGACCCCAGGCTGAAACCCTTAGTCTAGAACTATCATGAGTCACCTCATCATTTTACCTTAGTAGGGTATAGGAATTGTGAAGGGTGTTCTTCATTCAATAAAAGGAAGTAAAATAAGGATGAAAAGCACTGCTTAATTCATTTAATTATTATAATATCCTTACCAGATACCTATTATTAGTATTGCATTTTATAAACTTATAGCTTGAAACTGAAGAAAGTATTAATATAGGGTTAAGTGATGTACTTTGGAAAGATAACTTACATGATAATATTTGGAAAGAAGGTAAAATAAAATTATCGCATGAATTACCTTTAGTAATAGATATATTATGTCAATATCAAAACATTTTTAAAGCACAGAGACAGTTAAGCTTTCACCAATATTTAAGCTGAGTAATATAAATATTATATGACCACCATTTTCAAAGGGTTAGAGTTGTTGACTTATTTAATGTCTCTTTAAGTCCTTTGTATTATTGAAATCAGATTGACCATAACCTACCCAATATGTTGATACCTCCATAGAGATGTAATTATATATCGCAAGATTTATAGTTGATTGTCAACAAAAGTGGATACTATAAATGAAAGAAAAATAAAACAAATAATTTTGAGAGATGGAAAGGGAATGATGCTGGCCTATAATTTTTCCAAAACAAGTTCATTTGATTTAGTTACTCTTTTTCAAGTTGATTCATTACATATCTAGAGTTACCTGAAGAATACCCTGCTACTTCAGACTCAACCTCATTAACTTGGCTTCAAAGCCTTAAATAAGCCTTGATTTCAAACCCCCTCCATTCTAGAACTTTCCTCAAATTATTCTTATTGGGATAGGTGGAGAGTATGGTTTCCTCTCCCCATTTCAACTGTAAGATCCTAGACAGCTGCTACATGCACTTAGCTTTAAAGATTTCTATATTATAACCTAAAATATACTATTCAGTAATTTTTACATATTCAATTATGTACTTATGCAACAGAAATTTTATTACATAGTCTGATGCTATGATTAGAAAAATAATGGTGATCAAGTCTGACAAAAATCACTGCCCTAGTGGAGTTGTCTTTTTTTTTTAACGTTTACTTTAGGTTCAGGGGTGCATGTTATATAAGTACCCCTCGTTTGAATACTGGCAGGTTTGTTATATAAACAAATTCTGTCTTGTGGAGGTTTGAGGAACACATTATTTTGTCACCCAGGTAATAAGCATAGTACCCAATAGATAGTTTTTGATCCTCATCCTCCTCCAACCCTTCACCCTCAAGTAGGCCCTAGTGGCTATTTCCTTCTTTGTGTCCATAGGTACTCAAAGTTTAGCATGCACTAGTAAGTGAGAACATGCAGTATTTGGTTTTCTGTTCCTGTGTTAGTTTGTTTAGGATAATGGCCTCCAGCTCCATCCATGCTGCTTCAAAGGACATGATCTCATTCTTTTTTATGGCTACACAGTATTCCATTATGTATATGTAATACATTTATTTTTAATCCAGTCTACCATTAATGGGCATTTAGATTGACTCCATGTCTTTGGTATTGTGAATGGTGCTGTGATGAACATACACATGCATGTGTCTTTATGGTAGAATTATTTATATTCCTTTGGGTGTATACTCAATAATGGTATTGCTGGATTGAATGGTAATTCTGTTTTAAGTTCTTTGTGAAATCATCAAACTACTTTTTACAATGGCTAAACCAATTTGCATTTCCACCAGCAGTGTATAAGCATTCCCTTTTCTCTGCAACCTTACCAGTGTATTATATTTTGACTTTTTAATAATAGCCATTCTGACTACTGGTGTGAGATGGTATCTCACCGTGGTTTTGATTTGCAATTCTGTAATGATTAGTGAGGTTGAGCATTTTTTCATATGTTTGTTGGCCATGTGTATGTGTTCTTTTGAAAATTGTCTGTTCATGTCCTTTGTCCACTTTTTAATGGGGTTGGTTTATTTTGCTTCTAAATTTGTGTGAATTCCTTATAGATTCTGGATATTAGACCTTTGTCGGATGCATAGTTTGCAAATCTTTTCTCCCAATCTGTGGGTTGTCTCTTTATTCTGTTGATAGTTTATTTTGCTCTGCAGAAACATTTTATTTTATTCTATTTTTTTTTTTTTTTTTTTTTTTGGAGATAGATTCTCACTCTGTTGCCCAGGCTGGAGTGCAGTGGTGTGATCTTGGCTCACTGTAATCTCCGCCTCCCAAGTTCAAGCAATTCTCCAGCCTCAGACTTCCAGGTAGCTGGAATTACAGGCATGTGCTACCTCACTGGGCTAATTTTTGTATTTTTAGTAGAGATGGGGTTTCACCACGTTGGCCAGGCTGGTCTTGAACTCCTGACCTCAGGTGATCTGCCCATCTCTGCCTCCCAAAGTGCTTGGATTACAGTCATGAGCCACCATGCCCAGCCACTTTAGTTTAATTAGATCCCAATAGTCAGTTTTTATTTTTGCTGCAATTGCTTTTGGCATCTCTCTCATAAAATCTTCTCCAGGTCCTGGGTCCAGAAAGGGAATTCCTAGGTTATCTTCCAGGGTTTTTATAATTTTAGGTTTTATATTTAAATCTTTACTCTATCTGGAGTTGGTTTTTGTATATGATGTAAAGAAGGAGTTTGATTTCAGTCTTCTGCATACAGCTAGCCAGTTATCCCAGCACCATTTATTAAATAAGGAGTCCTTTCCCCATTGCTTATTTTGTCAATTTTGTTTAAGATAAGATGGGTGTAGGTGTGTAGCATTACTTCTGAGCTCTTCATTCTGTTCCATTGGTCTAGTTGTCTGTTTTTGTACCAGTACCAGTACAAACATCAGTACCACGCTGTTTTGATTACTGTAGCCTTATAGTATAGTTTGAAATCAGGTAGTGTTATAATCTAGACTTGTTCCTTTTACTTAAGATTGCCTTGGTTATTAGGGCTCTTTTTTGGTTTTACATGCATTTTAAGATAGCTTTTAAAAATTCTGTCAAAAATGTCATTGGTTGTTTGATATGAATAGCATTGAAACTTTAAATTGCTTTGAGCATTATGGCCATTTTAATAATATTTATTCTTCCTGTCCATTGGCAAGGAATGTTTTTCCATTTGTTTGTGGCATCTCTGATTTCTTTGAGCAGTGTTTTGTATTTCTCATTGTAAATGTATTTCACCTCCATGGTTAGCTGTATTCCTGGGTATTTTATTCTTTTTGCGGATATTGTGAATAAGATTGAATTAACTCTCAAATTGAATGTTATTTTTGTATAGAAATGCTACTAATTTTTGTACATTGATTTTGTATGCTGAAACATTGCTGAAGTTCTGTACCAGGTCAAGGAGCTTTGGGACAGAGGCTATGGGGTTATTTAGGTATAGAATTATATTGTCTGTAAACAGGGATGGTTTGACATCCTCTCTTCCTATTTTGAAGTATTTTATTTCCCTCTTTTGACCTGTTGCTCTGGCTAGGACTTTCACTACTGTGTTGAATATGATTGGTTAGTGAAGTCATCCTTGTCTTGTACTGGTTTTCAAGGAGAATGCTTCTAGCTTGTGCCCATTTAGTATGATGTTGGTTGTAGGGTTTACATAGATGGTTCTTATTATTTTGAGGTATCTTCCTTCAATGCCTAGTTTGTTGAAGGTTTTTAACATGAAGGGATGTTGAATGTTATCAAAAGCCTTTTCTGCATCTATTGAGATGAGCATGTGGCTTTTGCTTTTAGTTCTGTGTGTATAGTGAATCACTGTATTGGTTTGGGTATTTTGAACCAACCTTATATCCTAGGGATAAAGTCTACTTGATTGTGTTGGATTTGCTTTTTGTTGTGCTGCTGGACTCAGTTTGCTCATATTATGTTGAGAATTTTTGCATCTATGTTCATCAAGGATATTGGCCTGAGGTTTTCTTTTTTTGTTGTATTTCTGCCAGGTTTTGGTATCAGGATGATGTTGGCCTCATAGAGTGAGTTACAGAGGAATCTCTCCTCCCTGATTTTTCAGAATAATTTCAGTAAAAATGGTACTAGCTCTTTCTTACACATATGGTAGAATTTGACTGTGAATCTTTCTGGTTTGGGGCCTTTTCTGGTTGGTAGACTACTTATTACTGACTCAATTTTGGGACTCATTATTGATTCATTCAGGGATTCAGTCTCTTTCTGGTTCAATCTTGGGATGGTGTATATTTCCAGGAATTTATCAATTTCTTCTGAGTTTTCTGATGTGTGTGCATAGAGGTGTTCATAATAGTCTCTGGGGCATTTTTGTATTTCTCTGGGTCATTGATAATGTCCCCTTTGTCATTTCTGATTGTGTTTATTTGGATCTCATCTCTTTTTCCTTTATTAGCCTAGCTAGCAGTATATCTGTCTTATTAATTCTTTCAGAGAAACAGCTCCTAGATTCATTGATCTTTTGCATAATTTTTCACATCTCAATTTCCTTCAGTAAAGCTCTTATTTTGGTTATTTATTGTATTCTGCTACCCTTGGGGTTGATTTTCTCTTGTTTTTCTAGCTCCACTAAATGTGATGTTAGGTTGTTAATTTGAGATCTTTCTAATTTTTTAACGTGGGCATTGAGTACTGTCAACTTTCATTCTAACACTGCTGTTGGTTTGTCCTAGAGAATCTAGTATGTGGCATATTTGTTCTCATTAGTTTCAAAACATTTCTTGATATCTGTCTTAATTTCATTATTTACCCAGAAGTCATTCAGGAGCAGGTAATGTAATTTCCATATAACTGTATGGTTTTGAGTGATTTTCAATATAAAGAAGTTGAAGATGAGGAGAAATTATAATGTAGTGTGGTGTATGTGGGAAAGTACAGCTTTCAACTATCACAAAAATAATGGGAAAGAGAATCAAATGGGAGGTAAGGTAGGGGGAAGATGTTAACAGTGACCAGGAAAGCCTTCCTAGAGAAAGTTATATTTGAATCATCAAATAGAAGTTAGCTAGGTGAAGAAGCTGGAGAAGAAGTAAAGGAAGAGAAAGTGAGAACAGCAGGCAAAGAACTGCATCTTAAAGAGACTAAAAACTTTAGATAAAGGAAACAGTTCAATATGGTTGAAGTATGGAGGATGGGGCTGGGGAGATAGGTGCAATGTGAGAACAAGGCATAGGACACCATGGACAAGAGTTTGAACACTCTCAGTGTTTTAAGCAAGGTAGTGACACAATCACACATTTAGATTTTGGAAAGATATATTTATAGTGTGGGAAATTGACTGAGGGCACAAAGGATCACCGTTATGTTCTCATGAGACAGCAATTTCATATTGAATTAGGGCTAGTGAACAGGCTTGATAGATATTTGGGAAGTAGAATCCTCACATCTTCCTAACTGATTTGTTCTGAGAAGGATGGTCAAGGAGTGCTAAGAGTCTTGGACAATTCTCAAATTTCTGGCTTGGGCACCTGGGTGGATGACAACCCTCTGTCATAAATACATATGCCAGAAGATCAGGTTTTGCACAGTACAAAGTGAGTTCAGTTTTGAGTGAATTAATTTGAAACTACCAATATTATATGCAATTAGAAATGCCCAAAAAGTAGATGACTACACAGGTCTGGAGCTAAGGAGGTAAATCTCCAATACATGTGTAGATTTGGGAGATATCACAACTCATTTTGCTTTTGAAGCCATGACAGTCACAAAGCTCACTTTTTAAGGAAAAATGAGATGACAAGAGGGCCTAGCACATTTAAGATAAAAGTAACATTGTTGGCACCTGCGCAGAGACTGAGAAGGAAGAGCCAGAACAACAGACCAAAAAGGCAAGTATATTGCCCTAAGTGCCGCGGAAAAGGAATGTTATAAGAGGAAGTGATGAGGTGTGTTAAATGTCGTTAGTGGGTCCAAGCTATGAAAACAGCACATTATATTTACTAAAGGGATGTGTCAGTGACTAGGATGGGAAAAGTTTCAGAGAAAAGGTGCAGGATAATAAAATAAGCCAGTAAGTGTAACATCTCTTTTATTAAATTATCCTGTGAAGATGGGAGATAAAAATCAAGTGTAGATTAAAGAGAATATGAGCTAGAAAGACTACATTTTTCAGATAGAAGACACCTGAGGTTGTTTAAATCTGATAGAAAATGAGAAACAGAGAAGGAAAATTTGTCCCGAGAGAGGGGACATAAACAATAGATCAGTGTTCCTCGGAAAGCAGAATGGAACAGGAGCCATAGATCAGATGAAGGGACTGGCTTAGGACTCTTCAGTTGTAACAAGATAGAGGTGAAATGAATGAGTACAGGGGTAGGTAAACATGAGGCTTTAGTGACAAGAGACTGAGGGAATCCTATCAGCTGTTAGTTGATTATACTGGCACATAGTGAAGTACAAGGAGTGATGTGAATATTGGAAGGGTTTAAGGGAGAGAGAGAAATTATATAAGGGAAAGGAACCAGGGGGTCCCAAAATAATGAAGAATAAGAGATTTGGAAAAACTGGTGAGAAAGGTGAAAGGCAGGATGTTATGTGCAGGTGATGGCCCAGTGCAAGATCTAACTATTAGAGCGGATTGGAGAAATGGCATAAAGGTGCAGATCAATGTGTTTGTGGGAGAACTAAGAATACAGAGTTTTATATGGTTCATTTTATAGGTTACTATAATACCCAGGATTATTATGAGTATTGAATTGCAAAAGAATAAGCCCAAAAATATAAGGATGGGTGTAGAAGAGAAGGTAGATGAGTCCCGCAACTTGTCAGTGATCAAGGAACTAAAGATGCTGAAGTGGACTCAGCTGACCTGCAGGTGAAGTCATTTTTGGTAGATGAGTCCTGCAACTTGTCAGTGATCAAGGAACTAAAGATGCTTCAGTGGATTCAGCTGACCTGCAGGTGCAGTCATTTTTTGGTGGATAAAGGAGTGTCTCTCAGAGCAATGAGCTGTGGCCCTTTGACTGTGTTTGTAGGTCCTCTCCAGCTGAGCAAGGGATTTTTCTGTTTTCATATGAAATAGTAGCAGCTTATTGTGGCTAGAAGAACACTGGAAAGAAACAGTCATGGTCTACTTTTACTACATGATCTGGGTTTAATACTGTGGTTCCCATGAGGAGGTGACCCAGCCTATTTGCTATGGGTGGAATGGGCTGAGGCACCAGAGGTCTTTGCCTAGTTTTTTGATGAGACAGGTTTCTGAGTCAAATGGAATCAAAATGGAATTTTAGCCACAGTTTTAAGAATTTTCAGCCTCGATTAATTTAAACCATTGTAAACTAGTCTACATATAAAATGGATTTAAACTGCTGGTATTTGGACTACCAATAAACCAAGAGAGTTAACATTATTCCAACCAATGAGCAGGGGAACTGTCAACATGAAGAATGTCCCTTATACACTATTCAGTATCACGTACAAACAATAATCCAATGCCACTTTTGTTAACACTGGGAGTAAGCTCATTATTTTATCCTCTATCAGAAAAAAAATTAAATAAATTAGAAGAATATATAAGGAATTCATATATATATGTGTGTGTGTATGTGTGTGTATATGTGTGTGTGTGTGTGTATATATATATATATATATATATATATATATATATGTATATCTACTTTTTCAAAGGACAAGAAATACCATAAATAAAATGGAACCATTTTAGCATTTTTGAAGTATTTGTCATTTTTTCCTTCCTACTGTATGTGCTAAAATGTAGGGCAGAATACCTTCTTTGGTGTTGCCGAGGAAAAATCTGGTGCTAATTTGGAGAGGACAGTTAAATTTGCTAAGTGTGAAACAAAGACATTTAGTGTTCTCTCCACTTTCTTTTTTTCTTTTTTTTGCCCTTACTGGGTTTATCACATAAGAATTTGTTAAGTAGTATTATGTGAGCATGAGTTAGCACTTACAGCTTCTTTGTAAATTCTGAAGGTATAAACATTCTGCTTCTGACTCCAGCTGAACTTACCAAATGATGAGAAAGTTATCACCATATCATTATTTTGAGGTTTTATCTTTACAGGCAGGAACATTGGTTTTGCAAATTTGCAATTCCTTTTTCAGCCTGAAAAAAGTGGTCTTGGGAATTTTTTTTTCCAATTAAGAGAATTAATGTCATGGTTTACATCTGTAAATAACATGTCTTTATTCAAGACTATAAAGGCATTTCTTGATGTTCTGAATTTAAATACTCTCCAATTTTTATAATCTACAAATAGGTAATTAATATAAAATTTCAATATTACTTGGATAGAGTTTGTAATGAAGATTTTTCTGGAACTATGAGAATTAATAAAAATAGAGTTGTTAAATACTGCCAGTCTCCAGAAGGTTTGCCAGTCACAAATATGGAGAAGTGTGATAACATCACACTTATCTTTGGGTTATATACTTCTCATGTCAAACTCTAATTTTAAGAAATAAGAGACTTTAAAAGTCTTCACAAAGAGTGCTTTCTCAAAAAACTTCTTTTCACCCTTTGGAAGGGTAGAACCCTGGAGGAAATCCACTTGGCCTTAATGTATACCCCAATCTGTGCATCCAAGTTATAAGTCAGAAGCCTGGACAACTTGCAGGATGTCCTGTAACTCAACAGAAACAGTGAACGTGGTTCTATGGCATTCCGTATTTGGTGTTCTCAATACTACAAGGCCAATCTTCAGGAAGTTTGGAACCACCTAGAATTTTCCTAGACCAGGGAAAATGCTTTCATCTAACATAAAAAAGACCATTCTCATGGTGAATAACAAAATAACCCATTTTAGGTTTCTTTCTTCCTTTCTTTTCTGCTTTCCTTCTTTCACTCACACATTAGCCAATGTTCCCTCCTTCTACTGACAGAGTCATTTTGCTCTTTCTTTCTTCTCCAAATAAACCTGTTAATTGTGTCTGACACCGCTTGTTTATATTTGAACACCAATTTGAGTTCACAGGTAAACTTTCCCAAGACTTTGGCAACTTAGGCACAACCTCCAATAGTGAATGTGTCTGACAAGGCTCAGTGCTGTCTTGATTCCTCTTTCAGAGGTGAAAACTTACATGCTGATACGGTTTGCTCTGTGACCCTACACAAAACTTATCTCAAATTGTAATCCCCATAATCCCCACGTGTTGAGGGAGGAATCCAGTGGTCGGTGATTGGAACATGGAGTGGTTTCCCCTATGCTGTTCTTGTGATAGCTAATGAGTTCTAAGGAGATCTGATGATTTTATAAGTATTAACATATAGTATTAACATTTTCCCAATGAAACAAATGCTCCAGAAAGATACACCACAGTGAGCATTATCTAATAAAAACTCATCCCCCTTCACTGTTCACACTTCTCTCTCCTGCCGCCTAGTGAAGAAAAACGTGTTTGCTTCCCCTTGCGCTATGATTGTAAGTTCCCTGAGGCCTCCCAGCCATGCAGAACTGGGAATCAATTAAACCCCTTTCCTTTATAAATTACCCAGTCTCAGGTATTTCTTTATAGCATGAAAACGGACTAATTCACATGCCATGCTGCTTCAGCTTTCAGCCCTCTTCAGAAATTGTGTTATCTGAAAAGCATCACATTGTCCGATATCTCAGCCCCTTCCCAAGGTGGCTTGTTTCTAATTACTAGTCAACACAAGATTATAAATGTACAGCCCCTTTGCCACAACTAGGAACAACTTTCAACATTCATTCCAGTTTGAGAGCTTTATGTAGGGTTTTGAGAGGCCTTTGTTAATATTAAATTATATCCAGTTTTTCAATCTGTTCAGGGTTCTTCCCGTCCTTAGGTGCTTATTTCCAGAATACATCCTACTATATTTTTTGTACACGAATCTTCTCAGAGTCTACTTCCTGGGAAGCAACGAAGAGATTCTGTTTTATCATAATTTCTCACATGAGTACAAAGATTAAATGAAAATAAAAATGTGCCGGTCACTCCATAGATGATCAATAACTATGCATTGGATGAAAGAAAGATTTCATGCTTTACTAAGAGCTTCAGGTGTCAATGAGCAAGCAAGTTCTTTTGCAGAGGGGTTGGGAAAGTAGATCTGGCAATTTTCCCGGTGCCTCTGAAATAACTTCATTTGGACGGCCATAACCAACAGGTAATTTTTTTTTTTTGGATTTTCTTAGTTTTTAGCCTCACCTTGCTGATATGTCCTGAGACTTCATGTTCCCAGATTTTTGTCTATGCTTTTGGGCAATTATGTTCAGAATTATTTTCACTCAAATACTCTTCTGAGCCAGAAAGGTAGTTAAGGCTCCCTCCCTCATGCCCAGTAACCAGCACTGAATTAAAATGTCAATGATATAATGTAGTTACATTTTTAAATTTCCCGCTTTTGCCTATCTATATTTGTTTTTCTTTTGCCTCTACAAAATGGGGACAAGAAACTTTTAGGGATGTTGTAAGGATTGAACCAATCACTCCCATAGGTTTGGTGTGAATCCTCTTTGCTTATAGGTAATTTACATTGTCTAAGTATCAACTGCATGCTCAGATTCCTATTGTGATCAGAAATTTACAGAGTCAGTACTATTTTCACCTCTTTTTGTGAATATTTCAAACATAATTTGCATACAGCAAAAGCATAAACAATAATTGTTAATACTAACTTTCCTTAAATTGTTTCCCTAATATTAACTAGTATCTTAGAATGTGAAATAACAGCTATTTGAGTAAGTAGCAGATAAATTAGTAGATGGTTTTGTCCACAGCTCTCATCTTTGAGACAAAGCAGAAAAGAAAGCAATGGCAGTATTTCATACAGTTTTGCCCTTGGAGGTTTATGCTCAATAAATGGTATTATTGAAATCATCATTGTTAGTATTAACATTTTCCCAATGAAAACAGATGCTCCAGAAAGATATACCACAGTGGGCATCATCTAATTCCTAATATAGTGGTTTGCTTTGTAAATATTTTGTTTTTATTTTTAATTTATTCCATCAGGCAATTGATGGTAATTTTTTTAATGTGATAACTCACATTCACATGTAATTTACATAAACTCATTAAACCCCAATTCTGTTTTCTATTATTCTAGGAAATTTCAATCCAAGCCTAAAATTGTGAACTGCAGAGGTAATCTGAAGGTTAAAATTACTCTTCTAGTTTTTAATGCTGATTTTTTTAAGTGATTTAAGATAGAAAATACATTAGAAAATATTTAAGCAGAATTTGGTAGTCTCTCAGTGATTTAAGAGTAACATGATCTAAAATAAATGAGTAAAATGTGAATCAATACAACTCAATTCTTATAATATAGGGAATGTGCTTCCTCCAAGGCTCAAACAATATGAAATAGAGAAAAGCCATTATCTCACCTGATCATTCTCAAGTGGTACATCATTCAAGCAATGGGGCTTCCCTCATTTCCAAGATTATTGCTCTATGCTAAGGATAAAAGCCTGTTGGAACATTTGCCAGATCCTATTTTCCCAGGCTCATTTGTTCACTCTACTTACAATTTTTTGAACAATTTTTTGAACAATTCAGTTTTTTCCATGATGTTTTCTGCCTTTAAAAAAATCCTATGAAAAGTTACACCATATCAACTTAGAATTAGGTACTTCTGTTCTGGCACAATTCTTCTTGCATGTAAAAAGTTCTACAGTGGAACTGTCTTTTTATGTCTTAGACCTCTGATGACACCACTCACACACACAGACATGGAATAGAAGCAGTCCTTGATTTTCCTCTAACCCTCTTGAATTAGTGAATACAAATGAGCATCTGTATCTGCTAAGTCACCTGTATAACTCTGGGCAAAGTGTGCAATCTCTCTGCACCTCAGTTTCCTCAACCATTAAAGAAAGTAATAATAAATACCTATACTACTACGTGGTCATTATGGCGTTTAGATCAGTTAACACACATAAAGGGCTTAGAAAAATATGTGCTAAATAGTGCTAAATAAATGTGAATTACAATAATTATAAAAGTATTCATATCCTTCTTTGTTTCTTTCTCTAGCTTTTTGTCTTATAAATCTGGGAAGACTGTAAAGGTGTTAGCATTGGGGTCTTATGGCAGAGGACATGGCTGATGAAAGAAGAGAAAATGACTTTCTCCCACGCTTGTTCAAGCAGTGGGAGCTGGGTCTCTTCCTTGTTTCTCCTCTTCACCAGCGTCCCAAGCCCTTGCTTTTCACTCTCTTCCTTCCTCTCACTTTCCAGCATTGGGTTAAGCTCTTTATAAATTTTAAGCTGGCAGCTGAAACTGGCAGAATTAAATGAGAAAAAAGAAAAAGGAAACCTGTTCAGCTATTTCCTCCCACACGCTTCCTATTCTCAGTCCCCTTATTCCTATCATCCTTGCTTTTCCCTAACATCCTGGTATCAATCTCATCTTAGTAAGAAAGGTGGGAGGAAAGGGCAAGAGAAACCTGTTTTCCTTCTCATAGAGCTGCTAGGACTGCTGTTTCTCCCTCTCTACCTACTTCTAGAGGTGCTCCCAGCCACACACAAGGCTCACTGAGCAGTAGTGAGTATCAAGGAAATGAAGGTTCAAGAAAGGTTAGCTCCACCCCGCCATTGTTTCATGCTGAGTCCCTGGCCTACCTCTCTGGTCTCCTTCCTCTTAAAATCTCAGGAATGAGTCCTACCTCTTATTCTCTCATACTATTCCAGATTCTCTGCCCTGATTCTTGAGCTATCTGCTCTGGTCGGAAAGCATCACCTCAAGGAAGCTGGAGGTCTTGGAAACGTTCCTATTGCCATCAGTGAGAGCGAGAGAAAAGAGATGACCTCCCTTGCCCATCTTGATTATGGCAATATAGAGAGGGAGGTGTTGTCCTAGCCTTCCATACTGGAACCTAGAAATACTTTTCTTCCACTGAAACATGGCTAATATGTGCTAAGACCTTCAGATTTATTAGCATTTTTCTTCATAGACATATGAATGTTTTTTCTTGAGTTACTTAGAGATTTGTAAAGGAATTAGACCACCTGTGCAAAATTGATTCTACAGGGGAAAAATCCATTTCATGTTCCAAGCCACTGAAGTGTAAATTACCTTTGGGACAAAGGCCATTTTTAGGATGAGAATTGTCTGTATCTACAAAGTACAGGATATATTATGACCCGCCTCTTAGGGATCATAACCCAAGATTGCATAATACAAAAGCTTCTGGTCTAGTGGGGTGTTTTGTTTGCTTTTTTTTTTTTTTTACCATTTTAATAATGTTTTCATGGATTTCAACATGCACATACAGATACTGACTTCACTATAAAATAGGTTGACAACTTTTTAAAAAGTAATCCAATTTCCTACCAAAAATTCCAACAGTACAATATGCGTATAAAATAAAAAGTCTTTCTCTAACTGCAAACCTCCCTATTTCCAGAAATAAACACTGCTAATAGTTTCTTTTCCAGGGGACTCCTTTAATAACTTCAAAACAAATATTAATATCTTTAATGGTTTCAGGAGGGTCTTTTAGAGAGGCCCAAGTACATTTGCCACTAGTAGCTCCCAAAAGTTTCTCTAGAAAATATAAGTTTTCAATTTAATTTTGTTATCTCTAATCAGTAAAAACCTGAGCAAAATACTGTCTACTATAGAAGTTTCTGTGAGAATGTGGGGCTCAATTATGTCAATTAAGGTCTTTGGCCTTTCTCTCTAAGTCCCTGGTGCAGGTCTGTCCATGACTCAAATTATTGTCAGGCTTATCAGCAGTTAATAGCATTGTGCTGATACAGCAATGCTTCTGATAAACTCTTTCAGTTGTCTTACAGGTGCACTTTAAAAGGAAGGTCATCTGCACACAGCAGTAGCTGAATGACATTTGAGGGTTTTCAAGACAGTGGAGTTAAATGAGTTCCCATTAGGAACAAGCATATTTCACTCTGGCACGATCCTAAACATGCCTTGGTATAGCAGTTTGACTGAGACAAAGCCTGCTACAGTGTATTTTCTTTCTAGTTGATAGAGAATTTGGTAAAATCAAGTTGGTAAATGATCAAATGATCATATCACAAGCTCAGAATTTGGTAAAATAAAGTTGGTAAATGATCAGATGATCATATCACAAGCTCAGGATCTAAATTAATTTCTAGCCAGATTGGCCTCAGAGTCTGCTGATAGGTTAGAAACAATGTAGATCCTTTACACATTTTTTTAACCCTTTGCCCATCTTTGTAAAGCATCTGAGGCTTCTGTGCTTTGTTAATATTTTCCTGTCCTTTGTAGATGAAATTTTATATATCTCTTCATTCTACAAATGTGATTTGAATAGGTATTATGTATTCAGTGCTGTTCTAGGTACTTAGAGTACATTTGTACCCCAACTAACAAAGATCTCCACCCTCACAGAATCCACACCTTGGTAGGGGGAGACCAAAAGCAAATGATAAATATCAGAAACAAGTAAATTATATATTATGTTCAAAGTTGACATATGCTTTAGAAAATATTTTAAAAGTAGAACAAAGTAAGGGCCTTACATAGTAGCATATGGGGGTTTAAAAAGGGTAGCATGGGTAGATCTCTGAAAATGAAGCATGTAAATAAAATCTTGAAAGAAGCAAGGAATTAGCCATGAAGGTACCTGGGCAAGAGCAGGGGGAGAGCAGACAAAACTAACATACTAAAAAGTGTCTGAATGACAGCAAGAGGCCCACAGCGAACAGGGAGAAATGTAGCAGGAGATGAAGTCAGAGGTAACAGGAGCCAGATCACACAGGGCTGCATAGAGCATGGCATAGACTCAGACTTTTAAAATGAGGGAAGTGAGGAGCTGTGGGAGATTTGTGAGCACAGGAGATCCACAATCTATTGCAATATTAAAAGGATTGTTCTGGTTTTGGGCTAAGATTATAGAGGGTTAAAAGTAGAAGCCGGAAGGCCATTTAGAACATTATACCAGTAATCCAGGGAGGCATAGAGTTTGTTACCTTTCCAAAGTGTATTTTAATTTTACCAGACAATGCCTCACCTCCCTGAAAAAAAATGATTGTTTAATTAAAAACAAAGAGAAGAAGGAGGAGAAAGAGAGAGAAGAAAAGAAGAAGGGGGAGATCACTAATAGTTTAAGCATTGCTGAAGAAGAAATTTCAGGTGGAGCTCTTCATGGGCCCCTCAAATTATTCCACAAGCATAATTGCATTGATGTACAAGATAATGGTTGTGTCAGATTATTCTAGAAATTGTGAGAACAAGAAATGTTGAACAGAGATGTATATAATGCTTTCTGTTCACTCATTCATTCATGCCTCAAGTGTTCCTTAACGCTTGTGAGTTAGGAACTGTTCTAGACAGTGGGAACATAGCTGTGAACAAAACAAACAAATGTCCAAGCCATTGTATTACTTGTATTCTAGGAAAAAGTTATAAAAGTAAAAATAAACAAGTTATTTAGCATATTACACAATGATGAGAGTGCCACTGGAATAATGTAGAGCTGAAATGGAGGGCGCAGAGAATGTAACAGGTGGAAGATATTTCAGGTTTATTTAGAGAGCTCAGGGTAGACCTCAATAATGAGGAAAAGTAATGAAAGGATATGAGTACCACACTGATTTCAAAAACTGATAATAGAGCTCCTATGGCTTCCAAAAGAAGTTAAAAATTGATAACTTATTACACCTCTGATTCGAAAGGACTTTGACCAGGAATTTGGTAATGATTGAGCTATAAGAAAATACTATATCAATTGTAATCTTTTTATCATGATGATTTTTAGTGCAAATCTCATATTGTACTGTATTTGAAATCTCATATATAATTCACTGTCAAATGAAAGAACACATATCATATGATTTCTGATACAGTTAATTACAATTATTATGTTTTCTTTCTTTTTTCAGTGCTACATATATTTAGGAAATTGCTAAAAAGAATATAAATGAGAATAAATGTTTTAATTCCGAAATACCCTTCTATCTACCTTATGTCAGTCTTTTTCTGAAATAAATTAAAAGTTAAATTGTTTTTAAATGTAGGAATTGCTCTAATAATAATAAAAGAAATGATGCTACTTTTCCAAATGTGGCTTGGCACTCTGATATTACAGTTAAGCCAAAATCTGACTGGAATCTTTGACAATTCTGTGATGAACTGCACCTTTCCAGCTGACTTTATGTAGCCACATGTTCATCATCCAGAATAGTAGTCATCTTTAATATGTCAAAAATCTGAACAGCTATGACATTCATTCCAAAAGTTCAACAAAATATATTAACAAGTCTTAGGCTTTATGAAGAAAGGGGTTGTCTAGGTGATGATGAGAGATTTCTTTTCCATTTTCTCAATCTGGGAACCAAACTCAAAGACCACAAAGCATTTAAATATTATCACTAACCTGTGACCTACAATCTTCCTCCAGGTGATATTGAATAGCAAGATTTTAAAAACTATTAATATATTCTTCAAAATAGGAGCTTATTAGGAAATGTGGTATCCATGAATAAATAAAATTGAGGGACACTGTTTTTAAACACCATTGCCGGTTTCCTTACTGAAAGATTTCTCAGTGATTTTAATAAAATGTAGCCCCAAGAGATTGATATAATTAGCAATGCTCTTCAACAAGCTATTTCTCATGAAATCATTAGTTTTGTAGAAAAGCCTATTTACAAGGAACATTGCTGGGGAAGCCTTTATGTAGAGGGTGGAAGTAGGAATGATTATAAACACTTAAACCCTATATCAGGTGTTGGCCACTTCATTCATTATGTTCTCTTCAACTCTATGTATTTTTCAGAACTCTTTTATATGCAAATGCAGAAACCCAATTGATATTGGCTTAAGCCTCCCAAAATAGTTTCCTGTGAAATAAAAGTGAAAATATAGGGCTAGAACTGGCTTTGAACATGGCTAGGTCCAGGAATTCAATCATGCTTCTATTCAGTCTCTGACTCTCCTCGGCCTGTGGCTGGTTCACATCCCTCTTAGTCAGCTTCTTTTCAGAAGGTGACCACCCAGCAGAGTCAGATTTAATTTTTCTGAGCCTCTTAGTTTAGCAGAACAGTGGCTGCTCCTTCTACATTGTGCAATGAAGTTCCTTAATTAAGTCTCATTGGCTTGGCTCTGGTGATGCGCTTATTCCCACAACCAGGCTCATTTGTCAAGAGGATGGGCTTTACTCATCAAAGTCTGCGGCACATGCCCAATTCAGAATTAGCACGGGGAGCAGGTCAAGCTCACCCCTCCCCATGGTCTGAAAGTGGGAGGACAGTTCCTCAAAATGTAATGAGGTCTCTGCTGTACTTATGAAAGTAGGGATGAAGGATTGTCAACAAGAAAAAAAAAATGGCCACAAATCAAAATTGTAAAACTAGCTGAGGTAGAAGTAAAAGTAAAAGATAACTCTACATTTTTTAAAAAGAAAAATCATGTTTTAAAAATATTGGATACTTCTTCTTTAGCATATAACTTTATTAGGGTATTTAATAAGCTGCACTTATTTGCATAATAGGTTATTTCCCCCATTTGACTCTTGACTCCCTATACATATATATCCCATTGCACCCAAGATTATCCTGTGGAATTCTATGGATTTGTTTGCAGCTGCCTTCCTCATCACTGGAGAGCTCCTCAAAGATCAGGGTCTTGTTGTGTACTCTGTGAACACAGTGCCTGGCACACTGTAGGCATCTCATGCTTGTTGAAGAAAATGGAATTCTTGAGGCAGGGAGTATGTCTTACTTACCTTCTTTCTCTAGCCCATATTACCATACATATACAGATGTTCACTGAGTGAGCAAACAAATGCTTAAGAAAATAGAAGACAGTAATTTAGAAATACGCAGGACTCTAGTGGTAAATAAATTTTATTTCTTTTGCGCATTCAAAATCATAACTTAGGCATCACTACAATGAGAGACTACTGCTGAAAGAATGGAAAATCCATGATTTTTAGGCTCACAGAAGAAATGAAATGTCAATATCTATATGAAATTATAATTTTAATTCTGTACTGCTCAGTAAGTGGGTTAAATGAACAACAAAATAAAAAAAATTGATATTAAGTTTTAAAAATTACAATGCAAATATATTGCTCAAAATTATAAAATTGTTTGGAAAACCAAATGCTAGTGTCTCAGATGATTGGGACAGAGGCTGCTGGTTGTCCTTTCAAGATTGTGTTCCCTTCTTTCTCAGTAATAGGAACCCCAAATCTTAGCTGGGCATCTGGCAGCATCACGCAAAAATTACACTTTCTGTCTGACCATTCAGCTAAGTGTGTGTAGATAACGAAGTTCTGGAAATGGTATGTACACATAAATAGGTCACATCTTCTTGGAAATATCTTTAAAGGTCAGGGATATGGCCCATCCCTTTCTTGCTCTCTTTCTTATTGTCAGAACTAGTTTTTATGGCTAGAGTTGAAACAGCCATGTGAGACCATGTGATCCTTGGGTATGGAGACCACGCATGGCAAGCAGCAAGACAGATGAAGCCTGCTCCCATAACATCATGGACCATCATATTCATATCACCCCTGGGCTTCCCCTCTGGACATATATGTGAGAGGAAAATAGACTTCTATTGTGACTAACCCCCTTTTATTTTGAGTTTATTGTCATTTGTGACCAAACTTAGTCCTAACTAAAGCAATGACTATTTATTATCTATGTCATATTTCCATTCCATTAACATGAATAACAGACACTTGCTATGTTCTGACCTACAAATCTCTTGGTTAGCCTTTCACTTTCTTTCTGGTCAGTTTTTGTTCTAAGCCTTTGAATGTTACAGGCAGTAAGGTCAACAACAGCACTTTGCCAAGAGCCAAAATATCTCTCCAGGGAGCCTATAGCAACACTGACAGGATATCAGGCTTTAACATCCAAACCACATGACTCAGATTAATTGATTTCTTCTTCCCCCTACTGAAAGGATTTTAAATAGTTCTGTAATGCCACTATCAACCCACCACCTTATCTGACATGTGTCCTTTCTGAAAGACCCATTCAAGCTCTACTCCTCTTTTTCTCAGCCCAGCCCTGGGTGACCTGAGCCATTCCTCTTATTCTCTTTGCTGCTCATTTGGCACATACCATTTTTTTTATGGGGAGAAGTGAGACTGCCTCCTTCCCTTTTCTACCTTCAACTGTGTAGAATCCACTGGTTTGGCTATTTATTTTTAGTTTTCAAAATACCGTAGAGCATGAATAAAGATCAAGAGAGGAAGGCTTTTCATGTCATGTTTTTTGACTAATTACAAAACAGGATATTTTAAAAGTTTCTTGCCCTATTTGATGACCAAACTGAAGTCAATTTAATCAACAGAATATCATGGTCTCTCTGTCAGTGCTGCAGCACTTTGTTTTAGGAACTTGCACTATTTATTATTTGCCCAACTCACTGCCATTGCAGTAAGAATATTCCATGTTTAGAATCTAGAATCTAGATTAGAATTAGAATCTAGAAATTAGAATCTAGAATCTAGAATCCAGCTATTACATGAATATGTTCTGAAGTATTTCTTAGCAATACACTGTTAGATAAATATATAACTGAGAGGAAGTAAACACAGAAGGTGCTCAAACTTCTTTGAATTAATAGAATGACAGAACATTATTTCCAGTCATTTTTACTAACCTCATAAAATGTTGTCTTGAAACAGATGAAGGAATGGAGACACACAATTTCCTCATGATCTCCCTAGATGATAGCCCCAGAATAAGAACAAGAGCCCATAGCTCTGTGCCCTAGCTCCTGGACAGAGTGGTCTCAGCAACAAGTCACAAAGTCCCCACAATTGCAGAGCCCTGGTCATCACCATCTTCTTATCTTCTCCCACTATTGCTTGTCTCTGCCTGCCTTGGGATAAGGGCCACACACTGGCAGAGTGTCCATCATGCCCAGAGGAGCAGGCACTCATCAGCTGTACTGCCATGTGTGACTCAACCTGTCATACTGAGGCTATGGCTTCCCAGTGCCTGCCTGGAGGGGCCAGACAAGACAACTTAGACATGGGGAGGAGAGAGCACTCCACCGTGAGAAGTTTGGCCAATTAGAGACAGCAGGTAGCAAGAAGCTGGCAGAGAAATTGCTCTTGTCTTGCCTGTTATGGATTTTCCCCGATTGTAGGTCCAGCTGTGTTTTCTTCTTAAGCTGTGGATGAATCAGAAACAAATTTATATTTGATTTTCCTCCTCACTTTCCCTTTTACTCTTACTCCCCTGAATAATAAATTAGCACCTAAGTTTGTCTAGGCCTCTGCTTTCTAAGAAACCTAGATCTCTTAGTTCGTGCTCCAATTAGTATACTCAAATATCTGGCAATCAAGGATTACATCTGCAATCCAAGCAATAGTACAACAGTAAGCAGGAAAAGAGAAAGCATACAGCTTCTCCTTAGTCAGACAATTTCCCAGAAATTATAAACAACACTTCTTCCTAATTCTCATTGGCTACACTTGGAAAAAGAGACATACCTAGCTACAAAGAATGCCTAGATGTTCCAGAAGATAATGTGTTAAGCTAAAATTTGCAAAACCATAATACAGGAAGGAGAAGATAATTTCAAGGGTGGACAATCAGTGATATTTCATACAGTATTCACAGATTGGAGCTGAAACAGTCTGACTCCTAAGTCACTGTTGCAGTCATTTTTCTCTATCTGCAAATCTCCAGCACACCTTTCACCATTTTTGTTTTCAGTTAATGACCTTGGTTCTTTTCTCAATAAAAAATTGAAGCAATTGAGAGAATAATTCTACAAGCTCCTATTGTAATATCTGCCCACCTGCTTGCAACTATGTCCATATTCTTTGTGTGTATCTTCACTCCTAGTCAAGGCCATTCCTTTCACTTGTAAATTACGTCTCATTCTTTCTCGGTCATTCCAATACATCACTCCACTTATTCTTTTCTTCTCCTGTGGTTCACTGTTTGAAGCAGACAAAAGCATGTTGTAATTTCACCTGTCTCCAAAAAGACTTTCATTATCCTCTTCCTCCTCCAGTTACTGTCCCATTTCTCTCTTATTATTTACAGCAAAACTCCCCTTTTGATGCAGTTACCTCACTTAGCTTAAATCACAACGTATTTGGCTGTTTTTTTTTTTTTTTCTACCTTTCTGGTCCCTGCACCTGACTCTTCTCACTGAGTCATCCTCTTCCTCCTCACTGCTAAATGTTAGAATGCTCCAAGGCTCAGTCTTTGATTCTCTTCTCTGTGCTATCAGTGCTTACGTGCTAGGTGATCTTTTCCAATTTCATGGCTTTGAATACCATCGGTGTTCTCATAGCTCCCACATTTGTGACATCTTTTGTGGTCCCTACCTTTCATACTCAACAACCACCAAATCACTATCTCTACTTGATTTCTAACAGGTATTCCTTAAATAGGATGTCTAAAACTGAGCTCCTGACCCAAATTGGCTTCTTCCACAGTATTCACCACCTAAGTTAATGGCAACTCCATGTTTCTAGATTTTTAGATTGAAAGCATTGATGTCATTCTTGACTTCTATGTTTCTTTTACACCCCACACTAATCCAGTCAGCCAATCTTTCCCACTCTACCTTCAAAGAAGATCCAGAACTTACCACTTTCCACCACTCTCATCTTTTACCTGAGTCGGTGCTACTTATTCTTTTATCTATCCTCAACCCAGAACCAAAAGAATGCAGTTAAACCAAGGTCATATCATTTCACTACTCTGTTGAAAACTCTCCTATGGCTTTCCATCTTATTTGGACTTAAAGTAAAAATTATTGCTAGGATCTAAAACTCATTGTATGACCTGTCTCACTCTCTATCACCTCTCTTACTTACCCGTCTCTTGATGCTCTTCTCTTCAGTAGATGATGCATTCTACCTGGAACTTCAGCCCATCCCACTACTTCCTATCTCCTTTCCCTGCTTTCTTTATCTCCTTAGTCTTCAACACCATATGACACAGTACATAATTTACTTAGACCATCTATTATTGGTCTCTTTTGCTAAAATATAGGCTAAATAAAGCCAAGATTTTCTTTCTAGTAGTTCTTGTTGTCTGTATTCCAATATCTAGATATAACGTGGGTACTTACAGTATCTCAGTTTCTAGAGAAGTCCCTGGCACATAATAATAAGTATTCAGTAAATCTTTGAGAAGGAAATAAATGACAGGTTGCCCTGTGGTCTTACAATGGCTTAGCATATGCCTCATTCATCTTGTTCAAAGGAGGCTCACACCTGTTCTTGGCTGTGCCCCAAGAACATCTGAACTTAAATTTCCTGAGAGACTTTTTCTAAAAATTGCCTCCCTGGGGCATGCATTACCAAATTGCTGCATGTGGAAAATCCTATTGCAAGAACAACAGTAGCTAAACAGAATGTGGAAATAAATTCAATTACAACAAATGAAAAAAGTGAGGCAGCCATAAGAAAAAAAAATGTATATGAAGCACATAAAACAAGACCTAAATGAATGGAAAGACAGCCTGTGTGCTAACACTAAGTAAAAATGTAAATATACCAAAAGTTAATATACAATCTAAGAAAACTTCAATCAATGTTTCAGTGAGATTTTTTTGAACTTGCTAACATTATTTTGAATTATATGTGGGAGAAGGAATCTGCCAAGATTCCCAAAGAAATATGGAAAGTAATAGAGAATAGGGATTGTCAAATATAAAAATAATGTGGTATAAAAGCGACAATATAAGAGAATAAAGAAACTGTGGCTTCCATAGAGACGCCAGTCTTCGGGGACTGTTGACTTCTAGTGCCCTTGACATGGAAGCCCCTAGGAACCCAGTGACTTGATTTTAATCACTTTTTGAGAGACTTAATGCTTCCCATCAGACCTGATAGCATTGATGACAACACTTCCACCAGGTCCACTCACACATAGCCTATATCTCATTCAAAGGAAGCTCATGTCTCCTCCCCCAATGCACTGAAAGCACAGACCTAACTCACTGCCAGAAGGACTTGACTTCCCTCTTCCACTGGATCTCTGACTCCCCCACCTGTCTCATGCTCTACTTTTCCCAAACAGAAGGCAGAGGACTACCTCTGCCTAGTAAAGCAGAGGGAAGAGATCAAGATGTAATGGTCTTGGTGAAGCCCTTTCACTGGATGTAAGCTAAGAGCTAAATCCCTATCCCTTCTCTCTTGGTGGTGGGTGTGGAAGTCACAGCACCCTAGCCAAATAAATTTTCTTCATAAATCCTCTTCTCATTTGCCTTGAAAAATCTCAGCATAGGCTTTCTTTTTTAAGTTCTGAAACAATATTTTAGACAATTCCTTTAAACGTCTGCATTATTATACTAGCACCTTTCTTTGCAATTATATTACATATTTCATTTTTGTGTTTTAATCAAAACCTACAATTAAATATACTGATTAAAATATGTAACTTTCAACCTATTGGATAGAATATTTACAAGATAGTATAGGACATCCAATTTATTTAATAGAAGCCAAGAAACAGGGAAATACAGTTAGAAGGAATAAGTTGTAGTATTCAATAGTACAGTAAGAAAATGACAGTTAACAATAATTTATTGTATATTTGAAAATAGCTGGAAGAATTGTAATGTTCCCCATACGAAGAAAAGATACATATTTGAAATTATAGATATCCTAATTATCATGAATTGATCATTACACATTGTAACACATTGTATACTTGCATCAAAATAATCACAGGTATGCCAAAAATATTTATAACCATGATATATCAATTAAAAATACAAAACAAAAAAAGGAAGAATAAAGCCAAAAAGAATGATAATTTTTAAAATGTTCACAAACTATAGAAGAAATAAATTCTGTTATAAACATTTAATATTAATTCTGATAATTGCCTACATTTAACCATTTCAGTTAAAAGAAAAAGATCTTCAACATTTAAAAAAATTCCAGCTAACTGCTTTAAATAAACATTGCTTAGATATAATATTTCCCAAATATAGAAAAAAATAAAGAATTCTACCCAATCCAGTTTACATGGCTAGTATGAAAGATTCAAACTGTATGAAAACAGCTTTCCATGTGAATGGAAAATTATAAGCCAACTCTACTTATGAATACAAATGTAAAAACTTCTTATAGTTTATTACCTAAAAAATATACTTATTTATATTTAATTCTGACAAATAGAATTATGGGAATTTGAAATTGCTTAACATTAGAAAACTCTATCAATGAATTTATCTATGTCAATACAAAAACTGAGAAAAATCATAATATTATTTCACTCGATGCAGAAATATTAGATGCAAAAACTCCAACATCCATTAAAATTAAGAATAGGTGAGAATTTTCTTGACTTTAATAAAAGGCATATTTTAAAAAATTAATAATGAAATGTTAAAGTAATTTCACTTAAATATGAAATAAAACATGGTTTCCCATTCTCATTATTTTTAACCATTTTAGTGAAGGTTCTAAGTCAGTGCAATGAAGCAAGAAAAATTTAAAATTATATGTAAATTTGTATCATTTCAGCAGCAAAAAATGCTTTTTGTCAATTGATATTTACATACTCAGTTGGAAATTTTGAAATGTTCACTGAAAATTTGGAAAAGCAGCAATAATAATTTTAACCTTTTACTCCTCAAGTTACAACAACTAAAATTATGTTTCGTTAAGGAGGTAAGGAACAGGAAGCATTAGAGAGAAAGATCATTAAAATTAGAGATATTAGTTCATTTCACATTGACTCTAAATTATTATCCAGTGACAGCACCCGAACTTCAAGGCTCTCAGGTATCCTCCTTTCTCCTGAAAGAGTCTGGGTCTACTCTATATTTATTATTCTCCCAATTCCATCCCTTCTATCATCTGTGTAGCTTGCACCACAACAATCTTGTTGCTTTTCTCTCTGTGTTCTTGCCCACATAGAAAAAGACTAGTTGTCTCAGATTGTGAAAGCTTCTGCATTAAATAAGATAAATCTCATTTTACAGATTAGAGGGATGATAAAAAAGACATAAATCCCATTCTTTCTTTCAGGCGAAGATATAATGGATCTTTGAATGGTGCCATGTAGATTGCATTCAAAAATGTTCCTCTTCACCAAGCATTTTATTCTCTCTTCCCCAAGATGAGCTTCCTGATTTCTTGGGACAGACAGATCCTTGCAATATCTTTTTCTCCAGTCTTTCCTTGTTTTGCTAATCCCAGAATGCTCCAGTGTCCTAGCTGTAAAATACCATTACTATTTCTTCTCTCAGAGATAAGATTTATTGACTTCCACCTTGATCTTGTGGGATTACCGAAGTGAATTGACAAAATAGAGTGTTCCAACTTCTTCCAAAACTTACAAAATTTCCTACTTCTTAAAAACACACAAACCAACAGATACCCGTAAATACACACACGCACACACACACAGACAAACACACACACTACCTCACCTAAGATTTATATAGCCATGTTCTGTCTCTTCAGATCATCTGACATCCATTTGAGACAATCTATTAGATACTGTTATAGTTATTTAAGTGAGGGTGTCTGCATTAGTGGTATAATAATTTAAGTAATAGGTACAATAGTGATTGATATCATGAGGTAATTAAACATCATAATCATGCCACAACCAACATTAGTGTTTAAAAACAGTGAAAATATAAAACCAAAATTTTCCAATTATTTAACATGGCTGTCTGATATTAACTTGCATGAATATTTGTACACTTTAGTTTTTTACAAAAGTATTTACTAAAATGATCAGCAAAGAACACAAAAATATTACCATAGTAGTATTTCCTTTAAAAATTTAAAAATCAATTCTAAGAAGCCAAACCAAACAAAAAGCACACAAAGAACTTAACTCTTAACTCATTAGGGTGCACTCAATTGCACCCTAAACTCTTAGAGTATAAACATCAAACACTTTCTTAAGCTAAAATCTTCATCTGGATGTCTTCAATTTACTTCTTTCCATTAATACAACTGCAAATCATTTTCAGTTTGTGCAAATCCTGTAAGAAATATAATTATTTAAGCTCATGGCCAGAAAAATACATGAAACCAATTTAATAAATGTCTCTGAATCCATTAAACTGCTACTGCAGCCCAAGTCTATATTCATAAATAATGATAACTATGTATATAAGCATGGGTATCATTTACTCTTCTGGTTGCAATCTCTAGTTAATAGACATACTGCATAGTACATTGCCCTGTAGAAGCTTCAAATAATTATCTGCCTCTCTTCATCTCTTTTGCACTGATGTTGAAAAATTAAGGAATTCATTCATAGGGCCTCCACATGGAGAGCACTGATTCAAGAAAGAGAGCATCACAATTGAGCGTTAGTGGTAATAGCCAAAAAGCCGGAGGTAATAAGTGGCAGAGAGCAAATTAGTATTCAGCTGACCAGTTCTCATCTCTTTCTCCTCAGTACATTTCAGGTGTGTCTCATTCAAGGTCAACGGGGGATTCGTGCAGAAAAATAATGGGAAAGCCAAAGGGTAATAGCCCAGGCTCTGAGTCCCCTGGGCTTCAAAACTTGGCTCATCCTCTCAGAACTCACCTTTGTCATACGCTGACACTATCAAAAGGCTGTAAACATACTCAGCAGCTAATTTTAAAATCTCATTATTGAAAGCATTTTGCACTTTAGGAATGCCAATCAAATTGTCTAGTAACTAGATAAAAATAAGGATAAAATGGTACATATACCAAACCAGCTAGCTTCTTTAAGTTACTTCTCATTCATTTTTGACACTTCAAAATCCCCACATGGCTATCTTTCAAAGCAGCATGGTCCCTCTGAGGCTGAGTTATTTGGCAACTTAAAGATTTTAGCCAATTTTTATGACTGGAACATAAGCCCTTCACATCGTCAGTATGATACAGCAGTCCTGCTGAGTAACTTAAATTAAAAAGCACTTGTCATAATTCTGGCTCAAATTAGTAGAAATACCCTCATTAAATCCACTAGCAGTTCTGGTTTCCAAATTTCTAAGAGACAAGTACATTTGCCTCTAATTCTAGCTTTCTACAGCAGGGCAAAAAACCTCACATGAATTGCTATTATTTCAATGAGAATTTGAGTTTCTTTATTTTTTAAGTGACTGTAAGAGCAAGAAAATCACACCCTCAAATATTTGCTTTATCTCCTAGAATTGTGAGTGAACATTCTTGCTACTATCATTTTCTATTTAAGTTTACAGTTTAAAGAGCAGTTTTTCTGTCTCTAGTTGATGTATAAACATTTCACTATGAAAATGCTCTGGCTTAATCAAAATGAGTCACAAAGAAGTTTAGCCAGGAATTTTCCAACCTTCATCAAAAGTGGCACTGTCAAGGCTGAAAGAAAGCACTAATAATCCAATCTTCTGTTCTCAGTTCTCAAGCTTTTCTCCCTGAAGTCTGAATGTTTATGTCAGTTTGAGCACTCTTGCAATCAAATGCCTGTGAGGAGAGTATGAGGCATTTAAGACAAGTGATGAAATGCCAGCCATGACTTTGATTCAAATGGAAAATGTGGAAGAAGCAAAGTCTGTTTAGTTTTTATACTTAAGAAAAGAAGAAAAAAAGTGTAACAAAATTTTTAAGAGATATAGTGATACATATAAATCAGATGGAAAAATGATAAAGCTTTGCTCGTGTTAGAATATAGGCATGTTTGAGATTGGTCGTCATTTTCATTACTTTTAATTTCATAAAGATTAAGATAGCAAAGCCTGTCATTTAAAACCAAAACATACATATGACTTCTGATGGTGCTGTTTTGTTCAATGGTAGTAATCAGGTGGGCATGCCAGGTTCCCAAGAACAGCCTTTTCTTATTAAGTAATAAGAAACCTAGCAAATCTAGTTGGCAAATCCTCTCAGAATATCCTGAGTCTGTTAAAGGGTTGCAGGCTGGGCATTTACTTGATGTTGTAAGACATTTTGGCGGCAGTCTAAATAATATTTCTGTCTATAATTTCCTCAACCTCAACAAAGATATTCATGCCCATTGTCAGGAATGAACCATGTGTTGGAAGTAATTAGGAGAGTTAGAGCTGAGGAAAACAGGATTGAGAAGGAACTGGAAAATTTTGAAGGCATTTTTAAAGAATGTATATATCAATATCAAAACATGGCCCCATTCAAAATCAAATGATATTTTCCTTTTTGTGGTCCTGAAAAGTTCTACAATGATTCTTAACTGAAACTTTTTTTTCTTTCCTTTGAAAATATACATTTTTTTCACAACTTATGCTGAGTAGCCTGGTAGGTGCTAAATTCCTTTCATAGATTTGCCAATATTCAATTCAGGTACAGGCAAGTAGACATGATTTCTAGATTTTACTCACATGTAACAATTGTAGAATATGCTATTCTTACTGTCTCCAATCCAAAATAAAGACTGTTAAAAAACATGCAATTTCCCACAAAAGGTACTCTCTTTTGGAAGTAAACTAAAGGTGGCTTTTAAGAACTAGATTAAATTGCCTCCCTTCATACTCAATTTAGGATGAAATCCAATATAAAGTTCTTACATTTTTCCCCCTGCCTTCCTCCCTTCATTTCTTTCTTTTTCCATAAATGTTTATTGAGTACCACTATGTCCCAATTATTCTTCTAGATGCTGGAGATTCGAAAATCACCAAAACATAACAAAATTCCTACCTTGATGAAGATTAAATCCTTCTAGATGAAACAAACAAAAAACAAGATAAGTAAAATAGGAAAAAAATGAGGGACAAACAAGATAAATAGAAAGCATTAGATGCGAGTTGAATTTCGAACTGAGTGCCCATGGAAGGTCTTATTCAGTAGGTAATGTTTATGTAAGAACCTGAAGAATGAGAGTAAATGAGATGTATTTGAAAAAGATGTATATGGGGAGGTGCAACAGTAAGTGGCGAAGTCCCAAAGCTATGAGCATACCAGGCTTTCTTAATGCAAAGTGTGGAGGTCAGATGACTAGAGCAAAATAAACAAGGCAGAGGTATAAGAGATAAAGTCAGAGAAATAAGTGAGAACAACCAGATCATGTTGGCTTATAAGTCATTGCAGTCATTTCATCTTTCCTTTTGTAAAGCGAAATAGTCACCATTGGAGGGTTGTGAGCCAAGAAGTGATATGATCTGACTTAGAGTTTAGCAGGATCACCCTCACTGCTTGCTGAGGAGGGAATGAGATGGGCCAAAAACAGAGTAGGAAGACCACTGGGAAAACTATTGGAATAGTCCGGGGAGAAGAAAACCATGGTTTGGATAAGGGAGCTGGCAATGAATGTGGTAAGATGTTTGAACTCTGTGTGTAACTTAAAGGTTAAACTAAAGAGATTTGTTACTGGATGGTGCATGAGATGTAAGGCAAAATAAGGCAAGAAGCATTCTAAAATTTGGGGGCAAAATAAAAGAAAGAATGAGATTACCATTTACTGCAATAGGGAAGGCCACAGGAAGAGGATTTACAGGGATGAAATATCAGAAGCACAATTTTAGATTTATTAAATGTGTTGTCCAACATGAAATGGAAAAATCAAATTGTAGAGTTCAAGGGAGAGAATGGGACTTGGCCCAATGTGATTTGATCATTAAGAAGATATATGGAGTTTTTAAACATCATAACCTCCAATGAAAACTATTTAGAAATTATAAAAAGGATAGATCATTGTTTGGATGTCTGCAATCTTTGAAAGCAGTGGCATCACTTTTTTATTTGCTTCAATATCTTAAAATTATTATCTGCATGTGATCCTAGGAAGCAGATTGGCTGATAGAAAATTTCCAATATGTGCAATTTAGGCATGGTACTCTAAAGAATAGACACTGTTAAGTTTCAAGTGGAGCTGAAATTTAATTACATGCCATTAGTTTATAACAGAGAGGGAAAATTTGAACTATTTTTGTTCATCTTTCTTCATAACTGGACTAAATAAGCTTTTCAATAATTTTTGTCAGGCTGGTAGTAATCATCCCTTTGGTTAACTTCTACCAGGCCAAAATTTCAGGGTCTAGCTTTATTATAAATCACAAGACCACTAAGCTGCAAGAAACAAAGGAATAAAAATACTATTTCAAAACTACATATTCTTCTATTAAAAAAAATTAAAAAACACTGATCCACACTGATCCAGCAATTTTAAAAAATGTATTGTCAGGGCATATCTTCTATACACTGTGATATTGATCTCTTCAGTCCAAATTGTGAAAAAGTTCAGAGAAGAGTTAAAAATAATAATAAAACTGCTCTGAGACTTTTGGACCAAAATGACAAACTGAGTATGAGTACATGACTTTTTCTCTTATTTTTCCCTGAACTAAGTGAAAGGAGTTAAGGAAATAAAGGTGGAACTAAACCTAAGACACAGACGCAAATTGAGGATATGCCATTAGTGACAAACAATTTAGACAAATGTCTGAAGATGAAAAGTAACTATGTTTAAACTGATGCATCTATTAAAATGGAGAAAGTTGCAGTACAAAACCTAGTCAAAGAAGAATTCTATGTGGGAAACCTTCTTGCTCACAGAACCCCAGACATACCTGAGGTTTGATATGGTTAGATATGAAAACAAGACCAATGTGTGAAATAGTACTTAGAGTACCATGCATGATGAATGAATGAATACCCATATGGAAAGCATCCTTCTGAAATTTCACATGGGAAAATGTTAAAAGAGCTTTCAAAGTTCACTTTCAAAGGGAATTAGATACATATATTTATCCCTTGCCTTATGATGGGGACACATTCTGAGAAATTGTTCTTAGGCAATTTCATTGTTGTGTGAACATCACTTAGTGTACTCACACAAACCTAGATAATATATCCTATTACACACCTAAGTTATATGGCATAGTCTATTGCTTTGGTTAACACAGCATGTTATTGTACAAAATAACATAAGCAACTGTAACACAAATGGTAAGTATTTGTCTATGCAAACATATCTAAACATAAAAATGGGATAGTAAAAATACAATGTTATAATCTTAGAGGCTCCCATCATATATGCAGTCCATCATTGAACAAAATGTCACTATGTTGTACATAGCTGTACATATATATGTGTGTGTATATATGGGTATATATGTGTATATATGTATGCAAATATGTGTATACATGTGTACACACATATATGTAAGTATATACATATACCCACAGGCATACATACACACATGTATGTACTTGTATGTGAGAGTATACATGTGCATATATGTATATATGTGGGTGTATACATGTGCATGTATATACACAAATGTGTACACCTATATATACCCATGTATATACCCTTTTACAGCATCAGATAAAATAATTTAAAATTCTGAAAGAAGGTAATTTTGAGTTTAAATTCTATATTCAGCTGGACAGTGACAATGTGAATAGGTAAACAATCATTGAAAAATTGGTAAGGTCTTGGAAAATTTTGTGCCCCCACATGACTTCTTCACAAAGCAGAAGAGAAATACAGAGATAAGAAAGAAATGGTGGACCTAACCGAGTGGTTCATTTCAAAGAGAGCTCAGAAAATTACCTAAGCAGAAAGCAATTGATCCATATCAGTACAGAAACCAGAGGATTTCCTGAAGGAAATCTTTAGAAAGAAAGTCAAGTCCATTCAACAAGAAATTTAATTTAAAAATTAGAAGTTATATGTGTAAAATTAAGATAACATATGTGTCCATTATGTTGAACAAACATGGCATGGTTTGTGACAACAAACAAATTAATTTTATTTCCACCAACTTTTCAAACTTTTTTCAGTAGAAGCAATCTGTCCCATCCCAAGGTAAAAACTCTGGAAGGCCCATAACTTCTTTGCTTCTCTGGGTAAGATATTCTTACTGTATGTAAAGCTGCATAGTTGTGATTTATTAATTACAGTCTAATTGTAATAATTATTGGAATTCTTCTTTGCAGTAAATAATTTTCCCTCAGCTAACTACGTTCTAATACAAGGTGGTAGCCAGTGAGAAGGAGGGGAAATTGTGGCTTCTCTTCTTTCTCGACCTTTGCTAGTTGCTGTATTGACACTACTAGAGTCTAAGCAGGAGAGAGGAGAGATAAGGGAATATAGAAGTTATGAGTAATATTGTACTGATAGAAGCTAGCTTTTTACTCTGCAGCAGAAGATAAAACTGATTCTTTTTCTCTTTAAGCCACTTCTGAAAACTTCCAAGAGAATCCTGCTGAATTCCTCTCTCCTGCTACTCTGTTGTTCTAACTTAATGTATGTCTACTACTGGTGGTCACTTGCCCCTGAGCATCTTCCGATACTGCTCCTGAATGTTTTTTGGCTTAGTTATACTCACTTCACCTGAAAATTTTACTGGCCAGAACTCAAGAAAACCTCATTCTTTTCCCTATTTTCTCATTTTTCAAACCAATACTCTATAGGAAACACCATATCTCTGGTTCCAACAGTTTTTAAATGCATAGGAGATGCATTTGAAATTTTATAGAAATCTCCTTAAAGTCTTCCCCTAAAAACAGTGACTTTGGACTGCTTATCTTTCTCCCTCATGCCCTGTATCTGCCTCCTATAGTGCACAGCACAGGCCCAGAACAAAGGAGATACACAACAGATTTCATTCACTCAAAAATTTAATTATCAATCTAAAAAATCAAACATTGTTGCATTTCTGCAAAAATATTTGGCAATTGACTTATTAGTAGAATTTGTTTTCCAATAGTCAATTTTTACACTAATTTACACACATAGTTGTAAGGGTTGGCCATTTGTAGTTGTCACTAGTTGTGAGACAGTCCAAGAATCTGAAGTATAATTTGAGGCCACAGGTCAAGATGGATTTTTTTTTTATCAATTTGGAGATAAATATCTATAAACTTGACTTAAGCTGAACCAAATATTCCTAAGAACTAGTAAAAAAAGTGGATAATTTACATATTAATCTATTCATTTTTTTCTCCCAAAATTAACTGTATTTTATATCATAGTTGTCTACCACTGACCTACAACATAAAGTATTATAGAATGATAGTTCTGAAAAGTTACTTTAGACAGTATGCATGCCAAAAGAAATACTGCATGTATAACGTCAGATAGCAATTAGTAGAACTAGAAAAACTTAACTATCTTAACATTAGACCAGCTTTTTTATTCCACTTCTCCTGATTAATATGTAAAACATACACCTATTAATGTTTACTTGGGAAATTGCTCAGAATACAGAGTGGAATTTTGCAACATTAATTAGATGGAAGCTATGAGACTGCAGCAGTAATTAAAGATGCCTAATTTCAGAAACCAAAAAGGAGAAATAATCCAAAAGTCGAAAGCAAACAAATGATGAATCAGGGTTGAGGTTGAGATGCAGAAAATGGTTGTGGATAAATAAAAAGTAATTGCTTTAAATGGGAATCAAAAGAGAAATCATGGAGGACCATAGTGTAGTGGACTAATCATTAGAGAAATGCAGATTAAAACCACAATGAGTTTTAATCTCACATCAGTCAGAATGGCTATTATTAAAAAGTCAAAAAATAAGATACTGGTGAGATTGTAGGGAAAAGGGAATGCTTATACACTGCTGATAGGTATGTAAATTAGTTCAGCCATTGTAGAAAGCAGTTTGGTAATTTCTCACAGAACTCAAAATAGAATTACCATTCAACCCAGCAATCCCATTATTCGGTATATACCCAAAGGAATATAAATCATTCTACCATAAAGATACATGCAAGCATATGTTCATTACAGTACTATTCACAATAGCAAATACATGGGGTCATCCTAAATGCCCATCAATGGTAGACTGGATAAAGAAAATGTGGTACATGTATACCATGGAATACTTCACAGCCATAAAAAGAATGAGATCACCTCCTTTGCAGCAATATTGATGAAGCTGGAGGCCATTATCCTTAGCAAACTAATGCAGGACAGAGAGTGGAGGCGGGGAGGAGGATGAAGATCAACAAACTACCTATTGGGTACTGTGCTTATTTCCTAGGTGGTGAAATACTCTTGACACCAAATCCTTGTGACATACAATTTATCTATATAACAAACTTGCACATGTACCTCTTAACCTCAAATAAAAGTTAAAAAAAAAAAGAGGAGGGGAATTGTGCAAGCTCCATCTCCAGAAATTTAAATAAATTTAATAAGAAAAATCTAAAAAAGAGAGAGCGTTAAGAAAGAAGTTGGACAGGTGTGGCTTGATTTTATGTACAACTAAAAATATGTGAATACTATAAAAATTTTTTGAGTTTTTCTTAGCCTTTGTTATTTCTTCAATATTTTATCATATTTCTTATTTTCTGTTCCCCCATTGTAAAACTCTTAGAATTATAAACAGATCTTATATACATGTCTCAACATCAGTGAAAGAAGTCTAAGCTGGGGTTTTGCTTCACAGTTAACCTAAAAAGAAGAAAAATTGGATACATTTAACAACTGTGGGCACCTGTGAAGAAGTTCAGAAACAGGATTGAGCTACAGAAAATTTACACTGAAAGCCAAAAGAACTGCATTCTCATCCCAGCCCTGCTGATAACCACTTGTGTGACTTAGACTAATTATCCCCTCTCTGTTCCTCAGTTTATTCACTAATATACAAGTGGGAAGGCATAGATGAAATAAGACTCTCTACAGTTTTCCCTTTCACTGTGTTCATTGTCAGTGGAATAATATATGCTATATTGGTGGATGTCAAAACTTACTACCAAAATACTAATGTCAACCTTTTGCAATATGACAGTTTTAAGTGTATCTCTCTGTGTGTGTATTTTGTGTGTCTGTGTGTGTGCATGTGTGTGTGTGTATTTGAAGAATGTGATGGTTAATACTGTCAACTTGATTGAATTGAGAGATACAAAGTATTATATTAATCCTGGGTGTGTCTGTGTGGGTGTTGCCCAAAAGAGATTAACATTAGAGTTAGTGGGCTGGGAAAGGCAGGTCCATCCTAAATCTGGTAGGCACAAGCTAATCAGCTTTCAGCAAAGATAAAGCAGGCAGAAAAACACAAAAATGAAAGACAGGCCTAGACTTCCAGCCTACATCTTCCTCCCATGCTGGATGCTTCCTGCTTTCAAACAACAGACTCCAAGTTCTTCAGTTTTGGGAATCGGACTGGCTGTCCTTGTTCCTCAGCTTACAGACAACCTATTATGAGACCTTGTAATCATGTAATTTAATACTTAAAAAAACTCCCCTTAATATATATGTGTGTATATATACATACGTGTGTGTGTGTGTGTGTGTGTGTGTGTGTGTGTATGATATATATATCCTATTAATTCTGTCCCTCTAAGATAACCCTGACTAATACAGATTTTGGTACTAGGAGGGGGGCTTGGCTGAAAAAGGTACCTGAAAATGTGGAAGCAACTTTGAAACTGGGTAACAGGCAGAAGATGAACAGTTCAGAGGGCTCAGAAGAAGACAGGAAAATGTGGGAAAGTCTGAAACCTTCTAGAGACTTGTTGAATGACTTAGACAAAAATCCTGATAGTGATCTGAACAATAAGGTCCAGGCTGAGGTGGTCTCAGATGGAGATGAGGAACTTGTTGGGAATTGGAGCAAAGGGGCTGGTGGCATTTTGCCCCATCCCTAGAGATCTGTGAAATTTTGAACCTGAGAGAGATGATTTAGGGTATCTGGTGGAAGAAATTTCTAAGCAGTAAAGCATTCAAGAGGTGACTTGGGTGCTGATAAAAGCATTCCATTTTAAAAGAGAAACAGAACATAAAGGTTCAGAAAATTTGCAGCCCGATAATGCAGTAGAATAGAAAAACTCATTTTCTGGGTATAAATTCAAGCCGGCTGCAGAAATTTGCATAAGTAGTAAGAAGGCTAATGTTAATCCCCAAGACCATGGGAAAAATGTCTCCAGGGCATGCCTGAGACCTTCATGTCAGCCCCTCCCATCACAGGCCCAGAGGTCCAGGAAGAAAAAGTGGTTTCATGGGCCTTGCCCAGTGTCTGCATGCTATGTGCAGCCTAGGGACTTGGTGCCTTGTGTCCCAGCCACTCCAGCCATGGCTGAAAGGGTCCAATGTACAGCTCAGACTGTGGCTTCAGATGTTGGAAGCCCCAAGCCTTGGCAGCTTCCATGTGGTGTTGAGTCTGCCGGTTCACAGAAGTCAAGAATTGAGGTTTGGGAACCTCCGCCTAGATTTCAGAAGATGTATGGAAATGCCTGCATGCCCAGGCAAAAGTTTGCTGCAGGGATGGGGCCCTCATGGAGAATCTCTGCTAGGGCAGTGCAGAAGGAAAATGTGGGGTTGTGGGGTTGGAGCCCCCCTACACAGAGTCTCTACTGGGCCACTGCCTAGTGGATCTGTGAGAGGAGGGCCACTCTCCTCCAGACCTCAGAATGATGGATCTACTGACAGCTTGCACCATGTGCTTGGAAAAGCCGCAGACACTAAACACCAGCCCATGAAAGCAGCCGGGAGGGAGGCTACACCCTGCAAAGCCACAGGGGTGGAGCTGCTCAAAACCATAGGAACCCACCTCTGGCATCAGTGTGACCTGGATGTGAGACATGGAGTCAAAAGAGATCATTTTGGAACTTTAAAATGTGCCTTTCCTGATGTATTTTGGACTTGTGTGAGCCCTGTAACTCCTTTGTTTTGGCCAATTTGTCCCATTTGGAACAGCTGTATTTACCCAATACCTGTACCAGCATTGTACCTAGGAAGTAACTAGCTTGCTTTTGATTTTACAGGCTCATAGTCAGAAAGGACTTGCCTGGTTTGAGATGAGACTTTGGACTGTGTACTTTTGGGTTAATGCTGAAATAGGTTAAGACTTTGGGGGACTGTTGGGTGAATTTGAAATGTGAGAACATGTTTGAAGGGACCAGGAACAGAATGATATGGTTTGGCTGTGTCCCTACCCAAATCTCAAATTGTATCTCCCAGGCTTCCCATGTGTTGTGGGAGGGACCCAGGGGGAGGTAATTGAATCATAAGGGCTGGTCTTTCCTGTGCTATAATTATTATACTGAATAAGTCTCATGAGATCTGATATTTGTATCCCATGTGAGTGCTTGCCAATGGGTGACGTCAGCAGAGAAGGATTTTAATAATCACGTGGATAGGATGACCCGCTCTGTGGAAACCACTCAGCCTCCTTCCCCAGACAACCCTGTCATCCCCCAATGGGCCCATGAACAAAGTGGCCATGGTGGCAAGGATGGAGGTTACGCATGGGCTCAGCAACATGGACTTCCACTCACCAAGGCTGACCTGGCTATGGCCATTGCTGAGTGACCAACTTGCCAGCAGCAGAGACCAACACTAAGCCCTCCATATGGCACCATTCTTCGGGGTAATCAGCCAGCCACCTGGTGGCAGGTTGATTGTATTGGACCTCTTCCATCATGGAAAGAGCAGAGGTTTTTCCTCACTGGAATAGACACTTACTCTGGATATAGGTTTGCCTATCCTGCACACAATTATTCTGCCAAGACTGCTATCTATGGACTCACAGAACGCCTTATCCACCATCATGGTATTCCACATAACATTGCCTCTGACCAAGGGACTCACTTTATGGCTAAAGAAATGCAGCAGTGGGTTCATGCTCATGAAATTCACTGGTCTTACTATTTTATCCATCATCCTGAAGCAACTGGAGTGATATAACTGTGGAATGGCTTTTTGAAGTCACAATTACAATGCCAACTAGGTGACAATACTTTGCAGGGCTGGGGCAATGTTCTCCAGAAGGGTGTGTATGCTCTGAATCAGTAACCAATAAATGGTACTATTACTCCCATAGCCAGGATGCACGGGTCCAGGAATCAAGGGGTGGAAGTGGAAGTGGCACCACTCACCATCACCCCTAGTGACCCACTAGCAAAATTTGTGCTTCCTGTTCCTGTGACATTATGTTCTGATGGCCTAGAGTTCTTAGTTCCAGAGGGAGGAACACTGCCACGAGGAAACAGCAACAATTCAATTAAACTGATACTTAAGATTGCTACCTGGACACTTTGAGCTCCTCCTACCTTTAAGTCAACAGGCTAAGAAGGGACTTAACAATGTTGGCTGGGGTGATTGACCTGGACTATCAGGATGAAATCAGTATACTCTTCCATAACAGAGGTAAGGAAGAGTATGCGTGGAATACAGGGGATCTACTAGGGTGTCTCTTAGTATTACCATGCCCTGTGATTAAGGTCAATGGGAAACTACAACAGCGCAATCCAGGCAGGACTACAAATGGTCCAGACCCTTCAGGTATGAAGGTTTAGGTGACTCCACCAAGAAAAAAACTGTGACCTGCTGAGATGCTTGATGAAGGCAAAGGGGATACAGAATGGGTAGTGGAAAAAGGCAGTCATCAAAACCAGCTATGACCACATGACCAGCTGCAGAAATGAGGACTGCAATTGTCATGAATATTTCCTCCTTCTTTTGTTCAAAAAGATATTTGTCATATATACACTTGTACTAAGAAAATATCTTCATTTTATTTCCTTTTCCTTTATCATGTGACATAAGATTTATTGACTTCATATCAGCATTTAAGTATTGTTAACTTTATGTAATAGTATTTGGGTTGGGGATTGGTGCATTTCTGGTTGTACGAAGAATAATTGTATTATGTTAGGCAAAATTATGACCTCATTATTGTCTTTATTTGAAGATTATGTGTGATCTCAGGAGATATGTATGGGTTCAAGCTGACAAGGGGTAGACTTGTGATGGTTAATACTGAGTGTCACTTGACTGGGTTGAGGGATACAAAGTATTTATCCTGGGTTTGTCTCTGTGGGAGTTGCCCAAAAGAGATTAACATTTGAGTCAGTGGGCTGGGAAAGGCAGACCCACCCTTAAGCTGGGTGGGCACAATCTAATCAGCTTACAGCAAAGATAAAGCCTGCAGAAAAAAGTGAAAATGAGAGATGGGGCTAGCCTCCCAGCCTACATCTTTCTTCCATGCTGTATGCTTCCTGCCCTCAAACATCGGACTCCAAGTTCTTCAGTTTTGGGAATCGGACTGACTCTCCTTGCTCTTCAGCTTGCAGATAGCCTATTGTGGGACCTTGTGTTTGTGTGAGTTAATACTTAATAAATTTTCAGTTTATTTCTGTCCCTCTTAGTTCTGTCCCTCTAGCAGAACCCTGACTAATACAAAGTACTTAACAACTTTTCCTGGTATATTTTCTACTTTACAAAACTTGCTACTTTAGGCACTTCCATGTTGAAAATAGCTTATTGTGACTTCTAGTACTTCTGTTTGATAAATCCATGGAAACTTTTCTCTTTTCATGTTTAATTCCCTTTTCATCCTCACTATTTTTTGGCTTATCTTCATGTGCCCTGACATAAAATTTAAAGTCTGTCTCATATAATTGATCAATTTGCTACCACCTCCAAAATTTCTCTAACAGTTTTGTCAAAGTTTAGTCATTATTTCCGATAGATGCAGGAGGCAGAGAAATTCTAGGCAGACAGAGGTAGGTCTCCAGCAAAACCCCACCTTTGAGCTGAAAAGCCTAAAACCCGTGGCCCAAAGTGAGACCTACTATCCCTGTTTGTCTGCTCTCTCCCAATTGGTTGTTGTTGAATAATGTCTTTTTACTAATTGAATGTTGCCTTTTCGAAAACTACCTATGGCCTGCCTTGCCATCCATCCTGTGTCTATAAACACTCCAGACTCAGTCAGTAGAGAGGGAGAAGTGGCTTGACTGGAGAGAGGTGACTTGATTTCAGAGGGATGGCTGGACTTCAGAGGAGCCGGCCCGAGATGGCCAGAATTCAGGGAAGATTATCTGCCCATCCTCTCCATCTCCCCTCTCTGCTGAGAGCCATTTGCATCACTAAATAAAATTCTCCACCTCCACCATCCATCAAGTGGTCCATGTGACCTAATTTTTGTTGGACCATCGGACAAGAGTTCAGGACTCATTGAGTGCAGGTACCCAAAAAGGGCTGTCCCACTGGCCCTTTGTCCTGTCTGGCGGAGAGCAGCCACCCCACACCACAAGGCAAGGGGCCCACTGAGCTGATAACACACTGCTGTCCATGAACAGCAGAGATAAGATAGCATTGTAACGTGGCCTCTGGGGCTTCGGTGCTTGCAGGCACCCCGCCTTGGGTGCCACTGCAAGGTCTGCATGGAGCATGCTCCTGCCACCCAAAGCAGCTGGCTGGATCCCTCACTTCATCACTCATACCTGATCTGGCCATGGGGTCCACACAAAGCCTGCTCCTGCCAGCACCCAAAGTGGCTGGCTGAATTCGGGACTCGCTCACTCACGGGCTCCCTCCTGCAAGACATTGCAAGAGGTTGAACACAGCAGGCCCAGTATTCAGGGCCCCCAGTCGCAAGTCCAATAAAGCGGTCGAGAAAACTCCTGCATCATTTTTACAGTTCTTTAAATGCATGCTTAAGTTTTTTAAAAGGTAAAAAGAAAAACCATTAAGTATAATTATCAGTAATTCCTTGCCCATTTCCCAGCCAGTAAAATGATACTGGATAGTACCTATTTCATTGGGAAATTTTAAAGATTGTCTATGCATGAAAAGAATATAGCACAGTGAATAACACTCAATAGACATTGGTTTTTCCCATTCTTTAAACAGCCACACAGGAACCCAGTTCTGAAATATAGGATTAGTACCATGTCACTAAATTCCCAGAAATTCATGAAAAGGCAGTTCCTAGTATCGCTATGTACCCCCCAGGCCTATTAAGGTGCAAGTCCCTTAACTTTTCATACTATTATCTTTTCCATGACAAGTTTTCATTTGACCTTACTCTCATATAAAGAAGGACTTAAAGTGAAGAGAAATATCTTACCTGTTGTGCGCTAATTACTGAAGCTTCCTTCATTATCATCCTGGTCTTTAGTGAAAAAGGAAGACAAGTTTTGAGCCTCTTTGGCTTGAGCTAATTGCCAAACATTTTTTTCACTGGGTTCTTGCTCAGAGGAGGGCAATAATCAGGACTCTGAGCATCGGCGTTTCCTTGGCAGCCATGTCAGATACTAATTGGCAGGCCTGAGGCTCTGAGGGAAGAGATTTTACCTGACTAGTTGAGCTGAGAGCCTCAGGACTTCTTTCTTAAAAGCAATCGCCTGCTGTGATTTCTTACAGAAAGCCTGAGATTTAACCAAAATGCTAGCGATTGTCACTCACAGGGGCTGTAAAAAGGTTCAGGGCACTGAGAATTTTCCACTTTGTTGCTTGTGCAAGTGACAGTGTTCTGGGTTGCCCATGGTTTACTATGTTGATAATTAACATTTTGGCTACAGTCAATTTTAAGAATTGACCAGAAAATGAAAAACTGATTTGCATGACGCAAATGGATCAACCTCCTTATGAGGAAACAATTTGGTTGAATCTTTTCGGATAAAGTGATGAAAACATTCCCAGCCTTCAGAATTGCACTAGAAACAACACATGCAAATGAAGGTATAAGAATCCACAATGATAATTTGCATTTTACACACTTTCACACAAATGTCCCAAAGGCCTCCCAAAACACAAATTATATTTCACAGATCTCCTCTAAGGACACATTTATTGTTGTTTATGAAAACAGAGTGGGAAATTGAGACATAAATCGGGAGAGAGCCACAAATTAGTCAGGTCGACAGAATGCATAAAAGATAGAACTCAGTTTCAAGTTCTAAGCACTAAACCACATAAATTATTATCTAACAGTAAAGATGAAAAGGAAACAGATATTAAATTCATTTTCCTGTTCTTTATAAGGTGGAAGCCTACATTTCAAAGCTTGTCATGCTGAAGATTTATAATTTATAAAACAAAGCAAGCAGAAAAATATTTCTTGTAACAGTATTATAATGTTTTTTATCCAATTCTCTTGCCTTCTCAGCAGATATCAATTGAGCCATCACCATATGTAAGGTACTGTGCTCTGATGATGGAGAGTGCAAAACGCAATGCATTCTCTTGCAGACTTTGCCATCCATTTGTACAGAGCAGCAGTCAAGCCTGGAAAGTAAAAGACAACTCCATATGAGACTGTGATTAAATGTGAAATGATTAGTGTCATGATTGTTCAAAAGAGGGACAGCTGCCTGTGGCTGAAGGCATTTCAGGAAGGCTTTTTAAAGAAGGGAATAATTGAACAAGCCTGCTAGAACATGAGAAAAGACAAAAAGATAAAGAGTGATGAGAACATTCCAGTGAAGGTGTGAACCCTAGGGGAGGGCAGAAATGAATTATGACACTTCGTGAGAAACAGGCAGACCAGTATAAAAAGTTTGTGAAATCAGCTGAGCGGTTTGAAATCTGATTATTGGAAGCCTACAATGTCAGGAACTTGAGCTTTATATTATAAATTATGTTTTCCCAATTGCCGAATTCCCAGTGGTATAAAACACATTCCTGCTTCTATCATTTTATTCAAACATAATAGCATCAGTGGTCAAATTTATCTTTTGACTATTTTCATACAAAACAGAATATTTCAAATGAATTGTTTGCATCACCTGGTGGGTATTTTAGTAATGGGATAAGGTCATTTCATTTCTCACTTCCTACCTCATTCAAAAAAGTGAGGAAAACTCATTACAACTTGGGTGCCCTAGGAAATTAAATCCAATAATGTACAAATAAATGTTCATAATGCATGTTTTTACAAATTGTAGCCCTACCTAGGCCACAAACCCAGAGGTAGCCCTTCAAGGAGGTTAAGAACTAGGATCCCAGAGTCACTTACACTTGATGTGACTCTATACTGCCAATTATTAGCTATATAATCTCATACTAATTACTTAACCTTTTTAAGCCTCAGTGTCATTATCTGTAAAATGGGGATATGATGTTCTCTCATTGTTAACATTGTCACTCATTTATCTTTTCAACAAGTACTTATTGAGTACCTACTCTGTGCAAGGAACTCTTCCAGGTGCTGGGAATATAGGAGTGAACAAGATAGACAAGCAACAAGCATGTTTGGAAGGTTTAAGTAAGACAATACCTATAATGGATTAAGCAATACACCTAGTGAATGATCAATAAATGTTAACTATTATAACTATTATTAACACCTTACCACACACTTTATGACTTTGAGCAAGTCCCTTTACTGCTCTGAGCCTCATGTTTCTTATTTTTAAAATAAGAAAACAAATATGTAGGGCTCCTAAAATCCTTTCCATCTTCTACATGCTACAATTTTACAACTGACAAGCTTTTTCTAATGTTGAGGGAGACACCAGAAAAGAGAAAAAGAAAACAATCCCATTGATTCACAGAAACAGAAAGGTAGGAAAAAGTCAGTGTTAGAGTTTTCTATACCTATTACTCTATATATCAGCTAAAAGAAACATTCCACTGTTAAATCAGAATGTAGTATCTACAAAGATTGAGAGTGATATATAGTGCAGACAATACAATCACATTTGTAGGGTTTATTACTATTACTACTTATATTTTTGTTTTAAAATTTGGGTGAACATAGAATAATTTCTTGGAGGTATCTGTATGATGGAGATAACCAGACTGTGAGACAGTTGGTCTAATGACAAACTCTAGAAAATAGCAGCCAATTCATATCCAATCAACTTATAAATATGGCCAATGGTACTAAGTGAATTGTAATATAGACACTTTGATGATCTTATATAAAGACTTTCTTTCTGTGAAGTTCCAAGCACAACTATACTTAGTAAGAATGTTATTTTCTTCTGCAAGTAGAAGTTTAGTGAAACACTTGAGAAAATCTGTTCCAAGCCAATCAGTAATTGATTTGTCACCTGACAAAAATTTGTTGTTATTCTGTGAGCACTGGACCTTGAATCAATGACATGAACATTAATTTATGATTCTGAAAAATAGAGAATCAACAGGACTTCATGCATGACTTGCCATGCTTTCAGAACTGTGAAGTAAGTATGATAATAAAAATGGTAGTAATAATAGTAGAAGCTACCGTATTCCAAAGGAATGCTAAGCCAGGAAATACATTATTTCATTTAATTCTTATAGTAACCCAAGGAGCTGAGTATTATTCTTCCTGTATTTTGGGTAAGGAAATGACTCAGAGAGTTTCAGGAAATTTCCTAAGATCACACAGCTAGCAAGCAGCAGCAGAAGCCTGAATATTGTCACTCCTCTTTGTTAATGACAGATGCCAGATGACTATGCTAGAAACTCTTTAGGTATAAAAGCAATTCAAGAGAATATAAATGAGTCATTCCTGGACTTCTTAGCAAAGAGACCTTCATTTTCTGCATTTACATTTCAAAAGACTATATGATAAAGAAATCATTTGCTATTGCTAGATAAGTGCTCCTTCAAGCAAGAAATTTAAAACCCATTTTAAAAAAATAAGCAAAAAAGAAAGAAAGAAAAAGTACCAACTCTAATTTCCTCTCTATATTAGACAACCACAAAAGACACTTGAAGTTCTGGCATTAAAAGCAGGCTGCCCAGAATGACTGCAATATCTAAGAGTTTGCATTTTAAATGAAATAGTTCCCTCTGTGACATAAATCAAGATATTCCATACATTTATGAAGCTGGAGGCCTGCTTTGTGTTCATATTGTTAACAACCTTCTGGCGTATTCTGGAATGTATCTAATTCTTTTCATCTATTTTCCCAGCAGAGTTTACCTCTATTGGCATGGGGATTTTTGTCTTCTTTATTCAGTATCTTCAGCACCTATAAGAGGGTTTGAAATAGTAGGTATTCACTGTATATTTGTTAGTTAATAACTTAATAAATCAATTAATATGATATAAATATATTGAAAAATGCTATCAAATTTTTTGTGTGTGTGTCTTGAAATTGTCACACAACTCAGATGCCAAGTTTCTCTGAAGCCATCATTTGCGTATCTGAGAAGTTACTTTTCATGATACCCAGGACAAATAGAAAATTGTTCCAAGTATTTTTTCCTTATAAAATCAGAAGAGCTGGAAGTCTAAAAGGATTATTAATACCTTGACTACATCAGGAAGAAAACTTCTCCAATTCCAATATTATCCCATTTCAAAGCCTACCCTTTGTAGGTTTGTATATAAAATATGCTCTACCTTCTTTCAAAAACAATTGGCAACAGCTTAGCACCAAAATAACTTAATCAATCCCTGGAAAGATTTTTTATTTTTCAACTCATCTTGTTGCTTTACCCTGAGAAGCCTTAAAAATGGTCTTAGAGCTTCTGGAATTCCCTTAAACTACTCTCTTAAGGCAACTATCAGGAAGATTTATGTGGCAACCTGCTTACTTGTCTACCTGTCTTCCAAGGGGCTGAACTTCAACTGCTAAATTAACTTAGTCCCTTTGGCATCTGGGGACTTACTATAAGGGAAGCTATATATTTTTTCTTTCTCTTAGTATCTACTTCAGCCTATTTGATAAGAACTTCTATCCCACTAGAAATATTAGAAAGAAAACTTCAGCCATTTTTTGGACCCCCTTCTCTCTCTCTTCTACCTTAGAGAAGAACAGTAACTGTGTAAATTAAGGTAATGCTAACTGCTGTAACAAATCTTCAACTTTTAATGGCTTAGCTTAGCACAATAGAGATTTCTTTTTCACTCACATAAGAGTCCCATGCCGTTAGATCTAGTTGTCTTTCATAAAGTGGCTTAAGAATGTAGACCCCTCCCATGAATGGCTCCACCATTTGTTAGGGTCTTGAAAATGTCTACATCTAAGTACCCAATGAGAAAAGGAAAGAGATGGAGAATAAGGTGCATCATGGTTCAGCACTGACATACATATTTTCTATTAATATTCCATTAGTGAAAAAATAGTCATATGGTTACACCTGGAGGCAAGAGGTGGACTGGAACACATAGCCTTTGGCTGGGAACCGGCCTTCCTGGGAAAACTCCACAATAAGGAAAGGTACACATTCTTTTATAAGATCCACCTTTTGGAGGATCGCATGCACCCTGCCAAAGTGAGACTGTGGGACCCTGCCCTCCACTGGGGAGGTTAAATGGTTGGGTTGGATAAGTCTGTTTGCAGATGCTTTATGTCTCTTCCTCTTTGGTGCTTTGTTGTTGAAATGGCCCACCTGGAGTTATCTCTGTCTTGTGGTTAGCCCTCCAGGGCAGACTAGAAGAACCTGCAGAGGAGGCTTGCAATTGTCAGTTTTCCAATTGGAGACTGGGTAAGTAAGTTCAACTCAGAGGGAAAGTGGAATAAAAAGACCCTGTTTGCCTCAAATTCAAGCTTATTGTACCATTTAGCCTTATCAGCAATACATCTGAATTTTTTTTTTTTCGATACAAGGTCTCACTCTATTGCCCTGGTTGGAGCGCAGTGATACAATCTTGGTTCACAGCAACATCTACCACCTTGGTCAAGTGATCCTGCCACTTCAGCCTCCCGAGTAGCTGGGACTACAGAAACGCAAAACCATGCCTAGCTAGTTTTCTTTTCATTTTTCTTTCTTATTTATTTATTTATTTTTTTGTAGAGACACAGTTTTGCCAAGTTGCCCAGGCTGGTCTGGAACTCCTGAGCTTAAGTGATTTGCCCACCTTGGGCTTCCAAAATGCTGGAATTACAGGCATGAGCCAACACATCTGGTTCACATCTGACAATTTTCTAAGTTTCTATTAGATAGAGGGATATAGATAGACAGATAGCTAGATAGAGAGCCAGATAGACAGATAGATAGATAGATAGATAGATAGATAGATAGATAGATAGATAGATAGATAGGAGAAAAAGGAGAAAAAAATCAAAGCTCCATAATTAAGCTGAAGGATACCCAAATTTAATTTTCTTAAAATAATTATTACTCTTGTTTGAGCTTTTTAAAGTGGCTTAAAGAAGTTAAGCCACCAAAACTATCGTAAACACTTTAGAAAACAAAAAATATATATTAAATCCTTAACCTTCCAAATAACCTGAATTCTTGACATTTAAATCGTTTTCCCAAGATAAACCTAAAGGCTCAAAAAGGAAATAAATGTTTAATGGGAGCATACTTCGATTCCTTTGAACTTGTTGCCAGCCATTGTTCAGCTTCCTTGTTGGGTTTAGGTTTGCAGGTTTTTGCCTATGCTTTTCAAATTTCAAACCTGTTTTTTCAGAGTGGCATTAGTCCCTACTTATGTGTGAATCAGACACAACTTCTTTTTTTGCCACGCCACAATACTGTAGTCAGTACTGAGTGGTCTTTTAAAGTGTTCTGGGTGGAATTTCAAGGGGGAAACGGCAAAGCTCTCCAAGGAAGTACTTGGGTGGCCTAGCATTGAAGACACAGAAAGACTGCAGAGAGAACCAAGCAACCAGTATTTCCTGGTGATCCATTTAAATACAGCCACAACTTTAGTACAATGAGCCTTAGCCACAGTGGCACAGGGAGTTGGACTCAGCTCTCTGGCAGCTGGCACACAAGCTATATTGAATTGGCAGAGGAGGAGCTGGCTTGCTCACAGCCCAAATATGAATGAAGTATTAAGTGTGAATTAGAAAAAAAAAACATTTTAAGACATGTGTGGCCTCTTCTCTCTCCTGGCTGTTTTAGAGTCAGTGTTTCATTCATGAAAACAGAATCACAAGTAAAACCTTATTGGATTTTAATTTCTCGATCAATATGGAGTCATTTTTGACATAAATGTGTAGCAGTTATTTTCTTCTCTTTATTTTTCTTCAATAACAACGTTTAAAACAAATTAAATGTAGATTTGAATACAGTCCCACACTGGTTACCTTCTTTGGCAGGAGAATCCTCAAACATAGTTTGGAAGTGATGTCTATACACATCAAGTTAACTAGACTGTGGTAAGTAACACCAAATCATGGGTTTATCAAGAAAATTAATTAGAAACAGGTACTGATAGTGGTTGTTTAAACAGTAAGACACCAGTGAAGAAAGATAAAAATTAGAGATATAAGGGATTGCCTGTTAACTTTCATTTTATTATAATTTGTAAATTTCAAATAACCTGAACAACAAAACAGCCAACTAGGTTAATGATTTACGTCAAGTCTTCATTTCCAACAAAGGTAGTAGTAGATTACTGCATGAAAACAGACTGTTGATGGAAACTGTTGGAAATGAAGTCCCTTAAATTTTTGTTTGTTTGTTTGTTTTTTGAGGCGGAGTCTCGCTCTGTCGCTCAGGCTGGAGTGCAGTGGCACGATCTCCGCTTACTGCAAGCTCTGCCTCCCGGGTTCACACCATTCTCCTGCCCCAGCCTCCAGAGTAGCTGGGACTACAGCCGCCCACCACCAAGCCCGGCTAATTTTTCTGTATTTTTAGTAGAGACAGGGTTTCACCGTGTTAGCCAGGATGGTCTCGATCTCCTGAACTCATGATCCGCCCACCTCGGCCTCCCAAAGGGCTGGGATTACAGGCGTGAGCCACTGCGGCCGGCCGAAGTCCCTCAATTTTTAAACAGTGGTAAGCTTTCATATTGTTATTTTAGGGGACCCCTTTTCAGGGTTATAGACTCATGTGAGAATAGATTCATGTGAGAATAGATTCATGTGAGAGATTATGTAGGCTCTTCTTTATTTTCTAGAGTTGGCTATTAAAGCCTACTGCTGAGAAAAATGAAAGGGATACCTTATGCCTGTCCCATCTTTGTATTTTGGAGTCAGATAACTTGTTTTCTACAAGAGTCTCACTCATACCTGACTTAGATGATTTAGAAGATGAGATTTTGGACTTTTTTTCTTTGAGAGGGAGTCGCCCTCTGTCGCCCAGGCTGGAGTGCCGTGGCGCAATCTCGGCTCACTGCAAGCTCCGCCTTCGGGTTCACACCATTGTCCCGCCTCAGCCTCCCCAGTAGCTGGGACTACAGGCACCCGCCACCGCGCCAGGCTAATGTTTTGTATTTTTAGTAGAGACGGGGCTTCACCGTGGTCTCGATCTCCTGACATCGTGATCCGCCTGCCTCAGCCTCGCAAAGTGCTAGGATTACAGGCGTGAGCCACGGTGCCCGGCCTGGACATTTTTTAGTTAGTTGTACATGGATGAGATTTTGGATTAGAAGCTGAGGCTAGAATGGGTTAAGACTTTGGATGGAGGTGAATGCATTTTGTACATTGCAAGAATATAATTTCACTGGACCAGAGAGTAAAAAGGGTGTAGACTGAATAGCGTCACCAAAAAAGTCACGCCCTGCTGGATCCTCAAAATGTGGTCTTATTTGGGAATCAGGTCTCTGCAGATATAGTTAGTTAAGAGGAGTCCTAATGGATTAGGTTGGGCCCTAAATCCAACATGAATGGTTTCCTTGTAAGAAGACAGACATGCAGAGGAACACTAGGAAGAAGACTATGTGAAGACAGATGAAAGGACTGGAGTGATGCAGCTACAAAGCAAGGGATGCCAGCGATTGCTGGCAACAGAAGCTAAAGAAAAAGTAAGGAAGTATTCCTCTCTAGAGCCTTCAGAGGAAGCAAGGTCCTGCTGATACCTTGATTCCCAGCTTCTAGCCCCCAGAACTATGACAAAATACATTTTTGTTGTTTAAGGCAGGGGTTCCCAATCCCCAGGCCACGGACCTTGTAGTATTCCCATAGGAGCGTGAACCCTATTGTGAACTGTGCATGAGAGGGCTCTAGGTTGCGCAGGCCCATCCCATCCTACTCCATCCCACTCCGTGGAAAAATTGTCTTCCAAGAAACCAGTCCCTGATGCCAAAAAGACTGGGAACTGTTGGTTCAAGGGGAATAAGAAAAATCTCTATGAAAAGATATAAAAGTAGTTCCACTTTGGTGGCAAAAATGGAGATATTCTATATATATGTGTGTGTGTGTGTATTTATATCTATACATACATAAACACTGGAAAAGTAAACCATAAGCTAAAGACGGGATGGTGTTTACAGAGTTCATAAAAATGAGCTAGAAGAATAGGAATGGCAGTGATTTTTTTGAGTATTTTGATATTTGAACTCTATATTAAAAATTTAAAAATAATTAAATCTAAAGAATGACAAAGAAAATTCTCAAATGGAGTATAAATAGAAATAAGTGAATCCAACCATATATTGAAATGGCTGGTGAACTAGGCAGAAAAAAATGCATACAATTTTGGACATAATATCTGACTATACATCCAAAATAAATTACATGGCCAATTGAGAGAACTTAAATATGACTTATATATAAGACAGTATTATGAAAAGATTTTTAATTTTCCACATTTCCAAAAATTTCCCAAAATTTTCTATAAACATTTCCAAAAATATTATTGTTTATTTTCCAAGAGTGGTAATGGTATGTGGTATTTTTTATTTTATCTTATTTTTTGAGAGACAGTGTCTTGCTCTGTTACCCAGGTTGGAGTGCAGTGGCATGTTCATAACTCACTGCAAATTCACCCTTCAGGGTTCAAGAGCTCTTCCTGCTTCAGCCTTCCAAGTAGCTGGGACTACAGATACATGACAGCAGGCTCAGTTAATTTTATAAAATGTTTACAAAATTTTATAATTTATATTTTAAAATTTTAATTCTAAATCTTTGTTTTTAATTTTTTTTTCCTTGGTAGAGATGGATTTTCACTGTGTTGCCTAGGCTCATCTTGAACTAATTTTAATTTTTTTTTTCTTGGTAGAGATGGGGTTTCACTGTGTTGCCTAGGCTCATCTTGAACTCCTGGCCTCAAGGGATGCTTCCAACTTGGCCTTCCAAAGCGCTGGGACTACAGAAGTGAGGTATTACACCTTTCTGGTATTGTTATTCTTAAGAGATGTATTTTATATTTTTTAGAAAAACATTGCCATAATGCCTACAACTTACTTTTAAATAGCTTATATACGTAGTTAACAATAATGTATATGTGTACACATAATTGTGTACTTGAAATTTGCTAAGATAATAGATCTTAAGTTTTCTCGCCACACACAAAAAGGTAACTATATGGAGTGATTAATATGTTAATTAATTTGATTGTGGTAATCATTTCAAAATGTACATTTATCTCGTATATCAACGCATTGTATACTTTAATACAATCTTTATTTTTCAATCATACCTCAATAAAGCCAGAAAATATGTAATATGGGGAAAACATAAATATATATAATTTTTAACTTTTGAGCTTGGCTTTGTTGCCAAATCTTATCAGTCATTCCATGAAAATACCAATATAATATAATGGTTAAGAACACAATTTCTGGAGTTAGAAAGTCTAGGTGTAATCCCAGCTTTAGCTTTATAATCTCAGGTAAGTTATTTAACCTCTGTGTGCCTCAGTTTCCTCAGCTGCAAAATGGTGATAGCAATAGTACTTAGCTCATAGGCAGTTAAACACACACAAATAGAAAGAGGAAACTGTGTACATTTATATATAAATAATATCAGTATACATATATAATTAACAAATACAAAGAAAAGATGTATGGCAATCACTGTATTCTTTATGCATTCTATAGGCTTGAACATTTTCAAGATAGCTGGAGAAAAATTAATCAGCTTGGAATGTGACTGTTTAATAGTGGAAAGTTACTGAATAATTTTGGAATCGGGTAGAGATAAAAAATTAAAGCCAGATATTTAGAGGAAAAAACGGTTTCTACTGGACATGGTTTGCAGCAGTTATTAAAAAAAACAATCAAACCAATCCATGTTTGTACCCCAAAGATCAGGCTGTTCACCGTATTTATTATGCAGGGACCACCATCCCATAAAGTGGTTGCTTTAAAAATTTTTATCGACATTTCCTATATTATATTCATCCCTGAAACGGTCACAGCAGCCAAGTCTAACTTTTCTTGTCAGTAGAGGAAAAAACAATTCAGTGACATTAAAGAGTTTGAAACTGCCATTATAACTCATTCTCTGATGAAGGCGATATACTGGGAATGAATCGTCAAGGAGAAAAAAAACAAAGAAAATTGAAGGGAAATCTTCCGACGCTGGAGGACTATCTTTTTACTCTTAGCCTGCTCTGCACTGTAACTCAGAGGTGGGGGTATGTGTCGAGGTGGGAGTGGGACTGATGCTTGCAGGCTGCCTTTCCCAGGTTCCAATGACAGCTGGCTTGCAGCTGGTTTTGGCCAAAGGAAGACTAAAAAGGAAGTGAAGGGTAGAAGGGATGCAGAGAGAGGCCAGGGTCTTTATCTCCCTCCTGTGGTTAGGTGGGTTCTTCCACAGCATCAGAGTCTCTGGCTCCAGCCTCCCCCAGATAGGCCTTAGATGATTCCAGCTTCTACTGTGTGAGCATAGTTGGGCTCTGGTAACAACTTAACTTATTCCCTGGAGCCTAGGGGCTTCTGCTGCCTCTTACTGCTGCCAATTTCAGGGCTTCCTCCCCATCAACTGCTGCATCTCATCTTTTCTATTTCCTGTTTAGATAATCCCTTTATACATTCCTCATGTTTCAAATATGCAGAATTATTTTTTCCTGATTCAGGATGTGACTGGGAAATGTGAAGTAAAAAGAAAATGAACTTCAGAACAGTCATATATGAAGACGTAGAAAGTGAAGACAGAATGGCAAATATTCTGATACAATATTAACCAATGTATATTATTCTCTTCTATAGAACCTTTAACCTACTATTTTTAACTTTTGAACTTGGTTTTGTTGCCACATCTCATCAGTCATCCTATCACAACAGCAATATAGCATAATGGTTAAGAACATAATTTCTAAAGCTGTACAATCTAGGTTTAATCCCAGTTTTAGCTTTGTAACCCTAGGTAAATTATTTAATGTCAGTGCCTTAGTTTCCTCATCTGCCAAATGAGGGTAGTAATAATACCTATGCTATATGGAGTTAAATTATGTAAAAAGAAAGCATTCAGTAAATGTTATTTAATGCATGTGCCTACTTATTTTACATAGTAAACTTATAAACAAACTGATATTGGCAATGCTGCCTTTTCCATATTATAATTTTTATGTCAGATCACAGCTTTCAAAGTACTTTTAGATACATGACTTCATTCCACTTAACAATTTAGTTGAGGTAAGTAAAATAGGTTTTATTATCCCAATACAGATAATAAAACTTAATCTGGAAGAGATTACCAGCAAGAGAGAGATAAGCAAAATTAAAACAAGTCTGTTGATTCCTAGTTGAGAATTTTTCTGTGACATCATTAGTGAGTTATTTTTGGGATTCTACCATACTTACTTTTAACACATTCTCTTAACTTCACCTGGCCAAAATAATGTATAAAGAGCAAAAATAGTTGAGCGCCAATGATTAAATATAATCCCATTGGTGGTTTTATTACATTTAATATTTTAATTTTTAAGAAAAAATCATCACATATTTATAATATCAAGAAAACAAAAACAAATTGGGGGGTAATCAATGATGAAATTAACAAAGTAGTTAATATAGAATTAAGAGATGGGTACTCTACAATTTGAAAGCATGTAATTAACCCTGAGTTATAAGAATCTGTGGGGAAGGTAGACAACTTCAGAGATAATATACTGAAAAGACCTAGGAGAAAGAGAGACATGTAGGTGGGATATAATTCATGAGCTCTATTACCTCAGGTTAATTCAGTGTAATGAGTTATTTTATTCATCATTGTTTCCAAGGAAACAATGGTTAACTCATTTCATGGTTTAATATCTTGCAATCACATATACCACTTTATACATGACATGAACATAATGGTTCTTACTCTACAATTCATCTATGTGCTTAAAACGCCCACCTACAGTACACATTAAGAGCAGTTAAACAGTGAATGTAACCTGAATAATTACATAGTGCTATAGGTATGTTCTCACTATATTCAATGATCTAATGTTAAAAATAGACCACTACCCCCACATTTATTCAATCGAGTAGCCAGAATATATTTATTTGCCATTTATTATTATATTAACATAAAATATGTCATTAATTCTTTAAAAATGAATTTTGAATTATGAGTTATCAGTGCATGCCAGTCTTTTCAAATATTTTTCTTATACAACTCTCATGATAAAAACATAAACATAACATGCATATATGCAAGAAAAAGAACAAACTGAAGATTTCCAAACTGGGCCACATGAAAACAATGTTTTTCTTCATATTTGTCACAAATGCATCCAAATTTTTAAGCGAAAGTTTTCTAAACTTTTAAGACACAGAATATTTGAAACCTTGTAAAAGCTTACATTTATAATGTTCAGTAATTCATTCAGATATTTGATATCTTGGACAGACACTATTAAATGAATAGGAAAACATCTAGAAATAATTACATTATAAAATTGATTAGCATCAGGTAACAGAAAGATAACATTAATGAGTTCAGTCTTGATAATGAGGACATATAGATTGCTAAGTAAAACTTAGAGGCACTCCAAACACAACACTGGCAGAAAAGAAGGACTATCAGAGAAAATATAATACAGTACAACATGACTGCAAAAGTAGAAAAAGAGGTCATTTGCAAGATTTCAAGTAGCTGCTGAAATACTTTAAAACATTGTAGAAAAATAAACACTTAAGAACAGAAAACTGCACTTTGGGAGCATGCATAGACAAATCATGGAAATTTCCATAAATTGTTAATAAGTATTCTGATGCAAAGAGTTGACAATTCTAGTGGATCTCAATTTAGGATGATAATCCTGAGTCATAGTCATATAGAAAAGATCAGTAAAACTGAATTATTCAGTAAGCAAATATTTCCCTAGACCAGAACAGATGAAATTCTCAAACTCTACAAGCTAAAGATGTTTACAGTTTCTGAGAGGTGGTAACAGAAATATTTTTAGAGCTCTGGCTTTGTTGATACCTACATCTGTTTATATCTAGCTAGCTGGTTAGCTTTTTTTTTTTTTTGCTTTAAGTATATTTTAAATATCCTAAACAAAATATTAGCAAAGTGAATCTAACAAACATACTTAACATTTTGTTGAGAATATTCTTATAGAAAGAATAATACACCACAAACAAGTGGGATTTATTTCAGGGATGCAAGGCTGGTTCAACATTTAAAAATCAGTTAATGTTATCCATCACACCAACAAGCTAAAAAGGAACAGTCATATATTCATATTAATAAATGAAGAAAAAGCAGTTGAAAAAATTCAACATTCAAGATTTAAAAAACAACAAATTAGGAGAGGACTTCCTCAACTTGTTAAGGAACATCTATAAAAAACCTATAGCTAACATCATATATAATGGTGAGAAACACAAATCTCTTACATTAAGATCAGGGAAAAAGCAAGACTGTTCTCTGTCCCCACAGCTTTTCAACATTATACAGGAAGTTTAAGCTAATGCAATGAAAAAGAAAAGAAAAGGTAGATAAATTGGAAAAGGAGAAATTAAACTGTCTTTGTTTTCAGGTGACATATTTACCTATGGAGAATATCCAAAGAAACTGACAAGAAAAAAAACCTGAAACTAATAAGCAATTAGGTTTCAGAATAAACGGTTAATGTACAAAAGACAATTACTTTTTTATGCACCATCAATGAAAAATGAGACTTGAATTGTAAAATACAGTATCACTCATATTAGCACCCAAAAATGAATAGAAATAAATCAAGCAACATATGTACAAGATCTATATGAGAAAAACTATAAAAATCTGACAAAATATATCTAAGAAGAACTAAATAAATAAAGAGAGTCCATGTTCATGGATAGAAAGACTAAATATTGTCAACTTGTCAGTTCCTCCCAACTTGATCTACAGACTCAACAAAATCTCAGTCAAAACCTCAGCAAATTATTTTGTGAACACCAACAAACTGATTCTAAAGTTTATATGGTGAGGCAAAAGATGCAGAATAGCTAATACAATACTAAAAAAGAGGAAATCAGAGTACCTATGCTATGTAATTTCAAGCCTCATAATGAAGTCCCAGTAAGTAAGAAAGTGTGATATTGGCAAAAGAATAGACAAATAGATCGATAGAACAGAAATAGGTACACATAAATATAATTAACCAATCTTTGACAAAGAAGTAAAGCCAATACAGGCGTGGTGACGGGCGCCTGTAGTCCCAGCTATTTGGGAGGCTGAGGCAGGAGAATGACGTGAACCCAGGAGGCGGAGCTTGCAGTGAGCCGAGATGGTGCCACTGCACTCCAGCCTGGGCAACAGAGCGAGACTCCGTCTCAAAAAAAAAAAAAAAAAAAAAAAGAAAATGAAAAGAAAACACATCTAAATTATGGGATGAATCTTAAATAGTTCTTAGAGTAATATTTATGGCAATATATATTAAAAGAGAAGAAATGATTCAAATCGATGACTCATCTTATATCTGAAACTAAAAAGTGATAAGAGAAAATTAAACCTAAAGTAAGCAGAGGAGAGCAAACAATAAGTCTGAGTGAAAATAAATGAAATAGAAAACAGAAAAAATAATGGAGAAAATAATAAAAGCATATATGGTTCTTTGAAAATATAAAATTGATAAACTCTAGCCAAACTGAAAATTTAAAAAGAGAGGATTAAAAAACACAAATTGCCAATATCAGGAATCAGAGAGGTTATATCCTCAAAGATGCTACACATATAAAAAGATAAGGGAATATGATGTACTACCCTATGCCAGTAAGTTGACAACATATGGAATAAACAGATGGCCTGAAAGATAAAATAACAAAGCTTACTTATGAGGAAGTGGTAGAATAGCCTATCTATATTAAGTAATTTGTACTGGATTTATAGTTTAAAATCCTACCAAAAGTAAACTCTATTCACAAATGGCATGGTTGTATATGTAGAAAATCTAATGTGATCTTCAAAAAAGTGACTAGAAGAATGAATTAAGCAAGGTTCTGGAATAAAAAAATCAATATGCAAAAATTACTTGTATTTCTATATACTACTAATAGTAATGGCAATCAGAAGTTAAAATTTGAAATAGTATTTACAACAACTTCAAGGAAAATGAATTATTTATGGATATATCTAACTAAAATGAGTAAAAATTGTACATAAAATCTATTACTAAAGTGAAAGAAGACCTAAGTAAATGAAGAACTATATAATGTTCCTAGATTAATATGTGGTTAATGGGGCTTAGATATCAGTCCTTCTCAAATTAATATAGAGATTTAACGCAATCTCAAAGTTATTGGGCTTTTCTCTAGAAAATAAGCAAATTCTAAAATGTACATGGAAATGTAAAGGTCATGGTATAGCCAAAGTATCTTTGAAAAAAAATTTTGGGGGTGGCGGGGAACTTACTCTACCTGATTTGTAGACTTATTGTAAAGCTACAGTAAATAATCCAGATTGTATAGTATTAGTGGTAAGGTAGACAAGTGGATCAATAAAAGATATTAGAAAGTGAAACAGTAGATTTACGTATATATAGTCAAAGTATATCAGTTAGGAAGTAGCAGACTTTTCAAAAAACAGGGGTAGGACAGTTGAATATTTATAGCCAGAAAAGAAAAAAATCTTTATTCCATCCTCACACATATAAAAATATTAATGTAAAATGATTTATAGATCTAAAAGTAAATCTTGAAATTATAAAAATTCTAGAAGACAGCATAGAATGAAATGATTGTGACTCTGTGTTAGGGGCAAAGAGTTAGTAGATACTCCACCAAAAGTATAATTCACAAAATAAAAAATAAATTCAGCCTCATCAAAATTAACAATTAGGCTGGGCACAGTGGCTCATGCCGGTAATCCCAGCATTTTGAGAGGCTGAGGCAAGCAGATCACTCAAGGTCAGGAGTTGGAGACTAGCCTGGCCAACATGGTGAAACACTGTCTCTAATAAAAATACAAAAATTAGGCCGGGCGCGGTGGCTCACGCCTGTAATCCCAGCACTTTGGAAGGCCGAGGCGGGTGGATCATGAGGTCAGGAGATCGAGACCATCCTGGCTAACAAGGTGAGACCCCGTCTCTACTAAAAATACAAAAAATTAGCCGGGCGCGGTGGCGGGCGCCTGTAGTCCCAGCTACTCGGGAGGCTGAGGCAGGAGAATGGCGTGAACCCGGGAAGCGGAGCTTGCAGTGAGCCGAGATTGCGCCACTGCAGTCCGCAGTCCGGCCTGGGCGACAGAGCGAGACTCCGTCTCAAAAAAAAAAAAAAAAAAAAAAATTAGCCGGGCGTGGTGGCACATGCCTGTAGTCCCAGCTACTCGGGAGGCTGAGGCAGGAGAATTGCTTGAACCCGGGAGGCGGAGGTTGCAGTGAGTCGAGATTGTGCCACCGCACTCCAGCCTGGGAGACAGAGTGAGACTCCATCTCAAAGTAATAATAATAATAGTAATAATAATAACAATTAAAGACACTGTAAGAAACATTAAAAAACAAGCAACAGACAGGAATAATTACAAACATATTTACACATAATGAATCTGATAATGTGTATCCAGGCTATATAAAAATTCTCAAAACTCTATAGAAAAATTTTTCAGCCATAAAAAGTAATAAAAACCTGTCACATGCCACAATTTGGATGAACCTTGAAAACATGCTAAATGGAAAGAAGCCATATCAGAAATTATCACTATTGCATGAATTCATTTATATGAAATTTTCAGAATATACAGATCTAGGGAAACAGAGTAGATTGATGGGTTGCCAGAGACGAGTGGAGGAAAAGATTAGGCATGATTGTTAATAGGTATGTGATTTCTTTATGGATTAATGAAAATGTTCTGGAATAAAATAGTCATAATTGTTGTACAATATTGTGTAGTTATACTAAAAACCACTGACATATACACTTCAAAATGGTGAATTATATTTCACGTGACTTATATCTCAATGTTAAACATTATAGAATGAAACAAAACTCATTAATAAGAAAACAAGCAACCCTATTTTAAAAAAATTGGCCAAGACTGTGAACAGATCCATTTTAATAAAGATGTACACATAGTAAATCACCATAGAAACAGTTTCTGAACATCACAAGTTAAAAAACACACAGAAATACTAGTACACACACCAGTAAGAGTGACTAAAATTTTAAGACTGACCTTACCAAGTATTGTAAACATCAAAAAACTAGAACTCTCATTTACTGCAGGCAGGAATGTAAAATCTGATAGTTGCTTTTGAACAAAAATGTGGTAGTTTCTTAAGAAGTTAAACATAAGCCTACCATTTGACTCTGTCATCCCATTTTTAGGTGTTTATCAAATTAAAACACATATGTTTATACATGGACTTGTACATAAATGCTCACAGTAACATCATTAACATCATCTTTAAAGACTCGAAACTAGAAACAACCTAAATGTCCCAAATGTCCAATTGCCTAAATGTGAATGGATAAACAAATTGAGGTATATCTATAAAATACAGTATTTCTCAGCAGTTAAAAAGGCATTAAATAATGATATACACATTTATATGGGTGAATGTTAAAATAGTTAAATGAATGAAAGAAATTAGGCAAACATATGATTTCACTTATATAAAATTCAGTCATGCATCGTGAGAGCAGATAAAGATTGCCAGAGACGAATCCAGAGAGGTGAGAGCTGGAAGCAAGAGGTTATAAAAGGGCATGAGGAAAGCTTTGAGGATAATGCACATATTCATTATCTCCATTATGGTGGTGGTTTTACTGGGGTACAAATAGATTATGTTTTACCAAATTGTACTATGAGATATTAGCCATTTATAGAATGTCAATTATACCTCCATAAACTGTACAAACAAATTAATTTTAAAAAACAGAATCAAATAAACTGATTTAGTCTCTGGAGATACAACAGATAATTAATGTCAGAGTTCATGACATTTTAACCACATACTATGTGGAAACCAATATTATAAGGGTGCCAATTCTAAGATTTTCATGTTGGAAGTGAGGCTGCAGCAAAGAAAAGTAAAGCAATATGCAGAAATATATGCAAGATAACTCATCTACAAAATAAAAGAGAAAGAATGGATCCCCAGTGATTTTGGTTCAATTATTGCCAAGCTAAACTTTGTTTCCTGAGATTCTCTTTCTTCATTTGAGTTTCTATGGGTTCTTTTCATATTTTAAAACCAAACTATCCATCATTTGAATAGTCTTTTTATTCATTTATTTATTTTGTTTCTTTGTAGGCACAGGTCCTTGCTATGTTGCCCAGGCTGGTCTCAAACTCCTGGTCTCAAGTGGTCCTCTCGCCTCTGCCCCCCAACATGTTGGGATTACAGGTATGAGCCACCACACTTGACCTTTTCTTTCAAGCCTGGAGCAAAAACAAACAAACAAACAAAATACTTTGTTTGGTGTTTCTATGAATTAATAAGTAGGTAACTAAATTGGCAAATAACCTAGACTATTTTGACCAAGATTTTATTGACCAGTACCTTAGTTTGAGGTCCCTTTAGAAAGAGACACTGAAGCAAGAATTCAAGTAAAAATAATTTAGTTAGGAGGTGATCCTACACTTTAACTGATACACAGACACTCTAAACTAATAATAACAAAGGTGATATACTCAGGGCACTGATGTCATCTGCTATGCCCAAGTAAGGGAAACCAGGCAAAACATTACTGCTTACAGAATTTTCTTTAAGAAGAGTTATTTCCAGCTGGCAATGCTGCATTTTATACCTTCCCTTGTTTTCTTCCCTTATTTAACCTGGCTCCCTGTTGCCTATAAGAACCAAAGTATCTGTTGGCCTGAGACACAACAGGCACCTCATCAGCTAGCCCTCACCTACTTCACCAGTGTCATCTTCTACATGATTCTGCCATAGATAACACATTGAACTACTTGCAGTTCTGCAAAGACACGGTAGTTTTGCATAACAGTATGAATTTAAACATGCAAACCAGCAACCTGAAATAGCTTTCCTCCGTGGTGACTGTTTACTTAATGTTTCAATATGCAACATAAATATACCAACTTTTACCTGAATTCTCCAAGTGTCTGTGTCCTTTGTGTCTATGTGCATATTTCTGAGACAGCATTTATATTGCATTATATTGATTAATTCATTGCTCTATTCCAGTAGATCAGAAACTCCCTAGTGACAGAGATTATTGTATTCATCTTAGCTCCAGTGGTTGGCACAATGTTGTGCAGATTGAAAATGCCCAATAACTTTTATTGGATTGTTTATGATTTTAATAATTGAAAATAGCATCAATAAATTAGCTAAATAAGTGACAATGCACTTTAAGAGTAGTATATTATGCAGCTTTTAAAAAGAATTGACTAGTGGTACATATACTGTTATGCAAAGGTAACCAAAATATATAACAAAAGTTTAAACATAATGTTAAGTGAAAATAACAAGTTACAGAATGCTATAGAGTGATCCAATTTTTGTAATATTTTGGTAAAATACAAACTCTATATATAGTATTCATAACTAAATACATATATACTATGAAGTGTCTGGACAAATCATATAGTCATGCATGACTTGACAATGGGGATATATTCTGAGAAATGCATCATTAGGATATTTTTTCTTTGTGCAAACATCAGGCAGTGTATTTACACAAACTGAGATAATGCAGCCTACTGCACAGCTAGGCTATATAGTATAGCCCACTGTTCCTAGGGTATAAACCTGTACAGAATACTACTATACTGAATACTGTAGGCAATTATAACACAATGGTAAGTATCTGTGTATCTACACATATCTAATCATAGAAAAGATACAGTAAAATACCAGATAAAAGATTAAAAATGATACACCTGTATAGCATGCTTACCATGAACAGAGCTTGCAGGACTGGAAGTTGCCCTGGGTGAGCCAATGATTGAGAGGTGAGAGAATGTAAAAGCCTGGGACATTACACTACTGTAAACTTAATCAACACTGTACACATAGGATACACTAAGTTTATTAAAAAGTTTGTCTTTCTTCAATAATAAATTAATATTGGCTTATTGTAACTTTTTGCTTTATAGAGTTTTTACGTTTCCAAACTTTTTGACTTTTCTGTAATAACACATAGCTTAAAACACAAACATATTGTACAGCTAGCTATATAAGAATATTTTTTCTTTATATTCTTATCCTATAAGTTTTTTCCTATTTTTATACTTTTTAATTCTATTTTTGCCTTTTAAACTATTTTTTTAAGAACTAAGACATACACATAGAAGTTATACTAAGCCTACCAGGTGTCAGGAGCATTAACATCACTGTCTTCCACCTCCACATCTTGTCCTGATTGTCTTCAGGGGCAATAACACAAATGGAACCGTCATCTCCTATGATAACAAGACCTCCTAAAAGGACCTACCTGAGGATGTTTTACAGTTAACATTTTTATAAGTAGGCATGCACTCTAAAATAATAACAGATAGTATAGTAAATACATAAACCATTATCTTAGTGATTTATTATCATTATCAAGTATAATGTAATGTACATAATTGCATGTGCCAGGACTTTATAACTGGCTATACAGTAGGTTTGCTTACAGTAGCATCACCACAAATATGTAAATAATGCATTTCGCTACAATATTATGATGACCACGACCTCACTAGGTGATGGAAATTTTTCAGCTCCATTATAATCTTATGAGATCACCATAGTATATGCAGTCCTTCTTTGACAAAATTGTTGTCATGTGGTATATGATCATATACAAAACTATTAACAATGGTAATGCCCAGAAGCTAGAATTATGAAGCACATACATTATGTTTACAACTCTATGTTGTTTTAATTTATATAATAATAAGGTAATTAGTTTTATAGGATAAAAATAACAATAATGATAAATATAGAGAGAATGAGCTTTTATCATAATAAAACCTAATTTAGAAATAGTAATGTGAGAATCCAGTTAATTCCATTTAAATCAGCCAAGAAGCTTGAGTTCCATTTAATAGAGTGTCCTTGTAGATTCAAAAAGAGAGGTAGTGGGGAAAAGCATAAGGAGATGCTATGAAGGAAATTGAAAGCATTTTGTATATTTTAAGCTGAGATAGAGAAGACTTGGTAAGGAACATAACCTGTCTTCAAATTCTTGAAGATTGTTTTATGGAAGAGGTCATAAATGTGTTGTGTTTTGCCTTTGGGGTTTTCCTAAGGTCAGTGTGTGAAACTTGTAGAGAGAGATTCAGATTTAGTGTAAAAAGAGACCTTTTGCATGGTCATCATTTTACAAAGATAGAAAGAACAAGCTCCATGGTTTCCTCATTTTCACAATGCCTGAAGTTATCCAAATACAATCTGGAAAAACACATGTCAGAAAAATTGAGCAGTAACTCCCAGTCTGGTTAGAAGGGAGGGTTAAATGCCCTATCTAGGCTCCCTTCCAGCCATGAGGTTATGATATTGTGAGATCAGAACTTTCCAAAAGAGCTTTGTAATTTTTAGGACATGGAAAGCATTTCTATAAAAAAGTGATTCTTTTTTATTAAATTTGGTTCACATTACACAGTTAAAAGCAAAATGAAAAGTCTGGAGACATAGTTCTGTTCCAAACTTTCTAATAAATTCATTCATTCATAAATTCAAAATTTATTGAGTGCCTGCTATGTGTCAGGAACTTCATGAGAAAAAAAATAAAGGAAAAAAAAGGTATAGTCCAAGTAGTTTGTATTTGAATAGATGAGGAAAAATTTTAAGCAAACAATTACAGTGCAATAGCTGAATCAATAGAGGAACATAACACAGTTCAGTAGCAGCAGAAAGAAGAGGAAGAACCTTGTCAAGGAATGCCAAGAGTTGTATGGGTAGGGGGGCATACAGAAGCATGCAAATGTGTGAACAAAGATGCGGATATGAAAAAATGTAGATGGTTTACTATCACTAGAACTTAGAACATCTATATTTTAAGAATATGAGACTAAAATGTCAAAGCCACATTAAAGAGTATTTTGAGTACCATTCTAAAAAAAAAGGCAGGGTTTTCTTTGAAGGTAATTGGAAGCCACAGGAAAGCCTTTAATAATTTAAAAAAAAAGAATACTAAGTACGTACTTTATAAAGTTTGCACCTGTCAGCTTCATGAAGGAAGAGATGGTGAAAATTTAGATAAGAAAAGGAAAGGCAGTTAATAAAATTTAATTGGCTTTTCAAAATGTGGCTAAAGAAATGGAGAGATAAGCAAAAGAAAGGAGGGCTAATAAGAAGGTAGAATCATCAGGATTTAGTGATTAATTGAATGTGGATATTGAAGGAAAAAGTAAAATTCACTAGGCCTACAGTGAGTCTGGTTTTTGAAACTGGGTAGATTATCCGAGACAAGGAACGCAGAAAGAGGAACTCTTTCTGGGAAAAATAAAAAATAAATACAAGACAATAAACAATAGCATCAACACAAAATCTTCTCCTGTTTGATGTTATTAAGAGGACTAAATAAAAATGTCCTGGACACCCTGGAAGAGATGGACTGGAGCTGAATTACAAGATCCGAGCTACAGACACATAACTGGAAGTCCTTATGAACATATATACTTGGAAAGCTTATTGATATGGATAATATTCCTGGAAAGGGGAGAAAACAATAAGAGAAAGGAAAACTGGCATCTTTACATCTCATATCTTTAAGAGAAAACAGCAAAGGTAAGAAAATAATTAACTGGTTAGATATCATGATTGATCCTCCGACTTGAAAGCAACCTACAATGCTAGATAATTTTTAAATCTTTTTTTTTTTTTTTTTACTTTACTCTAAGTTCTGGGATACATGCGCAGAATGTGTAGGTTTGTTACATAGGTATATGTGTGCCATGGTGGTTTGTTTCACCTGTCAACCTGTCACCTGTCAACCTGTAATCTAGGTTTTAAGCCCCACATGCATTAGGTATTTGTCCTAATGGTTTCCCCCACCTTGCCCCCACCCCCCAACAGGCCCTGGTGTGTGATGTTACCTTCCCTGTGTCCATGTGTTCTCCTTGTTCAACTCTCATGAGTGAGAACATGCGATGTTTGGTTTTCTGTTCCTGTGTTAGTTTGCTGAGAATGATGGTTTCCAGCTCCATCCATGTCCCTGAAAAGGATATGAACTCATTCTTTTTTATGGCTGCATAGTATTCCATAGTGTATATGTGCCATTTAATCTCATTTGCAATAGCTACAGATGAAAAAAAACCTAGGAATAAACCTAACCCAAGAAGCGAAATATATCTACAATAAAAACTATAAAACATTAATTCAGGAAACTGAAGAGGACACACAAAAACTGGAAAGATATTCCATGTTCATGAATTGGAAGATTCAATATTGTTAAAATGTCCGTACTACTAAAGGCAATCTATAGATTCAATTCAATCCCTGTCAAAATACCAACGGCATCCTTCACAGACATAAACAATCTTAAATTTTATATGGAGCCACAAAAGACTCAGAATAACCAAAGCTGGAAAAAGAACAAAACTGGAGGAATCATATTACCTGGCTTCAAATTTTAATACAGAGCTATCTATTATAACTAAAACAGCTTGTTACTGGCATAAAATACACACATAGACCAATGAAATAGAACAGAGATCCCAGAAACAAATCCATACATCTACAGTGAACTCCTTTCTGACAAAGTTGCCAGGAACATATACTGGAGAAAGAACAGTATTTTCAATAAATGGTGCTGGGAAAACGGGACATCCACATTTAAAAGAATGAAGCTAGACCCCTATTTCTTACCATATACAAAAGTCAAATCAAAAATGAGTTAAAGACTTAAATCTAAGACCTCAGACTATGAAATTATTACAAGAAAACAATGGAGAAAATATTCAAGACATTGGGCAAAAATTTCTTGAGCAATACCCACAAGCATAGGCAGCCAAAGAAAAAAGGATAAATGGGATCGCATTGAGTTAAAAAGCTTCTGCACAGCAAAGGAAATAAGCAACAAAGTGAAGAAGCCCCTTCTAACTCCCCCACCAAAAACTCTACCTCTCTTACCCTAACTGGCTCTAAGAATGCTGTCAATTAGGTCTTTACTCTCCAGACAAATGTGGAAATATGACAGCCTCAAATGAAAGACCTAAGATTCTGATATCAGAAGTTTGCCAAATGAAAGCTCCAGCCACATCATCCTACAATGAGGCTTATTGTCAACAGGCCTCAGAGGATTCCACTACTCTTAATCATGTGCAGACAACAACAAATGAGCACACATCTAGGGGAAACCTCTAACAAGAGATATAGAGATGAAAGAAAACGTATAAGAACAAGTGCTTTGCAGGCTGTAGAGAGGATACATGGAAATAAAACTCTTTAATACAACAATTAGTATCCTTAAAGAAAAAAGGAAAGATGGCAAACCATAAAGTAAGAACACAGTGCTATAAAAAGGAATACTTAAGGGAATAAAAAGATCTCAGTAATTAAAAATATAATAGCAGTAATGAAAAACTTTGGAGAAGTGCTAAAAGATAGAGTCAAGAAAATGTTCCAGAAAGTAAAGCAAAAAATAATAAGTGTAAAAAGTATTAGAAAATGAATGCTGGAGATATAACTTCCAGATGGAAGTTCTAAAAAGAGAGAACAGAGAAAATTGAGAGGAAGTAATCATTTAAATAATTTCAGAATAGTGCCCACAACTGAAGTTTATGAGTTTCCACATTAAAATGATACTTTAATAACTAAATTTTAACTGTTATTATAGGAAGTCAGTAAATGATACCTAAAACTGACCAATAATAAAAATGTATTATAGTCCTATTATTTAGAAATGCTGAGACAAACGCCAAAATAATCAGATAAAAGAACAAAAAAATTATTTCTCAGGATGAAGAAATAAAAGGAGAGAGGTTCTAAGAATTGCATAGTTTGTAGAATCATTTGATTTTTTAATTCACACTTATTAATTAGATAAAAATAAAAACTAAAAATTATAAATAATCCTGAATAAATAGATTTAATGGTAGATTCAACCAATATGGATGAAAAAAAAACTAATTACCTCGAAGATACATCTGAGGAAATTAATCAGAATGTAGCATAGAGGGATAAGGAGATAGAAAATATGAGAAAGAGGCTAAGAGACTGGGAGAACATGTCGGGAGGCCTAGTATGTAACTAATCGGAGTCCCAGAAGGAGAGAGAGAGAGAGATAATAAAGGGGAGACAATACTTAAAGGAGTAATGACTGAGTTTTCAAGGACTAATGGAAGACTTCAATGCCTACCCTTAGAAATTCCAAAAGAAAGGTCAAAGATAAACCAGGAGGTGAGGATGTCATGGAATCTACAGGAGTACAAATTTTCTATGATAAGAGCTGGATCCACATTTCTGGTTATTTTTCTATCCTGTCATCAATTGTTGACTAAAATAAACCTATTTGCTTACACATTTAAAGAACGTATTTGCCATGTACAAAATATTTCAATTTTGGCAAATCAGATACACACGTGTAGACACATATCATGTAAACTATTTAGGAGGGCTCTTTACTAGTAAACTCAACCAAAGTGATCAAACTAATTTGTAGGTATAGGCTTTGTCTCATAACTAAAGAGAAAATCATTTTCCCTTAGACAGTCTCCCTAGGAAATGTGGCCTGAAATACAAAGGTAAAGTAGCTTGAAACATACGTAAGTGTTGTCTCTATAATGCCACAAACAACTGAAGATAGAACGAAAGCATCAGGGAATCAGTTCTCTGTTTTGCTTACATGATAAAACCCAATCTAACTGATTCAAAATATTAAATTAGTTATTTTGGCATTATGTAGACAAAACCTTTGTTATCTAATTAGGGAGTTCATTTCCTGTTCCTTTTCCTTAGCAACCTGGTTTCCATCTGTTTATTACCCAATCATTGTTAGTTTCTACTTGGATGACCAGGTATAATTTAGGCAGTATAAGTATCATTTCAAAACGGTTAACCCTGCATCACACTGTAATAAAATTCTTTTGCTCTTAAAATTTTATATGATTTTAAAAGTTAGTGAGCATGTGAATTGGGGTTTCACAAAAGGCACAGGCAACAGAGAAACATTTTTTTTAATGGATTTATTTCTTTGTTAATTTAAGACATTTCTCTAGTGGCAGCCACATGTGAATAAAGCATTGCCTTAATTGACAGTAAAAAATTTCTTCTAGAAACTAGTACAAACTGTGGAGAAGTGCAAAACATGCAAATATCTGTACTGATGTGTTTGTGGAAAGGTAGAAGTAGAGTGAAGACAGAAAGTGGCAATAAGACCAGTGAACAAGTGACAAGGCTTTCTTGGAAAGAGCTTGGTAATTAAACACATTAACACTGTTCCCTGGCAGTATGTTAGTTTAGCTAAAGCTAACTTAAGAGGACATTTTACAGAGTACAAGAGCTCATATGGAGCCTTTATTTAACAACTTTCAGATCCTCACATCTAGGTTATAAAATAATAGCATCTTCACTTACAAGAGAGTATCATGATCAACTTTGTCTTGTAAATGTTCTTCCTGGCTGACTTACGTATTGACTTAGGTAATGCAAATATTTCCTGTGATATTTTTAGCATTAAAGGGGTCCTTTCATAGCTACAATTTTAACTTTTATTATAGGTAGTAAGTAAATGATACCTAAAATTGACCAATAGTGAAAATGTATTATAGTTCCATTATTTAGAAATGCAGAAACAAATGCCAAAAAATAGTCAGATAAAAAATAATTACATATTATTTATTTTGGGTTTTGCCTTTCTTTTTACTTGCTGAAAGAAACACAATTTCCTTCTCCTGTCTCTTTGCTTATTTCTTATTCTTCAAATAAACATTTTACGTGTAAATGGAAGAAGAAAATTACCTTTTTCTTTTTTTTGCCTCAGCTAGGTTCTTCCATGACACAGAATTGTTGAATATACAGCTCTAAAGCTAAAAGTAAGAAACACAGCATTCTGTCTGCGGAAAACTGTGTTGTATACCCTGAGGAAATGACAATAGACAGTTGAAATAAACATTGATAATGAATTTTGCTATTTATCTTTGTTTTGTTTTGGTCCAAATCAATGAAGACAAAGAGTCAAGATGGTGAGCAGTGGGTCTTGGCCGATTCTATTGAAAATCTAATTAAAAGATTCTTCTCATCTAAGATTATATTGGAATTCTAAACACAAAAGATGCTGCCACTAGTTAGAACAAATGTAATTCAAAACACTCCTAAGAAAAGAAGTGGTGTTTAATTGCTTGTCAATAGGCTATTGTTTAATGTTACTCACCTCAGATCAAACTTGCTCAAAGACAAATGTTCATGCTTTTATTAGCTGTACTCTGTGACATGACATTCAAATAAACTAAAGACTAATAAATCAAAGTGTAGGAATTAGAACCACAATATTTATTCTTTCTGGGTATCCGTGATATACAAATGATTGCTTTGTGTTAAAATTCTCAATAAATAAAGTAATATTGCTTGAAGGCATGAAATTAAATTAAGTTTGCCATTACTCTGAACACACCACCATTTTTTAGTACTCTTTCTGTATGTGGAAAATTGGAAACCCTCTGTACTCTCATAATTTCCAGTGTTTATACATATGCCTGTCAAACAAACCCTCCCTTTTAAACAGAGTTTATTCTTCATTTAATTTTGCATTCTTTTTCAAAACCAAGGGTTAACATAAAGCAATGACTTCCTAATGTATAGAGACTGGGTGAGTGAGTGAATGAATGTATGTAGATAGGTGGAAATTTTGGAGGTTTGCCTCTCAGTGTCAGAAAGTCAGATTAGGCAGACCAGCATCTTTACTTGGCCTCTGATACAGCATCTCACTTTAATTCTTATTTTCCCTTTTGTTTTGATGCTCCTTTGCCTCCTAATTTCTTCAGGCAAACAAGAATTTATGAAGCACCTTTTCACTGCAAATCAATTTAGGTATATGCTAATTGTACTCATGGTTTGTTCATTCAATAAGCTTCCTGTTCAGTATGGAAGATAAGAAAATTCAAATAAGAATAAATTTAAAAGTTACATCCTAAGAGTAAAGCAAATGAGGTTCTATGGCAACCTCCGTTCTTCTAATGACACCATTAATTTACCACATTTCCTTCTTCCTAAAACAGTATTGATTTTCAAGGCATATCATCAAATTGAGAATAGCATTTTGAGGAAATACATTATATTAAAATGTACATATTTAAAAACTACTTAACAGTAACATTCATTTATCCATAAAATTGCATGTCACTTTATTCATCAGTATCAGCATCTAAGCCATGACATAGTCCAAATCTAAAAATTCTTCTGATAAATTTTGACCATCAGTGGGTAAGCATATCATCATAGTGACCAACAGTGCTCACGACCCTAATTTCTTAACATTTTTAGGAGCAACAGTATAATTTAGAAACAAATCAGGTAATTCTAGAATTTTTTTCTCCATTTACTATTTCGTTAAATTCTAGTTAACTTGTTTGTGTTTATGGCTGAAGTGATAGTCCCCCAGGACTCAAAAATTGGTCAGAGTTTTTATCTAGTTTTGAAAAAACTACAGTGAATTCGAAAAACTTTGGCAATACTACGACCTTCATTATGCTAGATGGCAAAAAACAGGCGATCGTCTAGGTTCACAGTAACTTCTAGTTCTAATGCTCCTTAAGGGGGTTATCTTTTTGTGGACATTTTAAATGACAAATGCAGAACCAAATATAAAATTCAACCACTGCTGATGGTACTAAGGCAAATAACCCTTCTCAAATAGCAGCCTGATGAAACAGAAGTCAGATGAATATACCTTTAATTCTTGACCATGTTACCATAAGCTCAGAAATGACAAGTATAATTTATTTCATGCATAGAAGGCTTTTTGACGTCAATGATGTTTACCAATTTCAGAAACATTGACATTAAAAGTAAGTTGAATTTCTTAGAATTGAATTTCTTAGAATATTTCTGTTTGAATGTGACCCATAACTTCTGATAATTTAATAAAATGACATTCCCTATTTTTATTTGTGCCTTACATGCTGGGCACTTTACACATTATTAATGTACTTAGGATGTTGCTATATTCTGGCCAGTAGTGTTGCACCTCTAATTTCTACTGTTAGTACATGTATAGATCCCCTAGGTAAAATCACTAGAAATATAGTAGACCTCTTAGGGCAATGAAGGAGGCTTAGTCTGAGTTGCTTGTTGTTCATATAAATCAGAAATGTACAAAGTCAAGTAGAAATGTAAAGTACCCAATCAACTAAACTTTGTGTCACTGATATCAACTTTCCAATCCACCTTAAGGTTTAAGTATAAAAGAAGGAAATAAAAGATAAATCAAACATAGGTACATAGGGGCAGGGGATGCCACTACAAAACAAACAAATCAACAAAAAACAATATTACAGGGGAAATTCAGTCCCCGACGAAGATGATAAATCTAAATTCACATTTGTTGTTTGCGGGTAACAAAATAATATCCGAGGTAAAAATTTACATTGGTTATTTGGAAATGGTGTAAGTTCTGCAATAAAAGAAGTGAACTGTTGGTAACCGTTTGGAATACAGTCAGTAATTGAAGCCCCAAAGAATTAATTGCTATTAAGAAATAATGATAAAAATAAATTAGAACTTGTGTTCAAACTTAATATTTTAATGTAACCATTGACTTCTATAACATACATATATTCCTTGAATGTGGCTAATATGATGAGGTCCACTCAATCCTATATTGGGAAACTTAGATGACACGAGAGTGAGTTTCTAATACCCTGGCATTGCTCTGAACTGCCAGTTCCTAACCTACCTTAAATCCTACAATTTTTTCCTCATCTCTACAGATTCTTACCACAGGGTTTCTCCCCCAACCCCATTTATGGCTTTGTTTCCGCCTTCAGACTGTAGGATGGATTCACTCCTATGTTCTGGCTTTCCACGACATCTGTACCTTATCATTATTTTGTCTATAGCTGTACAGTCTTCTGCAGCCCCAGGTGAAGATCTGCACATGAGGAACAATCTCAGGATTCTCTGTCTCATTGCAGCCCTCCCTGAGTGTTGTCCTCTTCTGTTTTAGAATGGATCCCTCTAATGAGACCCACATCTATTTACTTAATAGGAGACCACTAGTTTCTACAAAGAATAAAAAAGGATTGAGCGTTAAAAACAAAGAGTATGTTTCTTGAGGAGAGCTCTAAAAACAAACTAAAAGAGCAAGTTTAAATATAATAGGAAAATCCATAGGATAAAAATAAGTTGTTCTTAAAATTTTATGTTTGCTCAATAGTTTCTAAAGTACGATAGCTCTCTATTCATCAGTAAAGACTAACTTCTCCAAATTCTAAAAGCATAAAAAGTGCCAGACTATGAAAGATCTATTCAATTAACTCACATGTACACCATCTGCCACCATCAAATTTACAAAATGCATAAACTCCACAAAACAATTTATAACAATTTATGACAAAATCTTAAATCGTGCATTTAAAAAATAAAATTTATATTTAAGTATGTATACATACAAACATATATTAATATGACTATGTATATATTAACCTAGTATGCACAAATAAGTAAAACAACTACATGTTAACAATTATAAAAAGTATTGTCTTACAGAGCAAATCTTATGCAAATTTAGCAATAATTTAACTGTTAAAATTTCAAATTATTAGAACAAGACAGCTTTCTTTTTTTCTAAAAATTTTTTTTGAAACTTCCGGCATAAGTAATAATCAACCCCAACAGTTTTCAAACAATACTTTTGTTTGAGTCCTGGGCTTCCAAGTTGAAAATGGCAAAATAAGTCTCCAGTAAATAAAATTATCTTCCTTTTTTGAAAACTTTATATTACAAATGCTACTTGCACAATATTAACGTTAATAATCATAGATTTTAATTTCACTAAAAATGATATTTGTAAAAAATGCAAATTTGTGTTAAGAAAGGTTAATCTGGATCATATTTGGGGCAAGATTAACAAAAATAAGGTTGAATATTTTGCCCTGATCTCAAATCCATCCCACAGGATGCAAAATGAATTTGAAATAAAATCAGGCAGTTTTCACAGGCTCAGAGAAACTGAATTCGGCAACTAGTATTACCTACCACTAGTGGCCAAGAGTCCAGATGGATCCTGAAGTTAAATATAGCTTATTCTGAGCTATTAGTGCCAGCTACCAGACAACTGAATATTCTGAGAGATAATCAGCCATTTGTTGAGAACCTCAGGCACATACCTGTGGCTTCAGGAGGTAAAGGAGAAATACATATTTCCAAATATCATCTCATAATTATTTAGCAGCAGGCCTGGAATCACTTGATCGCCTCTTAATTGAGTAAAGTGTTCTTACCAAAATGATCACAGGTCACAATGGGAAAGCATCTACCATCCTTCTTTTCTCAGATTTGTTTCCCATCATATACCTGGAAAATCCAAAAATAGAATATGGAATTTTGCTGCATTTTAAACCAATAGATTAATAACTGGTTATTATAGGCTGGAAGGTTGGAAAAGGGGGATATATATATATATATATATATATATATATATATATATACATACATATACACACACATACACACACACACACATATATATACACATATATATTCACTTGAATGCTCTTGAACTCAAGTCTCAGAGGAAAGAGGCCCACCATGAAGTAGAAAGGGAAGTGAAATTTCATTAATTTGAACAGATCAAAAGGATTATAAAGATACATATTGGAAATAGATCCACAGGAGTAGTTGAGATTTTAGCAGGCTAAGAAGAATGAAATGGCATGTTTATCAGAGGGAATAACAGAGGTAAAGAGCCTATGTTTACGAAATAGCCATTGAGATGCAGGAGGGTAACAATAGCTCTCTTTGATGTTTGAGAATTAGGTGCCAGGCACAGCCAATAGTATACACAGGTAGGTCTAATGACTGTGGTCCAATATTCCAATAAAGTTATGGGAGTAGCAGTATTAAATTATCACCATTTTATTGATGAAGACATTAAGGTACAAAGTGTTCATATAACTTACCTTCAAGAACACAGTTAACAAGTATGAGAGTTAGGATTATGAATTGAGGTGGAGGGACTGTCAAGCCAATATTCCTAATCACTATGCCATACTATATATTGAGGAAATAGGAGAGTGTGAACTGGTTAAGTAGATTAAGGCTATGTCGTGAGGACCTAGCCTGCCTCCTACAGAATTTGTTTAGGCATGTCTCCTGTTGTGTGAGTTTATGTGATATGAATTAGAGAGAATATGATTGAATAATTAAGGGGAAAGAGTGTCACTACTCCAGCAGCTGTTGGAAATAATGTTATTGTGACTGGGAAGAAGCACCTTGCTCAGTGGGAAAATGCTATTGAGTAAACAGAGTAGGAACCCACACCTGCTTGGCTTGCAATAAATGGATGCTCAGCTGGTGTTCTTTCTTCTATTTCCTGCTGGAAGTTGTAAACATCACTAGAATTCATTTTGACAGTACAAAGTTTATTGATTCTTGTCTGATCTTACATGCTCTTCAGTATCTTCCCAGGGATGTTTTGGTTTATTTTTATTGGTTTTGTTTATTATTTGTCGCTTTCATATAATACTGCCATACCTAGTTTGAATAATAATTTCATCAAAGAAATTTTTGAATAAAATATAATTTGGTTATTGTGGTCTGGTATTATTTACTCCTTTCCTTACCCTCTCTTAACACATACATATTGAAACAATTGGTTTTATAATACAATTTTTGAAAATGTGAATTTTATTAGTAATATTGCTGTCATTAATAGCAAAAAAAAAGATTTAACTTAAAACTCAGTATGCAATGGGGAAGCATTAATGGTTTCTGAGAAGATAAATGTGATACAAAGAACCATGAATTAGATAGATAGATACTGGGTAGATGGTTTGCAGTAAGGGAGAGAGAAAAAACAGGAGAAAATAAAGATGAGTCAAAGGTGAATGCATTTCAAACCCATGTGTCTGAGAGAATAGTAGTAACATTAATAACCTCAGCCAAAAAGACATAAGGAGAAATGTAATAAAACAACAGTCTCAACTGATCATGTTTTGGAAATACACATTTTATAGGCATAATTCTCCTGTCATGAAATTTAGTTATCTGTAACAAATACAAATGTCACATTAAAACCATTTGTTTCCCCAAAGACACATATCCCTGCCTAAGATGTTACTTATAAGAAACAATTAAAATCAATCCCTTAATAATTTATATTTTTCCACATATACCCCAATTCCTCTGTGTTTTTGAAAAGGCTGCACCTTTTCAAAGGTGAATAGACAATTATGTGCAATGCCTATTATAAGTGCTTCATGGTTAAACTAACATACTGCTTGCTGAGTTACCATGGAATTTAACTCATAGTAATAGAGCATAAAAGCACTTCTAAAATTGAACTTAAAACTCATATACTTATTAGGAGTCTCTTTATTTCTTCTACTGTTAGTAGTCTCCACAAATATATTTTCAATAATCAAAATTATAATTCATTCAATAGCTGGAGGTCAGATATCAATTCTAAATCATTTTCTCACAAGCTCGGGCCTTTGAAAATTAAAATTAATTATCCAGTTACAATAGCAACAAATCACAGTTAAATTCTTACATTATCACAAGGGGACCTTTGTCTTAAGATCTAATTATTGATCTATTTTCTAATGCAAAGAAGCATACCTAGTTATGTATAAATGTGTTTTTGATAGTTTTTCAGTGGAATTGACAAATTATGGATTAGCCTCACCTCACCGTCCTTAGATCAGCAAATATTTGGAAATCCTCCAAATGCATTAATCGATTGGAACATGTCTGATTAGTCTGACATTATCTCTTGACAAATGCCTTCATTCTCTTCTGAATCAGCACGATATACACAAACTTCAGTTTGTCTCTGTAGCAGACATTTCCTGTGAGGCGAAAACAGATTGCAGCATGAATACATTGTCTAAATTTATTTTGAATTCTTAACCTAAATTTTTAAATCTTAACAAAATATTACATTTGATAAGGTTTATCATTTTCCAAGGCAAGAGTAAATTGAATTCTTCTTATATACCTCAACCGAAAGGTTAAAAAATGAAAGTATTTAATAAAATTTTACTAAGTAATCTGAATAGATAAATGTGTGGGTAGTTTTCAATATGAACACAAATATTTCATTGAACAATTGACAGTTCAACAACCATGTTCATACTTATTAATTTTTTTTCACAGCTCTTTCTGCTATATCCAAATTGTTATTTGTGTTGGGAAAGTAGATCCAAATGTTTAAACATATTCCTTCCCTCTTTTCTATGAATACACCTGCCATAAAAAATGATGTTTTGTTCTGTGGTTTCATCTAAGTTTATGTAAGAGATCTAAAGGAATATAGCAATATCACATACCTCACAATTAAGGTGGCTCTGTTTCCAAAGATGAAAAAGCTGGTGGGAGGGATAGGGAAAAGAGTAATACACTTGGAAATACCATACCAAAAGATAGCTTAAGGATGGCCTTTACTAGAAAATATGACTCTGCCATGATAAGAAGTTGGAGTGGCTCTGGGGAGCTATCTGTCCATTGTAGAGAAACAGAGCTAATCTGATAAAGGGCTTTTGAAGCAAAGTGACCCTGGAGCATTTGTTGGCTGTGTGACAAAGCTGACTAGTCTGGTCCTCTGGGCCACCACTAAGCCTACTCTTAAAAACAACACCTGATAAATGCACTCAGCTACCTATTATGCCTCTTTCCCTTAAACAAAACTTTACCCTACAAAACTGTGTTTTTTTCCTACCTTGGATGCATATTAAATGCCTAGGAAGCTTTTAATACATGCCTTGGTCTCTGACTTATTCAAGACCCATAAAATCAGGATGTGGGTTGGAGCAGAATTTGTTTTTTAAGGGATCTCCGTGGTTGAGAATCAGTGCCTTAAGTGATCAGGCTACATGCATCCTCTTCTACTGGTCACAATCACTTTTCCAGAGCTCAATTCTGCTCCAGGTGAATGCCCATGACCAACTCAAATCACATGCTGCCTGAGGCCCACATCGTAAGCTCCCCACACCTATCATAGAGTAATCTTCGTAAGATACTGAGGCTGATGGTTGTGCTTTAGATACATGCATGCTAAAATCAATCAAGAAAGGAGAATTTAGGAGAAGAATTAAAACATAATCACAGCATAGGAGGACTGGAAATAAGTCATTCTGAAACAAAGAAAGCAAACAAATGCTAGAGAGTTCATGCATTATGTCATATATCAGAAATAAACCTTATTAAGGCAATATACTGTACAGAGTGTAGAAACCAAAATCTTTACCCAGTCGTCAACAGGGCTCCCTCCATCTATAACAATCCCTGAAGAGGCTATATAATGCAAGACTTTATAAGAACAGAGATTAATTGACAGTTACTGAGTGTGTTCAATGGAATAAGAATAATAGAGTTTGCTTCAAAGAGGCACACAAACAAACTACACATGCAATATAAATTTACTATTAACTGTTATTTTTAATTCTCTAATACACTCACAAAAGCCTTTAACCCCATGAAAGTAAAGTAGTTGCTTCTCATGGGCCAACACTTGTAGGTAGATTAAAAATGGCAATTTCGAGTATATAGCCAAGGAGGATTGTTGAGTCATGCTTGAGATTAGCAGGAAAGAAATGCCCTATTCAAACAGCATTGCCTGCTGTGGGTGCAGGAGCATGTATGCTGGCAACCTCACCTGCCTTAGCCATGTTCCTTATCTGCTCCTTCTGTATTGTCTTCCCTTTACCCTCTTATCTGGTTCTACTTAAATTGCTGATCTTTTTCTGTATTCAAGAGTTTTAACACTCCAACATTCTCTGACTAGGAGTAGGTAATTACTCATAGCTGAGTTTTTATAATAATTACAAAAATTAGTTTCCTCTTCTTATTGCTAAAAGTTTGCATGTGTGTCCTTAATGAATGACTTTTTTGCAGGGAAGGGTGGAGAAAGAGGGGGTTGTCTTCCAAGGGTCTCTGTTATTAAAAGACCTGAAGAGTTTCTCTTTCTCTTTTTTAAAAAATATGTTCTGGAGAATGCCTGTCACCAATAACATATTTTCCAGAAATAGCCTTGTTTTATTTCTGTATAATGCTGTCTTTTTCTCTTTCTCAATCTCTACTTGGAGCTGACCTGCTGTGGTGGGAAGGGATTTCTATTCTGCTTTGGGTCTGAGTGGGAAAAAGCAACCTCCATTTCACGTCTAAGTGAAAAACACGCCTCCACTAGAAGCCAGGGACCCTGTGTGGCTTTATGACTGAAGCAAAAAAGAACTTCACTTTTGATACTTTCATAACCACTTTTTCTTAGAATAAAGTAAAATTATTGTGGGAATCATGACCTAAATTCCTCCAACATGTTTATTCAGCTATTTCATAAGTCATAAGACATAAGTAATCTCATACAACATAATTTCTTGTCTGCATTAGCATATTTCTCAGCCCCACACATAAAATGAGATGGAAAGCTTGATTAAAAACATAATAGAATGGATGAATTTCAGAAAATGTCTGTAAATTCACCATATAACCAAAAATGAAAACCAGGGCATAATATTTGGTATTTAAATATTCTATATCCTGTTTCCTATAGAATTTTTTGACTAATGTTTTTAGACTCATACAAATATACTGTCCAAGTAAAGAATTCCAAGTCTTCCGTATTCTCGATAAAACTTAGAAGAGTTTTAAATATATTAGTGATGTAGAATGAAGTCTCTCTTGATTAATCAAGATGCTACAATGATGGAAATATATTAAGGATCTGAACTTGTTATGAAAATAGACAAAACTGTGACAATATTTATCAAGTGAAAAAGATACAATGGGCCAAATGAAATAGAGTTAGGAACAAGAAAAGAGTTCATGGCTATAAACTGAGTAGAGTTTGTTTTGTTGTTTTGTTTATTTGTTTGTTTTAAGACAGAGTTTCACTCTCGTTGCCTAGGCTGGAGTGCAATGGCGGGATCTCGGCTCACCACAACCTCTGCCTCCTGGGTTCAAGCGATTCTCCTGCCTCAGCCTCCACAGTAGCTGGGATTACAGACATGCGCCACCAAGCCCAGCTAATTTTGTATTTTTAGTAGAGACAGAGTTTCTCCGTGTTGGTCAGGCTGGTCTTGAACTCCCGACCTCAGGTGATCTGCCTGCCTCGGCCTCCCAAAGTGCTGGGATTAAAGGCATGAGCTACCACATCTGGCCTGAGTAGAGTTATTTTTGTTTTTTAAAGAATTATAAAGTAGTAGAAAGAGCAACTTTATGACAATTTTTAATTAAAGAGATCATATCCTGGTAAATTATAACTATCAATACAGACACAAGAAGAAAGAGAAAAAATGTGAATTAATCCAGAACAATTTAAATTTGCTAAACATTTATTTCTCATGAATTTCTGTTTAACAGAAGGCATCATTAGGAACATAAAAATACAAGCCATAGAAAACAAAAGTGAAAAGGCAAGCCACACAATAGAAGATATTTGTATACATATATCCATAAAGACCACAAACTGAAGCTATACATGTGTGTATGCATATGTATTTGTGTGTGTATGTGTAGATGATAGATATTCTTACAATTCTTTGACAAAGAAAAAAATAATAGAAAAATAGGGAAAATACTTGAACAAGAAATTCACAAGAAGATATCTACATGGTCGATAAACATATAAAAATATATTCAGTTTCACTAGTGATGAGGAAAATGCAAGTTGAAACCTCAATGCGATACCACTATGCATTCACTGAGATGGCTAAGATTAAACGACTGACAACACTAAGTATCAACAAAAATGTGAAGCAACTGGAGCTAATTTCCTGCTGGTGGGATTGTAAATTTGTTTGACTGCTAGGGAAAACTGGCAGTGTGCACTAAAGCTCCCATATGCCCTCCCTATGACTCAACAAATTCTACTTCTAGACATATGCCCAAGTCTTTGTGTGTGTATTTGAATGTATGTATACAAAAACAGTAGAAGGAAGTTCACAGCGGACTACTTGTAAGAAAAAAACACTGAAACAATCCAAATATTCATTAACAATAACATAAATGAAGAAAGTATAATATATTCACATGAGAGAATACTATAAAATAATGAGAATGAATGTATGCTCATTCATGCAGTTACAAATATGAGTCTCATAAATGTAATACTGAGCAAAAGAAGCCAAACACAGAACAGCACACGCTGCGTGATTTCACTATTATAGAGTTCAAACTAATCTATTTTGTTTTAAAGAAAATTTTTGCTCAACTTTGAGCATGCACACACAATTGTGTATCCTGAACACCTTATGCTCTCTGGAATTTTACACAACCCAGTCTTGATTTGATTAAAACCAGGCTTTCAGTTAGCAGTGAAGTGAAACTTGATAGTGGCCTCTCACAAGGAAGAGTCTACCATCCACCTTAAAACCAGCCAATACCTGAACTCAAAAAGCTGCCTAATTTTATAATATTTCTCCTTTTTTGATCTACATCAAGCTCTTTCAATTTCTAAATAAAGAGAAACTGAACTTGTACTTGAATAATGCCTTGCCAGGCATGCAAATAAATTCGCCTCATTTTATATTGTTATTTATTAGCCTTTATTTCTCTTCACTTAAGAAGTTGGTAGACGTTAGGATACTGGAGGCACTTACAAGGAGGAGATATAAGGTGTGCTTGTGGGGTGCTATTCCCTCTTGATTTGTGGTAGTGACATAGCTGTGTTACTGCTGTGAAAGTTTACTGAGATCTACCTTTATGATTTTATAGTGTACATTGCAACAAAATTCACTGGAAGAAAGACAAAAAATATGTAGCCATTAAAAATATTTCAAACAAAACAAAAAACCACAATAAAGTGAAACAAACAAACAAAAGCCCTCCAAAAGCACATTAGGCTAAGATGATTTTACAGGCAAGTTCCACTAAACAGATAGGTCCTAACCTTGTTCTAGAGAACAGAGATAGAAATATTGTGCCCCTGCTCATCTTTTTTGTTTTGGTTAATATAACCTTGATAGCAAAAACTAGACTGTACAAGAAAAGAAAATTATAGGCCAATCTTACATATGAATATGATTCCAAAACCCTTTTTATAAATCAAAATTTAGAAAAGAAACTAGCAAACAAGGAACACAGATGTATTAGAGAATTAAAACAAATGGTAAATAAAATTCAGGTAGCCCAAAATCAGTACATTTTATAGACAGGCCCTGTGTAAAGCTTCATATAATTTAAATTTTCAAGCTGGAGAAATAACTAAAGATAAGTAAATCTTACAGGACTTATTGTAAAGAAAGATTCAATTTCCCCATTATCCAATTAACCTTTTTCCTAAGAAGCAGCAAGGAGAAAGAACATGGAGGGAATGTTACAGGTTTGGTTAGATTCCATTTTATCTATTCATAATTCTCCTGAAGAAGGCAAAGCTTGTCAATGAAGCTGGCTGTTCCAACTCAGAAAATACAGGTTTTTGCCCAGGCACAGTGGTTCTCAAGGTGTGGGCTCAGACTAGTGTCATCAGCAGCATCTGGGAACTTCTTAGAAATGAATATTTTAAGGCCCCACACTGAATCATTAAATCAGGAACTCTAGGGGCGGAGCCCAAGACACTGTGTTTCCATAAGCTCTCCAGGTGATTCCATGAACTTTAAAGTCTGGCAACTGCTGTCCTGGGGTAGAAGACTCTGTTGCAAATGGGCAAATGCTGTATATTATGCTACATTCCTCTTTTTATTTACTCCAAGAGTCAAAACAAAACAAAAAGATGGAGGAAGAATGTGCTGAAAGGAAGTGTAACTCCCAACCAAATCAAAATGACATTTAAGCACACAGAAATGGAAAGAACTGAACCTTACTTACCCTTTAGCTTTTCTAAATATGGAAGAATATTGTGAGGTATTAAAATCAACCTGCGAAAAGTCATTCTGTTACTTGACTTGAGATATTTTCAATATCAACTTTTATTATTTTTTAAATTACAGAACAATAAATAGTAACTAGAAAAATATGACTGCAGATAAGCACGAAAAAGAAAAAATAAACTTGTAATTACATTATCCACAGATAATGTTTTAAAAGATTTATAAATTACTTTAATAATATGTTTTGATAACTGGTAGGACCCATTCTGCATAATTACTCATTTGTTTCATAATTTTCCTGACTATACTTATGATAATATATTTGCACTTAACTCTTATAGATTTTAAATAAACAGTTTCATACAGGACATATAATTTTGTAACCTGTATGCTATACAAAAAAAAAATGAAACTCTCTACATCTCTTTGTATATAAACATTTTCTTCTACAGCATTTTAAATGTGGCATGTCATTTAATTGCTTAAATGTGTCATAATGTACTCAATCTGCTATTGTCGAATAAGCAATATTCCTGATGATTTACTGTTACAAAAACTCTATAATGAACATTTTTGTAGGAAATGCTGCTCATATACTAAAAGTAGAAAGTTAATAAAGGTTTTTGTTTATTGTTACTACTCTTTTCTATCTTCTCTCTCTCCTCCTGTTTTTCTCTGTCAAACACATACACACACAGAATTGCTGTTCTTTTTTTGTGTATATATTACCAGCATTATTTGCATTTTTGCACCACTCAACAATGGGTGTTATTTCTTTTGATCTTTTCCAAGTTAACATAAAATAGAATGTAATAAAATTTTCTGTTCTATTTATGTAAATATAAGTATGGTTGAACACTTTTAATGTATTCCTTAGCTCTTTTGTTTCATTTGTAACTTATACATATACTGTATCTATTTCCCTATCTTTTAAGTTGTATTTGTTTATATTGAAAAAAAACACATATATAGGTTTCTGCTTTTCTAAAGTTCAAACTGATAATAGATGTAAAATAGAAGTCCCCTAAATGCTCCTATGCCAACTTTAATCCAATTTTCTTCCCCAGAGATACCAACTATTTACAATGCAGCGTATGTCTTTCAATCACTGTTTTTAGTCATTTACACACATACGTGCATGTACACAAACATATGTTTATATATACATACAGGTTTTTGACAAAATTTTAACCACATTGTATACAGAGTTCTCTAAATTGCTTTTTTTTTCTTTCTTAACATGTTTTGGGAATTTTCCCATATCGGTATATGTAAATCATTTTTCTATGGCTTTATATTTTCAGTGGAATTTATGTATGATAATTTAAAAAATTCTTTTACAAATCAATGTTTCAATTGTTTTCAATTTTTTCATGTTATAAATAATGTCCCAATAATGTTTTACGTATAATTTTGTTCATGTAACCAGTATGTTACATCATTAAGGTTCAGTAAAATCAGAACATTGTTTTCTGTCAATTAACTATACAAACCCCTTCTGATTTTACCCTATCCCTGGATAAAAATCTCTATAAGCCCTTTAATATTATCTCTTGGACATTTAGTAAGTCTTCCAGTCACATAAGTTATCATAATACTGCTCCAATATGCATTCATGCTTAGCATGCACCAGGCAGCTTGCTAAGCACTTTCCGTGTATAGTCTTTCTATCTTTATAACAGGCTGGGCGCTGTGGCTCACACCTGTAATCCCAGCACTTCTAGAGGGCCAGGTGGGCAGATTACCTGAGGTTGGGAATTCGAGACCAGCCTAGCCAACACGGTGAAACCCCCATCTCTACTAAAAATACAAAAATTAGCCGGGCATGGTGGCACGCGCCTGTAATCCCAGCTACTCGGGAGGCTGATGCAGGATAATTGCTTGAACCCGGGAGGCGGAGGTTGCAGTGAGCCAAGATCGCACCCCCGCACTCCAGCCTGGGCAACAGAGTGAGTCTCTTCATAACAACACAAGGAGGTAGGCATCTAAAAAGATGAGGAAACTTAGGAACTTGGCTTACAGAGGGCACACATAGCTAGTGCAGTGTAAATATCAGAGTCGGTTATTATTTACAAAATAAAACCAATTATATGAGAAGAATTTATTTAAAAACACAGATGTCTGTAGTGATATGTTGCTTCATTTAAAGATAAATACTGGCCCATTGTGGTAAATCATTGTATGTTGACTTTTATTCTTTACTATGATCACACAGGAGACTATGTGCATTTATAAACATTTATGCACTTCTCTCCCACTGTAGATGCATTTAGCTTGATTGTTAAGCACTGCTGTTACCTAAAGCACTGTCAAAGATACCTTAATTGTTAGTCCATAATTACAATACTTGGACCTCATCCACCGTTATACTGATATAATATTCACTAGTAATACTATTCTGAACAACACAGAAAATGAAACAAAACAAACAAAAAAAGCTCCTCTATACTTTAGCTTGTATTGATTAACTAAGAAGGAACATTTTCATTTCCATGGTAGGCAGGCAAGCAACATCTCTCTTGCATAATAATGTTTTTAGTCTACAAAGATTTAGCTGGTCCATATCCCTATACTGCATGAAGACACCTAATTAGCCCTTCTAATGCTACAACCCAAGACAGCTCTGCATGTTCTTCTGTATAAATAACACATATTATTCCTTAAATTCCTCAGATTAGTCCTTCACCTTCCAGCAAGGTCCATGTTTAAAATCTTAACCAAAAAGTCTGGAAGGGGTAGTGGAATTAAATCTATCCCATGCTTAACTTTTAAAATATACACTAGAATAACAGAATGACCTGTCAAATAGTCAAAGGAACACTTTGGCTTTCTCAGATGCTAATTAGGTCAATCCTCTGATAGTAGAAAACTTAGAAATGCTTCTTCACTTTTGTCAGTCTACGTCTACTATTATTAGGTCATTTTTTTTTAATTTTATGAGTATATTGATTAGGAGAGAATTCACTCATCTTAAGATAGTTATCCATGTTTCTCATTTCAGACAATTATGTCTTTTTGATCAGGAAAAAAACGAAAGGATGAATATTTTCCCTGTTGATACTGCAGCTGCAAAAAATATAAAACAATATTTCTAACAAAATTACAAAGATGTCCACTTTCAGACTTTGTGGCTCTCTTACCTGTCTAATCCTTCCTGTTTACCATTCTTTCTTCCTTTTTTTCTTTTCTTTTTTTTTTTTTTTTTTGAGATGGAGGCCCACTCTGTCTCCCAGGCTGGAGTGCAGCGGTGCAATCTCAGCTCAATGCAACTCCTGCCTCCAGAGTTCAAGCGATTCTCCTTCCTCAGCCTCCTGAGTAGCTGGGATTACAGGCACATGCCACCACACCTGGCTAATTTTTGTATTTTTAGTAAAGACAGGGTTTCATCATCTTGTCCAGGCTGGTCTCGCATTCCTGACCTCAAGTGATCTGCCCGCCTCAGCCTCACAAAGTGCTGGGATTACAGGCGGGAACCACTGCACCCAGCCTCTTTCTTCATTTTTAAACATCAGAGTTTCACACTTCAGGCCACACCCTTTTCCTCTTCATTCCCTCCCTCTCTAATGCCTTCAGTCACCCCTTGGAATCAGTTTAAATCTCTCACATTTATCTCCAGGCCAGGTACCTTATTTGAGTGTGCAGATGCCTCACACACAAATATGTGACTCATAACCAGCTGTCCTTCATTGACACCACCTAGCACTCAACCCTTTATGCCCAAAACCAAACTCGTGCTTTGGCTGTGCTCAACTGGTTTCCTCCAAGCTTTTTCATCTTAGCAAGGAACTGGAAGTCATCCTTAATAGGTCTGCTTCCCTCTCTGTATAAGTTCAGGTACATCCTAAAAAACTCTCAACTCTTCCACGTATCTCCACCACAAACACACCACCCCAGTCTAAGGACTTTTGTCTCTTTCGGGGAGACTACTAAAATGAAACCCTCCTGTTTTCCTGTGGGAGTATGCCATTAGTGTACACATTGTAGCCATTGTTGATATTTTAGAATGTAAATCTGATCATGTCACCTCCAGCCTTATCTAATCACCTTTGTGGCTTCCCATTGTTCTTAGAATAAAGGTAGAGTATACTTAGGCTTCCTATAACCTGACCTCTGCTCTCTTTCACTGTTCTTACTTTGAACTACTCTCCTTTTTTTACCATCTGCATTACTTTCCTTTCATTTTCAAGAATATTTTAATCACTATCTCACCTCAGTGCTTTCATACATGTCATCACCTTGGTTGCCACTCTGTTTTTACTTCACACTCCCTTAACTTATTTGTTGGCTCATGGTGACACAAAGATGTCACCCAAATCCTCTCTCAGGAAAGATGTGATGTCCCAGCTTCAATTGTAAGCCCCTTCAAGGACTACCTCAGCTTCAGGGATCCAACCACCTTGCCCAAGAGCATGCCCTTTTTGGAGAGACCCACATCCAGTGACTTACTGAGTGGAGCATCTTTGAACAACTTGAATGGACCATTGTAGCTACAGAGCTCCCCATGGGGTCCCCTGAGGCTGGCATCACAGTTTGACTTCTCCCTCTGCTGAATACTGTTTCTTCCCCTTCCTTTCGCAAATGTAGATCCTGATGGTTCTCTCTAATAAACTTTCTGCCCACTAAACTGTCTCAGAATCCACTTCCAATATACTCCTTCTCCAGAGGTTGGCTTAGATGTCACTTCCTGAAGGAAGCTGTGCATGAGTTTTCCAGGGCTGCCAAAAAAGCATACCCACAAACTTTGTGACTTATAACAACAGAATTTTATTATCTCACATTTAGGGAGGCTAGAAATCTGAAATCAGGGTGTCAGCAGGGCCACACTGTCTCTGAATGCTCTAGGGGAGGATCATTTCCTGCCTCTTATAGCTTCTGGTGTTACCAGCAATCCTTGGTGTCCCTTAGCCTGGAGATGCATCACTCCAATCTCTGCCTCCATCTTCAAAAAGGCTTTTCCCCTGTGTTCATGTCTCTATGTCCAAGTTTTTCTCTTCTTGTAAGTACACTTATCATATTGAATTTAGGGCCCATCCTAACCCAATAAGACATCATTTAACTCAATTATATTTGCAGAGACCCTTTATTAGTCTGTTATCACGCTGATGAAGACATACCTGAGCCTGGGTAATTTATAAAGAGACAGAGGTTTAATGGTCTCACAGTTCCACATGGCTAGGGAGGATTTACAGTCATGGTGGAAGGTGAAAAGTATGTCTTACATGGCAGCAGACAAGAGAGAATGAGAGTCAAGCAAAGGGGAAAACCCCTTTGAAATCATCAGATCTTAGAAGACTTATTCACTACCACGAGAACAGTATAGGGGAAACCGCCCCCATGATTCAATTGTCTCTCACTGGGTCCCTCCCAAAACACGTGGGAATTATGGGAGCTACAATTCAAGATGAGATTTGGATGGGAATACAGCCAAACAATATCAACCCTATTTCTAAATAAAGTTACATTCACAGATTTCAGAGGTTAAGACTTCAACACATCTTTTTGAGAGGCACACTTCAAACCATGAGCTATATGACTGAGGACGTATTTAGATGTAAGTAAGATAAGTTATAGTAGATATCTGTCATTCTTTTCAGTGATTAAACATCTTTAAACTTTTTTTTTCTGCTATTTAGGGATTTTCTTAAATCTAACCATAAAAGTCCATCTGTTTTCCCAGCCTCCTTTATAGTAAGGATAAAGGCACATAACTTCCATCATCAGAAGCACTTCTGCCAAACACCGAATTCAAAGTTAATGGTGCCAAAACAGCATACACTGTGAAGAATCTATTTTGGGAAGAAAGGTGACAGTGACATCTAATTTCCAGAGACAGCGGTGTTTGAGTTCAGATACTATCAACTACAAGCTCACAATGTTTGTACTCAAGAGTGGTGGCCCAGTTGTCGTCAACAGACCAGTTATGTTGTGTGACTTTGAGTACTGATACTGGATAAGCAGTTTCTAAGCAGGGCTCTCTGGCCAGCCTGAAAATTCAGTAAGGTTAATATACTTTCAAACTGCCTTCTTATAATAGCCAGAGTTGGTATCTATTATCTGCAACTAAACCCACAGCTTATACAGAAATCTATCTAGGGTTAGTTACTTAAAGGAAGGAATGAGGATGAAGTAAGTAACTGTATTAGTTTGAATCTCCGTAAGGCTGTAGAGGTAGAGTTAGAATCTGGGACTCAAATGCTATTAGGACTTCCTATCGACTTCAGCTCATCACATCTCTGCTTTTCTCTGTGTGACAAATTTTTTCTTTCAGGCTGATTATGCCTGCTGGAACCAGAATCAGCAGCAGCCCCTATTCTCTCATCCTGGTTTTTGAGAGAACAGAGAAAAAAGGACTTCTCTTTGCTAGTTACAGTTTTAAAAATCCAGACAAAATCCTTTGATTAGCAATCTTGAGTCAAAATGCTCACTCCATGGATGAATTAGTATCATCAGGAAATTGAGTTACTATGAGTTAATTCTGTCTGCTGTGGCCAGAGAAGCAAGTTGTCGAAATCTCTTTAAGAATACCTACCACAGCAGAGAGTAGAAAGAAATGAACAGATTCCCCCTAAGCAGAAAGGTTTGGGGGTGGGAAGAGAGTGGGTGGCATAAATATGGCCACAGGAAAAACAATCACTGTGAGCCTGGCAACTACCTCAATTTGTGTCTACTGTGAATGTTTTCTTTCCCTTTTTTTTTTTTTTTTTTTTTTTTGAGACCAAGTCTTGCTCTGTAGCCCAGGCTGGAGTGCAGTGGCACAATCTCATCTCGTCCTCCTGGGTTTGAGCGACTCTCATGCCTCAGCCTCCAGAGAAGCTGGGATTACAGGCTTGGCCCACCATGCCCAGCTTATTTTTGTATTTTTAGTAGAGACGGGGTTTCACTATGTTGGCCAAGCTGGTCTCAATCTCCTGACCTAGTGATCCACCTGCCTCAGCCTCCCGAAGTGCTGGGATTACAGGCGTGAGCCACCGTGCCCAGACACTGTGAATGTTTTCTATGCTTATAGATAAAGTTTTATCTATGCCTACAAATAGTACCAAGTACTAACTCTTTAGAACTTTAAATAAAATAATTAAATAGATCTTATATGCATGAATTTGAATATGGGCTTCAGGTATGCACAAATTCTTCTGCTAAACACTGCTATATTCCCAATGTCTTAGGGACATAGCAAATAGAATATGGAGATATTGGCATTTATTATTAAATAGCCAAATAATTAAGGAACTATCTGATTCAATGAGTGAATCTAAACCAGATATTAGAGTAACCAAGGGGTAGCATGTGTTTTAAAAAAAAAAAAAAAAAAAAAAAAGGCCTGGCCCTGTGGCTCACACCTGTAATCCCAGCACTTTGGGAGGCTGAGGCGGGCGGATCACGAGGTCAGGAGATAGAGACCATCCTAGCTAACAGGGTGAAACCCCATCTCTACCAAAAATACAAAAAGATCGCTGGGCGTGGTGGCGGGCACCTGTAGTCCCAGCTACTCGGGAGGCTGAGGCAGGAGAATGGCGTGAACCCTGGAGGCGGAGCTTGCAGTGAGCCGAGATCGCACCACTGCACTCCAGCCTGGGTGACAGAGCGAGAATCTGTCTCGAAAAAAAAAGAAAAGGTTTGTGCCTTTTTACAATCTACTTCATATTTTATTTCGTTTCATATTAAGAGGTAATATAATGACAAAATTATAGGATTAAAGTAATTATACTCTTTACTAGATTTAAACAAGTTACTTAAGTTCTCTATGATCAGAATTCCTCATCTAATCAAAGAGAATAATATTAGGACTAATGTCATAGGAGCCTTGCAACAAGTGTGATATTAAGTGGAATATAGGTTTCACTCCACAAAAGCTTACTTCTGTTATTCTATCCATCAGATCCAAGTGACTCCTAAACCACCTTACTACCATGATCACATCCATATGCCTCTGCCTGCTTTGACTCTCTATCCCAATGCTGTTGCTTTGTTCCCGTCTATCTATACGCTCTTGAAAAATACTTAGTCTCTTCTTCAAAAAAAAAAAAAAAAAAAAAAAAGAAAGAAAAAGAAAGTAGATCTTCCAAAATAAAGACAAGAAACAAAAGAAATTTTTCTCTAACTCCATCTAACCTTGAGGTTGGAAGTGGAAAACAATGAAATGATTTCTTAAATAAATAACAAAGCGTTTTGTCTTTTTAGTGTCGTTTCCTTCCTTACAGCTTCTTTGTCGTTCCCACTGAGTCTCAGGTGTAGCTCTCATTACATCAGAAGGTAGAAGAAAGACCACTGGGAATTAGAGTAAGTTAAGTGAGAAAAAATATAGGCATAGTCCTCCACTTCTCCATTAAAACAGTCAGATACAATCTCAAAAAAAAAAAAAATAGAATCCCCAAAATATTTCCATGACAAACAAATTTACAGATATAATTAGCCTATGTATAATCATTATTTATTATTATATATCGTAATCAGAGTACAGCTCTTGCCAAGCTAATGTGTCCGCACTCCTAGAGAAAGAACTAACAATGAATGAAAAGGTTGACTATTAGTCTCAGATTTGAAGATATGATTAATGTAAAGCAACCAGTGAGCTTTCTCAGGCCTAAACACATTGATCCCTGGAAGATCCATTTTTTTTCTCCTTACTGATTTAAGGAAAGAAAACAAAACTAACAAACAACAACCAGAAAAGGTCAAAAACAAAAGCAAAAGACCCTAGAGGTCCTGCCCAGAATTTTCCTGTTTTTCTCTGAAAAGGAACAGTTTGGGTGAACCTAAGTATATTTAGACAAGAAATAAACAACAGGAAATGTGTAATTAGTTTGTGATTTTATAATTAGTGTGTTCATGATATTTTCCCTCTGTAGGATACACAAATAATAGAGACTTACAGGGCGAGAAATTTGTTTGAGTTATTTTTGAAATATTATTTTAGGAGTCTAAAAAGGGCTTTAGGGTTCATCTAAAAGTGGTACCATCTGTTCTTATTATGATTTCTCTCCACTAAAGACTATATTGTTTTATATAAAAGTACAATCTTGTCAGCGAATGAGTTATAAAATGTTAATTTCTGATCTAGCTCTCATTTTATTATGTAATTCTATCTTTAAGCCAAATATATAATGAACAAATTACTTCACAAAATGAAAAGCTTGCCTTATCAAATTACTATTTTATGGGCATTAAAAAGAAAAGCAGATTATATTTCTTTTGTTGAATATTTTTTAAGAGAGATAATTCGGTAAACTTCTTTGGAAAGATGAAAAATATTCTTATCCACACATTTTCTGAATATGTACTTACTTCTTCTTACTGCAACGCTTTCAAATTTATAACCATAAAATAGCTTTCACTCTTGATTTTTAGAAGCTTTAGTTCTGCCATCTGGAAAAATCATACATTCATCCATACATCTATTTTTCATTTATTCTGAAATATAATTTTATCACCAGTGGGTACTATATGCCAGGTATTAGCATGGTCATGTGAACAAGCTGATTCTCCATTATTACAACCAGTCTTGTACCAATTTCTTTAACTTTCTTGCCTCTCTATCTAGACCTTGACCTCACAGATATTAGTATGCCTGGTCTGTCCTCGTCATTCAGTTCTCAGCTCAAATTTCATCTCCTCAAAGGTATACCATTGGTCATAATATCAAAGGTAGTACATTCTCAATCTGTCATCCTACCTTACCTAATTGATTTTACTAAGGAAATTACCATCAGAATCTATAATATTCCTTCAGTTGTTTATATAATTATTGTCCATATCCGTGAGCAAGAATGTAAGTTCCATGAGAGCAAGTGGCCTAGCCTATATTGTTCAGTGCTAGGTCTCCAAAACCTTGAAGAAAAAAAAATTAGTGAGTAAATAAATAAATCCTAGCTGGAAATGGGTATAGATATTTAACAAATAATAATACATAACCATAAAAGCTCAACAATGTTAAGTTCTACAAGATACTTGACAATAGTTTTGCGAGTGTGTGTTGTAAGAAAGTTTAACCATGTCAAAGTCAGTTTGAAAAATACCAAATTAACCTAGCCATATGAAAGACTCTTACCCTTATCCAAAAAGTCCAAGAAAAGACTAGTTGAAACATACATTGTTGAGCTAAAAAGTTACTTTGGTTAGAGTGTGAAACTGAGATCAGGGTGCGGATGAGTTTCTGGAGACTGGTCTACACTTCACACAAGAGATCAAGGGACAGTAGTGCAAAAGGAGATCAGAAGAACAAATTTGACAAGGATTTAGGGGATAAACATTAGCTAAACTTGGCCATGCATTGTACATGAAGACAAGAGGGTGCAACATACAACTCATCTGTCCTAAACAACTGCATGGATAGTGGTGACACTCAGTGAAGTGGGAGACTCTGGAAGAAGACCAAGTTTAGTGGGTAAAAAGATATGCTGTACTGCGTTTGAGTTTGAGGCATTCTTGAGATATCTGAGTGGTGATTTTGAATAAGCAGTTGAGTATATAGGTCTCCAGTTCAAAGACACAGTCTGAACTGGAGAGCTAGACTTTGGGGTTATCTATAATGGAAATCACAGATGTGGGTGACATCACCTGGAAAAATGAGTGTTTTTACTTCCTTTCTCATCCAATTTAGATGGCATTCTCTGTCATTATAACCATTCTTGTACTTCTTTTTGTTTTTGTTTCTGTTTTTTTGTTGTTGTTGTTGTTTTTTACTTTCTTGCCTCTCTATCTTTGTATGACTCTTGCTGAGGGAATTCTGGATAGATTAATCTGTTTCACTTCTTCATTCCTAAATAATACTGGAGAAAACTAACAACCTTGCAGATTGTTGCCTTTATAGATTCATGGGTATTTAATATCAATTGACCTTTAATGGTAATCAACAATTCTTCCTTTTGCTCCACTCAAGTATGTATCTAATTTTCTACAGAAACTATGTCAAGCCTTCAGCATTTATACTAATCCCATCATTTACCACTCTCAATCTCAGTAAGTAATGCTGTTTCTTGAGTTGCAGGGAAATCAACAACTAAACATTGAAATCGTTGAACAGAAAATTTCTTAGTCTCCTATCACCAATTTTACAAACTCTTAGATGCAACATAAGATAGAACTTAAGAGTATAGGCTTTAAATCCAGACAGCTGGTTATTTTTGGAAAACTACATAAAATTTCTGTGCCTCAGCTTTTTTGTCTGTGAAATGTACACAATCCTAATATCTAATGCATTGCATGGTTAAATGTACTAGAGCAGTGGTCTTAGACTTGCACGAGTATCACAGTCACCCAGCAATCTTGTTATAGCAGACAGCCTCATTCTTAGAATTTTGCCGAATGGCCTTTCTAACAATTTCCTAGGTGATGCTGACACTGTAGCACAGCAACAAAGAACACAGTTTCAGAACCACTGATCTAGTACATGTGAAGATTTGGAAATGTGGTTGCACATAATAAGCATTCAAAAACTTTTGCCATCTGTCTATCTATACACACACATACACATACACACACACACACACACATACACACACACACACACATACACACACACACTATATATATGCCTTTTCCTCCTTTTGTCTTGAGACAGTGGGGAAAGCCTCTCTCCTCTCCATACCTGATCTCTCAGCTTTGTTCTCTGGGACCCATGAATTTCTCTTTCTCAGGTAATTTGATCAATTGATTATTACCTATAATTATTAACCTTCATCCTCTTTCTCTCTGCATATTTTATCTCATTTGAATTACTAAACTGAAATTTAAGCATGTTCCTTCTATATCAAAAAGTAATCACTGTCAGTATTATGGAGTCTTTTAAAAACCACCCTAACCCTTTTCTCCCTACCAAGCTATACATTCCAAAATAATTGTTTTTAAACATTCACTCATGTTTTCCAGATTTTCAACATTTACCAGCCCCCCAGATAATTGCTTTCTGACTTATTTCCATACTGCTTTCCTGATATTGTTATAAAAATATCAGCACTAACCTCACTATAGCTAAACACAGTGGATATTTACCACCTTTGGGAGCAATTGGCATTGTTGATCACACCTTTTATCCTGAAACACCTGTTCTTTTTTAATGCACACTCTCCTGGATTTTCTTTTATTCAGTCACTGCATCTCTAACTCTTTTTTTTTTTTTGAGACGGAGTCTGGCTCTGTAGCCCAGGCAGGAGTGCAGTGGCGTGATCTCGGCTCACTGCAAGCTCCACCTCCCAGGTTCACGCCATTCTCCTGCCTCAGCCTCCCGAGTAGCTGGGACTATAGGCGACCACCACCACGCCCAGCAAATGTTTTGTATTTTTAGTAGAGACGGGGTTTCACCGTGTTAGCCAGGATGGTCTCCATCTCCTGACCTCGTGATCTGCCCGCCTTGGCCTCCCAAAGTGCTGGGATTTACAGGCTTGAGCCACCGCGCCCGGCCTCATCTCTAACTCTTATAAGATTTGCCCTTTTGGGGGCTTCTGTTCTAAATCTGGCTTTTTTGGTTCAGTTTGTATTAGTCTGTTTTCACGCTGCTGATAAAGACATACCCTATGCTGGGAATAAAAAGATGTTTAATTGGACTCACAGTTCCACATGGCTGGGGAGGCCTCAGAATCATGGCGGGAGGTAAAAGGCACTTCTTACCTGGCAGTGGCAAGAGAAACTATAGAAGAACCAGAGGCAGAAACTCCTGATAAACCCGTCAGATCTCTTGAACTTATTCACTATCACAAGACTATCACAGGAAAGACCAGCCCCCATGATTCAGTTAGCTCGCCCTGGGACCCTCCCACAATACATGGAAATTCTGGGAGATACAATTCAAGTTGAGATTTGGGTGGGGACACAGTCAAACCATATTGTTTGTTTGCTTGTTTTTTTAAGTCTTTTTCACGGACATTTTCTCTTCTGACTCTTCATTCTGACTGAACAACTATGTTGAGAAAGGAATACTAATCTGAAGGTATAGCATATAATACACACTTATAAAAATGTATTAGAAATAGTGAGTAGAAATACAACATTTAAAGTCAGTGTATTCTAAGAAATAAATATGTCATCAGGATTTTCATATTCAAAGGAAATAAAATTGATAGGTTGAAGAGATATTTGTATTTCAATGATAATTGCAGCATTACCCACAATCGCCAAAGTATAGAATCAACCTAAGTATTCATCAGTGGATAAATGGATAAAGAAAATATCACATATACATAATGGAATACTATCCATGTATCCTTTATAGAGAAGGAAATTATATCATGTGTGACAACATGGATGAAACTAGAGGGCATAATGCTAAATGCAATAAGTTAAGCACAGAAAGACAAATACCGCATGATCCCAGTTATACGTGGAATCTTAACAAGTTCACACTCATAGAAGCAGAAAATAGAATGGTAGTTGTCAGGGGCTGGATGGCAGGGAGCTGTTGGTCAAAGGATACCAAGTTTCAGTTAAATAGGAGGAGTAATTTCTGGAGATCTATTGTACAGCATGATGGTTATAGTCAATAATAATTTATTATATACTTGAAAAATATTAAAAGAATATAATTAAAAATTCTCACCATAGAAAATGATAAGTATGTGCTGTGATCCAAATGTATGTGTTCCCCCAGAGTTCATATGTTGAAACCCAGATTCCAATTTGATAGCATGAAGAAGTAGGGCCTTTTGGGAGGTGATTCAGTCAGGAGGCAGAGCCCTCATGAAAGGGATTGGTGCCCTTATGAGAAAGGCCCAAGGCAGCTTGTTTGTTCCTTCTGTCATGTGAGGACACAGCAAAAATGCACCATTTGTGAAGCAGAGATTGAGCCCTCACTAAACATGAAATCTGCCAGAGCCTTGATCTTAGACTTTCCAGCCTCCAGAGCTATAAGCAATAAATCTCTGTTGCTTATCAATTACCCAATTTAAGGTATTTTGTTATAGCAGCCTGAATGGACTAAAACTGTATGTGAAGTGATGGATATGTTAATTAGACTGATTCAATTATCTCACAGTATATACCTATACAAAAATGCCATGTTGTATGCCGAAAATATATACAATTTTTATTAGTCAATTGTACTTTAGTAAAGGGAGAGGGGCTTTTATAGATAAATAAACATAATAGAAATGGGGAATTTATAGAATATGTATTTTTACCACAGGAAAGAGATGAGGTAAGAAGTGAAAGTGTGCAAGTGAGACTTACCTGTACATTCACCTCACCCTGGATTCCCTTTGAAATGGAGACTATTGTTTAGGCTAATAATATGTAATGGACAAAAAAAAAAATGCACCACATCAATGTGATATATATGAAAAGCAAAGAAACTCAAGGTCTAATTAGGTTCACTTTGGGAGAAAGTCTCAGGAGGAGTCAAGTTAAGCTATATAAAAATGAATTAAGTTAGCCCAGAATACTTCGGAGCTCCTGGAAACTGCATATGTATTGTTTCTAACAACATTTGTTTTTAACTAGTGCTTATAAGCATATAGTTGCCTATCAGCTTATGTCTTTAATTCTTCCAGTCAACATTGCTACCTGGGAGAAATCTGGGACTGAAAAATAGAACAAGTTCATTGGCTAGGTGATTACCATTATTTAAGTTACCTGTTACTTTGATTCCTTTTACTAGGAAGGTTGGGTCCCATTGCACATTTACGAATCACAGATTTGTGATTCACAAATTCACAGATCCTGTATGGTTTCAGACTTGCATATCTAACTGACTTCTACTAACTCCGCTTGAATATTTCAGGCACTTTAAATTCAATATTTACAAAACTGAACTCACCATGTTTCCCTACACCTGCTTTCCTACTTTTGTTTTCTGTCTTAGTAAATGTAAACTTTTCCAACACAGTTGCTAGTATCAGAAAATAAGACAGTAATTTTCTTTCTTTCCTCTTCCTCAATCTATAATCTCTTCATCTTATTAATAATTAATATATTCTATTGAGTCTACCTCTTACATTTTTAAATCAATTTAGCCACCATTTACAACTTGCTTTTCCATGCTATCACCATCCTTCCTGTAAAAGAAGAGATGATATTGTCTGATGTGGACATGCAATTGACAAAAAAAGTCCCACATTGCCAAATTGTTTCTGCATAATGCTTAGGTTCTTTCTGGTAGATAGTAATAGCTGTCAAAGAAATTTCAGGTATCAAGGATTAACTATTCTCCTATTACCCCGCTATTAACTTTTAATAAAAGCAAGTATCAGGCCAAATTCTGACAAATATATAGACATTTATTAGACAGATAGTCTTTAGCAAAACCATAAACTCAATTATTGCCTTTAGTTGGCACCACACAATCAGAAATCCTCTAAACTAATGCCTGAGTGGAGAAACAATCAAGGTTCAAACCTCAGACACCATCCTTAATTCTTACATCCTGTCAGGTAAAGTTTGAAGGTGTATAAATTTTAGTCACTCTACGTGTCTTTAAAATATTTAACTTAATAAATGATATTCTTTTTCTAGCATTCATCTTGCTAATTGACAGGTGTCTAGTTATATCAATAAACACTATTTTTAACATTCAGTATGCTATTTATCAAAGAATTGGTTGTTGTTGGAGATAGGACTAGAGAAAGGCTTTCAGTGGTAGCCCCTGGGATGTGGCTGTGTTTGATTTGAGGCTAGTTGACCACCTTCTTTGGCTGTGCAATCATGATGTATGTTAGATACCCAGGCCCAGATCTGAAGCCTAAACTAACTGGTATATATATAATATTACATTGATTACTCTAAAATATTGTAATGTAATATACAGACATTCTAGCAGTGCTTTTAGTCTTTCCTTCTCTGTAACCTTAAGGTACTTCTTAAACTGGAACTCTGATCATATTAATTTCTCAAAACTGATCAATGGCTTCCCATTGTTCTGATTATAAAATAAAATTTTAGCCTCATCTCACACTTACCTTTCTATCCTCCTCTCTATCACCTTCACTCCTTGTGATTCAACTATCCTAAATATCTACTGAAAATATACTTTCGTTCAAATTTTGAACTTTTCATATACTCTTCCATCTGCCTGGGAAACATTTTCCTTCTTCTTCTTCACCTGTTCACCTTGTATCTACCCTTCAAGAGATGGGTTACATATCAGCCTGTCACTTCCTCAAGAAGCTTTTCTTTTTTTTTTAAAGTCAGAGAGTCACACTCTGCTCTGTTACCTTGGGTGTAGTGCAGTGGCATGATTATGGCTCACTGCAAGCTTGACTTCCCTGGATCAAGTGATCCTCCCACCTCAGTCACCCAAGTAGCTGTGACTACAAGCATGTGCCACCACAGTCAGCTATTTTTTTTTTTTTTTTTTTAAGGAACAGGGTCTCACTATGTTACCCAGGCTGGTCTTGAACTCCTGTGCTCAAGTGATTATCTTGCCTTGGCCTTCCAAAGTCTTGGGATTTCAGGCATGAGCCACCATGCCTGGGCACAAGAAGCTTTTATGGACTGCAATTTCAAAAAAAAATATGTTCCCACATTAGTCTGTGAAACATCTTTCATAACACTAATTACACCAACTTGAAATTCTCATTTCCACTTTGATTTGCTTGTTTCTATTACTCATTAGATCAAATGGAATAACTTACAATTCTTAGCACAATGCCCAGAACAAACTTGTTTCAACAAATGTAATAGTCCTTCTCTTTTATTCCCCATATCCCCAACAGTTCTTAATATCAACTTTAGATTTTATCTATAGAATAGTTTATTGCTAGAAAGATTAATGAGTTGAAAATGTTTCATTTTATAATTGAATTTATGTAGGAAAACAGTAGCAGGCAAAATTATACTATTTTTGAGTCTTTTAATTCAAAAGATGAGTAGTACAATGCAAAATGCCTTGATTTGGTGTTTATATATTTTCTTTCCCATATTTTAAAAAATGCTCCAATTCTTAGATCTCTCAAAACCTTGCATTACAAAAGCCAAATTTAACCCATTTGTGATTGTAATATAATGTTCAACTGTTGTATTATCTATACAACTCCAAAGAATGGATTGACCTCACCCCCTGTGCTCCTGCCTACAAATTGCCATTTACTTTTATTTGGGACATTTGTATATAGTTTTATCTATGTTTCATTATATCATTAGCAGTTTATACCTTTAGAGTCTAAAATCTTTGACTCAAGAGTCTATGGAAAAATGGAGAAAGATTTATATATTAGATTATTATCAACTAACTCTTCATAGTTGGCTGAAGCCTTAATAACAATAGGTTAGTCAGCATTTGAATAATAATTCTGGAAAAGATTAGGAAAACATAAATTGTGTTTACACGATTGTGCTCATGCACTAGCTAGTACCGAAGAGCTGTAGTGAAAATCTTTTAAATGTAAATTGGCTCAGCTACCTGCACATGTGTGACCAGTTTGAAATCAGTGAAATGCAGTATAATGAGATCATCCTTGGAATTCCCGTCCCCCACGTTGAAGGCTGGTCACAATGCTCTGGGTCTATGGGCATTGGATCTCACAGAAACATTGATGAAATCATTTTTGCTTATGATGCTTCATTAAAAAAATGGCCTCTTTAGAAAACTTAGACCCAGTTTGAGTGCCTGAACTCTGTTTATCCTTAGGGTAACAGTTTTACCTCTGACCATTCAGGTAGATCAGGTTGTCAACTGCAAATACTCTTTTCCCAAAGTATAAAGAGTACATCCTCATATTTATCTGTACTCACAAGAGGAGAAAAATTTCTTAAGAATTATATTTAAACAGATATTCTCACCTGCCATAAACAAACAGGTTTAAGTATGTCATATTATTGCAAAAAGCCTTTTTTTTTAATGGAAAAGATAGAGACAGTCAAAAAAAATAAAGCTAATCAAGCGGGCCCCCATTTTGGGTGGTAGCCCAGAACAGCAGAGGAAGCAGGTTTAGAAACACAGCAGGCAGAGACACAGATAATCATCATCAGAACAGGCAAGTGCAGATTTACCCTGAAGCTAATGATGCTTAAACTATGGAGCCCTCCTATCTAACTGCTGAGAGCGCAGGGAGTTTCTGGAAATTGTGGAAGGTTCTAGGTAAATAGGGTAAACAACATTGGAAGCAACTCTGATAAATAACCTTGAAATATCTTGGATGAAATTAATCTCTATCTCCAAAGCTCTAGTAATTGTTGATTCTAAATACTTACTTTGGAACCTCATTATGAGTTTGTAGTTATATATTTTTTTCTTAGAAAACCTCTACCTCAAATTATATCAGTTTCAGGCCTCACAGAATGTGGACCCTTCCTTACCAAACAGAAAAGGCTAAAGGAGTTTCATTCCATTTCCTTTTAGTTCCCATTACTGATATTTTCACTTGTAGCTTGGAGGTCACGGTCTGTGTTTTGGGAGCTACCGTTAGATATATGGTCTTTCTTCACTAATTTATTGGTATTTCTGTTCAAGAATCAATAGTAAGATAAAAATAATCTGTAAACTTACTTGAAATAGTGGAATTTAATTTGACTGGGGGGATCAGTCCTAACAATGTCATTTTAGAAAAACATAATTATCTTCACATTTTATTCATATAATAGATGAGATGTGAAATGAGCTTCATGGATGATAAACGCACTGATAGCTGCTAAGTTTTACACTGTATAAACAAGAATTGAGCTGCTTCTATAGAAAACCATAAAATTTTAGTTTAGATGCTAGATATGGAGACAATAAAAATACTCTAAATGAAAGAAGGTTATTAATCCTATAATGAGATCAGAGTATCATATGCATTTATGTACCTGTAAATAGAAGAAGAAATGAGTTTGTCTCCACACACAATTAGAGGTATATGCCAAACTTATATTTTAAATATTAAAGTCAATTATCCTTTGGGAAAAATCACTTGTAAAGGTTATCATAATTATAAATAGTTTTATTTTTGTGACATGGAAATAATTACATTTTCTAAGTCATGAAAAATACCAAATAGAGAATACTGAACTTCAATAGAAGATACAGAGGCAAACATCAGTTGTGATTTTGCACATTTAAAAAAGAAATAAAAAGAAATGTGTTTATTTGAAAATAGTTCTAAACAAGAAAAGATCAGAACCCCACAAATTCTAAAGCATTGTATTAGTCATTAGCTTCAGTGGAAATATAAACTTGAACTCTGCAAAGACAGCAACAAGAGACTGTAGAACATATTTAGATGTAGAATACATTAGAAAAGTGACTTGGTCAGGCTCGGTGGCTCACGCCTGCAATCCCAGCACTTTGGGAGGCTGAGGCAAGTGGATCACTTGAGGCCAGGAGTTCGAGACCAGCCTGGCCAACGTGGTGAAACCCCGTTTCTACTAAAAATACAAAAATTAGCCGGGCATGGTGGTGGGCACCTGTAATTCCAGCTACTTGGGAGGCTGAGGCAGGAGAATCACTTGAACCAGGGGGGTCGGAGGTTGCAGTGAGGCAAGATTGTGCCACTGCACTCCAGCCTGGGAAACAGAGTGAGACTCCGTCTCAAAAAAAAAAAAAAAAAAAAAAAGAAAAGAAAAGAAAAGTGACTTATTTTGCCCATTTAAGAAAAATGCAGATTAGCATTTATCTTCCTTGATCTCATATGACCACATGCTCCTCATATGTTATGAAATTCCAGGAGATAAAAGCAAAATGCGAATATCACTTCAATGTTTTCATTGTGGTAGATGGGTATGCCTAACGTGGTGTTAAAGAGTTCTCAGTAGTGTTGTAGATGATCTCCAAGCCCCTGTCTATCACTGGGATAAAGACTACCTCAATAATAAATTTTAAAATGCATTAACTTGAATGTATGATATACTATTTTCATATTGCCTAAAGGATTTGACTTCTGCTGTCAATTCTAATTAAAATTTAAAAAGCGGGCAAGATGCAGATACTGGTTTTGATAAGCCACAAGATGAAAGCTATAATCCTCTCATCCTCATTCAGCTATCCAATTAATAACTGGATTACAGTTTCTCTGAAAAAAATGCTCACATTGTTCACATCTTTCTGGACAGCACACAGCTTGTTAAACTACCTTGGGAGCACTGAGTTTTAAATATATGTCAGAGAACAACTATGTAGAGTATCTGATATTCACTTTTTCAATGTTGTATCACTAAAAATCATTTATCTCATACCTGCATAAACTATATGAAAATCTATTATATTCCTTGAGGAATTCATATCATCAACTTGACAGTATACCAGATGCAAAAAAAGACAGCTTCTAAGATTGCGTCTTTTTAAAAAAGGTCTCTCTGCCCCAGTAATATCTCTTAAAAATTCTTCTGCTTTCTTTTTGTACTTTTTATTTAATTAGAGGCAGAAAATTGAAAAAAAGAAGACAAAACAGAAACCCTAATCTGATTTAGAAATAGGAACATTTACTTATTTTGTTCAAGAAAGCAATACAATTATTTCTCTTCCTTGCTTCTCCTGAAAGCAGTGCTTATATTTACCAAGCTTTTATAACGAAACACAATTAATGTCTGCTGCTATATGTTTATCCACTGAACCACACAGCCAACATCACCATAGAAAACTGGTCATGTAATCTTAACGATATTAAAGAAAAGTCATAGTTTCTTCTGTAAAATTATCTTAACATAAGCTAATTCCATAAGCTAAGCCATGTTTTTCTTTTTAGATTTACAGAAAACTGTTGAAGTTAACACATAAATAGTGTACCAAGTTTCCTCTGCATTACATTACATTAGTGAAGCAATATTGGCACTTCATTATTAATGAAGTACATGCTTTATTCAGAGTTCTGTAGTTTTTAATTTCGTGTCCCTTTTCTCTTCCAGGATCTCATCTAGGGCACTGCATTACATTTAGTCATCATGTGTCCTTAGGTTCTTCTTGTCTGTGAAAGCTTCTCAGACTTCCTTAGTTTTGAAGAGATAGGTACTAGTCAGATATTTTGTAGAATGTCTCTCATGTGGGCTTTGCCTGCTTCTTTGCCTGGATTGTATTTATTTATTTATTTTGGTTTTGAGTGTTTTTTCACAATTAGACAAACATACCGTTTTGGAAAGAAAGACCACAGAGGTTTGTATCATTTTCATTATATCCTATGAAGGAACATACTATCAATATGACATCACTATTGACGTTAATCACTAGAATGGGGTACTACACTATTTTTGCTTTTGTAATTTTCTAATTTTGGTTCTGTTGGTTAGTAGTGTTAATAACAGCAAAATCAAAAACTGATTATTTAGATTCGCTATATTCCCTGAAATCTTAAACTCAATCAGTTTTTTCTCAATTATTCAAATATTCAAATTAACATTCAAAAGAGATGCTTTTTAAAAGTCATATAAAATCCTTTAAATAATCTGTTATCTTGAACACTTTAGGATTCTCAGGATTTTTCCCATTGAAAATGTTTCTAATTTACTGTGTTCATATATGTGAACATGTTTTCTTTTCTATTAAAAAAATGCATGAATAGAAATGTACAAAACAATTTTCGGCTGTATTAAAGGGATAATGATTAAACTAAATAAAAAGAACTAAAAGAAAATGTAGAAAAATAAGAAATAATATAACATATATTATTCCCTTTAAGAAGAGAAGTCCTTCTTAAAACAAGACCTACTTTAGAATAAATAATAAAGCAATTATCAGCTTGATTATTTAAATGTTAAAAAGTTCTGAACAACCAAAAAAAGTGCTATAAAGAAAGTTAAAATCTAATGAAATGAAAGACTGGGAGAACATATTTTCAATATGTGTAAATTATCAATAACCAGAATATTGTCAATCTTTATTAAAAATTAAAAGGAAAAGACAAAATCAAAATAAGAAAAGGAACAAAGAATTAATTTTTAGCCAATTACCAGATGGCAAAATACAAATAACTAATAGAGCTATGTAAAAATGTTTACTTGTACTGTCATATCAAAAATGTAAAGTAAGCCAATAATGAAATACCTTTCCCACTAATCCAATTGGCAAAAATGTAAACATCAAATGAAGAAATAGTTCTAAAGCACATGCTTTGTGGAAATGTAAATTTATACAACATTTTAACATAACAATTTTATAGTATATACTTACATTTTCAGTGGCCACACCCTTTAGCTTAATAATTCCATGTCTTACTATCTAGCCTAGATTGTACCTCTATACAAAAATCTGTTTAGAATTAGTATTGTTACAGAATTGTCTGTAATAATAAACAAAAAACTGCCTGTGTCCATAAATAATAAAATACAGCCATATTTTTATATACGTAACAATGAAATTAAAGAAAAAATAGTAATATCTAACACTAATTCACTTCCTTGATTAAGTTTTAAGTGTTTCATTATTTTTGTTGCTGTTGTAAATGGGATTGTTTTAAGAAAATGAAGAATACCCATTTTGTTTGTTGAATAGTTTGTTGTTAGTGTATAGAAACACAACTTATTTTTGTTTGTCAATTTTGTATCCTGAAACTTTACTGAATTTGTGTACTCATTTAAACAATTTTTTGTGGGGTCCTTAGAGGTTTCTCCATATAAGATCATTTCAACTGCAGAGAGAATTTTATTTCCTCTTTTCTGATTTGGATGCCTTTTATTTCTCTTTCTTTCCTAATTACTCTATGTATTATTCCATTTTCACATTGCTGTCAGAACGCCTGAGACTGGGTAACTTGTAAAGGAAAGTAGTTTAATTGACTCACAGTTCCATATGGCCGGGGGTCTCAGGAAACTTACCATCATCACAGAAGGATAAGCAGGCACGTCTTACATGGCAGTAGGTGAGAGAGAGAGCAAGAGCAGGGAAACCTGTCTTATAAAACCATCAGATCTCGTGAGAACTCACTCACTATCATGAGAACAGCATGGGGGAAACCCCCCTCATGATCCAATCACCTCCCACTGGGACCCTCCCTCCACATGTAGGGATTATGGGAATTACAATTCAAGATGAGATTTGGGTGGGGACACAAAGTTAACCTTATCACTCTAGCTAAGACTTCCAGTACTATGTTGAATAAAAGTAATGAGACTGGGCATCCTTGCCTTGTTTATAATCTTTGAGAAAAGGCTTTCAATTTTTCACCATCAGATATAATGTTAGGTGTAGGACCTTTTATATATTGCTTATTATATTGAGGTAAATTACTTCTTTACCTAGTTTGTTGAGAGTTTTTCTCATAAAAGTGTGCTCAATTTTTTCAAATGCTTTTTTGCCTTTACTTAGATAGTCATGTGACTTTTTACCCTTCATTTTGTAAGTGTGGTATATCACATTAATTAGCTTGCCTATCCTGAACCCTCCTTCATCCCAGAAATAAATTCCCCTTGGTCATGGTGTACGATTCTTTCAATGTACTAGTAAATACAATTTCATAGTCTTTTGTTGAGGACTGTTATACCTATGTTCATCAGGAATATTAGCCTATAGTTTTCTTTTTCATTTAGCCTTTCTGTCTGGCTTTAGTATCAGGGTAATGATGGCTTCATAAAATGAGTATGGAAGTCTTTGTTGTTCAATTTTTTGGAGGAGCTTTAAAAGGGTTGGTGTTAATTGTTTTTGAAATGTTCATAAAATTCACAAATGAAGCCATCTGGTCCGGGGCTTTTTTTGTTGTTGTTTAAAAAGTTTGACTGCTGATTTAATTTTCTTACTTGTGAGATACTGAATAAAGATGGCAGGTAGGAGGCAGGACTAGCTTGCAGCTCCCACTCACACAGGCAGAGCAGCGTGTGGCGACTCGCATTGTGAACTTTTACTCCAAGAAGTACCACAGCAACATACCAGGAAAGCTGAGAGAATCCACAGACCCTCTGAAGGAACTGGATCACTGCTGCAGGCTCCCTGAGATGCTGAAAAACTGAGTCTCAGCGGGGAGGCTGGTGGTCTGAGGCAACTTCTCAGCCCTGGTCACCAGAAATAGACTCTGTGCTGTTGGTGGGGCATGGTGGGAGTGAGACCAGCCTTTAGGACTGTGGGCTGCATGGGAGTGGAGTGTGGCATGTGACTGCAGGCTTTCCCCTACTTCCCTGGTGACCTGTGTGACTCAGCAGAGGCAGCCGTAATCCCCCTGGGAAAATACCTCCATTGGCCTGAGAACCACACCCCCATGCCCCATATCAGCTGCAGTAAGCCCTGCCCAAGGAGAGGCTGTGCTCAGACATGCCTATCCCTGCCCCCACCTGGTGGTCTTTCTCTGCCCGCCCAGGTTGCCTAAGACAAAGGACACAATCTCTTGGGAGCTCTATGGCCCTGTCCACCACCTGAGAAACCTCAATACTTAACCAGGCAAGTTTGCTTCCTTCCTATAGTACCACAGCCAATGTGCTCTTGAAAGCATCACCTCCTGGCTGGAGGCCGACCAACACAAAACCAGCTCACTAAACAAAAATACAACCAAGGACCCTCAAAGAGTCTGCTTCACTCTTCTGTTTCCTCCACAGAAGCTGGTATCCACAGCTGAAACACCTGAAGATAGATCACATCACAAGACTCTTTGCAGACATTCCCCAGTAGCAGCCTGGAGCCCAGTAGATCTGCTGGGTGGTTAGACCCAGAAGAGCAAAAACAATCATCACTGCACTTTGGCTCTCAGGAAGCCCCATCCCTAGGGGAAGGGGGAGAACTCCATTTCAAGGGAACACCCTGTGAAACAAATCTGAAAAGCAGCCCTGGAGCCCCACATCTTCCCTCTGATATAGTCTACCCAAGTGAGAAGGAACCAGAAAAACAATTCTGGTAATATGACAAAATAAGGTTCTTTAACATCTCCAAAAGATCACACCAGCTCACAAGCAATGTATCCAAACTAAGACAAAACTCTTAATTGCCCAAAAAATAATTCAGAAAGTCTATTAGTAAGCTAAGCAAGGAGGCACCGAGAAAGGAGAATTCCAACTTTAAAAAATCAAAAACTTGATACAGAATAGGAAAGAAAAAATCTTCAGTGAAATAGCAGAAATAAAAGACAATCACAACTTCTGGAAATCAAGGACACACTTAGATAAATGCAAAATGCACTGGAAAATCTCAGCAATAAAATCAAACAAGCAGAAGAAAGAACTTCAGAGCTCAAAGACAAGATGTTCAAATTAACCCAATCCGTGAAAAACAAAGAAAAAAAGAATTTAAAAAAATGAACAAAGCCTCTAAGAAGTTTGGGACTATGTTAAGTGTCCAAACCTAAGAATAATTGGTTTTCCCAAGGAAGAAGAGAAATCTAAGTTTGGAAAATATATTTGAGGGAATAATCTAGGATAACCTCCCTGGCCTTGCCAGAGATCTAGACACCCAAATATAAGAAGCTCAAGGAACACCTGGGAAATTGATCACAAAAAGATCATCACCGAGGCACATAGTCATCAGGTTATCTAAAGTCAAGACAGAGGAAAGAATCTTAAGAGCTGTGAGGCAAAAGCATCAGGTAACCTATTAAAAAAAAAAAAACCTATCAGAGTAACAGCAGCAGATTTATCAGCAGTAACCAAGCTAGAAGGGACTGGGGTCCTGTTTTTAGCCTCCTTAAACAAAATTCAGCCAAGAATTTTGTATCCAGTGAAACTAAGCTTCATAAATGAAGGAAAGATACAGTCTTCCAGACAAACAAATGCTGAGAAAATTTGCCACTACCAAGCCAGAACCACAAGAACTGCTAAAATGGGCTCTAAGTCTTGAAACAAATCCTCAAGATACACCAAAATAGAACCTCCATAAAGCATAAATCTCATAGGACCTATATAATAATAACACAATTAAAAAAAGATATTCAGACAACAAATAGGACAATGAATAGAATAGTACCTCACATCTCAATACTAACATTGAATGTAAATGGCCTAAATGCTCCACTTAAAAGATACGGAATGGCAGAATGAATAAGAATTCACCAACCAAGTTTCTGCTGTCTTCAGGAGACTCACCTAACACAAGGACTCACGTAAACTTAAGGTAAAGGGGTGGAAAAAGATATTCCATGCAAATGGACACCAAAAGCAAGCAGGAGTAGCTATTCTTACATTAGACAAAACAAACTTAAAAACAACAGAAGTTTAAAAAGAGAAAGAGGGACATTATATAATGATAAAAGACTATCCAAAAGAAAAATATCACAGTCCTAAATATGCATGCATCTAACATGGGAGCTCCCAAATTTATAAAACAATCACTGCTACACCTAAGAAATGAGATAGATGGCAACACAATAATAGTGGAGTATTTTAATACAGTCGTCACTTAGTATCCATGGAGGATTGGTTTCAGGACCTTCCTCAGATACCAAAATCTGTGAATTCACAAATCACTGATATAAAAATGATATAGTATTTGCATATAGTATGCACATCCTCCCATATACTTTGAATCACTTCTAGATTACTTATAATACTTAATACAATGTGAAAGTTATGTAAATAGTTGTTATACTGTATTGTTTGGGGAATCACGACAAGAAAAATTCTGTACGTATTCAGTAGAGGTGCAATTAAAAAATATTTTCAATATGAGACTGGCTGAATCCATGCATACAGAACACACGGATAGGCAGGAACATCTGTATTCTCATTTGCATTACTCTTACATTGCTTGCCACTTTAATTTCATTTCCACAATAACTGGATATTACTTATAAGAGTATTTCTTAATTTTAAATTAGGTAAGTTTTTTTTTGTTTTCAAAAGCTCACCTTTTAATAATTTATTTCTATTTCTTAATTATGATCATATCTAAAATTTAGATATAGATTATGTCCATCATTTGTAGTCCATAAGTGTCTCTGTATATCTCTTTATTGATATTGCCTATGCATACAAATATATAATGAAATTTATTGAATATATTATTCAGTTACCTTATATTTTATCTATTTTTTGCTCATGATATCTATCTAATCTTAAAAGAAATATACTAAAATCTTTTAATCTTTAAAGGTTTTTTATTGCATTACTAGTAGCATTGGCTTTGAATATATTCAGCTGCTATTTATTTCAGTGCCTAAGAATTTTTTATTATAATATTTCTTTCTTAACTTGGAGCTCTTTATTAAATTCTGCACCTCAATATTCTTTATTGCTATTAACCTAAAATTCAACTCTTTATATTATTTATACTGCCACTTTCATTTTGCTTTCCTTGTCTTGTCTCTCTTTGATCATATCTTCATTTTCAACCTCTTTCAATGTGCAATTTTAAGTGTTTCTTAAAAACAGAAAATAGCTAGGTGTGAAGTTTTACTCTAGTCTTGCTATCACTGTTTTTTAGAATCATTGAGCATGCTCACATTTAATGTAGAAACTTACTTATTTCATTTTATTGTTTTGTCCCATTAACATGTGCAATTTATTTTGCTTTATTACTTCATCTGTTTTTGTAATTACTTATGCTGTTTTATCCCTTGTTAACTTGGATATTTGTGTATATAGTTACCTTTCCTTTCCCCAAATTCATGTATTTCCCCCTTCAAGAGGCTCTGCTTTCTGAAGGGACAGCCTCCTGAAAATTTCAGAATACATAGTCCCCCTCCTCCTCCTGTCCCAAGTGTTGCTGAGATAATTTAGGACTGACTTTTTTCGGTATTTTTTAATATCTTACTTTATTTTATTTTACATTCTGGGATACATGTACAGGACATGCAGGTTTGTTACATAGGTAAACGTGTGCCATGGTGGTATGCTGTACAGATCAACCCATCACCTAAGTATTAAGCCCCACATGCATTAGCTATTTATCCTGATCCTCTCCCTTCCCCTACACTCCCAACCCCAACAGGCCCCAGTGTATGTTGTTCCCCTCCCTGTGTTCATGTGTTCTCATTGTTCAGCTCCTACTTATAGGTGAGAACATGCGGTGTTTCGTTTTCTGTTCCTGAATTAGTTTGCTGAGGATAATGGCTTCCAGTACCATCCATGTCCCTGCAAAGGACAAGATCCCATTCCTTTTTATGGCTGCATAGTATTCTATGGTGTATATATACCACATTTTCTTTATCCAGTCTCTCATTGATGGGCATTTGAGTTGATTCTTTGCCCATACATTTGTTGTATGAATAGTAATACAACAAACATATGCATGCATATATCTTTATAATAGAATTATTTGTATTTCTTTGGGTATGTACCCAGTAATTGGATTGCTAGGTCAAATGGTATTTCTAGTTCTAGGTCTTTGGGGAATCACCACACTGTCTTCCACATGGCTGAACTAATTTACATTCCCACCAACAGTGTAAAAGCATTACTGTTTCTCCACAGCCTCACCAGCATCTGCTGTTTTGACTTTTAGTTTCAGTTTTCTCCTTGCAGTACCTCCCTTCCATGGCAATCTTTATCTCTTAACTTCCTCATTCACATTTAGTCTAAGTTTTTTTTACAATTAACTATACATATTGCAAGATTCTTTGCTTACCTTGTTCTCTTTTTCACTTAATCTTCTGCTATTTGATATTCCTGTTCTGATTCATTTGGTTTGAAGAGTTCTTTTCTAATATTTTATTTAAAAGTGGTGCTTGGTGATATATTCTCAGAATCCTTGCCTAGCCTCAATTTTTTTTTCCATCATGATGATAAATGATACTTTGGAAGCATATGGAGCCTTTGCATTGTCATTATGGCAGTGGTCTGCATTACACTATCTTCTAGCTTAATAAATCCAAAGCCACCATTTATGCTCCTGTGACTCCATCTCATACAAATAAAAGCACCAGCTGATAAATACATATGTATAAATATATCAGTTGTGGAATCATTTATAGAAGTAAGAAGCAACTGCTGGTAAAAATTGTATAGAATGATAAGGGATTTGGTGAATTATTATGGTACAAGTATACTTGAAATATCATTTGGAATTTTTAAGGAATGAATTAAGGCTCTACTAATGCACTTAAAAGAATTTATGTGAGCATGTGTTAATTTTTTAAAGCCAGAGAAGAGAAGTAATATGAGATCATTTTTGCATAACAATGACAAATAAGTCTTATATATGACTGTGTGTTTTGTGATTCAGTTGTTAAATAAACATAGAGAAGAGTGTGGGAAAATGTGCAAAAAGTTATTGATATTGCATAGATGAGGTAAGGGGAATTTGGAAAAGAGAAGGAAAGATGTATTAAGTAAAAGAATAAAAGGTGTGATAAAGGCAGTGTATGAGGTATGATAGTGCATGTGTAAATATTCATACGTGTCAGTATGTGGGTGTCTGCATGTTTGTTTATATATTTGAAAGGAGAATCACCAAACCACTCATGGTGGTTTCCACAGGGTGTTGAGATTTAAGGTGGTTTTTATTCTCTTCCTTATAATGGTATATTCTGTTTGGTATATACATTGAGAATTACAAATTAGTCAATCTAGTAAAAGAAAGCTGTTTACATTTTGTTAAAAAAGAAAGATGTCATATAAAATAGTGAAAACATCTTATACATATCTACTCATCATCGTATTTATATAAATGCAACACCTATGATCATGAAAAGTATAACGCTGAATTAATATAATCATCCATCCATCTATCCGTCCAGAAAATAATTCCAATGGACAATTAGGAGTTAGAATGAATAATTTATACAGTATCACAACCACAGAGTTAGATATCTCTACAATGTATACATTTTTGATATATTATGAATCTATAATTTATCCAAATATTATTAATAAAACATATGCTATGTTTTATATTAACAAGAACATCAGAATGTTTTTATGAGCATATTTCTTCTGTTTTAATGTATTCATTTTTAAATATTCTATAATTACCCTCTTCAAATATTCCAGCTAAACTCTCTAGAGGTAGAGCTCTGTCATTATTTATAATTTTACAAAGACCCTTAATATTTATAGTTTTATATGTCTTTGCTTTCATTTTCTAGAATAATGTATGTTTATATTCTATATTAATAAATCTAGCTCAGCCATGCTTTTCTTTAGGTGGCAACCTGAACTCCATTTTAGAGTAGTCAGACAGATTTGTAGATTCTAGAGGAGGAAACCTCAGTGTTGTTGGATTGGAGTGAACAAGAGAAAAGGTAACAGGATATGAAGCAGAGAAAAAATGGGAATTTTAACCATAGAAGACCTTTAAGGTAATTTTCAGGACTTTGTTTTTTACTTGATTAGAATGGGGACTCATCACACCATTTTGCATAGAATACTGACATGATCTGACATAGATTTTAAAGAATCACTATTCTGTGTAGTAAAAAATGTAGAGAGCAAAGACAGGAGCAAGGAGAATATTTGTGAGACTCTGGCAATGATTCAAGTAATAACTAATGGTGGCTTACTCCAGTGTGGTAGCAGAGGAGGGAGTGAGAAGTGGTTGGAGTCTGGATATACTTTGAAAGGATATATAAATGGGATTCCTAAGAGACTTAATCTGTGATGAGAGAAAAAAAGAAACAGTCAAAGATAAATGTAGAATTTTGGCCTGAGCCACTGAGATTGAAAGATAGTGGGAAAAGCAAGATTGTGGTGGAGAATGAGGAATCAGGACTTGTTTGGGACTTGTTTGTGACTTGTTGTGTTTAAGATATATATTAAGATATGTATGTTAAGATATATATATATATATGATTTTTGAATTTTAAGACATAAGACTTTTCAGATAGATATATATGACTTTTGAATTTTATGCATAATTGTTTTTAATCACTACAAGAAAAAATTCTTAGATACTCACATCTGTTTAATTCTAGGTTAGAATCTAGCTTCATATCACTTAAATCACCTGAAATAATTATTGTCCAGGGAAACTTCACAGTGGCCACTTGGCAGCTATTTTCTGCTGCTCTCCTGCAGTGTCTTCTAGATAACTATGACATACCTTATGGTCTCATGACAGACAAACTTAGAAAATGTTTCACTCTTTCAACATTTTTGTATTTTTGCATGGTTGCCTAGAGCAAACAGTCTCACTTCTAGTATGACTAGACATTGTAGTTTTTATTTCATCACATTTTCAAATTATATCACTTTTGTAATGTCACTTGTATAAGTTCTGTCTCATCCTAATTTCCATCAGTGTCTCATCTCATGTTTTATGAAAAGAATAGCCACTGTCACCTACTCTTCTCTGAATACATTTTCCCTTCATAAAATTTCTATTTTTTTCTTTTGAAATGTTTTCTGGTTGATCTAGGGAAATTACAGCCAGAATCTTGTTGTGAAAGAGCATCATTTTCTAAATCAAAGAAAAAAAATAGTCCTGGAAACAAGATGGAAGATTCTCTCATCCAGAATGAGTGCTGCTGAAGTGAGAGGGACAATTCTGAAGTCTACAAACAGTGAGGCTCCACTTTTTCAGAGGCAGTTCTGATGCTGTGCTCTACAAAGAAAGGTGATTGAATCTCTTCATAAGGACTCATAAATTTCAAGTGTAATCATTCCATCAACGCTAAACTCGCTACCATCTGAATGAATGACAAGAACAGTGAAAAGTCTTCAAACCAAAGATGATCCCTTAAATTAGGAAAAGTTTTGAATATTATTTTCTAGTTAATCATGGTTCCAGACATATTCTCTATAGAGTATTAATTCTAAGCAATGGAAGGAATACTGATACAAATAGTGATAGATTATAGATAGGTAGATAGATAGATAGATGGATAGACAGATGACAGATAGACAGATATCATATATTGAGCCCACATTAACTGCCAGAAACTCTGTTAAATGATGTTTATTTCACTTAATCCTGAAAGTAATCTATAAGTAGAATTTTTATTTACATTTTACAGATAAATAAAATGAGGCTTAGAGAAGAAAAATAGTGGTAGATATTGGGCCAACGACAGGTTTGATTCCAAACCCAATACTCATGAACACTACACAACACTGTTTACTGTTTATTGAGCTGATACTGATGATATTCAATCCTAATAAATACTATCATTCCCATTTTATAAATGTGAACATTTGGCCTTGAGGAGATTAAAAAATTGACATAATAAGTTGCAGAACCAGGATTCAAACACACAGTGGTCTGACCCCAGTGTCAGTGTCTTTTTCACTGTTCTGTGCTCCTGAGTATCAGCAAGACCCTCCAAAATTTTATGAGTTAATCTGATAAAATCAGTTCATAGGAGATGCAATAAAACCAAAAGAAAAAACCACCCTAGGAAGCAGAGTGGCTTCCAGTTTACAAACTGGCTACTATGCAAAATGTTGGTAGTATTAATACGTCAAGCTCAACTACGTAGCTCCCATGGCAGCCAAGTCCCAGTGATGACAGCAGATGTATTAGATTATTATAAGTTGGCACTTCTGCTATTTCAATCATGCAACAAGTTCATCTTGTTTTGACTCATTGCTCACCAAGCAACATTCTGATTTTAATTTGGTTTCCTTTGTGGCTTTCTACAGCAACACTAACTAGTTCCCCTGGTATCTATGACAATTGTATTTCTCATGTTAATTTAATGACTAGGCTACTTAGTGAACAGATCATTTCCGTTTTGAATTTGGTAATATTAGTCTCCTAGAGTCACTTAGTAACTAACCAACTTCTGGTGATGCACTGGAGTGATCAGACCCTGAACTACAAGGATTTACTAAGGTAATGCTATTAGGTGAATTACTCAGGGCCACACCCCAGTTACTGATTGTGAACCCATTATCCCACTGTGATCCCAAAACTACAGCAAAGAAAAAATCAATTTAGTGATCCGTTATTGGTCACTGTGTATATACATACATGAATAAATGTTTTTTCCAATTTCTTTACTACAGTTTGTTTCAGTGTTCCAATGCCAATAAATAAATATTATGTTTGGATTCCCAAAGATAAGTTTCCTTTCAATATTTACATATTAATATTTATAACTAGCACATGTGTGGCTTAATATAATTCATAAGCTATTTTTCTCCTTTATGTTAGCCTATTGAGTTAGGTATATTTTTATATTGTGGTACATGTTTTATACTTACTGTTTTAACTATGGCATATATTATTTTCTCCCATTTCATTCTGAAAATTGTGGGAAAATGAGGATTCTGTTTGGCTTCATTAGCCTTTTTGGAAATATAGCACAACTATATATGGTGTTAAAGAATTAGATTACATTTCAGCACAAGAAAATTTATTTCATCAGGCCTGAGTTCCTAAGGAATGCAAAAATCCCTGCCCACTTGTTCTAAACTATCAAATTAAAAAGGATTAATATTTAATCAAAAGAAATATCATTCTGTATTATTATTAGGTAAAATAATTTTACTTTGCACTTGCTGGTGCTTCCTTTATAAGCCATGAAAATGTTAACTTGATGCTCCACTAAGTGTTTTGAATTATCAAAAATATTTGCCAACTTCATCTTTCTGAAGCTAATTCATCAATAGCCTGAATATTTTTCCAACTAACAAAAATATGCTTATAAAAAGATAACATTCAAGCCATAACCTGAAAATGCCATTTCATTAGAAGTATAGCCAAAAGTAATGTCTACATTCTTAGGCTTGTTTTTTCAAATTTTTTTTATCAGAAATGAGGTCCTATGTATTAGTAGAAATGTACCAAATATAGTATCAAGAATTACACTGTCCAATCAAGCCATTCTGACTTATAAAATGCTGTAAAAACACTCCTTAATATTCAAGAAACATAGACTTTTTAAGGATAATTGAAACTATGTTATGAGTACTTTATATCAAGTCACCATATATCACTGTGTCAGGTGAAATTTTAACTCCATAAAAATAAGAAGTAAAAAAGATTTGAAGTGGATTTTTTTAAAAACTTGAAAGAAATTGTTTTCATTGTCTAAAGATTATACAACTTTTTCCCCTAGCGCAGCAATGTTGAAACTTGATATACATCACAGAAAAATAATAGCAATCACAAGAAATACAATAAATTATAACATGATACAGAAAAATATTGAAAGTTTCTCTCTTGTTCAATGTGGGAACTCTTACTCTACACCTTCTGGTTTGAGCAGTACTTGTAGGCATTCATGGAGTTTATGCAGATAGTAGAATTCCATATGCTTTTCCATGTAAAGTTTAGTATTTCTGAAAAAAAAACAAACAAAAAAAGCCTCCACATTGGTCTTTCCATTCCTCCAGACCTTGAGAAAAATTTCTATGGCAGTGTCAAAATGTTGCTTGGAAGTAACACTTAGCAGATAAGAGCTTTTCTGTGTGTAAAGAAGGTCACAATGTTGAGCATGTCAGCCGTTTTTTTTTTTTTTTTTTTTTTTGAGATGGAGTTTCACTCTTGTTGACCAGGCTGGAGTGCAGTGGCGCGATCTCAGCTCACTGCAGCCTCGCCCTCCCAGGTTTAAGCAATTCTCCTGCCTCAGCCTCTTGAGTAGCTGGGATTACAGGCATGTGCCACCATGCCTGGCTAATTTTGTAGTTTTAGTAGAGACAGGGTTTCCATGTTCGTCAGGCTGGTCTCAAATTCTTGACCTCAGGTGATCCACCCATCTTGGCCTCCCAAAGTGCTGGGATTACAGGCGTGAGCCACCGTGCCCAGCAAGCATGTCAACTCTTATAAAGCCTTCTCAGCAGTGTATAATGTGCAAGTGGTACATTCAGATTGTTTTAAAGAGCAACTAAATCAGCAGGCAAAGCATATTTTTAAAAGAGTGCAGTTTATCTCCCCACTTCACAGGGATTTGGGGTTATAGACAGTAAATTAACTCCCTGAAGAAATGCTTCCCGTTGTGTCATGCATTCCAGATTCCTAAATACCTTCTGCAGACGTTGCAGTTTGCCAACACCTATTTTACTGTGGACTGCCATCTGATCCAACCATCCAACAGTCTGATGAGCCCAGTGCAGTTACTTGTGTGCTTGCTCTATTAACCTATTCCAAAACGCAGTTGCTTTTGACAACCACATCACCTTCTGGCTCCTGGTGACCTTATAGCCAGGTAAACCTTCCAGGTCTTAGCAAGAATCACTACTAAACCAGTGAAATCCACTTTGAACTACCTTAGGAAAATAAACAAAACAGTGAAACTACTGCCCATTGTCCATCAGTGTTATTAGTGCTTTAAAAATCAAACCACCCTGAGTCATCAAAGTGGAGAAGGCACTATTTAGCCCAGAACTATGAATTCCCGGCATAGTCATTAAGTGCAAATGTCCTCTGACGCTGCTGTTCCACTAGGTTTATGCCTTAATGCGAATAAGAAAATTAACCATGATGGGTACAGTAAGATGCTTTCAGAGATGAAAGACCTCTCAAAAGGAAGTTTCTGTTATCATTTATATGGTTGACTACCATTAAGCACATAAACACATGGAACACGCAAAAAGTGGGATCTTTAATCCTTTCTGCTTTTGTTCAAGAAAGTGATTGAAGGAAAAACAAGAGAGGTTAGGACTGCCATGTTTCAGTGAGATGAAAAAGAAAGAAGCCTGTTGTGTGTGTCAACATCTTGATATTTTAAAGAAAATGTAATCATTTCAAAATAATTATATCACTTTCACACCATAGTTTCAGGAATCAAGAAAATGGGCAAAATGTTTTAAAATTAAAATTAACTGAGAATAACAGTGACAGGGCTAGGGAGCAATAAAGACCTCTCTATCCATGAAATTCAGCACAGTAAAAGTCATCTGGTTTATAATTTTCCACCTAATGTTTTCTATGTGATTCCTGGTACAAACCCCATTCTTATTAGTGGACTGGCAGCACCACTATTTATAAATAGGCTATGATCCAAAACTCATTTATCCCTTAGAAAATGCTACAAATGGTTAGGTTTCTTGGCTATTGCACAAAATACATTTAACCAGGTAGCTGAATTACTGCAGCTTTCCAGTTTTAAAATAGATTCATATGCAGTTGTAATAATAAAACTAAATGAAACCAAAAATGCAAGGTTTTAGTAGTAGCTTTAAAAATGTATTTTCAATGTCAGTACTAGCAGAGAGGTTTGAGGAGAAGAGGAGGAAAAGGTAAAACTGAAACATCTCTGGAGAGTCGAAGGTATCATCTTTGACTTTCAAAGGTATTAGGAGAGAGTGACATTGTTTTTTGTTATATGTAATTTCACTCTGTATATCAGGATATGCTAGTTCATATTCAGGACTATTACTGCATTCTAAATATCATTAGGGCATTCTGTGTGTTTTTGTTAGGGAGGGAATGTTTAGTAAGTCTCAGCTAACAAATTGAATGATATAGAGAAAACTGGAATGGAAAATTGTTTTAAATAGTAAAATACAAAGATGGTTATTAGGAAGTCCCTGGGAAAAAAGAAGGAGAATAAAGAGAAAAGGTAAATAACTATTGACAAATTTAATTGATTCCCGAAGGAAAGGTATGGGTCCAGCTTTCACAAGTTGATTCCATTTTTGTTCCTGTAGATGCTGTATTATGAACTCAGGTTTAATTTCTGAAAAGACATTTTATACAAACCAAGAGATACCAAAAAATGATTATAAAATTAATGCACAAAAGTAAAAACAAATACATAGTTTACAGACATGCAAAATAGCCACCTGACATGCTACAAAAGCTACATTATGTTTGTTTGTTTGTTTTTTAGTATAGACCAGACGAGCTGAGACTTCTTAAAATATTTATTCAGTGAGTATTTATTGAGCACCTACTTCATGTTGAGCACTGGTATAGGCACTTAGGATACATTAGAGAGCAAAAATGACATCTCTCTTGAGACTCTTTTCATAATCCAATGCTCTTGCTTTCAATAAAGCATTCATTGCTAACTCCTGTAAAAAAAAAAAAAAATCTACATATCTGCTCTGTAACCAGAAGTAGGCCCTTCTTTCCTTAGGAATGCAGTATTGCTAGTGTGCTGGCTTTCTTAAAAGTCTTGTTTCATCAGTTTTAAATATAAATTGCAAATACCTGCCTTCCCTTTTAATTATCCAGACAAAATTTTCTGAAAATGACTTGGCTACTTCTATAGCCATGTTTCAAGCTTTCCCTTAAATGTTGGTGCTAGGCCAACAATTTCTTTTTTGCAAGTAATCAAGCCATTCATTCCTTTGTGTCAAGCACCTTTCCTAAAATTCATTGTTTGGTTTAGACTTTAAATTTTATCAGCATATGTATTCTCTGAGCAGGCATTCACAGAGTTGCACGTGTTCCCACCTCATCATTCAGCCAATGCTTTTTCATGCCACCATTGATTGAATTGATTTAACATTTTTTTCTTCAAACATTTTCCCTTGTTCTAACAAATTATACTCAGACCCAAAGGAGACAATTTTAACTTGGAATTTAGTTCATTCAGCTTTATTCCAGCCTTTGTATCTGAAGTGAGCTTTTTCTTCACTTTTGTGTGATTTGCCATTCAGTGCATCATATCTCCTTTTCTAAGACATGAAGTAGAGGAATTTTATTTTAAAAACTGAAGAAAGTACAGAAGTGAAGAGCAGTATCAAAAACCATACCTGCACTAAGTGCAATCGCACACCCAGCCAGCTGACTCACTACTGCTGGCAGTCCGCCCCTCAGTACCTGCACTGGATCTGCTGAGGCATCCACAAGAAATAGGGGCCGGCAGGCAGCTCGGATGCAGTGCCATTGGCATTCATAAACTGCACATGCTAGTGCTCTCATAATTCCAGGGTCATCTATATTTAAAATGCTAGTTTCAACAGTGGTATTAACTGCTGTAAGAAATGAAAGGCAGAAGAAACACAAAGGTGAAATAAAGAGGAAGCCCACAGTGATGTTTTGGAAGTGAGGTTTTTATATCTCTGACCTGAATGACTGACTGCTTGCATATCTTTCTCATCAATTGTACATAATTACCAAGGATCATCAGTAGTAGGTCTCTAAAACGTAAATGAGACTAAAGTGATAATAAAAGAACATAGTTGGAAACACACCAACTTGAAATGATTTAGACAAGCTGTCCTATAAATCTAAGAGTGGTTACTACAGACTATTTTCACTATTTTTGAAATGCATTTGGAACTTCTTTTAACCATTAGTGATTCAGGTTTATAAAAGGGATATGTCAGTTTAAAGCATATTACTATATTTATTTTTATAAGTATTAGGTTTATGGATCGCACTTAGAGGCAGCAAGTTTCACATGTTTTACAAATTACTCGTAGTAAAGGCTAGTACTTTGGTTTTTATCTTTTATCTTTTTTTTTCTATTTCTTAAAAATGCCCGAATCTCCCAGAAGTTAGAGTCATTCGGCAATGCATACTGCATAACTAGAATTCATCAAGATACTTCCAGTTGTTGTTGTTGTTATTATTAAGTGTTTTAAAATACTAGCATTAGTTTGCAAATAGATGTCCAGAACCTTTCAAGGTGATTGAAGTTTGAACCTACTATCATTATCTCATCCCACACAGAGCTATTCATCTTTCCTGGGAGGTGCCAGGATATTAGAAATGCATAAGTTCTCAAGGAAAAATGCTGACATGAGCTAAGCACATTTTAGGAATTTACTAAAAGATCAGAAAGCTTATACAATTTAATAAATTAAATTCAATCATGGTTGGAAATAAAAGAAACCTCTGTATGGTAATACAACCTTTCCTAAAGCCTCAATACAAATCACAGTACTGTTTTCATATAAAATGTACAGAATTAGTTTGAAATTTTTTTAATGGTGGAAACAATCTAAGAAATAATTCCCCAGATTCCAGAAACATAGAAACATTTACAATTAAGTATAAATTAGAAGTACTTATGTTAACAATATTTTGCCATGTATACTTTAGGTTAGGTCAACCTACCTAATCATTCCCTTTCCAAAGGTGACCACAAAGTACCAATTTCAAATGATACATGGTATTCAAAGCCATAATGTAAGGTCTATTCCCTTCATTGATTTGCTTCTAAGCTCAATTTTACCAATTCCGGTTTCTCTGATTTTTAACGTGTTAGTTCTAAACACTATTGTCACCTCAGTCCTGCTTCCCTCCTCCAAAATCCATTTGATATTTGGCACAATGCATGATTTGTTTCCTAGGAATATATAAATTTTAAGTAACTATTCGAGATTTTTAGCAACTGATATAGCATGAGCCCCAACCTATCAGAACAGATTGCTCATAAACATTGGGTACTTCCATATCATTACGTACCTGTCTAAGGGTACCCTGGCTCCCCTGTATTTGGATCTAATCTCTCTGGTTGGAGTTATGTTTTTCTCACATTCTGGCCCTAGCATTTGTCTTTTATGAGCTCAGTCCCTGTTGCAATTCTGAGCCACAAGGAATTTTGTCCCCATAATTAGGTAATTCCTACTTGGATCAACCCTCAGCCTTTCTCAAAGGACAGAGAGTGGAAGAGAGGTAGCAGAAGTTGAGGAGCAATGAGTCAAAGCACATTCCCTTTTTATTATTAATATGACTCTTCATTTAAATGTCTCCTAGATGAGACTCTTTCAATCTGTGATTGTCTTTCATTTGCTATTGAGCAGCTGTATGGTTTGTAATAACTGAAATGCCAAAAGCTATTCTTGGGCATTAAAGGTTCTTAATGAAACCCAATATCGAGGAATAATCACACATATAGTTATGATACTTGATAAGAATTTCTGTCATTTATTTTTATTTTTTGTAACACCAATCTAATTCAAAATAATTTGGCATTATGTATGTGATTGCTGTAATAAATCACATACCATCAACACATACCATTTATATTAAAGTGATAAGAAAACAAATGATTTTCCCATTAGCCAAGCTATTATATTATTGAAAGTTGCCCAGGCTGGAGGGCAGTGGTGCGATCTCAGCTCACTGCAACCTCCACCTCTCAGGTTCAAGAGATTCTCCTGCCTCAGCCTCCTGAATAGCTGGGATTACAAGTGCCTGCACCACACCTGACTAATTTTTATATTTTTAGGAGAGACGAGGTTTCCCCGTGTTAGCCAGGCTGGTCTCAAACTCCTAACCTCAAGTGATCTGCCCACGCCAGCCTCCTGAAGTGTATATTTAAACTTTATAAGAAAGAGGTAAGATTTTTCCACCAACTAAAAAGGAGAAAGGAAAGAAATTAACATTTATTTAGTGAATAAAGTATGCCAGGAAGTGTAACAAGCAAGTACTTCAATTATACATTGTCTCATTAAATTTTCACATACATTCTGCAGGTAGGTGTTATTAACTCCCTGAATTCTACGCTCTGCTATAGCCACAGGTCTTTTGCTGTATAGCTCCAGGAGCCAGATAAGTATCTGTTGATTGAATAGATTCTTATTTAGAGATGCGAAAACTGAAGCTCAGGATTAAAAAAAAAATCTTATTCAATGTAATAATCTTACTCAATGTAAATCTTAGTCAATTTCTAATAATTACTAATATTTATGGAGTACCCACTATGTCACAAATAACTTACATGAATCCTCTCATTAATCTTCAGAACAATCTTCACAACCATTGTTCCTATTTTACATGTAAAGGAACTGAGTCTCAGAGAGACTGAGCAACTGGCCTCCAGTTCACACAGCTAGGAAGCAAAAGAAATTCCAGATTCTGGACCAGGTAATGACATTTTAAAGGATGCATGTTCAGCCACTGGGCATATTGTCTACTAAGCAAGGATGGAGATTTGACACCAGATATGGCAAATGCCCAAACCCAGGTTCTTATATGATTCCAAGTCCATACTGAAAGGCACAAACAATCTCAGCCTTTTAGTGACTATATCTCCAAGGCCAACATGCTTTGATCAACTAATCAAAATACCCCATTCTTCTAGACAGAAGTGACAATTCTCACTTATCCTTATAATATGCAAAGTAAGCTTGAAATTTTCTTTCTCAAATTCTATGTTTAAAATAGAACTTTTTCATAAGTCTTTATTTATATAGCAATCAAAAATTGAAAGAAACATCTGAAATGTAAGAATTTCATTTAAATAATGTATTAATGATCCAGTAAATTATAATCAAACCTTTATTTTAATTTAGATCTATCAAAGTCTTTTGATTTACATACTAACCAATTAGCTTGGATCATGGTTACTAAATTATCCTTTATGTAAGGCCAACTTACCCATGCAGAGCATGTGCAGTCCCTGTAGCCCACAAAACATCGTGGGGTCCACGAAAATGTTTTGTTTTAAAATCAGAAGAAATGTAGAAACATTTCATGTTCAAAATTATATTCATCTTTATACACACATAAATATAAAATATAATTTTTAATACTTTGTATAGAGAAAGGGGTCCACAAAGCCAAAGTGCCTAAGATCCATGCAAGTCTTGCAACAGCCCTACCTTTACAAGTGATTTTATTGCTTCCAAGTGTGTTGAGGTGGGTCTCCCAGACAGATAATGAAGTACAGATGTGTTGTTACCTTAGCTCTCAGCTGCCCCAGTGACTCTGAGATTATCTTTGGGTGGTATTAGGTTCCCAGCTTGCCTGATGCTCCAGTTGCTATGATCTTGTTTGACATTGATTTACATCTGTGCAGAGACATTCTTCTCAAAGACTTGATCCTGTGTAAAGTGTCTTTTAAATTTTTTCTGTCCAATATAATAGGCACTAGCCAAATGTTGACTATTTACATTTAATTAAAATTAAGTATATTATAAAAATTCAGTTCCTCTGTCACACTACCCACATTTCAAACACTCAATAACTACCTATGGCTAGTGACTACTGCAATGGGAAATACAGATTAATGAATATCTCTAGCCTCCTAGAAAGTTCAGTTTGACAGTCCTTTTCTAAAGGCTTTCACATCAGCTTCTTTATCTTGTCTTGTCTCAAGATAGTGTTAAGGTTTTCCAATGTAACAGAGAATATTGGGGATTCATTCTTCATTGCAAAGAATGCCACTGAAATTCAAATGACAACAGTCCTGTAGATATTTCATGTTACCTTTTAATTAAAATAATAGAGAAAATTGGTATTATGGCTCCAGATTATGATGTAGTAACCCACTTGTTAGAGCCATAAAGTTGGAAGGCAAGAAAATCCCATGCAGAACTACAAATAAAAGCGCATAGTCCACCAAAATGTATGGTGCCATTATTCACGTCAGGGCATCCATTGCATCCATTTCTCAGAGATTCTCAGAACAGCCACATCCCTTCTTTTAAATTTCTTAGTAAATGACTGGGCCCACACCATTATATTGTCATTTGAAATCCCATCTTTTCTCCTCCTCAGATGGTACACTGCTTTGTCAAGTCAAACATCCCATTTATTTTTCATGGATGTGGCTGGAATAAATGTTCATCCCATGTAGGTAGAAGAGAGAATACACATAAGTTACTCAATCTTGCTGAGCCTCAGGTTTAACCTTTTCCAGGACAATCAAAATTTACATTGTTAAGTTGGATCAATCATAATTCTTGTATGTTATTCTAATAAGGCTCTGTTCTGTCTCCTTTGTCCCTTTTGAGATACATCACCTCTCTTTCTGTTGTATGGATATAGAAAATATGTGCCAAGTCTAACTATTTTTATTAAAAATATGGGCTATTCATTTTTTGTAATATTGTGTAGAGTTTTAATACTCCCAAATAAAAAGTAAATATGTTCTGTTTCCCCAAAAGATACAATAGAATAATTTAGAATATGTTATTGAAATAAACATTTCAACGGAAATATTGTAGTATCGTAGGCTGTATAATAGTCTCCCAAGGATATCCACATCCTAATCTCTGAAAGCTGTGAATGTGTTACCTTACATGGCAAAAAGGACTTTGAGAAAGTGATTAAGTTAGAGACTTTCAGATGGGTAAACCCAATGCAATCACAACTGTCTCTGTAAGATGGAGGCAAGAGGGTAACAGTGAGAGAGAGAGAGATTGAAAGATGTTACACTGCTGGCTTTGAAGATGGAGAATGGGGCTGCCAATCAAGAAATGCAAGGAGTCTCCAGAAGCTAGAAAGGGGAATGGATTCTTCCCTAGAGCCTCTAGAATGGAAGAAGCCCTGCTGACATCTTGAATTTATCTCACTGAAACTGGTTTTGGCCTTCTGACCTCTAGAACTATAAGATAATACACTGCTGTTATTTTACACCGCTCAGTTTGTGGTCACTTGTTACAACATCAGCAGGAAACTAATTCATGTAGTTAATCTTGAGCTAAATCATTTAATTCTTGGTAAAGCACGACAACTAGTATCAGAGACATTCATGAAGGAAATTTCAGTGTTGCCATTTAATCTGCATAATCTTAGCTAAGTAATTTATTCTCTATGAACCTTATATTTTCTCGTTCATGAAATAAGTATGATAATAGCTACTACCAAAAGTTGTTATAAATATTTTGGTCTGGAGGCACCAACCTCTCCTCTCTAATGTTCTGCCTAATAGTATATACACAAAAAGATCTGTAACCAAATAAGTAATAAAGTGCAAGTACATGTTCAAGTTCAGAATATTAATTATCTCTACTTTCTGCAGATATGAAACTGTGGAATGTGACAGAGGCAGCTAGTTACCTTTTAGCTTTCAGTTCTATAATTTCCACTGAATAATTTCCTCCATTTCCGTGCTGTTCTAATTTTGGCCCACAGGTTGTTGCTGGTCAGAAAACTGTTATTGATCTCCAATGAGGGAAAGACAAAAATTAAGGATAAAGTTCTGTATATTGTAGTTGTAATGATGAAATATATTTTGTTCCTTGGGCATTATCATCTGTAATTAAAATATTCAGTTCTGTATTTTCATTTTCAATCCCACAGCTACCAACTAGAACTGATGCACAGCTTGGTTTTGAAAATCAGTTCACTTTGGCTTATCTGAAGTCTTAAATCATCAAATTTCTGAACAAAGCTCCAGCCATGAGTAGGAAAGGAAATATTTAATCTGCAGATAAAATCCAGATTCCATATCTACTTTGACTCAAGAGCAGGACTTAAAACCTGCCACACAGCTCTCGCATAGTTTAATTCTGGAGGAAAATCCCCTTATGTTCCAAGTCTACTCCCAAATGCTGTATTCTGTGATTCTGCAGCAACCATTCACAATTAAACAAGATGGTATAATTGTTATATAATGGTGATCTGAAGTTAAGAGTGTCTCAGAATTACTTTTGAGAATGATGGTTAGGTAGAAGAGCATTATAACCAGGTTATTAGGTCTTCTCAGTGTACTACAAAAGACATGATGAAGCACATGCTTCACACTGTCTGCTTACTTAAAACAAGTAGTAGTGTGAGTGAATACGTGGCCTAACTCACAACCTCACCTTCATAATTTTTTAATTGTTATTAACTGAAGTCCATACTTTATTCATAATTCCTTAGTTTTTATCTAATGTCCATTTTCTTTTTTTTTTGCACAGATTCTGTGAAATTTTATTTTTTGAATTGCAAGTATCTGGAAAACAGATGCAGATTTTTTAATGATTTTTTTTATTTCTTCTAAAAAATGGGATGAATGTGAAGAATGTGCAGGTTTATTCCATAGGTATACATGGCCATCATGGTTTGCTGCACCTATTGACCCATCCTCTAAGTTCCCTCCCCTCTCCCCCAACCCCCCAACATGTCCTGGTGTGTGTTGTTCCCCTCTCTGTGTCCACCTGGTGTGTGTTGTTCCCCTCTCTGTGTCTATATGTTCTCAACGTTCAACTGCCACTTATGAGTAAGAACATGTAGTGTGTGGTTTTCTGTTCCTGTGTTAGTTTGCTAAGGATGATGGCTTCCAGCTTCATCCATATCCCTGCAAAGGACATGATCTCATTCCTTTTATCCCTTTTTATTTTCATTCCTTTTTAGGGTTGCATAGTCTAATGTCCATTTTCTGTTGCACGAGTCTATCCAAAATATCATATTGCATTAGTTATCATGTCTTCTCTTTTTTTTGCCTTTTAATTATACTTTGGAAGAATCCTTTTTTGTTTTTTAATTTCAGAGCAAGATGGTTATTTATCCCTTTATTTATATGTCAGTCACCTATGTTTATTTTTTATTTCCATAGGATTTCGGGGAACAGGTGGTATTTGGTTACATGTGTAAGTTCTATAATGATGATTTGTGAGATTTTGGTGCACCCATCACTGATGGAGACGTCTCCCAAGTTTCATCTATCGCTAAGTCTCACATTTAAAGTGAGCTTTTGCAGCAGAGATAGTAATGCAAACTTCATTCCACGTGTTCTCTACATTTCTTTCCTTATTGCATTTAGGCAGGACCACATGACTTGTTCTGGTCGATGCACTGTTAGCAGAGAATGGCCAAATAGTAATGAGCAGGTGTGAACCTTCTTCTCATTCATAGGAAGCATAGAGACCAGCTGTTGAGATGGCTGAGCCATACGGTCAAAGAGATTAGACCTCTGAGTCACCACCTGAGATGGGGGCACTGAATAACTATTTGGTCTACCATCTGTATGGGGAAATGAATAAATTTCAGATGTTAAACCCTGCAATTATGTTTGCTTGGTACTGAAGAATAAGCCTATCCTACTCTGTCTGTGGCATCATTAAATTGTCAAGTAAAATAGTTGTGAAAGTCATAAGTAAAATGGGAAAATATACCCAGTCAAAATTCCAAAGTCTCAGAATCATGTAAATCATTTATGTTTTATTTTATTTATCCATCACAAAACACAATTTTATTTTCTAAGTAAAAAATGGTAAAATTGCACCAAAAAAATCTCTTGAGGTTTCCCAAACATCAAAAAGATTAAACAACATTTCAAAAAGTTAACTGCAAATGAATGTTAAGTACACTGCACTCTGCACTTAGCTTCTCCCTTAAAGAGAGTTTAAACCTTAAATGTAAAGGTGTTGACAAAATGCATTTTAAAAGATTAGAACATAAATTGGAAACAAATGGAGATTGTAAGGATAATGATAAAACTCATGAGAATTGGCACACAAATACATTTTTAACCGTGTCACATATCACTACTTTGGAAAGTCTCTCTTTTCTTATTTTTCATATTTGACACGTGAACTGGCAATCAAATATACCTAGATGTCAGAGATACTTAAAAAGTGTTTTCTCTTGTAAAAAAAAAAAATCTGCTGAAAATGTGTAGACTTTAAAACTGTTTATACCTGTTGTTCCTGATTTTTAAAATGTAAATATATTAATGAATTATTTAGGGGAAAATGTTATTTTTAATGAATTCAATATCACAATGACAGTATAGTTTAGTCATAAGTGGGTCACAAAAAACATACCTGTTTTACTCAAGATATCATGTCCCAGATATTTGATCCTTGGTTCTATTCCAGTGCAATATTTTTAAAGCCAGAAAGCAGCCCCTAAAGCCTGGAGCAAGGGAAAGAAAATTTCAAAATAAAAACAAGAAATATCTAATAGTATTCAAGGCTGCCTAGCCACATTTAATAATCTATTGTATAAATAAAAGTTTATTGACACTCACTATGAGACAGTTGGACCCTTGTACCTTCTCTATTGGATTTAATTGGTAATATAAGTTTTCTACCTACTTCTGGGGATGTCTTCAGCATTATTAGGTAGTAGACAGAATGAGCACCATATGCTAGCAATGTAAGAAGAAATGAAAGTGTGTGTTTGGCAATTTATAAACAATGAGCAGTGAAAAAGAAAGGAGGCAACATATGAGGAAGATCAAGATTAGTACAAAGATAAAGAGAGAGAAAGAGCAGTGTAATGAGGGAAGGATAAGTAATGAAGCTTAAATAGACTCATTCCTGCTTATCGAAGTGAAAGGGCTGAGTCAGACCTTAGAGCAGGTGTTTTAAATCCAGGAAGTACTGAAGGAGCATCTGCTGGAGATTCAGGGGACAGTAAAACCTCCAAATCTGAAGGTAAAATACTGAGTGCATGTGTGTATTTTTCTAGAGAGGGGAATGTAGTTTTAATGATTTTTTTTCAAAGTTTAACTGGGAGATTGGTTGTGGTCTGATGTCAGTCTCAAAAAAAAAAAAAAAAGGCTCAAATGAAGTATAACAAGGTGGAAAGCTCATCTGAATGTGGCTGAGTCTCCAGAGCCAGTAGAAATCAGTGCAAGGTCAGCTGCACTGGCAGAGAGGAGTGAGGCCCTCCAACCAATCCGCCACCAGATAAAATCCCAACTGTCTTTCAAGGCCCAAATCGAATAGCACTATCTCTTCACAAATGCCCTGTAAGAGTTCACAGTCTACTGGTAGAAAGAAATATGCAAAGAAATTAACCAAATCAACGTTGATAAATAATAATGAATTTGTCCAAAAGAAAGGGTTACTAGAGGAATTAGAAACTTCATACACTGTTTGTTGGAATCTAAAATTGCACAGCTTCTTTGAAAGACAGTATGGTAGTTTCTTAAAAAATTAAATTTGGAATTGCCCATGATCCAGTAACTACACTTCTAAGTATATAGCAAAAAAAAAAAAAAAAAAAAAAAAAAACCCTGAAAGTAAGGTCTAAAAGAAATTTTTGTACAATCATGTTCATAGCAGAATTATACACAATAGCCAAAAGGTGGGTAAACAAAATGTGGTACATATGCTCATCCTTAAAAAGGGAGGAAATTGTGGCACATACCACCACAAAGATGAACCTTGAGGACATTATGCTAAGTGAAATAAGCCAGTCACAAAAGACACACACCATATGATGCCACTTAAATGAGGTATTTAGAGTACTCAAAATCTCTACAGACAAAAGGTAGTATGCTGGTTACCAAGGACTGGGAGATAAGGGGTAGGAATGGGAAGTTATTGTTTAATGGGTATAGGGTTTCCATTTTGTAAGATGAGAGTTCTGGAGATTGGTTGCAGATTATTGGCTATTAATTATGTGAATACATTTAATACTACTAAACTATACACTTAATGATTAATATGGTAAATTTTGTTATCTATATTTTATAAAAATTAATTTTCAAAATGTTATTTTAAAGAAATGGATTACTTTAATATCTTGACCCAGAGAGGTGTTCATGATGTATTATTAAGTAAGAAAAGCAGATTACAAAATGATATCTCACAATACAATTTTTGAAAAACAAGCAAATATGAATTTATATTTTTAATGGATTTATACAAATGTATATAATTACAAAGAAAAGTATATTATAATACACATCAAGCTATTAACAGGTTATTTCGAGCAGGTGATGGCAGTTGATCAGCTTTCTCTTTTACATCTCTATATTTTTTCACTTCAACAATGAGAATGTGTGCTTCAATAATTAAAAATAAACAAAGAAAAATGGCAATATGGTAAGAACTCAAACATATATAGATATCAAAGTCTATGTGCATGAAGGCAGGACCAAATTTCTGGGCCTGGAGTGTCTCTGAAAGGCCTCACAGCTAGGATCACACGGGAGCTGGATCTTAAACTCTGAGTGGCTAAAGGGAGATGGCCCAGACCCAGAATAACCCCAAATCAGGAACACATGCTTGATGGTATCTGACATCATTGCTAAAGGAATCCCATGCATATCAATTGTACACTGTTCATCTCATGAAGATTGCGAGCAATATCAGACTAATATTCAATAATGACTGACATTTTAATGGCAAATAACAGAATTAATAACTTTAAACATTTAACTCTTAAGCCTGCTTTTCTCATTTAGCAATATATTATGAACACTACAGGACAATGGCTGTAATTTTAACATATTCTTTTTCACAAATTCATAAATGTTTAGGAATAACACTCATAAATAAAAGGAAAATCGATGAGCTCAGCTTTCAATTGAATAAATTGAAAAGCAAAATTTAAGAAAAACAAGTGGAAAATAAATTTAAAAATTAATAAATTGATTAAATTGGAGATGAGTGGCAAAATTAGTATAGTAGAAGACTTTACAAAACTCTGTATACAAACATTTAAAATTCAAGTAAAGTAGAATATTTTTAGAAATACATAAATTACTGAAATTGATCCCAGAAGATAGAGAAAACTGAAATAAATCAATTTCCATGAAGTAAATTGAGAAATGTAACAAAGTGAATAAAACTCATGATATGTCAAGTGCTCAGAAGTCACAAGAGTTATTAAAAATGCGGCCAGGCACGGCAGCTCACATCTGTAATCCCTGAACTTTGGGAGGCAGAGATTGGAGGGTGGCTTGAGCCCAGGAGTTTGAGGTTGCAGTGAATGATGATTGTGTCACTGCACTCCAGTCTGGATGACAGAGCAAGACCCTGTCTCTGAAAGCAATAAATAAATATAATAATAAAAATGAGAAGATGAGGAATGACATCAGCAAGATGGCTGACTACAGCTGCCTAGCATTTGCCTCCCCAACAACAAACAAATAAAAGACCAAAGCAACTAATAAACAGCTAAAATTTGACTAGAGTGTTGAAGGGAAAGTGCTGGAGTGTAGTGGGGGAGTGGAGACACACCTGTAGTGGCTGGAAGTCTAGGAGGCAGTGTGGAGATCTCTGGCTTCTGCAACCCCATCCGCTGACCTAGATACATCTGCCTGGAGTCAGGAGGAATTTCCCATTGCAGGGGATAAGGTAAACAGAAGATTCCCACCAGCCAGTATTGCCACCATAAACATCTATAGTCTTTGCAACAGGAGAATCCCATAGTCTTCACAAGTTCTGAACCCTGTTTGGAGAGTTGCTGGAAACTCGTGCAGCTGCTTTGGCCCAGATTAGGAGCACAAGGTATCCACTCCCCACACCTATCCTCAGTGAGCAAAGTTGCTGCAGCCCAGTGCAATCTTGAGACCAGAGCCACCTCTGGAGTGTGCCTTCCTCTGCGGTCAAAAGCCACTGCCCTTCTCCAGCACTGGGGCTCCATCTCCATTCCACCAAGCTCACATGGATGGCTGAATCCCACAGCCCCAGCTGTGTGAATCCTGGACTCAGCTTCAGCTGTGACTCTGGTCCTGCACAGAAGGAAAGCCAGACCCACTCCTCACCCACCCAATGCACTTCTAGCCAGAGGAACAGTCTGGCAGTCCCACCCTGATCACACCGCTGCAAACCCTCCCCAAAGTGGGAGAGACACCTGAGCAGTGGTACACCCCCAGGCCAGCAGAAGGGCTACATGCCAATACTCAGGACCTAAGAAACACTCCTCAAGCACCCCTGCCCCCACAGATATGCCCACGCATAGGCCTGCACAACAACTCTGTGTCTGCAATCAGGGAGTAAGAAACAGCCCTGCAGGCCATCCTTGACAGGGATGCCCAGAAGACTGACAAGCATCAAAGAGCCCATGTCCCAGACCTGAGCAACAGTTCTGTTTCTTAGTAGGCCACACTTGGCAGACACACCCCCCCAGGCCAGATGAGCAGTCTTGCACCTTAATCCTGGGCCTGAAAAAGAGCCCCATTGGCCCTTCCAGCAAATATGCCCCCAAGCCAGCCAAGAAGCCTCATTCTGGCATTCCAAGCCTAAGAAGTAGCCCTGTGGGCTGCCCACAATATATACACCCTTAGGTCAGCTGAACAACCATGTGCCTATGCTCCAGGCCACAGTAATAGCCCTGTGGCCCCAACCTCACAAGCCAGACCCTATGTTGGCTAACCTATCATGTGCACACACATGCCGCTGACCTGAGAAATAACCCAGTGAGCCTACCCCCAGCAAGGCCATACCACTACTGCCACAAACTCTGTCACTCTATTCCACTGAGAAACTCTCAAATGCCACTAATGTGTATTACAGATTTAAACACACACACAAACACACACACACACATACACAGAGAGAGAGATAGACTACACTACTGCATCCACCTGGAAGCAAAGCCAATGCATCCCACCAAATAGACACCCCAAGACCTATTTAGATGAGTAAGTCTTTCCCTATGAAATTCTCTCCATAAAATTGGAAGAGGGGATTTTTCCAACAGATGCATAGAAATTAATGTAGGACACCCTTAACATGAAAAATCAAGGAAACATGACACCTTCAAAGGAAAACACTAATTCTCTAGTAACAGACCTCAATCATAAAGCAGTATATGAAATGCCAGAAAAATAATTTAAGATGATAATCTTAAAGAAACTCAATGAGATATAAGAGAATACCGATAAACAATTCCATGAAATCAGGAAAACAATTCATAATTTGAATGAGAAATTAAAGACTTGCCATAAAAAAAAAACTAAACAGAAATCTTAGAGCTAAATAATTCAATGAATGAAATAAAAAAAATACAATCAAGGGACTCAACAACAGACTAGGCCAAGCAGAAGAAAAAATTGAAGTTGAAGATAAATCTTTTGCAGGTAAATAAAAGAAAAGAAGAAAGAATACAAATGACCAAAGATTATGGGACATTATTAAGCAGACAAATGCACTATAGACCAAATAGCCCTAACATGCATTTATAGGATATTTCACCCAACAGCTATAGAATACACATTCTTTTCATTAGCACATGGAACATTCTCCAGGAATGACCACATGTTAGGACACCTAATAAGTCTCAAATGAAAGCTTTTCATCTAAGAATCGGAATAAGAGAAAGATGCCCCTTCTCATCGTTCTTATTAAACATAGCATCGGTAGTCCTTGTCAGAGAAGTTAAGCAAGATAATGAAATAAAGAAAATCCTTGTTAGAAAGGAGGAAGTTGAATTGTCCCTGTTAGAGATGATATAATTAATGATGCTACCAGAAAACACTGAAAACCCATAAAGTTGTACAATACAAAATCAGCATGCAAAAAAGTAACTTTTCTATACACAAACAACAAGCTAGCTAAGAAATAAATCAACAAAGAAATTCCATATACAATAACTACATAAAAATTAATACCTCAGAATAAATTTAACCAAGGAGCTGAAAGACCTCTACAAGGAAAACTGTAAAACACTGATGAAAGATATTGAGAAAAGATACAAATAGAAAGACATGCTTACAAGCCTGAAGAACTAATATTGTTAAAATGGCAATATTACCTAAAACAATATATAGATTCAATGTAATCCCTATCAAAATACAAACATTCTTCACAGAAATAGGGAGAAAAATCTTAAAAGTTGGTATGGAACCACACACACAAAAAAACCCTGAATAGCCAAAGTCCTGACCAAAAAGAACAAAGCTGGAGACATAACACTACCAGACTTCAAAATATACTACAAAGCTGTAATAACAAAAACTGCCTGGTACTAGGCTAAAAAGAGACAGATAGACCAATGTCACCAAACTGAGAAACCAGAAATTAACCCATGTATTTATAGTCAACTGATTTCTGATAAAAAGGTGCCAAGAACACTCATTGGGGAAATGGCCGTTTCTTCAATAAATGTTGCTGGAAGAACTGGATATCCATATGCTCAAGGATGAAACTTATTACTCACTCTACACGAAAATCAATTCAAAATGAAACAAAGACCTAAACGTAAGACCCAAAACTATAAAACTGCCAGAAGAAAACACAGGGGAAAAGCATCAGAACATTGCTCTGAGAAAAGGTTTTATAAATAAGAAGACCTCAAAAGCAAAGTCAACAAAAACAAAAAGAACGAAACTGCAAAGTTTCTGCACGGCAAAGGAAATAATCAACAGGATGAAAAGACAACCTGTGGAACTGGAGAAAATATTTGCAAACTACTCATGGAATAGGGGATTAATGTCCAGAATACACAATAATCAAATATTGCAACAGCAACAACAACTAAAAAATCTGATTAAAATAACTAAATGATCTAAACAAACATTTTTAAAAAGAAGGCATACGAATGGCCAATAAATATATTTTAAAATGCTCAACATCAGGGAAATGCAAATCAAAACCACAATGAAGTATCATCTCACACCAGTTAGGATGGCTATTATCAAAAAGTAACAAATGCTTACAAAGATATGTAGTAAAGGAAACTCATACAGTGTGGGTGGGAATGTAACTTAGTACAGCTGTTATGGAAAACAGTATGGGAGTTCCTCAAAAAAAAAAAAAAAAAAACCTACAAATAGAACTATCATGTGATCCAGCAATCCCAGTACTGGGCATTTATCCAAATGAAAGGAATCAGTGTATTGAAGAGACACCTGCATCCCATGTTTATGGCAGCACTATTCCAAATAGCCAAGATATGGAATCAGCCTAGCTGTCCAACAACAAATGAATGAATAAAGAAAATGTGGTATATACACACAATGAAATTCTATTCAGCTATTAAAAAAATGAAATCCTGTCATTCATGGCAACATGGATAGCATTATGTTAAGTGAAATAAACCAGGAATGGGAAGTCAAACACTGAATGTTCTCACTCATATGTGGAAACTAAGAAAAAAAAATGTTATCATAGATGTAAAAAGTAGAACGGATGATAGTAAGGACTGGGAAGGGTAGGGGGAAGGGAGGATAGAAAGAGATATGTTCAAGATACAAAGTTACAGCTAGATGTGATGAATAAATTATAGTGTTCTACACCACAGTAGGATGACTATAGTTTATAATAATATATTATTTAATACATAGTTTCAAATAGCTCAAAGGAGGATACTGAATGTTCCTAATAAAAAGAAATAAATGTTTGAGATGATGGATATTCTAATTACCCTGATCTGATCCCTATACATTATATGTATCAAAACATCATTAAGTACTTCATGAATATGTACAATTATTGCTTGCCAATTAAAAAATTAAATTACAATAAAATTACATAAATGGAAGGATGAGATTCATGTATAAACATATCTTACCAAGGATCCCAGTCTCTAGCATTTGAGTATTTTTTGGTTGTGCAATGGCCATTGACATGGAGAAAGGCATTTGTAATCCTAATTATGTGTTTAGATAGAAAGGCAACAGAGAAAAGTATTCTTTCCTATTCTCAATCATCTATACCAACACTATTAGATAGATTGAAAAAGTGTCTGACTAGCTGTCAGCCCCACACTGCAAAAAGAGCCCTAGGCAGCTCCTCATATTGGTGATCTTTTGTCCCACATGATCTTCCCATTACTGATGGAAACAAGGATGGATCCTTTACCTGAATAAAGGATAGAGAGCATATAATCTGATCAATAGTCTACCAAATTTTATCAGCCAATCACAAACCCTTTAGACATTTTAGTAGTAGCAAATGTAAAAACAGTTGTTCAGTGAATCACAGAAGCTGTAGCAGATAAAGCATAGCCAAATCATGTTAACAGCTGTTTCATATTAATACTATAGAAATATTAAACAAAAATCCACAAACTCAGTTGCTTGGTGGCAACATGATAATCCACCCGCAGTGGCTCTGGATCTGAATAGCTATTCAGTAGCCATCCCCCACAAGTCTGGGTTGACTAGAATTCTTATTCTTCTAATGAGGTCCAGTGGATTGCCTTCCTTCATTTCCCACTAGGCTTAACAGCTTGGTTGGAATTCCTGGCTTTTTCATTTCCATTCCCATTGGACAACAAATTGTTTTCTCATTTAGTTGAGAAAGTTCTGTTCTAAGCTTTAGCCTAAGAAGCAAACCATCCTCAGAAAACATTTTAAATTCCTGGGCTGGTGAAATAAATGAAGTTTTGATTTAGCATTTTTGAAAGATTAAAGGAATTGGTCTTTTCTAAGGCTATGAGGACATTTATTAATGGCATTCAAGAAAATGATAGATTCTTACATAGGTGGTACTGACCAGCTGTTCTTCATCTCTACTGAGAGAAGAACAAAGAAAATGGTGTTAAATTGCAAAATTAGGGATTGTGTCAATTTAATAAATCACCCAGTCCTCATTCTCTCATCTCCCACTCTCTGTCCCAGTTGCTAACCTTTTCAGCTAAGTGTTCATTACTAGGCATTTCATTTTCAATTCAATTTATTCCCAAATAGGAGGACTTGGGCAGCCCAGTTCTTTGATTTATGGAAGTACAGCATACTGCACAAGTCCTCTTCAAATCTGCTTCCATGATGAAGCATTGCCTGTCAGAAGCACTATGCTGAGCAACCGAATGAGAACAAATGCTGACACACTTTTCAATTCTGATCACAGTCTGCCTCTGATGCCAACCACGCAGAGGCACACTATTTCCCACTGTTGTGTTGTCTATTTCCTTCCAAGCATATATATGGTCATGGGACACTTTACTATCAATTCTAGGGTAGCCCTGACAGCTAGAATTTTTAATATTACAAGGAGTATTTAATTCTATTAAATGAATCTAATGGAAGTAAACAGGCTTAGCAGAGTATAGGGACCAAGAAACAAACAGAGGAGATAGGGAACCTGCCAATGGGGAATCAATAGTGCTTAAAAGGGATGGTAACACTGACAATAGTTAAGACATGTCAGTGATATCAAGTACAGTTGTGTTGAGGATTTTAATGCTCACTTCCCCAATACCTGCCCCCACATACTCAAAAAGCAGCCTTCTTTTGGGACTGGGGAGAGTTGTGGTCTGCTGATATCCCCAGTGCAATAAAACAAAAAGACCAAAGTGTGTTCCACCCAGAGGAACCAAGTAGCACAATAAGACTTTAAAGGTGAACACTGGAATTTTAAAAATAGGTTTATATAGAAAGAAAACTGCATGGAATATTTCATTGCTAAAGCTTGAGAATAAATGCTAACCCATTCCATGACTTTACACCACACCAAAGTACAGAGAAGGTGCTTACATGAAGCTTCTAACGTTCTTAGTTTGATCATTCACATAGGATAAAAACTGCTTTCAATGAAGATATATTAATCTTCCAGTGGCGGTGACATCAAATATCTGCCCACAGATTATTAAAAACAATAAAAAGTTTGTGTTTTTACAAACACCATCAGCATCTCAGTACCACTCAATTCATTTGGCGTCGATTTTGTCATTTTCTCAGATTGTGAAAAGCAAAATAGTCATATGGATTTACGGCTCTGACACCACTATTTTCAGTAAATAAGCACACTCCTTGAAAGACACAAACACAGAAGAGAAAAGGGTCAATGTGAGGCGGGCAGCTCTCTTTACAGTACTTAAATTCTATTAGAATTTAACTGCTTAGTAGTTTAACTTATAAACTACTAAGGTTACAACATTGCAAGCTTAATAGTTTAACATTGATTTTTGAACATGAGAGCATCAGAATGAAATACCAAAAAGACAGCCTTAGACCTTAGACTCTAAGGGCATCTTTCTCTCACTGTGTTTAGGTATTTTATTACAAATAAAAATGATCAAGCAATTTAACATTTTTATTATTTAAACCTATATATCCATTTCCTCATATATATGAAAGAATTTTATATATAAATATATATAGTGTGTGTGTATATATATATATATACACACACATATATGCACACACATAAAAACATTGTTTCTTCATTTTGACTATTTAAATCAACATTTGATTCCATCCTCTACTACAGATCTATATATGAAAGATATCGGAGTAGAGGATGGGGTTAAATATTGACTTACCAAGTCAAAATAAAGTCTGATTCTAGAAAAAACAGATATCTCACATTTATTGCCTGTTATAGTAAATGCTAACAGGAAAATCAAAATATATGAAAGATGGTTTTGGACCTTGAAGCTCTGAGATTTAGGTAAAAGATAAACTGGGCATATAACCTATGGTTAATTTGAAATATGCCCATGCTGAGAACTGAACAGTGCCTGCACACTGCATGCCCATCTCACACTGAAACTGCCTGAGAGCCTTAGTGGAACATCCTGGTCAAAGTTTCCCATATTTTAAAATTATCAGATAAATGTTTCAGGACTTATATAAGAAATGTCCATGTTTTCTGGGCCATGAAACTGACATTGGCTTCAAGAGCTCATAAATTATTCCTCAGAGCCTTTAAAAGTGACAGGCTGTAAATTTGCTTACTTTGTCCTACACTTACCTCCAGCCTCATAGCAACTTTTTCAATTTGGCAAATTATCTTTTGCCAGCCATCAGAGTTGACAGGTAGGCAAAAGGGGATGAGAAGCTCTGGCGGCCTAATTATCCCAGTGACCTAACTACTAAAACTCTGGAGTCTGATAAGAGAGAATATAAATGCAAGGCATTTCTATATCTCCTTGCTGATGTGGAGGAATGTCATTATATCCTCTAGAAGTATACTTAATGAGATAGCTTAAATACTTTTGAAAGAAAGGGGCTTGATTACTAAAATGGTTGACATAGTTAAGAGAGCATTTATTGTGGTTTTATGTATCTAAAATGCACTTTTCGTACATAAGAATGGAAATCTACTGGCTGATAAACTATTTTAAAATGAAGATTCTATCATCTACTTAAAATCCCTTGGAGGATACTGAGTGTTCCGTATGATAACTATTATAATTATACGCATTTGTCAAGATGGTTTAAAACACTCTTATCACAAAAAGCTTGATTGTAACAGTGGGCTGACGTGGTTAGCAGCCCTTTCATAGTGCTTGTGGATAACAGCCTACATAGTGCATTTATGAAATGGAAGAATGGTTTTTGTGTTAAATGCTAAAATTCTAAAAAAGCTTCATTTGCGATTTAAGCACTCCGAAGAAGGATAGAGAGCTTAGACATGAGCTTTGAGGCCGAGGCTGAATCTGCATGATGGGTCTCACAAGATTCATAATATATCTGTGCATTGAAAAAAGGTAGTGACAGGCTGAGCGCAGTGGCTCACGTCTGTAATCCTAGCACTTTGGGAGGCTGAGGCAGGTGGACTGCCTAAGCTCAGGAGTTGGAGATCTGCCTGGACAACACGGTGAAACCCCGTCTCTACTAAAATACAAAAAAATTAGCCGGGCGTGGCGGCGTGCGCTTGTAGTCCCAGCTACTCGGGAGGCTGAGGGAGGAGAATTGCTAGATCCCCGGAGGCGGAGGTTGCAGTAAGCCGAGATCGCACCAATGCACTCCAGCCTGGACGACACAGCGAGACTCCGTCTCAAAAACAAACAAACAAAAAACAAAGAAAGAAAGAAAAAGGTAGTGACGGAGTTTGACATTGTTCTCAATGGCTGACACCACAGATTTCAAGGAGTTTGAGAACAGGTCAACATATCTGGGTGTTATTTCAATCAAAATCTGATGCAGTAATGAGGTGTACTGAATTACATTTTAAATAGTTTCATATTCACTATAATCTTTAGTGACTCAATAAACCAAATGAGTTTCTAGGCCAAGTTTCAAGTTCAGTTGTTACAATCATTTCAGAAGATCCTCTTATTTATTTTCATTCAACTCTAAATCACAATTAAAACTCCTTGGAATATACTGAAATTTCGTGGAACAGTTGTACTGGAGCAGTACAGCTGGATTTAACCAACAGTCCTTTTATTTAACCTTCCAAATTCTTGAACTAAAAACAAAGAGCAAAACAATAGAACCATATAGATTTAATAAAGCGCCTATCTACAAAAAATTAAAACATAATGCTATTTGATAGACAAGCAAATCTGTGGAGATAAATAATTTCACAGGCAAACACATAGTTTTAGGAGATATAAAATGATCACTTTTTGCTTAAAAGCATTGGAAGCTTCCCAGGTAACTATAGCTTATACTCGCAGAAGCAGAAGAAAGTAAATAATTGAAAGAGCATGATATTACTTCAGGAACCGCCCAAGTTCAACTTAATGAGATGCTATATCACCTCTCCATATTCACTTCTTACCCAGAGGGGGAAATGGTACAGAGACACATCATTACATTGTCATCTGCTCTCTGACTACTGTATATTTAAAATTCATCAGCCGATGAAATATGATGGAAAATGTCTCATGTCATCTTGCCTGGAAAAGTAACTAGGTACAGAAAAAACAAATGAGGAATCTTACAGTTCAAACTCTAAAAGAATTTTCAGGTTTGAAACTCCTAAAACTACGGGTATCAATTCTTCCAGCTTCATGAAGAGTACTTACTTTTAAAATGTCACCTAAACTATCTCCTTGATATTTTTTATTACCTTATATTTTGTTACTACATCATTATATTGTTATTATTACTATTATATTTATTTGTCTAACTCATCTCCAGGACTAGTGAACTCCAAAATCTTCCACAGAATACATGTAGAAATTACACTCCATGTGCACCTCACACTGGTTTAAGTTGAAGAGGTTGCTTGGGCTGCCCTGAGATCTAGGGCAGGTCTCTAGCTCAGCTTGTGGGTGACCCATTCATGAATCATGTGAGAAACTCTTCACTAGATTCTGAGGTCATTGAAATCAGGGTATTCATCTTCATGTACACGGCTCCTAAAACAGTGCCCTCAATAAGCAGATAATAAAAAAAAAATTCTGTTAGGTGGATTACAAAGCTTTTCATAGCCCTGGCTGTCAGCCAAGCCCTGTATCTGGGCAGCTTTATCTCTAGCCACTCATCGTCACTTGTACCTCATCCTGGGTTCTGAAACATTTACAAGTTTATGTCATAGCCCTGCACTTACTAACTTGGAACATTCAACAAAGAATTCTGAGAAAGTTATCTCCAGCAGAGAAACGCCAGGATATTGCTGTCAGAGATCCTCCCGCATATACTGCCAGAGACCAGAATTAACACAACCTCTTTCCTCTCCTGCCCCAACATCTAGTCAAATGCCAAGTCCTGTTGTCTCATCTTCTAATGTCTCTCCAATCCATCTATTTCTCTCCATTTCCAGGATCACCATACCACATAAGGTTCTCATCATCTCTCATTTAGATGATTTTCATATCCTCCTAATCTCTCTTGAACTAACCATCCACCTTTCTTCTCACGGCATCCTAAATGAGCTTTCAAACATACAAATATGATAACCTCAACTAAAATTTGTCCATCACTGATCGATGCTCTTATAATTAGAAAAAAAAAATAACATGACCTTCAGTGCATGATCTCACTGCCCGCTGATCTCACCGTGCTAATCTAGCAGCCTTACTCCCTTTCCTGCTTATTTCACACCCATACCATTTTCTGTTAGTTCCCTGAATACAACAAGCTTACTGTCACATTAGGACACACATGTACTCTTTGTTTGAGATGATTTTCACGCCCTTCTTTCTTAAACTAGTTAATTTTGACTTATCATTTAAATATAGATCAAAAGTGAACATCTCTAGAGAATTTTAACCAACATTAATTAAGTACCTAATGTATGTTCTCCTCTGTCCTGGGCTTCAGAAGCAAAGGGGTAAACAAGATAGAGAAGGTTCTTGCTCTCATGTAGGCTAGTAAGCAAGATTTCATTTGGCAACCAGCAACTAAAAATCCTACTATAATGACTTAAGTATGTAGTATTTATTTCACAAGTACAGGGAGACCACAGGCAAGCCTTAAATTGATACAATACAGCAACTAAACAATGTCATCAGTGACCAAGGCTCTTTGCTTATTTTTACTTCTTATCCTTAATGCAGAAATTTTGATGTATTCATTCCTATCATTCTCAGTCATAAGGTGATTATACTTCATCTAGACTCTAAAGCAATACTGCAGAGAGAAAGAGGTGACCCTTATTACAAGGAAAGCAAAATTTCTGGAAGAAATATTCAATGGTGTTTCCCTTGTAACTCATTGGCTGGAAGAGTGCCACATTATGCCTCTGTACTGGCATGGAGAATAGGACACTGGATTTTATTAGATGGGCAATTGTCATACTAAATAAAACCAAGATGTTGGTATTTGAAAGATAAGAAGAGTGGATACAGATTCTCCTGAATAAAACTTCTAGGCTTGGGGAAAGAGACAGTCACTGTGGTGAACAGAATAATGGCTTTCCAAAGATGTCCACATCCAACTCCCCATAATCTGTGAATATGATAGTTGCATGACAAGTGGGAATTAAGGTGGCAGATGAAAATAAGTTTACTAATCAGTTGACTTAAAATGAGGAAGTTATCCTATGATATTTACATGGTCAGTGTAATCACAAGGGTCTTTGAATATGGATAAGACAACTAGATAGATGAAAATAAATAATAAAATGGCAGGAGTATGTCTCTACTTATCAATAATAACATTAAATGTAAATAGACTGAGTTGTCCAATAAAAAGACACAGAATGGCTGAATGGAAGAAAAAACAAGACCTAATGATCTGTTTTTATAACACACTTCTTGGAAGTGTGTTTCTTCCTATAAAGATACACACAGACTGAAAATAATGAGATGGAGAAGGATATTCCATGGCAATGGAAACCATAAAAGAGTGAGAGTAGCTATACTTATCAGATAAAATAGATTTCAAGACAAAAAATGTAAAAAGAGATAAAGAAGGTATAATAAAAATATCATGATATATATATCATTATATAATGATAAAGGAGTCAGTTCAGCAAGAGGATATAATGATTGTAAATATATGTATATCCCCTCAACACTGGAGCACCCAGATAAATAAAGCAAATGTTGTTAGAGCTAAAGAGAGAGATAGGCACCAATACAATAATAGCTGCAAACTTCAACACTTCACTTTCAGCATTGGGCACATCTCCCAGACAAACAATCAACAAAGAAACATCAAGCTTAATCTACACTGTAGAACAAATGGACCTAATAGATATATACACATTTAATCCAACAGCTGCAATATACACATTCTTCTCCTCAGCTCATGAATTATTCTCAAGAATAGACCATATTTTAGGTCACAAAACAAGTCTTACGACATTCAAAAAATGAAAAAAGTATCAAGCACCTTCTCTGACCACAATAGAATAGAACTGGAAATCAATAACAGAAATTTTGGGGGAAAAAATGGAAAAGTATGCTTCTGAATATCCAGTAGGTCAATAAATAAATTAAGAAGGAAACTGAAGGCCCAATGTGTTGGCTCACACCTGTAATCCCAACAATCTGGGAGGCCAAGGCAGGCAGCTAACTTGAGGTCAGGAGTTCGAGACCATCCTGGCCAACATGGTGAAACCAGGTCTCTACTAAAAATACAAAAAATTAGCCAGGCATGGTAGTGCATGCCTGTAGTTCCAGCTACTTGGGAAGCTGAGGCAGGAAAATTGCTTGAACCTGGGAGGTAGAGGTTGCAGAGAGCCAAGATCACACCACTGCACTCCAGCCTGGGAGACAGAGAGAGACTCCATCTCCAAAAAAAAAAAAAAAAAAAAAAAGACATTGAAACATTTCTTGAAACATGTGATAATAGACACACAACATACCAAAACCTATGGGATACAGTGAAAGCAGTACTAAGAGAAAAATGTATAGCTATAACTGCCAGCATCACAAAAGAAGAAAAACTTCATATACATAACCTAATAATTCATCTTAAAGAACTAGAAAAGAGCAAACCAAATCCAAAATTAGTGGAGGAAAAAATAAAGATTAGAGAGGAAGTAAATGAATTTGAAATGAAGAAAATAATACGAAAGCTTAATGAAACAAAAAGTTTGGGGTTTTTTTTGTAAAAATAAACAGAATTGATTTCTTTTCCAGACTAACAAAGAAAAAAAGGGAGAGATGACCAAAATAAATAAAATCAGAGATGAAAAAGAAGACATTACAACTGATACTGCAGAAATTCAAAGAATTACCAGAGGCTACTATGAGAAACCATTAATATTGCCAATAAATTGGAAAACCTAGAGGAAATGGATAAATTCCTAGACACACACAGCCTACCAATATTGAACTAGGAAGAAATCCAAAACCTGACCAGACCAATAACAAGTAATGAGACCAAAACCATAATAAACAGTCATCCAATAGAGAAAAGCCTGGGACCTGATGGCTTCACTGCTAAATTCTACCAAACATTTAAAGAACTAATAACAATCCTACTCAAACTATTCCAAAAAAATAGGACAAGTACTTATAAACATATTCTATGAGGTCAGTGTTACCCTGATACAGAAACCAGAAAAAGACACCTCAAAAAAGGAAACTATAGGTGAATAACTTCATGAATATTGATGCAAAAATCCTCAGCAAAATACTAGCAAACTGAATGCAACAATACATTGAAAGGATCATTCCTCATGACCAAGTGAGATTTATCCCAGGAATGCAAGGATGGTTCAACATATGCAAATCAATCAACATGATACATACATCACATCAAGAGAATGAAGGACAAAACCCACACAATTATTTCAGTTGATGCTGGAAAAACATTTGATAAAATTTAGCATTGCTTTATGACAGAACCCTAAAAAAATGGTTATAGAAGAAACATACCTCAACAAAATAAATACCATATATGACAGGAGCATAATTAGTATCATACTGAATGGAGAAAAACAGAAAAGTTTTCCTCTAAGGCCTGGAACATGACAAGGATGCCCACTTTCACCACTGTCATTCAACATAGTATTGGAAGTCCTAGCTAGATAAATCAGATAAGAGAAAGAAATACAGGGCATCCAAACTGGAATGGAGGTGGTCAAATTATCATTGCTTACAGATGATATAATCTTATATTTAGAAAAATCTAAAGACTCCACCAAAAAACTAATTAGAACTAACAAACAAATCAGTAAATTTGCAGGATACAAAATCAATATATGCCAACAGTGAACAATCTGAAAAAGAAATTTAAAAAGTAATCCTATTTACAATAGCCATATGTAAAATTAAATACCTAGGATTATCTTAACCAAAGAAGTGAAAGATCTCTACAATGAAAACTATAAAATATTCATGAAAGAAATTAAAGAGGACACAAGAAATGGAAAGATATTCCATGTTCATAAATTTAAAGAATCAATATTGTTAAAATGTCCATACTACTCAAAGCAATTTACAGATTTAATGCAATCCCCATCAAAATACCATGACATTCTTCATAGAAATTGGAAAAATAATGCTAAAATTTAAATGGGAACCACAAAAGACCCAGAGAAGCTAAAGATATCATAGCCAGAAGAACTGGAAAAATCATATTACCTGACTTCAAATTATACTACAAAACCATAGTAACCAAAATTGCATGGTACTGCATAAAAACAGAAACATAGACCAGTAGAACAGAATACAGAACCCAGAAACAAATCTACACACCTATGGTGAATTCATTTTTGACAAAAGTGCCAGGAAGATGCACTGGGGAAAATACAGTCTTTTTAATAAATGATGCTGGGAAAACGGGATATCCATATGCAGAACAATGAAACAAGACTCCTATGTCTCATCATACATAAAAATCAAATCAAAATGTGTTAAGAACTTCAATCTAAGACCTCAAACTGTGAAGATACTACAAGAAAACATCAAGGAAACTCTCTAGAACACTGGACTCAGCAAAGATTTCTTGAATAATACTCCACAAGCATAGGCAACCAAAGCAAAAATAGACAAACAGGATCACATCAAGTTAAATAGCTTATTCAGAGTATGAAACAAAAACACTGAAGAGATAACCCACAGAATGAGGAAAAAATATTTGCAAACTATCCATCTGACAAGAGATTAATAAATAGAATATATAAGGATCTCAAACAACTCAATAGGAAAAAAATCTAATAATCCAATTAAAAATTGGCAAAATGTTTGGACATTTCTCAAAAGAAGACATACAAATGGCCAACAGGCATAAGAAAAGATACTCAACATCATTAATTATCAGAGAAATGCAAATGAAAACAACAATGAGATATCTCACCCCATTTAAAATGGCTTTTATCCAAACGACAGTCAGTAACAAATGCTGACCATGATGTGAAGCAAAGGGAATGCTGATACCCTGTTGGTGCAAATGTAAATGAGTACAACCACTATGGAGAACAATTAAGAGATTCCTTATAAAAACTAAAAGTAGAGTTACCATATGATCCAGCAATCCCAATGTTGGATATATACCCCAAAGAAAGAAAATTGGTATATTGAAGACATACTATGTTTGTTGCTGTGTTTTTCACAGTGGCCAAGATTTGAAAGCAACCTAATGTCCATCAAAAGATTAATGGATAGGCCAGGCACGGTGGCTCACGCCTGTAATCCCAGCACTTTTGGAGGCCGAGGCGAGCGGATCACAAGGTCAGGAGATTGAGACCATCCTGGCTAACATGGTGAAACCCCATCTCTACTAAAAATACAAAAAGAAATTAGCCAGGCGTGGTGGAGGGTGCCCGTAATCCCAGCTACTCAGGAGGCTGAGGCAGGAGAATGGCTGAACCTAAGAGGCAGAGCTTGCAGTGAGCCGAGATTGTACCACTGCACTCCAGCCTGGGCGACAGAGTGAGACTCCATCTGAAAAAAAAAAAAAAAAAGATGAATGGATAAAGATAATGTGGTACATATACACAATGGAGTACCATTCAGCCATAAAAAAGAATGAGATTCTGCCATTTGCAACATGGATAGAGCTGGAGGTCATTATGTTAATTGAAATAAGCCAGGCATGGAAAGACAAACTTCATGTGTTCTCACTTATTTGTGAGAGGTAAAGAGTTAAACAGTTGAATTCATGGAGATAGAAAGTAGAAGGATGGTTACCAGAGGCTGGGAAGACTAGTGAGAAGGTAGTGGGCTTGGGGGCAGATGGAAATGGCTACTGGGTACAAAAATAATAGTTAGAAAAAAATTAATAAAACCTAGTATTTGATAGCACCACGTGGTAACTATAGTTAATAATAATTGAATTGTATATTTTTAAATAACTAAAAGAGTACAATTGAATTGTTTTTAACACAAAGGATACACGCTTGTGGGAATGGATACCCCATTTTTCATGATGTGGTTATTACCCGTTGCTTGCCTATATCTAAATATGTCATGTGCCCTGTAAATATATGCACCTACTATGTACCCAAAAAAATAAAAAAATGGAAAGTTAAAAAAAGAAGTCTTATTCTTATATTTCCTCCTTTAACTATCTAAAAGAAAGCTCTCCTATCCTCTTAACATGAAGGTAAAGTCCTTTCTACCCTGACCTTTGGTAGAGCAGTCTGTACCACTGCTTCTTGTCCACAGCAATTCTCTCTGTTTCACACTCTGGGATTCATGTATTTTAGGCCAAATACAAATTCCATTCAGTGCCTAGTCTCAAGTAATCACTTCTCTTTTAAAGGGCATTGCAAACTGGTGTCTACAATTTCAATGTTCTTCCCACTCTACAAAGCAGAAGTCAATTTAGGTAAGCCATTGACAAGAAGTCTGTGGATACCAGTACTGTATTTATCAATTCTCTGCCACTACTTAGATTTGCCTGGTGTTTGCATTGACATTGCCAAAGCTGTCAATCAACCCCCAGCCATTTGGTATTCTAGAGACAAGCCAGAAGACTCAAGGGTAAGAGAAGGAATTGACCAGTTGTATTTTTCTATGGACTCAGAAGATTAGCATAAAATGAAAATAATTGTGGAGACATCTTATGAGCCATAAACTCATGGTCAATAACCTAAATAAAATAGTCATAATGCAGGCCTATGCATAAGATATCATTATAATCAAGACTAAATTCAGGGTCATTTTTAACTAAATGTACATCTGGAGAGGATGGATGCAGTAACAAACGTATAAAAATTTATTTTGTCTCTACCTCTTTATGTCTTACTTATAGACAGTAAAGATTAGTTGTAATTTCCTTGATATGTTACATACCTTAAAACATCTCTCAGGCCATCATAGCATATATAATATGTGACATTGCAGTATGGGGCTGATTACACCCCGAATAAAATAAAATTTAATTGAAATATTTCTTCAAATTCATGGAGAAGTGTGATTGAAGCTCATTTTAGAAACTATCACTACTAAAGTATCTAGTGTAAACTTGTCTGAAGTATCTAGTGTAAACTTGTTTTTGCTTTCATTTTATCTGAAAGAGAAAGCCAAGCCTGAAGTTTTCACTATAAAATCGAAGAGTTGAGATTATTTAGGTTTTGTGGTGAGCCACATTTTTAAATATTTGAGGTTTAATCTTTCTCTGGGATAAAAATATTAATAACTGGCATAATGCTCAGGCAGACAGCTCCCACCTTTAACCCCAGCACTTTGAGAAGCCAAGACGGGAGGTTTGCTTGAGCTCAGCAGTTCAAAACCAACCTGGGCAACACGAGGAGACCCCATTTCTACAAAAATAACAATAAATAAAAATAAAAACATAAATAACCGGCAGAAATAAATTTCAATACAAGTATCATATTAGGCTAAATCAATTGGTTTTGTTGTTGTTAGGCAAGGAGAGAAGAGCACAGACTTTCTACCAGATATTGCTTGACTGTGCAATAACACAGTGATCTCTGTGGTTGTCCACAACCCTACAAGATTATAATGCTAAGACCGACACACACTCTTCTCCCATTAACATTCACATCTCTTTGTTGGCTCATTGTTCTCTCAATGCTTTATTTTTCACCTGCATATAAAACCTTTAGGTCTTGTTCTTACTCATACTGATAACTTTCATGAATGCATCACCCACTCTGTTGTGCTTTCTTGTCATTCGTTATGGGTTGAATTGTGTCTCCTCAAACTTCATATGTTGAAGCCCCAACCCCCAGTACCTCAGAATGGCCTTGTTTGGAAATAGGGTCATTGCAAATATAATTAGTTTAGATAAGGTCATTAGGGAGGGCCCTGGTTCAGTATGACTGGTGTCCTTGTAGGAAAGAGAAATCTGGACACAGAGACAAACATGTATAGAGGGGAAACGTGAAGAGACACAAGGAGAATATGTGTCTCTGTAATTCAAAGAGGTAACATCTCCTTTCCTCATCGCCTTCAAAAGGAACCACTCCTACAGATACCTTGACTTAGAACTTCTAGCCTCTAAAACTGTGAGACAATAAATTTCTGTTGATCAAGCCACTGAGATTGTGGTACTTTGTTAAGGCAGCCCTTGCAAACTAATACATTATTTTTAAGCATCATGGTATTTCCTAATTAAATCTAGAATTCTAGAACTTTATTCAAGCCATATTGCATTCAGTATTCAAATCATTTTTCCAGATCAAGGATTTCTTCTTTTTAAAAAAGGATAAAGTATATACTCTTCTAAAAATCTCCTCCTATCTTTGGTTCTTGTCCTTACTTATATGTGTCCATTTATGAACACTTTTCAATTCCATTTCTTTAGGTACGGCAACCAGAACTAATTGCAGAGTCCTATGCTTTGATGAAAGGATAAATCACTTCGTAACTCTCACTTTCCTCATGTGTACAATGCACTAGAAATTATCCTACAGTATTGTTTTGAGAATTAAACAAAATAGCACCTATGGGTATTTGAATTACTACTGATGTTTCTGCTTCATTTGCAGCAGCATCTCTGATGATTCACAGAATAATAGCAACTATGTTTGCCACCATAGACTTCAGGTGGAGCTCTCCAGAAAGAGAAGATAATAATGACTCACAAATCCTTATTATGTGTCATCACTGATGCTCAAGAGTCATCATCACATAAATATGGTTTTTTTTCTTATTCTACCACATTCACACACCCATAGTGCTGTTCATCTTCTGTGTCCTGACCTCACACACAAGCAGGAAAGATTTTTCTGCAGTTTATTCTTATCAGCTTGACATTTAATTACCCAGAGAAGCTTAGTGTCATCTGTGAACTTGAAGATTTTACAGGGTACTTCATCTTTCAGGTTTCTTATAGAAACTTTAAATGAATCCAGTCCTGGCAATAATCCCTCAGGCATAGCATCCAGACCTGAGTGTTGGGAATGGGTTACAGAAGTGCCAAGACAGAGATACCCTCAGCTCTTGGAGTAGCAGGTGTCTCCATCCATGAAGAGTCTTTTCTATGTACATGAGTGAATTGTTGACAGCATTATCATTTAGTGGAAGAAAAATTAGGCAGTGGTGTTCTAAAGATATATTCTGTTAAAATCCTTTTATTCGTAAAAGTAGTTGGTTGTTCCCTTGCCTTTTTCCCGTCAATAAGCCAGGTGTTTAGCCATGAGACCACATTCTCTTGAATTTTTAGGCAATTTGCTGTGTGTGTGTGAGTGTGTTTTCTATATCTGTTTTTAGTAGAATTCAACATAGAGCATTTTCAGATGTGTTGCAACGGTGACAACTAAGAACCATGGGAAAGACTGAATCCAAAATTATGTGCAGAATCAGTCACAGTAATAAATAATTCAGAAGTAAAGGTCAAAGGGCTTGTGTGAGGTATTGCCACCAGATCTGAAAAGGCAAAAATATTTTGTGCTTACTATGTGGAACTGCACTGATATGGAATCCACATACATTGAGAAACCGTCTAAATATTACCTTTATTAAGTTTACTGGATATCCCTTGCTGCCATTCCTAAAGGTCATCACAATTAATCAGTATTTTGTTTTACATAAGCCTGGGCAATATAAAGCTTTCTGAAGATAAGTAGTTCCTTTTCCCCTAGAGGACCCTTGGGGGAAAAGAGAAGTGGTAGTGAGTGGGGTGAGTCGTTTAGTGGGAGAACAGGAATTCCTAGAGTAAGGGTGAAAGGGGAGACACCTAAGCAAGGCTGGGAGAGCTGGTAGAAGTCTAATAGCCTGAACAGAGAAGTGGCAATCTCGTTCCATGCCTTGGAATCTAAACTTCCTATAGGAAGCAGTGACCTAGTAAGTAGCTCAGAAACAAATAGAAAAATAAAAGAGTAATAGTGAGAGAGGAAAATAAGAACAAAAATGAGAGTGACAGCAAAAGCAAGAAGTAATGAGAGAGAACCTTAGCCTAGGCAAGGCAACCCAGCTTATGCTGTGTCATTATTTTTGTGTTTTACATTGTATAATTAGCCACAGATTCAAGTATGTGACCTCTCTAAGATAGGACTCAAGGAGAGAGATTAAAGAGAAACAGCAGTATTGAATAACTTGTGAATTAATGTCCCTGTCCTGTGAGACTGGCATATGTCCCAACCTAATTTTTTCACTATCTGCTTTTATGGGAGTCTTTTAGATTCCTTTGCTGCAGCCTCCTACTATATACCTGTAATGCACACGGTGCCTGACTGATTCTAAGACTTGGATCCCACAACAATTCAGGCCCTGGATAGACTATGTCACCCAAGAATTGTTTTGGATTAATTTCCTTTCAAAATGCTTCCAGGAAGGCTCCCTCCAGCCTAGGTGGGTTGAGATGGGGGCTGCCTTGTGACTCCTTCCACTTGACTTAAGGTGTAATAGGAATCCATTCTCCTCTTGCCCCTGGAAGAAAGAACGCACAACTGTCTCCCACATTCTCTAAAGGAAGCCTTCTCCATTAATTTTCTTTCTCCATGCTTTTAAGGTTGAAGGTGGGTGATCACTGCAGGCAAAATCAATTTAGCCATCTCTTAGCCCATCCTGGTTAAAAGAGCTAACACCTTTCTTGGAAACTTCTGGGAGAATTGATATCTGTTGCATTATTACCAGTCTTGAGGGCTTCAGACAAAAATGAGACAAAATGAGTTCTAATTATTAGGTTGCTCAATTTTAAATGGCTAATTTTGAGGTTAAATATGGTCTATATCAGCAATTTCATATGGCTCAGTCTAATGAATCTTATTGCGTCAGTTTTCCCTTTCATCCTATTACCATTCACTTTTGTCAAAATGTAACTTGTTAGGCAGCTATTCTTTGTCATCCAGCAATTTTTTTAGTGACCTATGAAAAAAATACACAGTCAACTCTTTCCTATAACCTGAAATAGTATTTCTTCAAACAAATGAACAAAACACATACTTCACTCAATGTTCTCAAAATTACAAGCTTCCAAGGTCTCTTTCATTATAAAACAATGAAACAAATAGTTATTCACTGCCCAGCTTGGAAATACCCCACCAGATGCCCTGGGGAGAAACAAATTTTTTGTTAGTACTCACTGAACGAGATGTGACTTTTTTGGCTGACTGAAGGAACCCTGCTTAGAAAACCATAATGATGCTAAATAAAAGGCAGGTTCTATTGTCAGGATACAGCTAAATAATGACAGTCACAGCTGCCAGCCTATGACTTTTACCTAAGCGTAACTACCTTCAAAAAGTGTCTTTGCTACTCTGATGTCTGTAAATTTTATTTGTTTCTCTCATTTGCTAAAAATAAAAGATATAAATATGTTGTTTTCCCTCTTTGACTTGTATTGTAATTGAACTATCATGTTGATTTTTTTGTCATCTGATTTCTGTATATCCCATGCTTCTCTACCAAGGTGACCTGTAGTACATTGGGGATCAGTTCTGTATTGCTTTTCTGGCCTTTACACAGTGAAGAAACTCAAAATATGCATGTTACATGAGTCAGAGTGCTACTGGTCTTGAATACAGCATTTTCAATGTTTGCATTATTCTATTTTAGCCTCAATATCAATTTTTGAGATCATTCAAATAAATCTATCAGAATAGCTGGAAAAGGCCACCTTTTTACATTGCTGGAAAAGTAATATGTGTTATGTTTAACTTTAGTAGCAGTTATTTGATTTATTGTTCTGACCTTTTAATTCCTTGCAAAGATGGGATCCTTTAGAAATATTAATCTTAGGGTAAAATCAACAAGAGAATTTGCCTAATATTTAAGCTCAAAGAAAATGGAAGTCTTATATAGAGCTCAGTATGATCATCTAAAAATTTCTTTGTAAGCCCAACATATATAAAATGTTGAATAATCATACCAGAATGCCAAAGAAAAAAGAAGTACAACATTACATCACAGCTTCTGCAAGATAAACTATTCCAAGAATGTGGAGGAACCATTGTTTGTTCTCTTCTTTTTAGATGTTATGAAAGGAATAATTTGAAAAGCAAATAATACATTGGTAAATTCCAAAAGTTTATATCATACTCAAAGTAATGTGTTCATTTAGAATCAAACTACACATTTTTAAAAAATGAATAATCACAACTTAGAAAGACAGACAATCTTATAAAAAGTCTAGATTAAAAACAAAATACTTCATTCATGGTAGATAGTAATTTTTTTAATAGGTGTTCATTTTCCTCTGGAACTCAAAGTCAAATTGCCTTATCTGTATGTTTTTAAGTGACATTTACTGATTGAGTTGATGATGATATTTTCAGGAATCAATGAGCATTTGATGATGTAGACCTCAAACAGCATCCTCTTTGCAAAACCCCCAAGAATTCATATAATTCTTCACAGAGCATCTGTGCTAAGTGAAAATAAATTATGAAGGGGAAAAATGAAAGAAACATAAAACAAATATTCACAGATGGATGATTTTTTATAATTGGCATGTGTTTCATGGGACTGTTAGAAATTTGCTTACATTTAAAAAAAAAAAAAGCTATCAAGAAAATTGAACATATGACCATTGTCTTTATTACCCAGGCAACACCTACTATTATCAGTAAGTGGAAGTCAGAAGTCTGGAAATAAGGGAAATGTCTTGGGGGAGTCTCACTGTCAAATCCACTCAGAGGAGATTAAGCAGAGATAAGCAATGTTACATAAAACAAACAGAAGTTTTTTTTAGACCCATAAGTCCTATTATAACCATGAACATATATATATACACACACACATATACACATATATATATATGTGTGTGTGTATATGTGTGTGTATATATATATTTATACAAATATATAAATATATACACAAATATATGTATATATTTGTACAAATATATACATATATTTGTACAAATATATACATATATTTGTACAAATATATACATATATTTGTACAAATATATACATATATTTGTACAAATATATACATATATATATATACATTTGTGATTCTCCTGCCTCAGCTTCCCGAGTAGTTGGGACTATAGGTGCGTGCCACCATGCCCAGCTAATTTTTGTATTTTTAGTAGAGATGGGTTTTCACCATGTTGGCTTGGATGGTCTCAATCTCTTGACCTCATGATCTGCCTGTCTTGGCTTCCAAAAGTGCTGGAATTACAGGTGTGAGCCACCATGCAGGCCTGATATGAACATATTTTTAAAATGTAGATATCAATCAAAATAAAGTTGGTAGTAGCACAAGCTATGCAAACAGAGAAGCATGAAGGCAAACATTCAAAGAAAATATTAAGTCAACTGCTTTCTAGTATGCAAGGCCAATTGGCAATAGTATTTTTATCATTATGTAAATAAAATAATTGGGATTAGCTTTAAGCCATTACACATTTAAATCATACAGCAAACTGTCCCTATTCTGTGTTTACAAAGAAATCTACTTTTTGTTTGTTCTTTCCCAGAATGGGCCGGTTCTTCCATCAATATTGTGGTCCACGCAAGAGTTAATTTGCTTATTACAAACAAATCAACTGATTTTCAATGGTTATTTACCAGTTTCAAGGACTCTTGTGAATTCGCCAATATAATATATGCTCCTTGAAAACCAGGCAGCAGCCTTCTCCTGGCTTTTGCAAGCCTTTCCAATAGATTATGGGAAAAAAAACAAGTCTTTTAGACATTGAAAGTTCTACATCTGCATTTTAGTCTAATCAATCAAAACCCACAATCAGTTGTCTATATAAAGTGAAAGTAATTATAATAAATTAATCATTCTAGTGTGCCAAATTCCATGTAGGTATTATTTTACAGCTCATCTGAGAACCATCATACACCATTTTCAGAATCTAAAACTGGCACTAAATGAAAACATTAACAAACTTTGAAATGTATCAGCTGATTTGTGAACATGTTTTATATGGTGGGGGGAAGAATGTCAAGAGCAATTCAAATTCATGTGTCAGTTTGTTACACATTAACAAGCAAAATATGTTTGCAGACTATAAGTGCATGTTGTCAACAGGGCATGTATAAAATTGGAGTGCCTTTAGTGTTTATTATAACTTAGAATACAAGTTCATAAAAGATGGAGAGACTGCTAGGTATGTCTTCCCCAAAACAACCAACTCATAAAGAGTATTCATGAAGTAGAAAATTATTATTTTTATTGAAAGTCAAATTTCATTCCTATGTGAAAAAAAATTGAAGAAAACTTAAAGTTCAGTTATGTAATATTTGGCACAATAGAAGTATCACATAATTGAACAGTAAAAAACCAATATTTGCCCAGGTGTGGTGGTTTATGCCTATAATCCTGCCACTTTGGGGGCCAAGGCGCAAGGATAGCTTGAGCCCAGGAATTCAAGGCCAGCCTGGGAAATATGACAAATTTCTGTCTCTACAAAAAATACAAAAATTAACTGGGTGTGGTGGTGCACACCTGTGGTCCCAGCTACTCAGGAGGCTGAGGTGGGAGGATTTCTTGAGTCCAGAGAGGTCAAGGTTACAGTGAGCCATGATTGTGATACTGTACTCCCGCCTTGGTGACAGAGTGAAACCCTGCCTCAAAACAAACAAAAACCTAACATTTGAACATTGTAAAACTCTGTTCTGTCCATGCAAATTGCATGTACTAGTGAAGACTATTGAAATCACGAATGATTTTGACAAGCTTGAAGGAGTCTCAAAACTGTTCTGACCATGAAGAAATCAGGATAGCTGGGATATGCTGCAATAACAAACTCAAAAACCTCAACACAGGAATGTTTTTTATGCTACATCTATTGTAAGTTGGCTGGACTGCTGTTCTACGTAACTGTCTCACTTACTCTGTGGCCCAGGCTGATGGAGCTTGTATTCCCAGATGGCATCATAGAAAGAAAAGGGCACATAGTGAAGTATTCACTGATGGAAAAGTAAAATCCTACCCTGTGCCCAGAAGGAGAGAAGACAAAAAATTAACAATATTTGTTAATAACTTTAATGACTATCAAAGGTAATAATGATAGGTACAATTATATATAGCAATTTCAACAGAAGTCTGTTAAATTGGGAAAAGCTCTAGAAAAGCAGAAAAACAAATATTGTTTAAATAGAAATAAAATGCGAATGATGTTTTTCTTGATGTAAAACAACTTATGAAGTGAAAATTTTATACTAGGTAAAAGGAGAAAAAGGAAAAACAGCAGACTGTATATGTGTCTTAGGGCCAGCTGAATGTAGGGCTATCTATATTATATGTCCAAGATTACCCTATGATTTATTTTAATTGCAATAAGGTATAACTTCTAGGATATCAAGAGACAGCTTCATGGTTTCCTTCTGCTTTTATTTCCTAATACATAAAATGCCAACATATTCTCCTTTCTGCTGAAATCTTTCACCTAAGGTGGTATTTCTGATCTTCATAACTGCCCTTGATCCTGAGTATGTACCTTGCTGGGGACAGAAAACACATAAGGATATTATCTGATGTCCTAAAACAAGCCACTGCCAGGTCAACCCTTCAGCAACAGAGAAGAGCAGGTGTTCTGACCCTTATTCTTCCTTCTGTCAGAACTGAAATAAGTGGCTTGTAAGTAGCATCCAATTATATTTTATTTTTGTCTTTATTTGAGATACAAAGAGACATGTGTCTCCCCAGTTCTTTAGGGGAAATAAAGCAAACAAACATAATTTCTAGACAAAGGGACTCTCTGTAAAGAACTTACAGATGGTACATATTCTCCTCCCTTAGGCAAACACATAGCCTACCTCTGGGAAGGAGCACGTAGACTTTTACATACCTAGCTAAGATAATAGACAATACCCAAAGTTGAAATGTATCATCTACTTCCTAAAAAAATAAATAAATAAAAACAATTGTTATATGATAGTGTTAACTCTCAAATCTCATTTATAGAATTTTTTCCAAGGGTCTTCCTTAATGCACTTCAGGCAAATACAGTCAGCTATAAATGGAAGACCTCAAAAATGTTCAAAAGATGGCCAAAGACTGCAATGTTGACAATGTCCATAAGTCAATTGCAGTATTCAGAAAATGAGATTATTTTCTATAATGGATCCCTTATAGGGGGGTTTTCTATATTTTCTATAAGGGATATTACACAATCATAGAACATTTGCTGTGAGTCCTTGTTTGCATATTGAGGGCACATTTCTATTGAGCATGTATCTGGATGTGGGATTTTTGTGTTACAAAGCATGCACGCACATGTTCTATTCAATAGCGTTACAGCATAGCAGCACCAATATATCTCCTTCCAGTAACAAGTTTCCATGACTCTACATACTCATGTACATTTGGTACTTTTGTATTTACAATAGTCAAGAAGACCATTGCTGTTTACTGTATACAGAATTCTAAAATCATCCCATAATGTCAGCACTGGTGTTGCTCCTATAATCTTATTATATTACATGATCAAAAGTATTTGGCAGATGAAGGTTACTAATCAGTTGTCCTTTTAAGATTAGCCACATGACCCCCAAACTAATCACATCAGCTCTTTAAAAGCAGAGAGTTTTTCCTAGGTGGTTGTAGAAGGGAAATTCAGAGAGATTCAAAATACAAGGATTCAGCTGGGCATAGTGGCTGACACCTGTAATCCCAGCACTTTGGGAGGCCTAGGCAGGTGGATCATCTGAGGTCAGGAGTTCGAGACCAGCCTGGCCAACATGGTGAGACCCTGTCTCTACTAAAAATACAAAAATTAGCTTGGCATGGTGGCAGGCATCTGTAACCCGAGCTACTCAGGAGGCTGAGGCAGGAGAATCACTTGAACCCGGGAGGCGGAGGTTGCAGTGAGCTGAGATTGTGCCATTGCACTCCAGCCTGTGAGACAGCTTGAGACTCCATCTCAAAATAAATAAATAAATAAATAAATAAATAAATAAATAAGGATTTAACATGACAGATATTCCACTGTTGGCTCTGAAGATGAAAGGCACCTAGGGAAAGGAGCTAAGAGTGGCCCATAATTACTGAGAATGATCCCTGACTTAGTGCCAACTAGGAAATGGGAACCTCAGTTCTACAACGACATGGAACAGAATTCTGCCAACAATCTGGGTGAGCTCGGAAGCAGATTCTTCCCTAGAGTCTTCAGGTAAGAGCCCAGCATGACTGACATTTTTATTGTGGCCCTGTGAGACCCTTAGCAGAGATGCCACCCATGAAGTAGAGAAAAATTACTATAAACTTTTGACCTATGGAACTGTAAGCTAATAAATAGATATTGTTTTAAGTTATTATATTTATGGTAATTGGTTATGTATTAATGGAAAACCAACACATGATCTTTGACTAATCAGGTAGAACAGAATCCATCTGAATGAACCAGTCTCTACTCAGCTCTAGTTGATTGTTGTCATAGGAATGGGTGGTCACCATCGCACCATGTTTCATCTTTTATGAGATGTTGGAAATTGATATTTTTCGATTGGATTTCTAATTCTTTTTTAATTGCCAACTAATTCAATTTCAGAAAAATGGAATTTATTCAATTTTCAGAAAAATTACAAAATTTAATTAATTTGAAGCAGAAAATAAATCACTTTGCAGGCCAAATAACATCTGAAGGCAGCCAGATTGAATTCTGGCCTAGGTAATAATTAATTCAGTCCCTTTCAATTCCAGTGTTCCATGGATCCACTAAACAAATATTATAAAGCCTTTTCCTTTTTGTTTTAAATAATAAATACTGTAAATGTTGTAATATTCTGAATGGCTTCCAGCTTTTTCTTTCAGATGAAAGATTTATAACTAATGCACTATTTTTAACTATTCTATGAGATTTCTTCTTGTGGAGGGAATTACAGGAATTGAAGTTTATATTGAAAATTTGCTATAGTAAATCATTAGACAAATAATTTTAACATAAGAAATATGCACTTTGACATATGATCTTTTTTCTTTTAATAAAAATATGTAAATACTGTTTATTAAGAAGAAATAACTATTTTTCTTCTCATCCACAGAGGTAGTAATTAAGAGTGTGACCTTAGACAAGTTGTAAGAACTTGGACAAGTTTCTGAATCTCTATTTGTCTACATTTCTTGACTTTTAATGTAAGTTTATAGTAGTAAGTGATTAATAGGGTTTTTGTAAGGATAATATGAGTCAGTACAATTGCAGCACTTAGACTGTTGACTAGAACAGAGTGTTCAACAAAGATTAGTGATTTGCAGACAGAGGTATGGGAGTTCTAAAGCATAGCGATTGTGCCTTGGCTATGGCCAGGAATATTCAGTAGCTTAATGTTGCTTCCATCCTGTTTTGTATTGCCTTCAAACCAGCCCAATTCCATATTTCAGGTCCCTTGTGTGCTTTAGTCCAACTTGACTTTATAGTCCGACTATCTGACACTCATTTTCTTACCTCATGATATGCATTCCTTCTTGTTTAGATCTCACAATTTGGAGTACCAAGAGTCCTACTTTCCTTTGTTTGCCCATCCTAAAAGGCAAACCTGTAGATTACTCCTTCACAAAACCTCCCCAGATCCTGCCAGAGAGGCTTAACTGCTTGTTACCATAGTCATTGTTTAAACTTCAGGTACATGGCTGATACCTTGCATTAAAGTTATTTACATATTGATCTATATCATTTGTGGATGATTAATTTCTTACAAAAAGCAAATTTATTTAGTTGTGTCCCTACAGAACTTAATATAATGACTTTTACATTTTAGAAACTCAGTAAATGTTAATTGCATTGAATTTAAAATTTAAAAGTAGCAGAAGCAATGCTTCAATAATGCTAAGCAATGAATGTAGAAAAAGGGATTTCTCTATCATTAATATTTAAATATTATAAATTTAAACAGGCTTTGGTCTGGCATTTTTTAGAGTTTTGTTTTTGTTTTAGAGTGTGTCGGTATGTGTGTGTTTACTTGAATATTAGCTTTTTAAGCTTAAAAGCAAAGCAGCTGTTAGGATAAGAAGCATGTCAGAAATAGGGCATTCCAAACAACATAATTATGTTTATATTGTCTTGAATATAGAAAAAATTCCTATTCTTAAATAAGGTAGATTTCTATCATAGCACAATAGCCTAGAGCTCCATTTATAAAACACACATAGGCCTTTGACAACAGCAGGGCCCAAAGGGAAAATTACAACAACAACCAGTGAAAGCAAGCAGGCCCATTTATTTAAGAGGATGGTTTCTATTATAATGCAAAACGATGCATTTATTGACAACAGATCAAACTAGAAAGGGTTTCTTTGGCATGTAGACCCACTGTCTAGGTAGAATCCAAATTCTAGATAAGTCTTAAAAAAAAAAGAAGGATTTGAGTGGAAGTTTCCTTTCTACCTTTCTCAAAGACAAACCCATCAATCTTTATTTAACTTGGGATTCTAATATACTATTTCATTTGGCAAAGAGCTGCTATTTCTCATGGTCTGCAAAGCAATCAGATGGCAAGACAGTCTGAAAATTTAGACAGTAGAGGCTCACATACAAATTCTCTCTTCTCTCTACCTTCTCTAGACACTGAACTTATCCGATTCTTCAAAAATTCTCCAAAAATTATTCCAGCTTATGCATTCCACTAAATGTATAAGCCAGTGCTGGTCAAGGGAACTCATCACAGGTGTGCTAGGCTTCTGGGAAAGATTTTCATAACCAATACATAAGACTTATTTCTGCTCTTGTATGTGTTGTGTGAGGATATGCATGTTGCTCAGTGGTTATTTTGTAGCTCTAAGAATGAAAGAGGGAAAAAACAGGAAAACACCCTGGTCCTTAATAACACCTTGACAGAAGTTAAAACCCAAACCAACCAACTCTGTACTTCTTTTTATATCAGATAATAGAATTTTTATTTAATTCACTTTCAATTGGGTATTCTTTTATTTGGAGCTGTAAACCTTCTAATAGATACATAATTTGTCTTTGTATGGTCTATATCTCAGTCAGTTTGAGCTGCTATACCAAACTACCATGGATTGGGTAGCTTAAACAGCAAACGCTTATTTCTCTCAGTTTTGAAGGGTAGAAGTCTGAGATCAGCTGCCAGCATGGTCAAGTTCATGGTGAGGGCCCTCTTCCTAGTTTACAGATGGCTGCCTTCTTACTGTATCCTAACATGATACATATAGAGAGACCTTGTGACTCGTCCTCTTTTCATAAGGGCGTTAATCCCAACATGAGAGCTCCACCCTCATCACTTCGTCTAACTCTAATTACCTTCCAAAGTCCCAACCTCCAAATTAGGGTTTTCTTTTTTTTTTTTTTTTTTTTTTTTTTTGGCGGGGTCTCACTCTGTCGCGTCTGTCACCTAGGTTGGAGTGCAGTGGCATGATCTCTTCTCACTGCAACTTCTGCCTCCTGGATTCAAGCAATTCTCGTGCCTCAGCCTCCCAAGCAGCTGGAACTAAAAGTGCGTGCCATCGTGACTGGCTAATTTTTGTATTTTTAGTAGAGGCGGGGTTTCATCATTTTGGCCAGGCCAGTCTTGAACACTTGAACTCAGGTTATCTGCTCACCTCAGTCTCCCAGAGTGCTGGGATTACAGGCATGAGCCACCGCACCCAGCCAGGATTAGGGTTTTCAATATAAAAATTTGGAGGAACCTAAGCATTTAATCTATAGCAGTCTAGATCTTGCCATAAGAATACCAAGTCCAAAGTACTTCCTGAGTGGCATAGTATTCAACATAATCACAGCTGACTACGGCTTTTGTAATTCTGATTTTTTTTCTATAAAGTCTCGATTAACAGCAAGATTCAGTTATAATAAAATGATGACTTAAGGGACATTTAAACTGAAATTATGTGGCTGTCTTTATAAACTGTAATACTTGGAAAGATAAAATTAATGGTAATCTTGTACTGTTAAACATTAATATCTTGCTAATCCTGGACCTCCCCAGTGATTTACAGCTGAATGAATGCTGCTAATAAATATTCTAGTGTAATGCATGTCGATAATACGTCTGTGTGAGAAGGACTACTGTGTCAGCTTACTTCCAAATGAAATAGCAAGACATTTGAGCTAGAAATCTTTTAACTTTTTTATGACGAGAAATTAGAGACGTTTCTATTTCAAAACTCAATTGATGTGTATTGCTTAATTTGGGATTGTTTGCCCTGAAGACTTATCCAGTCAGTCTAGAAATATGTAGGTCATGTCTTATGTATAGAGTCATGCCTATACATTCCTGTTAACTTCAGGTGAATTAGCAAGCCTCTTCACCTTCACATTCCTATAAACTAGGGCAGATACCACCCTCCTATACCAACACAAAGCACAAGAATAGGAGAAAAAAAATATAGAGATCTGGTTTAAATAACAGAAAATGCACATTCTTTAAGATGCATATATACTTAGCAGTATCAGAGTTTGCTATTTGTCTATTTTACCTATTATCAGACCTTTCCTTTTTATAATGAAAGTTATACTACGCTTGGTATTGGTACAATGGGGGCAAACAGTGGCTAACCACATAGTATAGAGAAAGTGGGATGTATGGAGTTTATCTGTTTCTTTTGGAAGAGATGGACAATGAAAAATGTAATTTCTTATTTGGTAAAAGAAGGTAAATTGATTAGAACTCCTGTGATTTTACATGACAGAAATCTCAATTTAGACGGGCTTATGCCAAAAAAGGAAACCTATTGGCTCAGGTGTCTGTAGAGAAGAGAGCAGGTTGTGGTACAGTTTGATCCAAGGACTTGTTCAATGCCATCTAAACTTGGTTTCTCTCCATCTCTGCTTATTTCTCCATTGGGTTTATTCTCAGGCTCCTCTTATTGTCTCGAGTAGTCCCAGGCCCACATCTTCCTGATTACTAACGTGTTCAGGAGAGAAGAGTCATGCCTTTCTTTCAATAGTTCCAGAAAAAGATCTCCTTGAATTTTATTTGTTTAGATTGGATTCCTGTTATTCCTGAGTGAAAGTAAACAAAGCAATGCAGTTCCAAAGGGCCAGGAGCCAAAAGGGGTGATTTCTGCACTGAACTCTATGGACTAAGAATAAAGGAGTGTTGTTCGCTAAATAAAGCTGTGAGTTTGTTACCAGGAGGACAGACAGAATGAGAGCTGAGCAACAAAAACGGAGACATTTAATATCATCTTTTCTATTTTAACTAGCATAGAAATAAAACTAAACTGACATACATTGTTTGAATCCGCAAATAAAGAAAAATTATTTGTCAAGTGACTAAAATGACTTTAAGATTGATCGAAGTTGTACTTTATTCTAAAAATCTCTCAGTGTAAAATGAAACACATTATATATTTTACACATAGTACTTAATTAATTTAAATTTAACATATTGATAATAAATAAATTTAAAATAAATTTTAATCAAACAAAAATTAAATATGTGATGTGGTAAAGTCTACCATGACTTCAACTTATAAAGGTGATTTCATAGTGATAAAAAATAAAACATGATTCCAGACACCAAATTAGCCTTATAGGGAGAAAAAACTTATTATATGAAGCAATGTTAATCAGTGGAAAGAGAGATTAAATAATGTAACATTGTGTGTTCTTGCTGTGGAATAAGTGGGGTGGAAAAAGGAATTTTAAAGATAATTAAGGATTGAGCTGAATCTTAAAGGAATGTTAGGGTTTAATTAGATGAAGTCAAAAGGTAATCTAGTCTCAAGGAACAAAATCTCCTTAAAAAAACACAAAACAAAACAACAGTGAATAAAATAAAACTAAATTTCAGTGAAACAACAAGAATGCCAGTTTCATAAAAACAGAATAATAAGTCAGAAAGTTCTATGTCAGAAAATTGTAGAGTCCTTAAAATCAGGTAAAGAATTGGTAGAACATCACAGAGATGTGGGTTCTGGAATCACACAGACCTGATCTTAAGTCCTTGCTTTGCCGTTCACTAGGTGTATGGTTTTGGGCTGATTAATGCATCTTATTGTGCCTCCGTTACCTTATCTGTTATTGAAGGTTAATGCAACCTACTTGAAAAGACTGTGAGAACTAAATGAGACAACATATTTGAACTTAGCACAGTTCCTGATAGGTGGGGTACTAGTAGTCATTGTCAGTAGTTATTATAGGTAAAGCATCCCTAATCAAAAATTCTAAAATCCAAAATTCTTCAAAATCTAAAACTTTTTGAGAGCTGACATGATGCCATAAGTGGAAAATTTTATGTCTGACCTCATGTGACATGTCATGGTTAAAATGCACAAAACACTGTTTACTTCATATGATGGTTAATATGGAGTGTCAACTTGATTGGATTGAAGGATGCAAATTATTGTTCCTGGGTGTGTCTGTGAGGGTGTTGCCAAAGGAGATTAACATTTGAGTCAGTGGACTGGGAAAGGCAGACCCACCCTCAATCTGGGTGGGCACCATCTAATCAGCTGCCAGCATGGCCAGAATAAAAGCAGGCAGAAAAATATGAAAAGACTAGACTGGTTTAGTCTTCCGGCCTACATCTTTCTCCCATGCTGGATGCTTCCTGCCCTCAAACATCAGACTCCAAGTTCTTCAGTTTTGGGACTCGGACTGGCATCCTTGCTCCTCAGGTTGCAGACGGCATATTGTGGGACCTCACCTTGTGACCATGTGAGTCAATACTCCTTAATAAACTCCTCTTCATATATACATCTATCCTACTAGTTCTGTCCCTCTTGAGAACCCTGACTAATACACTCCACATCTTCAAGAGAAAAAATACTTCCCAGATTCCTTCAGTTGTGATATTTCTTTGCTCTGTATGCCCAGATTCTCCCACACAAGCATGCCCACAAAGGGTAAAAAATGGCACAGGTGCATGTTGGACGCACCAACAGCAAGTTTCCCATGATGCTCCACATGGATCCAAGCTATTTCTGTGTTTTTGTTGTTGTTGTTGTTTATTCTCTGCTTCGTGGTATAGAAATAGTGTTGGAAATGTCAAAAAGACCTGAAGGTATCCCTGTGGGTACCAGCAATAAGAAAAAGAGCAAACATTTATATTTGTCTGTAACACAGAAAGTCAGGATGTGTTATGCTCACACTGCTGCCTGAGAAACCAGACACTGCTGGTTTCTGCTGTCTGAGAAATCAGACAGCAGTGTGAGTACGAAATGTCTTATGAAGAGTATGCTGTTGGAATGACAGCATATATGACCTGAAGAAACAGAAGAATACATTGTTGAAGTTCTATGTTGAAAGTGATGAACAGAAGGTAATGTAGAGAAAGACTGCATAAAACTAAAAAAGAAGATCTTGATTATGTATTGAAATAGTGAATCCATTAGCATTGTAATGAACACACGCCACTTAATGGTACATTGATCAAGAACCAAGTAAAGATTTATCACAATGAACTGAACATTGAAGGGAACTGTTAGTATTTAAGAAGCTTATGGTGAACATTTAAGAAAAGACATGATATTAAATTTTTGAAGAGTTGTTGTGATAAAGCATCCACTAATCATAAAGCAGCAAAGAAATTTATTGACAAGTTTGCCAAGGTTATCACTGATAAAAATCTGAAGCCGGAACAATTCTATAATGCTGATGAAACAACATGCCAGGAACGGTGCTAATTGTGGTGTAACTGCCATGGAAAGACAATGATGGCAGTTCATGAGACAGCCCCTAAGTATTAAGGATGCCAAGAACAGGATAAGCTGTACTGGGATGTGCTAATGCAGCAGGCACACATAAATGTAAACTTTCTGTGATAGACAAAAGCTTCCATCCTTGCTGTTTTCAAGGAGTTACTTAAGTTCACTATTATACTACCAAAAAGGCATGGACCACCAGGAGCATATTTTCAGATTTATTTCACCAATATTTTGTACAAGTGGCTTACACTCACTGCAGGGAAGCTGAGCTACATAATAACAGCAAGATTTTGTTTTTCCGTGGCAACAGTTCTGCTCATCCTCCAGCTGAAATTCTCATAGAAAATAATGTTTATGCTACATACTTTCCCCCAAAAGTAACTTCATTAATTCAGCCACTTTAACAGAGTATCTTTCGATCAATGAAGACTAATATACAAACATTTTCTTGAATAGCATGCTAGCAACAATGAACAGAGGCATGAGTGTGGAAGGTTTTCAAAAGGAAGTTAGCATGAAAGATGCCACATATGCTGTTGCCAATGCTTGGAACACAGTGACCAAAGACATATTTGTGAGTGCCTGACACAACCTCTTGCCTGTGATATGACTATGTTCCATGATAATGATGAACATGGTCGTGGCTTTGAAGGATTCCATATGTCAAGTGAGAAAAAAAAATTGATGTCTGACCTTCTTATATATGCAAAATGAGTATCTTCAAAATCCATTAGTAAGCTGAAAGAAGTGAATATCAAAAAAGCTTTTAACCTACATAATGAGGCTCCAGGTTTTTACTCATTGACTAATGGGAAAATAGACAAAATGGTTCTGAATCAAGGTGATCATGATACCAGTGATGATGAGGAGGATGTTAACTCTACAGAAAAAGTGGTGCTGATTATGATATGGTGAAAATGTGGGATGTGATGGGCTAATTAAAGGATTAGAACAGTATGCACTCATAAGAGAAGAAGAAATTGTCAGTCTAGAAAATCAGAGAGTAACTTTTTTTTTTTTTGAGACGGAGTCTCGCTCTGTCGTCCAGGCTGGAGTGCAGTGGCGCGATCTCGGCTCACTGCAAGCTCCGCCTCCCGGGTTCACTCCATTCTCCTGCCTCAGCCTCCCGAGTACCTGGGACTACAGGCGCCTGCAACCTCGCCGGCCTAATTTTTTGTATTTTTTTTAGTAGAGACGGGGTTTCACTGTGTTAGCCAGGATGGTCCCAATCTCCTCACCTCATGATCCACCCGCCTTGGCCTCCCAAAGTGTTGGGATTACAGGCGTGAGCCACCGCGCGGGGCCCAAAGAGTAACTTCTAAGACAAAAACCCATTGTTAATGAAGCAAATGAGCGTAGAGAAAACATTTTCAAGAGCCATCAAGCAGAATGCTTTCTCATCCCTAGAGAACCCATTTCCTGGTTCCTCAACTGCTTCTGATAGTATGTTTTCACCAAAGAAAAATAAAATGCAGTGTATATTAACCTTTTAATCAAAATACAGCATAATAGAAAAAAAATAAAATCTTCCCATTGTTTGTTGATGTTGTTTAAGAGCTTCTATAGGTATTCTGGTGAGGTGACTGTGTTGCTTAGTTACCCCGAACACATTGTTTTTTCACTGTATTAATGGTACATTATATATATATTTTTACTGTTAAGTATTCATGTGTGAATAAGTATGAGAAAATAATTGCTTATTGGTAGCATATAATTTCACAGTCAGGAATGATGGTGCGGCCAAACAATCAGATATTGTTCCTGTGGCTGGCTGAGGCAGTGACGCCTTTACTTTCTGATGGTTCAATGCACGCAAACTTTGTTTCATGCACAAAATTACTTAAAATATTACATAAAATTACCTTCTGGCTACGTGTATATGGTATATCTGAAGTATAAATAAATTGGTGGTTTAGGTTTTAATCTTCTCCCCAATATATCTCATTATGCATATGCAAATATTCCAAAATCTAACAATATCGAAAATTCAGTACAGTTCTAGACCCAAGCTTTTCAGATTTTCAGCTTGTATTATTATTATATGAATTAATGCAATAAAAAGCAAAGATCTTGTGTTGTGATCTTTCAGGGAAAAAAACACAACCTTACTCAAATTCTTCAACTAACATAGTTGTCTTTTGTTGTCTGTATGTTTTTTCAGAGTAAACATAGAAATGAAGATAATGCATGGCAAGATCTCCAAATAACCCAGGAAGCATCAAAAAAGAAAAAACAAAACAAACTGAAGTTGACCTGGCCTCACAGTGACCAGATTATCATACCTGAGTATGGTTCAGGCCCCAGGGCTCTGAGGAAACAAGAGTACTATATCATAGACTCAGTAACAAGAGTTAAATGTGCTTCCTTCTCATAACTCCAGCAATTGCCATGCTCTGATTAATATTTTTGTGACTATCTCTACTGCTACTCTTTCCTGCTCTGAGTTGGCTTTTCTTACATGGCCAAATTTCTGAGAGAGAAGTTGGGTTTGGTAAGTCACTCTTTAGATAGAGCCACCTGTAGATTGGATATCCTTGGATAAGATGCCCATCCACTTAGTATCTGCCAAAGAGAAGACTGAAATTTGGGGATCATGCAGTCACAACACGAAAAAAATTTGCAGAAGGAATTTTGTAGATGGAGACTGTGCATAGAAATTGGGGCAGAAGACGTAGCAGGTTATCTGAGACTTAGCCTATACGGGACACAAAAATTTTTAAAAATAGCTGAGATATTGAAAATAAAAGTGATAATTTAAAATAATTATTTAGGCGTCAATATGTTGAAAGCATCAAAGAGAAGAATCATTGTATAAGTAAGGCAGATAGAAGCAAGGATGTTATGTTTATTCCTGTTTGATGTTTAAAGACCTGAACTGGAACTAAGGGAGTGGGACTTGGCAGAACTGGACCTGAAATATCTAAACAACCCTAATACAGCTTGATAAATGACCAGTCATGTGGTAAAGAATCCTTTGGGCAGAGTAGTTAACAACACATACTCAGTAGCTTTAGAGTCTGAAAAAAAATCTAGTTTTGTGTTTCCATTTTGTCACTTATTAACTGTCTGACCAGAAGAAGTTGTTTATCCACTTCACACTTCAGTTTCTTCACCCATAAAATAGGGTTATTCACAGCAGCAGGTGCATAGTGTTGGTGTGAGAAGTGGATTATATCATGCCTGTGAAATGTTGAGCATAGAGTGTCACTTAGTAAATACTCAGCACATGTTACCTGTCTTTAATAACTCTATAAGAAGAGGAGTCCGAGAACCCCATGAGGTATAGGTTGAATCCACTGAATCCATGAAAGAGAAGCCTCAGGAGGGAAATTGATCTGCAGGCATCAGAGATTGGGTTCTGCTTTGGAGGTGTTGGGTGGTCTGTAGTACAAAATAATCTCCAGCTGGAAAGGCCATAAAAGCACTGAGTGCATGGAAGGTTATTAACTTGGAAGAAGATAAGAAACAGAACAAGAGAATGGCATCTAGGAAGTAAAAATGATGATGTTGAAAGAGCATAGGTGAGTTCTCCGGAGAAAAGAGCAAGGAGACCAGCAAGAAGAGACCTCACTCTGCCCCCAGCTAGAGATAAAAGAGGAAATATGCTAAGAGAATAGAGAAGTCTCTGTAAGAAAGTCCCATGGCTCATTTGTAGGAACATGCAGTTTAATATCATTTGAACTATGTTTAACATTTGTTATTGGCCTTTTATCTCATTGCAAAAACATACAATTCTTCAGTTAGCTAAAAATTTCAATAAAATTATTTTAATTTATATAAGGTATTCTGTAAACACTTTCTTTCAAAATAAATCATATACAAATAATGTTTCTTGAGCACTGTACTGTAAATAAGAATACTTAAATAAATATAAAACAGTGATAAGTATTTTAAATTTACTTACTTTTATATTTTGTGTCATGCAATAGCATAAAAGAAAGTGTGATTCTCATTGGAATCTATCGGTAATTCTTTAATATTTGGCAAACAGCCCTGCCTTCCACCTAAAGGGTTCTTTTTTTTTTCCTTTTTCTTTAACTTTCATTTTAGGTTCAAGGGATACTTGTGCAGGTTTGTTACTTGCATAAATTGCGTGTCACCGAGACTTGGTGTATGAATGATCCCATCACGAAGGCAGCGAGCATAGTACCTGATAGGTAGCCTTCTAACCCATGCCTCCCTCCCACCCTTCTATATCAAGCAGTCCCTACCATCAATTGTTCCCATCTTCATGTCCATGTGTATTCAATCTTTAGCTCCCACTTATAATTGAGAAAACATGGCATTTGTTTGTTTGTCCTTGTGTTAATTTGCTTAGGATAATAGCCTCCAACTCCATTCATGTTGCTGCAAAGGACATGATCTCAATCATTATATGGCTGCATAGTATTCCATGGTGTATATGTACCACATTTTATTTATCCAATATATCATTAATGGGCATCTGGGTTGATTCCATGTCTTTGCTATTGTGAATAGTGCTGCGATGAACATACACATGCATGTATATTTACAGTAGAATAATTTATATTCCTTTGGGTATATGCCCAGTAATGGGACTGCTGGGTTAAATGGAATTTCTGCCTCTAGATCTTTGAGGACTGACCACACTCTCTTCCACAATGGTGGAACTAACTTACACTCCTGCAAACATGTAAAAGTGTTTCTTTTTCTCTGCAACTTCGTCAGTGTCTGTTGTTTCTGGACTTTTTAATAATCACTATTCTGACTGGCATGATAATCTCATTGTGGTTTTGATTTGCATATGTCTAATGATCAGTGATGTTGAGCTCTTTTTTGTATGTTTGTTGACCGCATGATTGTCTTTTTTTTTTTTTTTTGAGAATGTCTGTTTACATTTTTTACTCACTTTTTAATGGAGTTGTTTGTTTCTTCTACATTTCTTTAAGTTCCTTGTAGACTAGACATTAGACCTTTGTCAGATGGATGGATTGTAAAACTTTTCTCCCATTCTGTAAGTTGTCTGTTCACTGTGATGATAGTTTATTTGGCTGTGCAGGAACTCATTAGTTTAATTAGATCCCATATATCAATTTTTTCTTTTGTTATAATTGCTTTTGGCATTTTCGTCATGAAATCTTTGCCTGTGCCTATGTCCTGAATGGCACTGCCTAGATTTTCTTCTAGGGTTTTTATAGTTTTGGGTTTTACATTTAAGTCTTTAATTCATCTGGAGTTAATTTTGTATAAGGTGTAAGGAAGGGGTCCAGTTTCAATTTTCTGCATATGGCCAGCCAGTTCTCCAAGCACCATTTATTAAATAGGGAATCCTTTTTCCATTGCTTGTTTTTGTTAGGTTTGTGTAAGATCAGATGGCAATTACTCCAAAACTTATCACATAATTGGAAGTAAAATACTCCTCAGCAAATGCAAAATAACTGAGATCATAACCAACAGTCTCTCAGATCAGAGCACAATCAAATTAGAACTCAAGACTAAGAAATTCACTCAAAAGACACAACTACATGGAAATTGAATGACGTGTTCTTGAGTGACTCAGGGGTAAATAATGAAAGCGAGGCAGAAATCAAGAAGTTCTTTGAAACTACTGAGAACAAAGAGAAAATGTACCAGAATCTCTGGGACATAGGTAAAGCTGTGTTAAGAGGGAAATTTATAGCACTAAATGCCCACGTTAAAAAGCTGAAAAACATCTCAAATTAACAACCTAACAACACAACTAAAAGAACCAAAGAACCAGGAGCAAACTAACCCCAAAGCTAGCAGAAGACAAGAAATAACCAAGATCAGAGCTGAACTGAAGGAGATAGAGACACAAAAAGCTCTTCAAATAATAATAATAATAAGCAAATCTAGAGGCTGTCTTTTTTTTGAAAAAAAAAATAATAAAACAGATAGACTGCTAACTAGACTAATAAAAAAAGAGAGAAGAATCAAATAGACAAAATCAGAAATAAGGGGGATATCACCACTGACCCCACAGAAATACAAACAACCATCAGAGAATACTATAAACACATCTATGCACATAAACTACAAAATCTAGAAGAAATGGATAAATTTCTGGGCACATACACATTCCAAGACTGAACCAGGAAGAAATTGAATCTCTGAATAGTCCAATAATAACTTCCAAAATTAAGGCACTAATAAATAACTACCAACCAAAAAAAGCCCAGAAACAGACAGATTTACAGCTGAATTCTACCAGAGGTACAAAGAAGAGCTGGTACCATTTCTACTGAAACTATTCCAAAAAATGAAAAAGAGGGACTCTCCACTGATTCATTTTATGAGGCCAGCATAATCCTGACACCAAAATCTGGCAGAGATACAACAAAAAAAGAAGACTTCAGGCCAATATTTTTTTATTTTCTTCTGCTAACCTAGAGGTTGGTTTGCTTTTGTTCTGCTAGTTTCTCTAGGTGTGACATTAGGCTGTTAATTTGAGATCTTTCTAACTTCTTGATGTGGGTATTTAGCACTATAAACTTTCCTTTTAACACTGGTTTCATTGTGTCCCAAAGATTCTGGTATATTGTGTCTCTGTTTTCATTAGTTTCAAAGAATTGTTTGATGTCTTTCTTAATTTCATTCTTTATCCAAAAGTCATTCAGAAGTAGCTTGTTCAACTTCCACATTATTGTATGGTTTTGATGGATTTTCTTGGTACTTATTTCTATTTTTACTGCACTGTGGTCCATGAGTGTATTTGGTACGATTTTGATTTTTTTAAATTTTTTGAGACTTGCTTTATGGCCAAGCATGTTAATGATCTTAGAGTATGTGTCACTTGCAGTTAAGAATATATATTCTGTTGTTGTTGAATTTTTCTGTAGATGTCTATTAGGTCCAATTGTACAAGTGCTGAGTTTAAATACAGAATATTTTTGTTAGTATTCTGCCTCAGTGATCTGTCTAATGCTTTCAGTGAGGTGTTTAAGTCCTCCAGTAATATTGTGTGGTTATCTCAGTCCTTCACAGATCTCTAAGAACTAGTTTTATAAATCTGGGTGCTCCAATGTTGGGTGTTTATATATATTTAGAATAGTTAAGTCAGCCTGTTGGTTGATGTAATGCCTTTCTTTGTCCTTTTTAATCATTGTTAGTTTAAAGTCTGTTTTATCTAATATAAGAATGGCAACTTCTGTCCTTTTCTGTTTTCTGTTTGCTTGATAGATCTTTCTCCATCCCTTTACTTTGAGCCAATGGGTGTCGTTACTTATGAGATGGTCTCTTAAAGACAGAAAATACTTGGACCTTGCTTCTTTATTAAACTTTCAACTCTATGCCTTTTAAGTGGAGCATTTAACCCAATGACTTTCAGGGTCAATATTGATATATGAGGATTTGATTCTGTCATTGTGTAATTAGCTGGTTGTTATGTAGACTTGATTGTATAGTTGCTTTACAGTGTCAATGTGGTATGTGCTGCAGTTTGTTTTTGTTGTGGCAGGTATCCTTCTTCCATTTATATGTTTAGCACTTCGTTCAGAATCTCTTGTAAGGTAGGTTTATTGGTAACAAATTCCTTCAGCATTTGCTTATCCTAAAAGAATTTCATTTTCCCTTGTCTTACAAAGTTTAGTTTGGCGATATATGGAATTCCTGGTTGAAATTTCTTTTTTTAAGGATGTTGATAATAGGCCTCCAAACTCTTCTGGTTTGTACAGTTTCTGCTGACAGGTCTGGTGTTAGCCTGATGGAGTTCCCATTGTAAGTGATCTGCCCCTTCTCTCTAGCTGTCTTTAAGATTTTTTCTTTCATGCTGACCTTGGAGAATCTGACGACTACGTGTCTTGGGGATGATCGTCATGCATAGTATCTCACAGGGGTTTTCTGAATTTCTTGAATTTGCATGTGGCCTCTGTAGCAAGATTGGAAAAAATTTTGTGAACCGTATCCTGAAATATGTTATCCTAGTTGCATGCTCTCTCTCCTTCTCTTTCAGGAATGGCAATATGTTGTAGATTTAGTCTCCTGACATAATCCCGTATTTCTCTGAGATTTTGTTCATTTTTAAAAATTTGTATTTGCTTTATTTCTGTCTGCCTGTGTTGCTTCTAAAGAGTGGGCTTCAAGCTCTGAGATTCTTTCCTCAGCTTAGTCCATTCTGTTGTTAATGCTTTCCATTATGTTTTGAAATTCCTGTCATAAAGTTTTCATTTCAAGAAGGTCAGTTAGGTTCTTTATTAAAATGTTTATATTGTCTCTCAACTGCTGGATGATCTTACTGTTTTCCTTGGATTGGGTTTCAATCAATTCTTATATCTTGATGAACTTTCTTGCCATCCAGTTCTGAATTCTGTCTTACATTTCAGTTATTTCAATCTAGTTAACAACCATTGTTAGGAATTTAGTGTGATTATTTGAAGGTAATAAAATACTCTGACTTTTAATGTTACGAGAGTTCTTGTGCTGGTTCTTTCTCACCTGTGACAATTAATGTTCCTTTTTCTTTTGAATTTGTTGTTCTTTGAATGGAGCTTTTTCTTTTTATGACCTTTATTGCCCTTGAGGATTTGACTGTGGCACACAATTCATGTATAGTTGAATGACTTCATTTCTGGATTATTTCTGAGGGCCCAGGCTCAGCTCCACACTCCTGGGCTTCATGCTGTAATCCTGGGTGGCTGGGACCAGGTCTGCAGCTCTGTCCTCTGGTTCTTCAAGGTCAAGCCCCACCTGGGCTGGCAGGACCAAGGTGCTTCCAGACCACTGACAACAGGACTCCATCAGGCCTGGCAGGGAAGCTGTGGGCACAACTGCTCAAGGGAAGGCTGCTGGGGTGCCGTAGCTGGGAGGCACTCTGGTAGGGGTGCCACAGGCAGGAAGTACTCCATAGGATACATCACAGATGAAAAGTGCTCTGGTGGGGATGGCAGGGGTGGAAAAGATGGAAAGTGCTCCAGAGGGGATCTGGGGGAACAGTGGGCAAAGGCACTTCAAAGGGACAATGACAGCATCACAGGCAAACACTTTCTGCTGGGAAGCTGCCAGTAAAAACACTTCAGTGTTATGACTGGGGCTCTGGTGAAAGCACTATGGTGATGAGCACTGACAAAAGCACTCTAGGGGGTTGGGTGGGCAGCTGAGACAGCATTGTGTACAAGCATGTTCAGGCAGAAAATCTGAAAGGGGATAACAGACAGCAGGGTATACAGATCAGACTCAGCCCAGTTCCATGGCAAAGATAGCCCTGCTCTCTCCAAGTCCGGCAGCTTACACAGGTCAGAGCCACCCCTTCCTGAGGAACTTTTCAGAGTCTGGAACATGTCCTAGCACTTGGCAACCATGTTTGGGTTTTCAGCTTTTGTCCCATTCAGCCCTGGCATCTGAGTTATCTGTCAAAACTTTCTCAATGTGTTCTCTCAGATGGTCTGCTCAGATTATACTGGTTTGCTAGATATTTTGGTCTGTCTCAGTGGGAAATGTTCTTCCTGGCTGTGGCAACTCAGCCATTGTTTTGCAGAAGGGCAGCAGTATTATTTTCATCAGTATTTGTATTTGCATAGCAGAAACCCTGCAGTTGTGATACCGTGTCTCCACAAGATGCTGGCTTTCTTATTTGTTGATATGGTTTGGCTCTGTGTCCCCACCCAAATCTGATCTTGAATTGTATTCCCATAATTCCCACATGTTGTGGGAGGGATCCAGTGGGAGATAATTGAATCATGGGGATGGCTTCCACCATACTGTTCTCATGGTAGTGAATAAGTCTCACGAGATTTGATGGTTTTATCAGGGGTTTCTGGTTTTGCATCTTCCTCATTCTCTCTTTGCCTGCTGCCATCCATGTAAGATGTGACTTGCTCCTCCTTGCCTTCTGCCATGATTGTGAGGCTTCCCCAACCACATGGAACTGTAACTCCAATTAAGCTTCTTTCTTTTGTAAATTGCCAAGTCTCATGTATGTCTTTATCAGCAGCATGAAAATGAACTAATACAGTAAATTGGTATGAGTAGAGTGGGGCACTGCTGAGAAGATACCTGAAAATGTGGAAGTGACTTTGGAACTGGGTAATAGGCAGAGGTTGGAACAGTTTGAATGGCTCAGAAGACAGGAAAATGTGGGAAAGTTTGGAACTTCCTAGAGACTTGTTGAATGGCTTCCCCAAAATGCTGATAGTGATATGGACAATAAGATCCAGGCTGAAGCGATCTCAGATGGAGATGAGAAAATTGTTGGGAACTGGAGCAAAGGTGACTGTTGTTACGTTTTAGCAAAGAGACTGGCAGCATTTTGACCCTGGCCTAGAGATTTGTGGAACTTTGAACTTGAGAGACATGATTTAGGGTATCTGATGGAAGAAATTTCTAAGCAGCAAAGCATTCCAGAGGTGGCTTGGGTGCTGTTAAAAGCATTCAGTTTTAAAAGGGAAACAGAGCATAAAAGTTTGGAAAATTTGTAGCCCGACAATAAGACAGAAAAGAAAACCCCATTTTCTGAGGAGAAATTCAAGCTGGCTGCAGAAATTTGCATAAGTAATGAGGAGCCAAATGATAATCCCAAAGACCATAGGGAAAAGGCCTCCAGGGCATGTCAGAGTTCTTCACAGCAGCCCCCTCCTATCACAGGTCCATAGGCCTAGGAGGAAAAAATGGTTTCATGGGCCAGGCCCAGAGTCCCCAAGCTGTGTGCAGCATAGAGACTTGGTGCCCTGCATCCCAGCCACTCCAGCCATGGCTGAAAGGGGCCAACATAGAGCTTGGGCCATCATTTCAGATGGTGCAAGCCCCAAGCTTTGGCAACTTTCACATGGTATTGAGCACAGAAGTCAAGAATTGAGGTTTGGGAACCTATGTCTAGATTTCAGAACATGTGTGAAAACGTCTGGATGCCCAGGCAGAAGTTTGCAACAAGGGCAGAGCTCTCATAGAGAACCTCTGCTAGGGCAGTGCAGAAGGGAAAGGTAGGCTCAGAGCCCTCACCCAAAGCCCCTACTGGGGCATCATCTAGTGGAGCTGTGAGAAGAGGGCCACAATCCTCCAGACTCCAAGATGGTAGATTCACCAACAGATTGTGCCATGCACCTGGAAAAGCCACAAACACTCAACATCAGCCCATGAAAGCAGTTGGGAGGGAGGCTGTACCCTGCAAAGACACATGGGTGGAGCTGCCCAAGACTATGGGAATCCACCTCTTGGATCCTTATGATCTGGATGTGAGACATGCAGTCAAAGAAGATCACTTTGGAGCTTTAAGATTTGACTGCCCTGCTGGATTTTGGACTTGCATGGGCCCTGCAACCCCTTTGTTTTGGCCAATTTCTCCCATTTGGAATGGCTGTATTTACTCAATATCTGTACCCCCATTGTATCTAGGAAATAAGTAGCTTGCTGTTGATTTTATGGGCTTATAGGCAGAAGGTACTTGCCTTGTCTCAGATGAGATTTTGGACTGTGGACTTTTGAGTTAATGCTGAAATGAGTTAAGACTTTGGGAGAGTGTTGGGAAGACATGATTGGTTTTGAAATATGAAGATATAAGATTTGGCAGGGGACCAGGGAGGAATGATGTGGTTTGGCTCTGTGTGTCCACTCAAATCTCATTTTGAATTGTTCTCCCATAATTCTTATGTGTTGTGGGAGGGACTTGGTGGGAGATAATTTAATCATAGGGGCAGTTTCTCCCATACTATTCTCATAGTAGTGAATAAGTCTCACGAGATCTGATAGTTTTATCAGGGGTTTCCACTTTTGCATCTTCCTCATTCTCTCTTTGCCTACTGCCATCCATATAAGATGGAACTTGCTTGCCTTCTGCCATGACTGTGAGGCTTCCCAAGCCATGTGGAACTGTAAGTACAATTAAACCTCTTTCTTTTGTAAATTGCCTAGTCTCAGGTATGTCTTTATCAGCAGCATGAAAACGGACTAATACACCTGTCATGTCTGAAATTTGATGTCTCCCAGATGAGCAAGAGTCCAGAATCTTGTCACAGTCTGCTTGGGGTTGCCATACTTATTCTTGCCCTCCAGGAACTTGGTGTACCCTGCCTCTTCCCTCCACCCTTTGTCTTTAACTTAAGCTACAAACCTAATCTTCCTTTATTCTCAATGATCCCATCCAATAAACACACATACCACATACATACCAACACACAATTAACACCAAGACTCATTGCTTCTATTGCTGAATTATCTCTTGGAACTGCCCACACTTCCAGATAACCACTGTCATTTCCCTAATCCAAGCCATGTTGCTATGTAATATATGCTATGACATGTACTACGTCTTCCTTCAGGACCACTGTCATGGCCTATAAGCCAATACCAACACTTCCACTCTTGTTCTTCTCCAGTCCTTCTCTGTGCTATTATCCAGAGACAGCACATAAAACACAAGTATAATCACAAACATCCACTGCTTAAAACTCAACAATTGCTTCCCATAGGCCTTAGATAAAATCAAATCTCTTTGACACAACTTACGTGGCCCTCCATGTCTGGCTCCCCACTAATTCTAAAACTGCATTTTCGACTGTTCTATAGTTGGTTATCTATGCCCCAGCCATGTTGGACTCATTTCAGTTTGTAGTTCATTCCTAGTAATCTCCCTTACCTCCTGGCCTTATATACACATAAAGACAACTCTAAATGTTCTTTTAGGCATTCTTCAAGTATAAACTTCTAAATTTTCCTTTCTCCAGGAGGCCCTGAACTTGAAATTAAGATAGGTCTCCAATGCCACTCATTCCACTATATTTTTGCTTCTCATGACGTCTATCGTTTTTGTAATTACTTTCTTAATGTCTATTATTCTCATTAAGCTGCATATTCATTGAAGGCTGGGACCATCTCAGTTTTGTTTGTAGCTAAAGCTGTAAGAGTAAATAGTTAAATCTATTGTATAGAAGGAACATAATAAATATTTATTGGATAAATTAAATTTTTGAAAGACTACTTATCAAAATAAACAGTAGTAATCATTTAATTTGTTGAGTAATTCTATCAATCATTTCAATTATTCATCTATAAAGCCCATTTACATCATATAATATAACATATACTACAAAACATAAAGGGCTTTTATATACATGCACTTCACATCAGTTAATAAATATTTATATTCTTCAAAATCCAGATATATCTTTTTAAGATTGTGATTATATGTTTTCATTAGCTTATAACCCTTCATGTAATTTTAGAAATATGCAACTGTTTTCCATAAATATATCCTCTTTGTTACTATTTTCTTGGCAAGATAGAATCTGGGATTTCCTCTGGATTCTCTTCACAATACTTCTCTACAATCCAAATACTCTATTATCATTAAATTAATATGATTTTTGTCACTATAGAAGTAATTTCCTAGGAGGAAGCATTAACTATGAGATTTGGCGCTTGGACATTCCCACTAAAACTAGTGAAATGGAAATGGCAGGAGAATGTCAAAAATGCAAATAATGCTTCATTGTCAGATATGAGCCAAGTGGTATGGTATGACCAGCATGAGTGTTTGAAGCTCAGAGATACAGGGATTTCCAAGGAAATACATACCCCAGATATTCAAAGGTCATTCCAATTCAATTCTAAAATAATGGAGCCTAAATTATTAAGTAGAAGCTGTCCCAGACACCCAGAATTAAACTGAAGCCAATTAAGTGCTTAATGCTATTGGGTATCATGAACTAATTCTCCCAAACTCCAGGGACAAGTTTCATTCCAATCCGGTTCTAAAAATAAGAAGCCAGAGACAGCCTCAGAATATTTTATTTCATCTCAGGTTCTTTATTGACTTGAGACTTGTCCTTATGTGGGGTTGAGGGCAGTGGAATGCATTCTAAAGTGAAAAGACACTTACAATTAAAATTATAATTTATTCAGCAAATTGTAGAGGGTATTTTAGAATCTTTACCTCAAAAATTAAAGTTCAGTAAATTTTCTTGGTTGATGTCAGGAAAAAAAAAAAGAGAGAGAGAGACTCCATTTTCTCCAGTTCATGACCACTGCCACCATGGGCCAGGAGCAGGATCACCACAAACTTAGGTATTCCAGTCACCAGCGTTTTCAGATTTGAACTACAGTGAAATTCTGATTTAATCCACAGTTAACCCTAAACATCCTGCAGAGTGACAGACCAAGTCATCATCTAAGAATAGGGAACCTATATAATCTTCATCCCACAGTTCTGAACTCATGTTAGGGAAGCAATCACAAAGTCTCACCCTTGTTCATTAGAATAAAATTTTTAAAAAATAGAAAATGCTTATTCTTGTTTTACTTCAGAGCACCTGCCACTGATGCACCCAAGTGTTGCTTTTTCCTGTTATCAACTTTAGGCCCAGCTGTCAGGTCCTCACACCTTTCCTCATTGTGACTCAAGGACTGTGGTGTTTTCATGTATTATGTTAACTCTGTGGTATTTTTAGCTCTGCCAGCTGAAGATGCCGGCCTTACTCATCCCTTCATCCCTCTTCCTAGTAGCTACATTCCACCTCCTCTTTTCTGAAAGGAAACATAGGTTGGGCACGGTGGCTCACACCTGTATTCCCAGCACTTTGGGAGGCCGAGGCGGGTGGATAACCTCAAGTCAGGAGTTCGAGACCAGCCTGGCCAACATGGTGAAACCCCGTCTCTACTAAAAATACAAAAAATTAGCTGGAAATTAGCAGGGTGTGGGGGCGGACACCTGTAATCCCAGCAACTCGGGAGGCTGAGGCAGAAGAATTGCTTGAACCCGGGAGGCAGAGTTGCAGTGAGCTGAGGTCCTGCCATTGCACTCCAGCCTGGGCAACAAGAGTGAAACTCCGTCTTAAAAATAAATAAATAAATAAAATAAAAATAAAAGGAAATATATCCTCTCTCTTTAACAATATAAGTTGTCTCTACTTTATTTTGTTCAGCTGGCAACTTCACATGAAAGCTGAAGTCAAGCAAAAGCAGAGAAAAACTGGCACCCTCTTCTAAAAGGTCTGGGCGGGGTGGGTCTGCTATCACTGCTGGCCAAGGATTCAAGAAAAACTATCCTCCCTATATTCCAGAAACTGTTCTTACTAAGGCTGACAATGATTCCCTAATATCAAAACCAAAAGATTCTTCTGGGCTTTCATCTTCCCAAAGATGACAGTTCACTTAGCACTGATGACCAGTACCTTCCTCCTTTGGTCTTCTTGACCACACACCCTTCTGGTTCTCCTTTTGCCTCACAAAACAATGGATCACTTATTCTCTGTTGCATGTAAAGATGCTTCCTGTCTAGCCCATAAATGATCCTGAGGCATTACACTGGCTTATCCTCTCTTTTTAACTAATATACTGTCCCTTCATATATGTTATCAGTTTCCTATAATAGCTAAAGACTTCCTCATCTCTATTTTCAGTCAGACCTCTTTCTAATGCTCCATGCTTGTATGCCCAACTGTCTATTCAATCTATTTGCATTCCAACTTTACCGCAGGAAATTTAAGCTCAACATGTCCAAAATTAAGTTCACCTCCTTCCACACTTTCCACTTTAAGAATGGTATCACTTTCTACTACCAAGAAATCAAAAGTACTATTAGGATCTCCTCTTTAAAAAAAATCAAATCCCATAGATTCCACCTCCTAATGTGTCCTTTGTGACTTCTCCTCCTCTCTCTCTTCTTACTAGTATTGCACTTGGGCATGTCTCCATGGTCTCTTGATCATGTGTCCCTGAATGGTCTCCCTCCCTCTCATCTTTTTTCCTTCTAATCAAACTTTACTAATATAATATTTTAAAAGACAAACAACATATTAGCTTAATGTCATTTTGTGGCTTCTCTTAGCCTAGCAGTTCTTAAACCTTAGTATGCATTAAACCACCTCAAAGCCTGGTTGAATCACCGATTATTGGGCCCCCTTTCTTAGAATGTCTGAATCAGTAGGTGGGGGTGGGCCTGAGCATGGGTATTTCTAAGATGTTCCCAGATGGTTCCCAGGTGGTTCCCAGGTGTTAATGCCGCTAAACTGAGACCACACTTTAAGAACCACTGTGTAGCCTACAGTATATATTTCAAACTACATGGCATGGTGTAAAAGACGTTGTCAACCCGTCTCTCCAGCCATATCTCCTGATCTCTAAATCTGATAAATGAGCTCCAGATGAATGAAAGTGACTCACTCCTTCTTGCCTCTGTGTTTAGCTTAGCTATTACTCCTTTCTATTTTTTTATTTGCCTGCCTATTTAACATCCACTCATGTTTCAAGCTCCAGCTCAAGTGTCACCATCTCATTATGGTATTTCCCAACATGGCCTCCTCCCCTCCTACTACATCCACACACTTGCTGGTAGAACTGGCTACTCCCTTCCTTACACCTCACATATGAACTGGAGTCTACTCTTGTCACAGAATATGTATAACTTCATAACACTTAACTTCCCATTTTCCCATTTAAATTCTAAGGTCTTGTGGGTAGAAACTCTCTTACTAGAATGTACACTTCCAGTATGTGGTAGACACATATTTTTTTGTAGACATTTAATATTTTGTTGTTGACTGAAAACAGATAAATTTGTGTTAAGTCATTTTTAAAGTCTGTTTTATTGTCCCATATACATTATTTTGTTAAACTTTGCATAAGGGAAACATGAATCTGAAAAAAATGCAAGAGTACTTTACCGTTTTAGTATAAGATAAAATGTGGACAAGATTAACAGAGAGGATTAAACTTTCTTTTTATTCTACATAATGAATTTAGACACTGAGAATTTGGCTAATGGAATATCAGGTCGTATAACTGACTGCATAGCAATTCCATAAGAAAAAAGAGACTCTAGTAATTCTATTGCATTCTTGGCTACATTGAGCAACGCCAGCATTAATTTATGATGCAAGTACCATGCTTATATAAAAAGGATCTAGGCCGTCTTTAAAATGAAGAGAAACAATTCACTCTAAATAGGGCATGGAGTGGGTGGAAGGTTTGGCTGTGAATATAAATTATTGAATTGCCAACCAAAAGAAAAACTTTATATTCCTACTGGGCCAGAGATACAAATCCCTGGATGTATCACAGCATATTACCAAATGTTTTGTATAGTTCATTTATTTATGCATTTATTATTTTTAAAATATCACACAAACTATAATAGCCAATAACGATAGTGTAAGATAGTATGCTAAGCACAGTGGGGAATTCAAAGAAGAGGTCAACATCACTCTTGTCCTATATCTCAACAGAGGCACTATTGGTATTTGGGTGGGACAATTCTTAATAGCCCAATGCATTCCAGGATGATTAGTATTCCTGTTACCCATTCACCAAATATTGATAGTATCCCCTAGGCAATGTGACCAAATACCTCTGCATATTCTCAAACACTTTCTAGGGATAGTAGCAGCCACAGTTGACTAGACCTACTATGAGGAAGGGGCCCACTGTAAAAAAATTGTGAGTCTCTCTCAGGACATCCCACCTCATTTTTAAGGGAATAAGGAGAAATTGAGAAGGAATATTTCAAATTTTCCTTGTTATAGTTTACACTCATGTGTTATTCATGTAACCCACTAATTAACAAGCTTACATGTGAATGGCAATGGTAATATCTAGTAATGAGTTATTTCTTGAATTGATATCAGCTATTGTAAGTTGGAGAATAAATTATTATCTGGTCTAGAATCAAACAACAGGCACTGAAGAAAATGTTTAATTTTCTATCAATGCATAAGATATTCAAATATGCTATGGCTATAGATAACAAGCTTATACTTATTTATGTAAACAAACTAGAAAAGGTGAGTAGACTTTGCCTCCTGATTTGGGTTATTTATTGTGTGATAGAAAATTTATTTTACTTGGTATACTCACATATTATTAAAACTTGTTTAATCAAAACAATATGAAATATGTTGATAAACCAGAATGTCAATTTGTTAATTTACAGTGGAGCCTAGATTTTGTGTTTATGTCTTCTCCTCAGGGCGATTTAATAAGCCAAAGTCATAATTAAAAGGCTCCGTCTCCACTGCTTCCACCTTTGGCCTAGTCTAGCCTGCTGTGATTGCATCTTAATCTGGCTCCCCGCATCTTGTTCACCCATTTTCAATCTGTCCTCAACTATTTATCCTTGTGATGAACGATCATAAACAAATCAAATGATGATTTTACTTCCTTGCTTAAATCCTTTTAAGCTAGCCCATTGCTCCTAGGATAAAAGGCCATGAAGATTTTTTTTTTCCTGAAAATAAACCTAAAGACTTAGTAGCTACCAGACCAGAACTCTAAAAACATCTAAGTTTTTCAGACTGAAAAGAAATGATAACAAATGGAAACTGAAAGCAATAAGAAGAGATAAAGATTGCTGAAAATGGTATGTGAGTAAATATAAAACCCTATTTTTTGTTTATTTAAAAGATATTAAATTTTTTAAGCAAAATATAAAAACATTACATTGTATGTTTTTTATGACACATATAGGAGCAAATTATAGGATAAAGAGATAAATGGTATTGTACTTTTGTAAGATTACTTGAGCCTATATAATGTGGTACAATATTAAATCCAATTAAACAGTATTTTTTCATAGAGCAAGCAATTGAAAAATAAGTACAAATTGGTATAACTAAAAAACTGACAATTAAAAACCTAATGATAAAACAATGTTTACATAATAAAAAAGGAAACGGAAACAGAAAAATTAATCCAATAAGTGAAACAGAGAAACAATGGAAACTAGACTAAAATGTATCATATCAATAGTTACATTAAATCTAGATGGAGAAACTAATTATGTCAAAATTTGTCAGACTACAAACAGTAAGAGACAAGTATATTGCTATCTATCAGAGTGCAGACAGAGATAAGTTAGATGAAAATTATAAACCATCAAACAATAAGAAAGATAGTAGAGTTATAGATATATCAAACCATATAGATTTCAATAAAGAGATTTTACAAAAAATTATACATGAGATAATTTGTCAGAAGCACATAATAATCCCCAGAGTGATGCGCTTAATTATAATGCAAAGTACACAAACAAAATTTGACCAAACTAAAGGAAGAAAACTATAAATCCAAGTAAACAATAATAGTCAAATATATACAAACCCTCTCTCATTTACTTTTGAAACAAGTAGTCATATAATAATGATAAGGCTACAGAAGAATTGAACAACACCATCAACCATGTGGACCTAATTGACATCTATAGAGTATCACTCCCATTCACCGTAGAATAAATATTCTTTCAAGTGAACATGAAAGTTTCATCAGATTTATCATATGCTGTGCAAAAATACTACAATAAATTTCAAAAGATAGAAATGTTAGATACTTGTCTAGCCAAAATGAAATTAAATAAGCAAGAAATAACAATAAATATTTGTTATTTACAGATCTGCAGGTCAAATATTTTTAAATTAACAAACATTAAAAGTATGAATCAAAAAAGAAATTTAAGAAAATAATTAGAAAAATTTCAAGCTGAAAAATAAAAATAAGCATCAAAATTTGTGGATTGCTGCTAAAGTAGAGGAAAACTTTTTAGCTTTAAATGCTCGTAGTGAAAAACGTAGGCAAAATCAAAAATCTAAGAGTCCACCTTAAGAACTTAATAAAATGTAAGCAAATTATGAGAAAAAATGAAGAGCAGAAATCAATGAAGTATAACACTAATAATAGAGAAAATTAAATATAGTAGGCAGAATGATGTCCCCAAAGGTATCTATCCCCTAATCTTGGATATCTGTGACTCTATGACCTTGTATGATAAAAGTGATTTTGCAGATATAAGGACAATGATAGACCTTAGAATGACGAAATTTTCTTGGGTTATCAAGGTGGGTCTAATTTAATTCTTGAGACCTTAAAAACAGAAATTTTTTTCCAACTGGAGTCAGAGAGATGTGGCTAAGTGGAAGCCAAAGAGACTAGAAGCTTGAGAAGGACTCCACACATCATTGCTGATTTGAGATGTGCAATGTGACATGGAATGCAGGCACACTTTGGAGATTAGAGAGGTTTCTAGTAACAGCCAGTAAATAAATAGAGGATCTCAGCTAGATAATCACAAGGAACTAAATTCTGCCAACAAGCTAAATGAGCTTGGGAGTGAATTTTTTCCCAGAGTCTCTGGAGCAGATCACGGTCCGGTCAGCCCACAGATTTGAGCCTTGTGGAACCAAGCTGTGAACCAGGTTAGTCATGCTGTACCCTGATTTCTGATCCATGGAAACACAGAGAAAATAAATGAGAGGTTAAGTTGTTATGATTGTAATAATTTATTATGGCAGCAATAAAAAAGTAATACATGAGACAAAAACAAACTTTGTTTTTTTTAATAGCTTTTGTCATACAAATGACAAACACCTAATAAGACTGACCAAAATTAAAAAAACACAAAATGTCAATAGTAAATATAAAAAGGGGACATTAATGTAAATTCTTTGAACTTTATAGAATAAAATTCTTTATAAATAAAACAACTTTATAAAAATAGTATGCCAAGAAATTTTAAAACTTAGGTGGCAAGCATGAATTCTTTGGAAAGGACAACTTGGCAAAACTAATATAAAATATATATGTGTGTACACACATATATCTCTATTTCCACTAAGGAAATTGAACTTGTAACTAAAACCTTCCCATAAAAAACTCCAAGCCAAGATAATTTCACTGGTGAATTACAGTAAATATTTGAAAAATAAATAACAATCTTACTTGAACCTTTTCAAACAATAGAGAAGGAAATAACACTTCTCAACTCATTTTGTGAAATAAGCATCAACCTGAAACCAAAGACTGACATAAAACAAGTCAAGGAAAAATATTATTAATCTCTACTTTTTTATATAGATGGAAAATCTTAATGCAATATTAGGAAATAAAATTTAGCAATTTAAATAAACAGTGTACACAATGACAAGGTGGGGTTTCTCTCAGGAAGGCAAGGTGAATTAGCATGCTAAAATCAATAGGTAATTTACCATATTAACAGATTAATTAAAAAAGAAAAACCATGTTATCACTTTTATATATGCAGAAAAAGTGTTTGAAAAAGATTGAACATCCATTTAATTGGGCACTCCACCTCTAAGACTGGGAAAAAGGAAAGGATATTTCCTCTCACCACTTCTATTCAACATTGTACTAAAGCTCCATCCTGTTTTTATTCAGAAATAACATGAGTACCTAAAAATCTCAAATAATGAAAGAAAAATCTGTCAGCACTAATAAACAAATTTAGCAGTTACACTATAAAGTGCCAATAAACAAAAACCAATTATATTTCTATAAGCTAATAATAATTTTAAAATGAAATTAACAAAATAATATCAACAAAATCATAAAATAATGAAAATAAACTTAACAAATTACAGGGAAGATCTCTTCTGCACCAAGAACTCCAAAACATTCCTGAGACAAATTTTAAAATACTGAAATGTATGGAGAGTTCTATCAGGTTCATGGATCAGAGGACTCGATATTTTAATATGTCATTTTTTCTCAAATTGGTCTACAGATGTAATGCAAGCAAAATTCCAACAAGATTTTTTTTAATCTGTAAGCTGACTATATGGAACTCAAAGGATTTAGATGAGCAAAAAACATTTTTTTAATTTAAAAAATAATAAAATGGGAGAACTGCTGCTACCTGATTTCAATATATATTATAAAATTACAGTAATAAAGATAATGCAGTATGGATATGGGAATAAACAGATCAATGAAACAGAAACGAGATTTCAGAAACTGACTCATATATACGGTCAATTATTATTAAAAAAATACAGAGGAATTTCAATGAAGAAAAGGAAAGTCTTTTTAAATAAATTTTGGCAGAACAAGTAGATATATGTATGAGGGAAAGAATGTTACACCATTCTCCAAACTGATGTTAAGCTGATCATTGACATAATGAGCAATATAAAAGTTAAAAGAATCTTGACATAGGCAAAACTTTCTTAGTAAGGATGTAAAACACTAAAGATAAATGAAAAATATAATCTGGATTTCATCATATTAAAAACTTCTGTTTATCAAATGACACAAAAATGAACAGTAAAGTGCAAATTGGGAGAAAATACTCTCAGCACAAGTGACCAGCAAAATACTTGCACCCAGAATACACTAAAGAACACTTGCAACTGAACAAGAAAACAATTTAAAGATGCATAAAATACTTGAACAGACATTTTACAAAGTAAAATATGTAACTAGCCAGGCACAGTGGCTCATGCCTGTAATCTCAGCACTTTGGAAGGCCAAGGTGGGAGGATTGCTTGAGCCCAGGAATTCAACACCAGCCTGGGCAACATGGCAAAAATATCAAAATTAGCTGGGTGTGGTGGCTCAGGCCTGTAGTCCAAGCTACTCAGGAGGCTGAGATGGGAGGATCACCTGAGCCTGAGGAGGTTAGTGAGCCATGATTGTGCCACTGCACTACAATCTGGGCGACAGATTGAGGCCCTCTGTCTCTCTCTGGCTATGTGTATGTATATATACATACACACACACACACACACACACACACACACACACATATATATGCACACACACATACATATATATGAGAGAGAGAATATATAGAGAGATGTCAATATGCTAATTAGGCACAATGAAATTCATACCTATATTCTTTTGATGCACTATTCCTTTGGGGTACAGCTAAACGTATATTATCTTTTAAGGTCTATTTAAAAACAAAGATAATAAACATTCCTTAAAGAGGAACATATCTGTTTATGTACTTATTGACTATTTACCTATATGTAACATTGAATATTAAATATTTATATATATAGAATATTTACACATGTGTAAATATTCCAATATCAATATTTGCATATAAGTAAATAGTCAATAAGTACATAAACAGATAATATATTTATTCTTAGGAAAATGAAAATTAAATTCACAATGATAAACCACTTTACACACTATGAACACCAAATATTCACAACGATGTGATACAAGTGAAATGTTAACACATTCAAGCGGAGTGTAATATCATTCAACCAACTTGGAAAATTGTAAATTTGTTATAATGTTAAATATATATTCAACACATAACCTGAAAATTCCAGTCCTAAATATTTATACAAAAAGATTTGTAAAAGAACTTTTATAGCAGCTTTAGTCATAATAGCCAAAAACTAGAAAAACCCATAATGGCCAAAAACTGGAAAAATCCATCAACAGGAGAATGGATATACAAATCATGATATATTTATTCAATGAAATGTTTTACAGCAATTAAAAAAAATTAAATTTTGATACATGCAATATCATGCTTGAATATCACAAACAGATATTACATAAAATAAAGCAAAAGAAAGACTGCATATTTTATGATTCCACTATATGAAGTTCAAGAACAGGCAAAAATAATTTATAACTATAGAAATCATAACTGTGGCTGCCTATGGGAGCCAGGAGCACAACTAGTGGAGAAAGTAATGGAAATGCTCTATGTCTTTATTGGGATGATGGTTACATCTGTCAGAACTCATTATTACACACTTAAGATTCACACATTACAAAACATTTACCCCAGTAAAAATATGTTCCTTTGGAAAATCCAAAAAGAAGCATGAGGAGTTATCTTGTGAAATGTAGTAGAACTGAGAGACAATGTTTACGGTCTATTTGAAGACAACGATAATAAATGTTTAGCTGCACTTCAAAGAAATAGTGGGTCAAAAGAATATAGGTATGAATTTCATTGTGGCTAATTAGCATATTGACAACTCAGCTGACCCTGCAAATACATATAGTAACCTGTTAGGATGTTTACAGTCCTGTGACTGATATGCTATGATTTATAAATTAATATACAAATCAAATAATTTATAAAGTAATATATACATCAAATAATTTAGAGTATGTCTTTGAATTAACTTAGTCTTATAAGAGTTTGGATAACAGATTAATATAATCCTAAATGCCAGTGTCTATCAATATTTTGTTAATGTTTCTACTCTAATAAATATATTTCTAAAGTTTAATTCTAATGTTGGTATTACTGTTGTGTATTCACAGAAATCTGGACAAATGATAGTGTCATGTACTAATCTATAAAATCCAATCCATGTTTTAAGTTATTGTGCAGCTCAACTTGCAAAGCATTTGGGATATTTTACAACATTGTGCTAATGAAGCATGGGTCATAAGAATAAGTTTAACAGTGTTATTTATTTCAATACATACTAACTCAAGATTTTCTATTTCTGAACATGACGGGTTAGAATAATTAAAGAGGTGTATGAAATAATACTTGCCTTTTTATCTGAAAGATTATATCCATGAGAAACATTTTAGGTGCTGATTTATTTGACACATACGAGTGAGAAACAGCTGTACTTGAAGTAGTGAATTATGCAAAAAAAAATTGTTATATAAAGGGTTAACATCCTGCATAGGAAACCAAACAGCTGAATTATGGTAATCAGAACCAAGACTGGATGAACTTTCACTGTGGATGGGATCACCTGAAGCACAGACAGTCGCCAGGACTCATTAAGATCAAAATTTGCTTTTTCTCTCTAAAATCTCTCAGTCTTAAACAGTACTATAGAACATAATAACTCCTCAGTAAATGGATGATGAATGAACAAACACATGAGATAAATGGGATAGGGATAGGGAATAGTGAAAAATGGGGTGCCACAGTGTGATTCTGGGCAGCTGAAAGAATGGCCACACCAAAGAGAAACCACTGACTTGAGGAGAGACACTGGTGGAGAGGTTGGCAAATTCTCATAGCATCAAGCAGTAAGCATTGAAATTAGAGATCTATCCCTTGCCTTCAGAAGACATCAATAGAATGTCCTTTCCTAGAGTTGTCAGGTTGAGAATATGTGGGAGATTTTATATCTATGTCATTGGATGTTACAGCATCAGAGTCGCAGTCGACTGAGCTGGTAGATCCTCCTCAGAGCTCAGTGTAAACAAAGTTTCTGATGTAGAGGGAATTGATATTGGGATAATGAAATGGACATAAATAATCAACCAATAAAAGAAAAGGACAGGAGGGCAGGCTCGAGTTCGAATTTAAGGATATGTCTTTTATATGTGTTCATTATTTTTGAAGCATCTTGCAGACTGACCATTCATCTGTGCAGCAGAGGAAAGATGTGGGGTCAACATTGTCCCATAAATAAAAATATCATTTTCTGAAAATTCTGCTGTATGAAATATCTACATATTAAAAATTTTAAACCAACTAAATATTTTTAAGTGAAGTAACTCCATCTCTCTCAGTAGCCTCCATCTCATCATACTACTGTTTTGTTTCCTAAAGTAAATCTTCAGCTGTGAATTATCCTAGAACTGTGAAGCTTGTGTGGTATATCATAATTTTGTCACAAGAAAATTAAAAAGGCATTAGCAGTATGCAAAAAGTTGTATGTTTTCAATCCACGCAATAAAAATAAATCTAAACTCTTTCCCTATGTATTTGTTATTGCAATACCCCATCAATCAGTAAGAAGGAAAGCAGACTGACTAATGAACCATAGTGTTCAAAATGGAGCCTACTCTTGCAGGCCCTATGGGGACTAGTAAGTATTGCTGACCCACAAACACATTCTTCAGAAACCATGAGGGTGCTCACTTTACATTCCTTCATGAGTTAGTTCAATATATAATTAATCTAGTTTTTCATTTCAATTTCATTTACATGGTATTATATGGTGGTAGAACTTTTGGGGAACTGTATAAAATAACATTTCTTTCCGGATTCCTCCAGACAAGTCTTTTTTTTTTCCAGCTCAGAAATACATATTTGGGAAAATTTCAGTTTGGGTATAGGCTGACAGAGTAATGGTTTCATCCTTTAGAACTAGGACCATATTCTCCTTTACATCATTTGAATATTAATTTTGCTTTGTAAAAGAGTATGCAAATTGAAGGGAGTTCTTATGGTCCCTCTGAAGTGATAGCTACTCCTCAACAGAGATGTCACTTGTGTTTACTTTGAGAAAATGACTTACATATTCTACATTTTATTTTTCTCCTCTGAAAAGTAGTATCATTGGAATAGAATGGCATTTCTCAAAGTAGGTTCTGTGGATGCTAGCTAGCCGTGTGTGCTGGTATAGAAAAACCTACTGCGTTGTGAGAAATTTTTAAAAGATGTTGCCATTTATAAGACCTTATTACAGAGGAAAGAAAAAGGGTAATATTTTTCATCCGAAAGTTGGAGATTCTATTCTCCAGTTCCCTAACATATCAGAATAAGGATTTCTCGCATATGTGAGTATAACCTTAAACATTTGCATTGCAATCAGCAGGGAGGTGGGAACTCAACTCTGAGCAGCAAAAGGGAAGACGGATTTTGTAATCATAAGTCAGCAAATTACAAAAGACTGTTTGGAAAGAGTTTTGCCAACATACATGTGAAACGGGGCCCAATATTTATACAGTAAAATATTAATCAGCTCATGATGTGTTTCTAGGGGAAAATAAGCTCTTTGTTAGTTGAGATTTTAATGTTTTGAATATGTGACATGAAGTTCTGTTGATTTTGGAAACCACTTATCTCTTCAGTGATTCTTTAAGCATGAAGGGTCCAGGGTCAAAGAATTCTGGCAAACAATGGTTCCTAGCCTTGAGAGATTCACAGTGCACATTGGCACATTGAAGGTTCTCTGTAAACTGTTTAACTCCATGCTTCCCAAACATGTTTGACCATGCAACCTATAACATGTACTTGCATCCCAGGTCTCCTTAGAGCAGTATTTGGGAAAAACCTCTGATGATTTCTAAAATCTAATATATATATATGTACAAAGTCCATTCAGGTTTAGTCTCTTGCAAGAATATATTAACATACATTTGTATGTTATATATTATGTATATAATATTAGATATTAGATATATAATATTAAATTATATTAAATTAGATATATAATATTAAATATTAGATATATATCAATATATAGTAGATATATTCTTACGAGAGACTAAACCTGAATGGACTTTGATTTGCAGCCTTCCAAACTAGTGCAAGTATATCTGAACAGTATTTCGGTGGTTTCTTTTAGTTTTCATATTACTCTCTCAAACATATTTCAATTGATCATCACAACTCCATGGTAGTTATTTTATAACCGAGTTTTACAATTCCAACTTGACATCAGGAAGCCAAAATACTCCAAAGACTTCTGCAAGTGATTTCAGTGAAAAATCATCTGACACCAGAAAAATAGTCATAACTGCTCAATTTGCAAGATCTTCTCTGGCCAGCACCACCTCTCTGCTTTCATTTCCCCAAGATTTTCATTCTTTGAAGGCTGAAATCCAAAATGCCCATGTTTCCTACTCAGGTCTTATGCAATAACTACCCTTTGGCTCCAAATGACTATTGTTTATCTCACTTTTTCAAGACATTAGAGAAATGTTGTATTACGGAAAGAACACTGTTTAGAGTTAGACACTCCTGGGTTCCAATTCTGGCTCTGAGAGTCATGAGTCTGAGGGCTTATGCAAGTTGCTTTCTGTAATCTTATTATTTTTCTTGAAAAGGGAACGATAACCCCTATGACTCCCAGGGATAATAGTGACTTGATATAGACACACTCAGTACAAATTATTTTCCCTTTACACCTCCCTTTCATTTTCTTTCTCATTATCAGAATTGTAAACAATTAAACATTGACATTATTTAGGTATTTATTGATATAAAACTTGAATAAAACAAATGATTAATAGCCTAAGGAAAAGAGCAATCATCTCAGTGCAACCATTACGCTCAGACCTCTCTGCAGGGTGCGATCTTCACTCTAGGACGCAAAAGCGGTGTTTTCCAAGATTCTGCAGAGCTTTTGTGTCTACAAGGGGTACAGCAATTTGCAATGGATTCTCATTTCTGAGACAGAGAAGTCTTAAGATCTTACTTGAAAAGGAGTTGGTAAATGAAGAGAAGGCCAAAAATCCACACCACTTCTTAGTGAAGCCCAGTAGCATTGCATGGTAGCATTTTGAAAAATAAAGGTACTCACTCATTCATTCATTCATTCATCTAAAAACATTTATTGACCACTTACCAGGAGTTGGGAGAATGAAAGAAATTGTGGTTTGTTCATCTTTATCCTTCAGTTACTGCTAACTCAGGAGGATGCCTTCCTGTGTTACGGGGGACAATGGAGTGTACAGTGAAAGCTACTCATGTAGCAGCCAGAACAGCAGAGGAGCATGTGGACAGGAATGGATGTGAGAAAACCTACTTCCTTATTGAATAAACTAGAGGGTTAATTATTCTCCCATAAACAGGGGCTTACTAACCCAAATTGATTTAAAAACAGCGAGTCTGGGGCGATTAATGTTTAATGAGAGACTCCAGAAAGTATCACTCATGAACTGTGCCTTATTTAGCAATGTACGACCACATTTTTATATATTGGATATATATTGGAAAGGATATATAATCTTGGATATATGTTACCCTTAAGTTTAGAAAGTAAACAAGAAAATTATGTGGCATGGCACTGCATATTAAATGTCAGAGAAGCAGAACTATATGTATTATGTATCTCAAACTTATTTGTCACCAAAGCCAATTTCTGAAATAAAAGATTCATAGTTGTTTCTTTTGAAGTTGCATAGAAATAACCTTTCCCAAAATTATGGGTGGCTTAGTGTGTAGGCAGTGCAGTCATCAGTGCTTTAGTTAATGTATGGTTTGTTTTGCAAAGAGTTTTCAACATTTAAAAGGAATGTTCATGAATTTCTAAATGCTATGTTTGCTGTAGCAAGACACTCAGAGTAATCATTACCTCCAGCTGTGATTTCCATCTTACCCACCACTGCCCTCCATGTGTACTTCTTTTAAAGTTGACAGACATTCTGCATTTTAACCTCCCTGACAATAATTATGTAGTTGGTGAGCAGCAACCATTCAGCTTAGGTGCATTTACTTTCTATTTAGTCCCAATTATATGATCATGAAGCACTTCAAGAGGTAATACAAAGTAAAGCATTATGACAATATAAAACTGAGAATTTAAGTGCAAAAGAGGAAAAAGTTATTTTCAGTGAAATAGAAGAAGAAGCACATCTTTTTATGGAGGTTCTTTTTTAATATAATAAAGTGCTTTGGAACAAATTATTCAAAATAATTTATAACGTTCCCATTAGAAAGTATACATAAACCATAGCAAAACCTTCTAAAATGTTAACATCTTCTGAATATTTTTATTTCTTAGCTATTAAAATGTTTTAACAATATCATCCCAAAACAGAGTTACTGCCTAGAAACTCCATGAAGATTTTTTCTTTTCCTGTAGGAACTCAGAGTGCAAATTATCCCATTTTAAGGCACCATCCAACATATCCTTTACAACGTTTTTTTTTTTCTTCAGGAATAAAACAAAATTAATGCAAAATTTTACCCAAATATATTCTACTCAAAATATGCAAATAAAGTCAGAAGCTTAACATATTAAAACTACGTAGAAATGTCTTCAGCATACACATTATATATGTATGCATATATACACAATTTATCATATATATTAGGTATGATGGACACATATATTTCTCTTCCAAAATATTCCACCACTCCAAGGTCAGTAAGATGGCAGAACTAAATTATTTCTCACTAAACCCAAAGTTAACAATTTGGAATTTGATAATTAAAAAAAAGTACTACCTATTGTTTTCTTATTAAGAATTTCCATAGAAATAATGATTAATAAAGTCAGTTATGTGTAGCTCACAAAAATGCGAGCTCAAAAGAAGTTTGACTTCATTATATAGACTACAGGTTTCATATAATTCAGATGTCTGTCGGATAAAGTCTATGTATATTTGTGTGTGTGTGTGTGCACATGTGTGTGTGTGCATGTGTGTGTTATTTTTTAAGACATTAGGATTACAAAGACACAGCTTCAAAAAAGGGATGGAAAATAGAAAATAATATCTTGATATCTTGGCAGTTTAAAGTAGTAGAGAATTTTCATAGGAACAAATGTGGTTTTGAATTGTGTATTTCTATTAAAAGTAGAATATACATTTTATATGTGTGTGTGTGTGTATATATATATATATATATATATATATATATATATATATATATATATTTAATTTCAGGTGAAGACCAGGTCAGAACACAAAATGAAAAAATGCTACTTTGTTTTGTCTCATTAGAATTGTACAGGAAAGACCTAAACTTGACAATGACTGTTTTCATAATTAAGTTAAATAGGAAAGTATATTACCTGGTCAAGATATTATAACATATATGAGAAACATGGAACCTCTATATGACAAAACCTATTATTTACTGGGCACTTTCCCAACCATACTGCTGTGGAATTTTCCTGAGCCTCTTCTCAATGGCTACAAGGGAATTGAGCACATAGAAAAATAATAGGAGAAGCCAAAATGGGATCAAATCCAAGCCATTATTACTGAACCTTTTTTTTTTTTTTTTTTTTTTGAGATGGAGTCTCACTGTGTCGCCCAGGCTGGAGTGCAGTGGCATGATCTCGGCTCACTGCAACCTCTGCCTCCTGGGATGAGCAATTTCCTAAGAGTATCCAGTGTGTTATCCTTGATAACCTTATCATTGATCCATGTTGAAGATCTCTTCATGTCAACAATCTTTACCTCTTTTATTATGTGTGTTTTGTGTATGTGTGTGTGTCTATATATATATATAACTTTTCTAGAATCTACTTATAATTGCCTTGCAATTCCTTTTAGATATGACGAGTCCTATTTTCTTATTAGTCCATTATATTTCTATTATGACCTCATATTTTTTAGTTATTCCTTCATAAGCAATAATTGCAATTTAAAGCATTGTAAGTTAAACTCTTTTCTCCTAGAGTTATGTTGTAAGTGGGAGGATTCACTCTTCGAAACCTACTTTACACAGAAAAATACCAAAACTGGTTACCAACAATAATAGATAAAATAGATTAGAAATGTAAGGTTTATAAATGTTTTTTCAAATATGTAAAATCAACTCCATATGTACAGTGGTCTCACTAGGGCTGTCTCACCCAGATATTCCAGGAGCATTTCCATGAAGAGTAATCATCACCAACTTTGTTGCAGGATAGCCCAATATTTTCAGACACACTAGCAGGCAGGAAAAAGGAATCAAAAGGCAAGACTCAGGCTACACACTCCTCTTTAGCCTATTGACAATGTCTTCAGGTTTTCATGGTTACAGACCAGGGCTGGTGGAATCTATGTGTATGTAAAATTCAGACCTAGAATGCTTTCTTTCTCTTTTTTTTTTTCCTTATCAATCTCCATAGAGTAAGTAGTAACATTTTTTATTGCTTTAGTGTGTATTCCAATTTAGAGATGTCCCTCTTGAATTTTCTATTGTTGATTTCATGGGCATAAAAACCTCAGAAAATCTCTGAATGCAATATTGCAGAATTTAGTTTCTCAGCTGTGAATATTACTTGGGAGAGAGAGGTAGTTATATACAGCCTTCAAAATGCAGATTCACAAGTCAAACTGCCTCAAGTCTGTACATGTAGTATTAAAACATACTCCCTGGTTCACTAGGCCCTATTTCAGAACTCCTCAGATAAAACTTAATGTCAAGACTTTAAAACCATGTAAAATGTCAGTTTTCACCCGAATGTATGGAGTCCAAGGAAAGCGCCACTGAGTACATGTGGGTTAGAAGTCTCTGTTTCTCACTGTGGTCTCTCTAATACTATCTCAGTCCATGAAGAGAAATCATTACCAACTGTGTTGCAGGATAGCTTGTTATTTTCAGACACACTAATAGGTAGGCAATGAAAATGAATCAAAATGCAAGATTAGGGCTGCATACCTGTCTTTAGCCAGTTGGCATTGCCCTTAGGCTTTGATATGCACAGATCAGAGCTGGTGGAATCTAGTTGCATCTTTCATCTTACAGAAGAGCACGTTCAGATTCCCATGGGGAAGCGGCCTTCCACTTGATACCAAACATTTAATTTTATCCAGTACAAAACTACACCTAATCCCTCCTTGGTAAACATGTGTTCGAGTCAGGGAGAAACATATACTCAGTAGCAAACTCAGTTCTACTCAAATTTATCTCCTGTTTAGAAGATAAGTAGAAATACAATTTTTGAGGGTTGCAATGACTTTGTCACTTACACATTTTAATTTTTCCATAATGTTTTGTTAGAGAAGTTTTTAATTTGTTCATCCTACAGAAAACAAGCAGCTATGTTGTTTAAATAGAAATTTACATAAAATGTGTTTATTTAAAGCTAAATATTTAATAATCCAAATGAGGAGGACAGGCAATAAAAACATACTTGTGGGATGTATGTTCTATTTCCTTCAATTTTAGAATGGAAACTCTTACTTTCAATAAAGTACCAAAAGACTATGTAGCAGTTCTTGTATTTAGACCCTCTTAACCAGGCTTTCAGAGAAATAACGGATCAGAATGCTGGCTCTTATCAGTAAAATACATTTCATGGTAAATTCAGAAAGAAAGCATTGAGTAGAACAGATGTATGCTCTTTAAGGACCATTTATTCCACCAATCCTATTAAAAATAATAATGCAGCTTCTCTCTCTTTATAATATTTTGAGCCTTCTTTTGCTATACATAATGCCATAAGTTAATACTTTACATGAAAACCTATTTCCAGGGAAATCCTGTTGGGCTGCTGAACTACAGCAAACTCTAATCTCTGGAAGAGAGGGCAATAGCCACAAGGGATAACATTGTCTACATTTTAAATAGCGGTTGCTGTTTTCTTTGTGTTTAGTACAAAAAATGAAGGAATAAAGGAAGAGGGCACTTTCAAAAGACTTATTGGGAACTAAAGAAAATATTAAAAAGAAGGATAATTCCCCTAAATAGAAAATCAAACCACCCAAGCCCAGGTTGGTGAAAACTGATGTTATTTTATTCAATTGAAAAAATAAACTCTAAACACAAATATGGCATGTAATGAACATGGAATTGTAGTCTTAAAAACATTTCAATTTAAGGCAGGCAGTTTATAAAATGAGGGCATACATATTCATGCAATGCAATTATTTGTCAACATTTTTACAAATAATTTTATAGCTTCCTCCCACACACACATTCAGAGGGCATAGATGAATGAGGAACCACTTCAAAGGAGGAAAGACTGTTACAAACAGTGGTAAATGTGGTTTTCTTCTTTCCCACTATCTTTCCCACCCCGACTCTTCTAAAAAGAACGAACAAACAAAACCCTTTCTAGAAACAGGAGCCCAAGAGGAAATCTCAGTCTGCATGCTAGCTGCTAGGGGATGGAGACACAATAATGAGCATAACACAGTTCCTCCCTTCAAGGAAATTATCAGCCAGGGAAAGAGAAATCTACAGGCTATTATAATGCAGCACACCAAATTCTCCCCTCTGAATACTGTATTTTCTGACAGCAAATCAAACTGCTAAGAATGCCTGGAATTTGAAAAGACACAAAAGGTTTGGGTGTGGAAGGGGGGATAGGGTTGGCATAAAGGTGAATTTCATATATCATCTGAGATCAGGAGATGGATCAAGATATTCTACAACTACCTGTCTCAGTGCCTTATCTCCACTCCTGCATTTCTCACACCCATCCCCTCATTCAACCTCATTTGTTTGTGTTTTGCAGATAGTTCTTCAAAAATAAGCAGATAAAATCATTGGGAAAATTTTCACTACAGCATGCCTGCAAGGTAGTATTTCCAATAGCCTCCTCATCGCCTTAAACCAGTATCACAGGCTATTGAGTAGAAGTTTCATCTGAGACATTAGGATAACTAGACAACAGGCCAAGACAAAATGCCATACCAACAAATATATTTTCAAAGGAAATTGCCAAGTAAAATATAAGTTTAGAAGTGTGTTTTACTTATATCCACATTGAGAATCTGAAAGAATCAGGAGCGAATGCTGTGGGAGAATTCTTAAGAAAGATTTCCATAGTAAAAGAAATTCTACAGGAACCTTCTACATCCAGAAAGGGAGATAGAAGACTCTCTCCTCTTTAAGTCAAAAGGGATGAGATTCAAAGGGAACACACCTTACAGTAAAGTGACCCAGTGGACTAGTACCTGCCTTCCATCTAGGAGGCTCGGTTAACCAGAGACGGGCTGGAAAACTGCTTCGGTGGTGGAGAGACTGAGAGTTGCTTCTGTATTGGGCCTGGGCTATCATTCCAGAGTTTGAATAGTTAAAGAGTGCACAAGAGTTTCCTGTTGATCAGATGTGGGCTCATATGAAAGAGAAATCCAACTTGGAAGTATTTAAAATTGCTGAAAAGAACTAGCCTGAGAGATACCATCTGGGAAGGCATTCAAACTCCAACAGAGAGAATCTGGGTAGAAGAGACTTCTGAAACACTAGAACTTAGGAGCCAACAGTAAACGAGAGGAAAAAGCAGCACTCACATCAGGGAAAGGGTGACCATACCTAAGCAGTGGGGGCCTCTGGAAACCCAGAAAATAATCTTTCAAAGAGTCAACTTTGAACAGTTGCCAAGTCCACAGAGAGCATGCCAGCTTTTGACACTACCAATCAAGTAAAAATTTCCTAACTTCTTCCTCCTCTTCTTTCCCTCAGCCTGCAGGGTCAGAAACCAAATAGAGCAAAAGAAGGAGAAGAGGAATAAATAAAAATCCTGGAGGCTGGGCGCGGTAGCTTATGCCTGTAATCCCAGCACTTTGGAAGGCCGAGACGGGTGGATCACCTGAGGTTAGGAGTTCGAGACCAGCCTGTCCAACACGGCAAAACCCTGTCTCTACTTAAAACAGAAAAAAAATTAGCCGGGCATGGTGGCCGGCACCTGTAATCCCAGCTATTCGGGAGGCTTAGGCAGGAGAATCGCTTGACCCTGGGAGGCGGAGGTTTAAGTGAGCCGAGATCGCGCCACTACACTCCAGCCTGGGCAACAAGAGCGAGACTCCATCTAAAAAATTTAGAAAACAGGGCACAAAATGACTGCATGTCCTGTCAGTGTTACACTGGAACATTATCTAAAATGTTTACTGAGGAGGAATGAATCCTTATTTGACTTAGCTATCTCTCCTGATTACGGGTCAAACTCTGGAATTTGAAATTAACTTACAGATTTCTGTCCAGGAAAAAATATAACCTGAAATGGTTCAATTCAAGGGCAACAACTGCTTAGGAAATTAGAAAACTTAATTCAACTTTCTTTCCTTAAATGAACATGTCTATTCCTCAATATTGTTAAACCAGCTTTATCATTCTGTTGACTCCCTCATTAATAAGTTACACGCAGTTTTGAAATGTGCAGACTTTATAATTGCATAAGAATCATGTTTTAAACTTTTAACAAAATAATTTGACATAGAGACAATCTTTCTCTGTCTCTCATTGCCAACCATCAGCCTGCAGCAGAAATCCAGCCAAGGAAAAGGAGAAGATCTAGTGATAATTCAGTTCCAAAGTGTTCATTTCTACATGTGACTGTCCTTCTAATTTCTGAACTGCTAATTTAATGAGCAACAGAAAGTGACTTTAAAAGTTTCAGTTACCTGAAAGTAATCATAAATGTCATACATCTGTCAAACTTACCGTTCTAGAGATGGAGGAATACTTCCTTAAATGTATTATTTTTTTAACTAAAGGAACAAGAAGAGATTTAACAAAACAACGTTACTTTTGATTTGAAAAACCTCATTAGTTCTGTTTCTCCTACTTACATTTAACTCCTTATCTCCTAAACTAAAGAATGACAGAGGAGTTTACATGATTTACTAAGAAAAAACCAGAACAGACATTTCTTTGTTTTTCTCTCTTCCCTGATGTTTCATCTTGGTGAAAAAAAAAAGTTTTTGATGTAATTGATATAGCTTTCTATCAAATATAATATATTTAAATTCACAAGCACTATACAAGCTAGAAGATAGATTGAATTGGGTATTCATAAAATATCAAAAGCAAGTTCCAAAAGCAATAATGTACATCAGGACAGTTTCTTGTGAATTCCACTTCATCCAAGTGACACCAATAATGCATATATCTTGAGCAATTATAAAAGCAGATGGGATTTTATTATATATTTCAGCATATCAACAAGAAAGATGACGATAACCAAAGTTGATATGAGCTATAAAACCAGGCACAGGTTATGCTGCAGAAGATGTTAACATTTTAATGCCCCAAACACAAAAAGTCAAATAAAATAAAATGCAGAGCTACAAAAAAAATGAAACTTGATAAGATACCCTTTCATTAATATAATATTTGAATATTATACAAAAAAAGGACATTTAATTTAATAAAAGCCGCAACACATAGGTACTTTACGATACACGTGACTTACAGTTCACAAAGGAAGAAGTATAATCCTTGGAATCAGGTCAGAAATTTGGAGTCAGAAGATATACAGAGATTCAAGTTCTATAGCTGTGGAACTTGGAAGGTAAAAATTACTTCAATTATGTTAGCCTCCATCATAATACCTATTGCAATGTTTTTTGAGTATGTAAAGTTCTTCATATGCTTCTAAATACTGTGCTCATGTTAATAATTATTAAAGTTTCTGTTTTATACATATTTTTCACTCTTGGAGAAGGAGTGTCAGAGTAATATGGAGCATTTTTCTGGAGGTTGTAATTGATTATGAGGAGAAGACATAATGTACCATCTTTGAAAGCTCCAATCTGATTAACTGAGACTTTTAACTGCAGAAATGAAGAAGAACATGGAGAGCTGTAAATGGAGGGCTCTCTGCTGCTGCTTCTGTACACAGCTTCTGCTCATTTCTGGCCAGTGAAACACAAGGAACACAAATCACTCCCAAGACAAGAAAGAGCTAAGTGCAGCAGCTGTTATCACCCATGAGCACTAGCTCCCAGATAGCAGCACTCCCAGCAATACACTCTCTGGGTCCAAAGCAGGCAAGTGCTCAGAGTTCTGGACCTCATGGAAAGCGCTTCTTCCCTCCTTCTTTGTTTCCCTGAACCTACTGAAAGCTAACGACAGAAGCAGCAGAAATTTAGGGATTGAAGTCCCATCATTCCACAGGACCGACATGGCTGAGGTGACAGAGTAGCCTTTGCTAATATTTAGCTCGAAATGGCTGATGAGAACAAATAGATAACATCTTACTTTTCAAACTGCGGCTTCTTTGAGTTAAGTAGAGCACAGAAGATAAAAGGAGAAAGAAGCTAAAAATCAGAAAGAGACAAACGAGGAACACAGTTTCCAAAGATTGTAACAAAATATCTTGTTTTTTTGAGATACATTTTAGAAAAAAAATGATTTGAATTCAAATATTTCATTGCATAAGAAGATATTCTGTAGCTTGTTAAGTAAAAACTGAACAGCAAAAAAGAACAAAAACCAACATATGTAATCCTATAAGCAGCAAACATTAATTTTTGACCATTAAGTAATTCACTGTGTTAAATTAGTTTCTCCAGACCTTTCCTGTACAGTCCTGAGAAATATAATATCCTGAAAGGTAAACCCAAAATAATGTATCAGATAATAAGCACATTGCAGATTTATAACTGCTGTTTATACTTTTGGATAACAGTGAATGTGCCACTTACTCAAATGTGTGTTATGTGGTGTTCAAGGTGCCAGCTCTATGCTATGGAGCAAGCTTTTCAGCTTTGGAGGATGACTACGCAAATTACTTAAAGAGCAGCTAATCAACATTTTTTTAAATGTCCACATAGTATCTAGCAGTTTCTACATTTTTGACATAAAACAAAGTAATATGAAAGTGATAAATTCCAACCTGTAATGTCTGTACGAGTAAAGTTGCCAATGATCGGGTTCTACCTAAATATATCTACACGGATTTCTGTTACAATTATATTTACCCAGGTGACATCAATTATATTAAGAATCGAAGGTCATTTCTTCACACTCCTACAAAAAATAACCCAGAGTAAATTTTGTTTTTAACAAACCCTCATGTGTATTAACGATGCCTCAGAGCAGCACTAGGATTTTAGCCATTTAACAAGACAGCTTCCAGATCCTGACTTGAATGTGTCCTCCGAATTCAACTGAGGAAACAAAGGTTTTTACTGCACAGCAAGATTAATGTAGAATTTTATTTTTCACAATCTTGATGATCAATATTTATTAAAGATATGTTTGACCAAACATTTGTTCATACTAATATCCATAAACCTAAAGCAAACATGTTTTTTTTTTTTCCACAACAATGACACTTTGTATTTATAATGACATCTTCTTTTGTTCTTGTGAAGGGATCAAGCTTAGGATGAAACATCCTGAAGACAATCATAATAAAAATAGCTACAGAATATGGAAATTGAGACTCCACTTTGCAGGCAGTTAAAGCATCTATAAAACATAACAAGGTAGGAAGAGCAATGAGCTGGGTCAGAATGCCAGCACTGCCAGTGAAGAGTGGCCTGACCTGCTGTGTGTCACTTGATGCTTGGAACCTCTGTTTAGCGACCTGGAAATATAATTTGGATGTTTATCCCATCCAAATCTCATGTTGAAATGTGATCTCCAATGTTGGAGGTGCTGCCTAGTGGCAGATGTTTGGTTTCATGGGGTAAATCCCTCATGAATGAACTGGTGTCATTCCCTTGCTGATGAGTGAATTCTCATTCAGTTAGTTCACATGAGAGCTCGTTGTTTATAAGAGCCTGACATCTCTTCTACTCTTTCTCTGGCTGTATGATATGTCTTCTCTCCCTTCTCTGCCTGCCATGATTGTACGCTTTCTGAGGCCTCACTGGAAGCAGAAGCTGGCACCACACCTCTTGTATAGTCTACAGAACCATGAGGCAAAATAAACCTCTGTTCTTTATAAATTACTCTGCATCTGGTATGCCATTACAGCAGTGCAAAATGCACTACCACGCTTGGAATCTGAGGTTGTTAAAAGAGGTAACTCCAAAAGTCTTCATAGTTCTAAAGTCTTATATGGAGGTATGTTAAGTTATAAGTGGCAAAGTAGCAACAACCCCATTTCCTCCAAAAATCAAAACCTTTACAATTGATGATTCCTCTCTCAGTAACTCACCTTCAAAAATAGGAAGGCTGCACATCTAAAAACAAAAAATCAAACCTATAAGTTTTAATTACATCTAAATTTATAACATATGCATAAGAACAATTTTTAAATCACATTAAAACTACATAGTAGTTTGACATATTTGCATATATAATTTGTTAGTTACGTGTATATACATTATGTATAACTATCCCATGTTATTGGCACATTTGTTCATTTCTCCTACATATGAACCTAAAGTCAGACGTTAAAATTGAATGCATGTTTATCTAATGAATAATAGATGGCTGCTAGGCATATATTTCATGTTGCAGAATATAGTATCCAAGGTAGTGACCCACAACTATTTCAAAAACATTTTCTATTCAGACATGATACAAATACCTCTTCTTGTTCACAGGACCTACCATCTTATTATGAGTTGTAAACCTGCAATATTTAAAGTCAAAGCTGTCTGCATTTCAATAGAAGACACAATCAGAATAACTAAGTGCATCAACCATATTAATTTGCAATGCTGGTAGGTACTATAAACTCAGAGGAAAGTAATCAATTCACCATGGAAATAATGTTGATCTCTTAGCCTTATATCACTTTCACCCTGGAATTATTCCACTGCCATCAATCAGAAGGAGAAATACAGCATATGAGGAAGCAGAAACCATCAAGAATTCATAAATAGAAGCAATCTCTGCATATGGTTTTCTAGAAATAATATACTAAAGTCCTGAACAGTAAGAGTCAGTACAATCAAATGCAGTAGCTGAGTAAGTGAGTTACCACACAATGTGCTTCCCAGTTCAGCAAATGGAATAAAAGTTTTATCTTGGTCTCTCACTCTCTCTCTCGGAAAAAGAAAGGTTACCTGTGATGCTCTATAAGTTACTACAACAGAGACTATTTCATTTGCCCATGAAATGGAATTGGAGACTTACTTGTTTGCTACATCATTCTCCCCTCCTCTGCTGAGACCATCAGTGAACTGAAGCATCCGTTTTTCCATTTATACAAATATTGTGCTTAGTGACTGTGGGGCAGGTGTCCTGCGGGAGGGAGTCGGTAGCATTGGGAAATGATGGAATCCACTGTAATAACGTAACATGAGGGGTTCACAGCCTTCCCATTAGAAGCAGGAGAGGAACCAGCCTCATCTAATCCTTTTTAATTACATTCCCTTTGAGGATTCTCTGGATAATGGCCTTCAGGCTACCTACCACATTTTCGTCAATATGCAGCATCTTTAGCAGGAATCTGGAGATATTTATCCTTCAAAAAGCACATATAGGCTTTGACAGAGTTGAGTTGAGCTTTAAGAAAACAAAGACAATATTCCAAAACAAATTTAATGATTAGTAAATGGCATCTGTGATATGGACTATTTATTGAAAAGGAAAAAAAAAAAAAGACCAAAAAGTGATGAAGGCACATTTCCCAGCACTTATTTTTAAAGGATGAAGGTGAAGACCAGATAACTTGGTATTTCTACATAACTGTGTTATGAAGAAGAAATAAAAGTTGTTGGGGCCAGGTGTGGTGGCTCACACCTGTAATCCCAGCACTTTGGGAGGCCAAGGTGAGTTGGTCACCTGAGGTCAGGAGTTCAAGACCAGCTTGACCAACATGGTGAAACTCCATCTCTACTAAAAATACAAAGAAAAAAAAATTAGCTGGGCATGGTGACAGGTGCCTGTAATCCCAGCTACTCAGGAGGCTGAGACAGCAGAATCACTTGAACCCAGGAAGCAGAGGTTGCAGTGAGCCAAGATCGTGCCATTGCACTCCAGCCTGGGAGACAAGAACAAAACTCCGTCTCAAAAATAAATAAATAAATAAAATGAAATTAAAATTAAAAAAAAAAGTTGTTGGATGCTGCTGTAGGCAACACAAAATTCAAGACTCAGTTTGCCTTGAATTCTTCAGGAATATGCTGAATAATCTATATATTGAAGGTTTAGAACAGTGTAATGATGCATTTGATTAGATTTTGACTAATTCAACTATTCACTTATTTTCAATTGACTCATCTCAGTTAATACGAAGCATGAGAGGAAGGAGGGGGAAGGAGAAGGAGAGGGAGGGAACAGGGTGAGAGAGAGAGAGAGAAGGAAAATAAATCTTGAATCTTGATATAACATGGATTTTTCTACTTAGGGCCTCAGTGAACCAGAAACTGGAAAGCTGTGCTCTTTTTAAATTTATGGTTTTAAAAGATTTGGGATGCCTGGATCCTACAAAATGCATGGCTACATGAAGAAATATCACTCAATATATCTGAAAAGGAGACACAAGGAAGACTCTTCCTTCATCAAAATTGTAGTAATTATCCAATCCATTAATGAAAGAGCTGCCTAGAAGCAGAGAGAGAATGCAGTCAATCTACTTTGCCTTAAGAGACAGGCTTTCTCTATTGTTTTCTTTTTCTTGTGCCAGTTGTTTCTTGTCATCACTAATGAATGATATTGGTACAATGGTAAGAATTAGGGTTGAGGTTAGAGTTTGAGTTCGGGATCAGAATAGTGGCAAGAAACTTACCTTAAACTTATATTGATTTCAATATCTACAAGTGCCTATAGGACATTTTCATGTGGGTGTCCTTCTACTACCTCAGCATTCTCAAAGCCTAACCCATGATCTTCCTGAAACACAGACCCTTCTTCCAACTTTACATAAGAATTTCACCATTACTTTGTCTTCCAACTTATAAACACCAGTTGTCTTATCTCCCTCCAAAATTTGTCTCTAAATCCTGTCAGTAGTTTGTCTGAAAATTTCCTAGTCATATCCATACCATCAATTTTTTTTTTTTTTTTGAGATAAAATCTCACTCTGTCACCCAGGCTGGAGTGCAGTGGTGTGATCAGGGCTCACTGCAGCCTCTGCCTCTGGGGCTCAAGTGATCCTCCCATCTCAGCTTCCTGAGTAGCTGGGACCACAGGTGTGTGCCACTATGCCCAGCTAATTTTTGTTTATTTTTCTGTAGAGACAAGGTCTCGCTGTGTTGCCAAGGCTGGCCTTGAATTCCTGGGCTCAAGTGATTCTCCCACCTCAGACTCCCAAAGTGCTAGAAATCCAGGTATGAGCCCAGCCTCTTTCTAATTTTTAAGGTCTTTCTCAGCTCATCCCCAGGACAACTAAGTACAGACTTGCACTATCACAGCATGCATTGTGTCAAAAGCTGCTAAATAATCTTTGTTTTCCTCATCCAATTTATTCTACACATGGCCAGTAAACAAAAGGTCTTGTTTATATCACATTTTTGTTCATAGGTCCATACCACCTCCCTGCTGCTTTTGAACCAAAGTTAAATCTCGCTTGGTTTTGAAGCTCTTTACAAACTGCATCTCCCCTTCCTATCAAAAATACAAGTGCTCTCCATATCCTTGTCATCTAAATGCATCCTAGGCTCGAGAAAAACAATCTTATCATAGCAAAACCACATACCTGTTGATATCTGTGCTTTGACTCATGCCATTCCCCACCTGGAAAGGCTTACTCTTTATGCCACCTAGTACACCAACTCATTCAACTAGCTTCTGCTTAAGTCACCTTGCATCTATTTTTTTCTTAGATTATCATTACTTCTTAGAGTCTGTCTCTTTACTGGGATTCAACTGTAATTACAGTCTAAACCTGTCCACTTAGCACTTAATATATGTTCTTACTGTAATTTTTGCCTGTATATTGATATCCACCCACACAGTAGCCAGTTCAATATGTAGAAGTCACTAAATCTATGCTTAAATCATTAATCTATTAATACCAAAAGTGCTCTAATATATACTAAAGTCGAGGCCTGAAGTACAGGTAGAAATGAAGAAGATTAATGAGTGTTTACAAAACTGAAATTCTTTTGAAAGTGAAGCAAAGAACATTTACATTTTTCCAATTATATTTTGGCTAAGTACCTAGTATGTGTAAGAAACACACTGAGTCAATGGACACACACTGATTAAATGATCACACCGTCCCCTATTCAGTCTTCACAACCACCATGCTAGGTAGGTAATTAACTAGCTACATTTTAGAGCAAAGAAAATGACTTCAAGAAAAGCTATCTGACTTGCCCAAGACTGTCCACTGGTAGATGGTAGGACCAAGATACATCTCAAGGTTTGTCTCACTCTAAGTATGGTGTTATTTTTTCTGCCTAATTAGACAGGATTTAGAAATATAGGAGAGAATAGACTTTTAAAATGGAGAATACATATAAAAATTAGAGAATGAAATACTAGCCTCTGTTATCCTTTTCGTGTAGGAAAGGAAACCAGCCATTATCTTTTTCAAGCACAAAGACTTTCACCTTGTCACCTACCACTCCAGGATTTACGTCTAGACAAAAGAAAGTGTGGCTTCCCAGCTGCCAGCTGATGACCACTTCTCCAGAAGAACAGTAGAAGCTGCTTGGAGAAATGACATCTCTACTATTTCCAAATCAGTGCCCCTTACAAACATGTAGGCAATTTTTTTCTTTCTTATTGAGGATTTCTTATCATTTTAAAAGAGGAAGTCCACATATGGATTAAGGGTCTCCAATTCCTAACATTCTATATCATCTACCCTGTTTTCAGGCTGTTTCCAGGAAGTGAAGAAGAGAATGTCACAGAGATGCTAGGGAACTAGGTACATGGAAGATTAGGAGGGGGAGGTTCTGGAGAGAAGGAGTAGCTTTTTAGTCCCAGGCTGAACAGTCTGGAATTTGTTTGATAGGCAACCGGGAAATATCCAATATATTCTGCAGGATGGTAACATTATCCTAAAGAGATGCCACAATTCTCCAGGTAGCCATGAATAAAAATAAATAGTCTATTTTTGTTGCAATCCAATATTATAGTTGAATAGCAAATTAGATCAAAACTTTACATTTAAAGAACATCATATTTAATTACTACGTATTTAACATAAGGTAGGACACATAATTAAGATGCTGATGTTCACATCTCCACATCTTAAACATGCACACACTCAAACACACATACACAAAGAATGACAAAGTCTATCCCTCACATTCTAGGAAAGAAAATGTGGAAAATATATGAAATAAGATATGCAAAAATATTATGTAAAACAAATTTATAAGCAGTGAGACTCCACAGAAGGGTATTTTGTATGCCATTTTTATTATGGGCCAAATGGAAAGAAACAGTACTGAAAAGTAAAAAATAAAAAATAAAAAATAAAAGAAATAAATCTCAAATTTTTAGAAATACTGTGATTCACTATCCCTCACATTCAAAAATGTTTATAGTAGATTTATTCTCACAACCAGAAGGGTCTTCCTTATATACAGATTCCCTAATGCTACAGTTTTTATCCACTTTCCAATTTTCTCACTTCCAACAAGTTGCAAGTGGTTATCATTTTCTGTATAATAAGCTATCTCATTTTTTAATAACTTTATTAATAACCTTATGCTTCAAAGTCTCAATTACTCTAGTCTCTTTAGTCTTTTCTCATAATACAACATTCTATGGTCTTTATAATTTGCCTAATCAGAAATTAGGTTAAAAAAAAAAACCTTTTTGGTTTCCTGATCACTATTAAAAAAAAGTAGAGAAAGTCGGAAATCTTGCTAACACATGCACATATTGATTAAATGCAGATGAAGCCTATGGTATTCATTCTGATTAATCATGAATAGAAATAATATATTACATAGTTACTCTATACAACCACCAACACTTTAATATTCTGTGTGGGGTTTTTAAGGATTTCAGTGATGAAGGGAAGACAGCAACACTAAGAGGACAAAGAGCACTCAGCTGAATCTAGAGAATGTTTTGCTGAAGTTGCATGCATTGTCAGAGCAACACCTTCACTCATAGGCTGCAGCACAGAATCTGTAATGAGCTTCATCTACTTTTCAACCAACTTTTTAATTTGTTTGTGCCTAAAGGATAATGTGTCTAATTCTTTTTTAGGTTTTGCTCTCTGTTATTCCTCTCTCTACTTCCAAATTCTGCCGTTAGCTTTAAAACTTATTTTCCTACAAATGTGGCCATTACTTTGTCCTAAATTTCTGTCTTATGTGTGCACCACATTGCAGTTTAGGTTGCTTTCCCTTTTAAATGTTGATTACTGCTTTTAAAATTTAAAATAAGATGCCACTAGTCTCTGTCCAGAGTCAAGGGGTCTGAGCTCAGTCAACTGATCTCACCCAAGTGCAAGAAGAATGATGCTCCACTTATCACTAGGAAGCCAGGCCACCACTCCATTTTCCTTCGATTTATTGGTGCCCTTGAACTGACTGAGAAGTAAGCAGATAGGAACTGGGCCAAGTCAAAAAGTCTATGTAGTGGAGTGCTAATAAAAATGGCCCCAGTTTTCCCCCTCCTTTAAACTAGCTCTTAATTTTGCAGCTCTTCCCATCAAGTGGCATCTATTTCTCCACTTACTGAATCTGGGCCGAACTTCTGAGTTGCTTCAACCAATAGAATGTGACAGAATAGGAGTCTGGACCTCAAAACGCCTTGTGCACTTCCTCTTTTTCAGCTTCCTGACATTGCTGTGAATACAAGCATGGGTTAGCTCATTAGAAGATGAGAGACCACATGGAAAATATCTGATTTATCAAAGCTGAGGCCACTCTAGATCAGCCATCCCTCAGTTGACCTACCAACCCACTGCAAGTCCATGAAGGAGACCAGCAGAAAACCGAAGCCCAGCCAACCTACACACTCCTGAAAAATAATAAGCAATGGTTGTTGTAAATCATCAAGTTTAGGGATGATTTGTTAGGCAGCACTATTACAGCAATAGCTAAATAATATAGTATGGATGGGTATCCTTCATCCTAGAAATTCAGGAAGTAAAGTGCCATATGCTAAGTGAAGTTTTTAATGAACAATAATAAGAAGGGCTCAAACTCTGTAAAGTGTTTGCTTTAGTGAAGGCTAGTAATCTGGAGGTTATGTCTCAGTCCTACTAAGCTGTAGGGAACTTGAACAATATACCCCAGAACTTTTCTTCCCACAGCTCATCCAACTAGTTTTCCTTGGGTCCCTTTCCTATCTTGGAAGCTCCTTGAAAAACAGCTCCCAGGAGACCAGGGTCCACCTAGTGTAGCTCTCCTCCCTAGGACTTCTATGTAGAAAATTATTTCCCTTTCTTTTCTTGAGAAAGTAGTTCTTTCTTTCTTTTATCTTCTTAGGTCTATGCTTTTCTAGTTCTTTCACAGTAGGAGTTGATGGCCCAATAATGCCAGATCCCAAATTATTGGAAACTCAAAAGAGCAGGGAGGTATAATCTCCAGATGTTGGGGTTTTAGCTAACACAGCAAAGAAAGGAAAGAAAAGCTTTCGTATTAAAATATTTAATGTTCATATTCTGCCAGTTGGCCTTCAAAGTTGTCCCTCAGATAATATATCAAATAACTCTAAGATTATATCACAAAAGTCAGTCTTCTTAACTTTGCTTGACATACTCCTGCCTTTAAGATTTGAATATTGGTCATAACATTCCTCCAGGATAACTCTGAACCACATAATACAAACATATTAAATATTCACTGTGATCCTGAGACACTTGGTTTATACCTCTGTTGCACTCTTATCTTCTTGGATCATCATTATAAATGTCAGTTTATTTATCCCTTGCTAGTTTGTAAACAGATCAGCATTAATTCATTTGGATATCCTTAGTATTCAGCATAGAACCTAAAACACACAGGTGCACAAAGGTGCATTTAAGTTCAATGAATATGTTAATTTGAAAAAGTCTTTAATTTCTGGTAGCGACCCTTGTCAAATTTGTTCATTCTCCAGTAAGCCCATTTATTTGATGAGTTTTAATTGTCCCCCTCTTTACTATTCTTGTCTTGCATGATACTGTACTTTTTTTCCTCCATAATTTCTTTTTTTTTTTTGAAGCATCCTAGAGGTTTTAACTTCTAATAAGGTAAATATTGATAACTGTAACCCATATGAATAAAAAATCCTCTTTGTGGTCCTCAAAATATTTTCTTTAAGAGTAAAGAGTTCTTGAGACCAAAGCATGAGAAAGCCACATAGATTATCCTCAGCCTTGTTACTAGGCTTAGTTCTTCCTCATAAGGAACCTCTACTTTGGAATTCCAAGCACATATATAAGTCCCTGGCTTGGCTGAGGTTACTGGTTCTTCTTGCTCTTTTTTCTTTTATTTTTCTAATTTTTAAGTTCTTTTTTACTCCGCATTTCCTTTTCAGTTTGTTGCTTTTGTTTATTTGATTTTTGTCCAGCATTGTGTTTTGCTTCCATTATAGAGATCCGTTCTTCAGGTGAACTATGCAAGTGATTTTCTTTTCAGGTGATTTGGACCAAGCTTCTCACCAGCTTTTCCCAAAATTAAGCTGACCTGGGACACCTCGACTCCAAGCCCAGTAGTAAGTCCCACATGCTGCAGGGCCTCTCAGCCATCTCTGTTGAGGAGGGACCCTTACTGGCAGCTAGGATCCTTGAGACCATATTTTAGTTATATAGTTATAGACCATAACTATTTTTTTTTGTTTTTCCTCTGTACTTTCAATTAGACTAAATGTACCTTTCCTTCTCCTTTTGATCATTCCTACTACAATAATTCTTTTTTAAGGACTCTGACAAAGTTAGTCTCACTGAAAGAATTTTATACAGTGTCTTATGAACCTGTCGGGACTGAGGAACACACATTTTGGACAAAAATAATATGTTTTCAAAAACACTGATAGATGTTATCTTTGTTACAGGACTTTGCAGATGCTTTAGTTAAATTCACATTGTGAATCTTCCAAAGGAGAACATGGTATGTACACTTTCCCAAATTATGAATAAGATAACTTCTGTTATGCATATTTTATAAGTCTTGCTTCTCGGAATGAATTCTAAGTTTCACTGATTTTAACTGTTTATTTGATTAGTTGTCTTAAAGTTACATTCAGAACTCCAATAACAATGTCTTCTTTTTCAAAAACGTATTCCTAGCACATTTCTCTGTACTTCTGCTGTGTCCTTCCCAGCCTCTGGTAACCATCCTTCTACTCCCTATGTTCATGAGTTCAATTGTTTTGATTTTTAGAACCCACAAATCAGTGAGAAAATGTGAAGTTTGTATTTCTGTACCTGGCTTATTTCTTTATTTCTTTTCTTTTCTTTTTTTTTTTTTTTGAGACGGTCTCTCACTCCGTTGCCCAGGCTGGAGTGCAGTGGTGCAATCTTGGCTCACTGCAACCTCTGCCTCCTGGGTTGGAGCAATTCTCCTGCCCCAGCCTCCTGAGTAGCTGGGATTACAGGTGTGCACCACCATGCCTGGCTAACTTGTGTATTTTTAGTAGAGATGGGGTTTCGCCATGTTAGCCAGGCTGGTCTTGAATGCCTGACCTCAGGTGATCCACCCACCTCGGCCTCCCAGAGTGCTGGGATTACAGGTGTGAGCCACCGTCCCCGGCCTGTACCTGGCTTATTTCAAGTAGCCTAATGATCTTCCGTTCCATCTCGGTGGTTGCAAATAACAGGATCTCATTCTTTTTTTCTGGCTGAGCAGCACTCCATTGTGTATATGTACCACATTTTCTTTATCCGTTTATCTGTTAATGGACACTAGGTTGTTTCCAAATCTTAGCTATTGAGAATAGTGTTGTAACAAACATGGGAGTGCAGATATCTCTTCAATATACTGATTTCCTTTCTTGTAGATATATACTCACCAGTGGGAATGCTGGATCATATAGTAGCTCTATCTTTTGCATTTTGAGGAACCACCAAACTGTTATCCTTAGTAGTTGTACTAATTTACATTCCCACAATGTATGAAGGTTCTCTTTTCTCCACATCCTCACAATCATTTGTTATTGTCTGTCTTTTGGATATAAGCCATTTTAACTGGGATGAGATGATATCTCATTGCAGTTCTGATTTGCATTTCTCTGATGATCAATGATATTGAGTACCTTTTCATATGCCTGTTTTCCATTTGTATGTCTTTTTTGAGAAATGTCTGTTCAAATTTTTTGCTCATTTTTGATTGAATTATTAGATTTTTTCCTAGATGTTCTAACAACAAATTAGAGTTGTTTGAGCCACTCATACATCCTAGTTATTATTCCCTTCTCAGATAGACAGTTTACAAATATTTACCCCCATTCTGTGAATTGTCTCTTCACTTTGTTGATTGTCTCCTTTGCTATGCAGAAGCTTCTTAACATGATGTGATCCCATTTGTCCACTTTGGTTTTGGTTGCCTGTGCTTGTGGGTATTGCTCAAGAAATATTTGCCCAGACCAATGTCCTGGAGATTTTCCCCAATGTTTTCTTATAACAGTTTCATACTTTGAGGTCTTAGATGTAAGTTTTTAATCCCCTTTGACGTAATTTTTGTATATGGTGAGAGATAGGGGTCTCGTTTCATTCTTCTGCTTATGGATATTCAGTTTTCCCAGCACTATTGATTGAAGAGACTGTCTTTCCCACAGTTTTTGTTCTTGGTAACTTTGTGAAAAATAAATTAACTGTACATATGTGGATTTGTTTCTGGGTTCCCTATTCTGTTCCATTGATCAACATGTCTGTTTTTATGCCAATATCATGCTGGTTCAATTACAATAGCTCTGTAGTATAATCTGAAGTCAAGTAATGTGATTTCTCCAGTTTAGTTATTTTTGCTTAGGATAAATTAGGCTGTTTGGGGGTCTTTTGTTGTTCTAGATACATTTCGGAATTCTTTTTTCTATTTCTTTAAAGAATATCAATGGTATTTTGATAGGAATTGAATTGAATCTGTAGATTGCTTTGGGTAGTATGGACATTTTAACAATATTGATTCTTCCAATCCATGAACATGGAATGCTTTTCCATTTTTTTAGTGTCCTGTATTTTTCATCAGTGTTCTGTAGTTTTCATTATAGAAATATTTCACCTCTTTGGTTAATTCTTAGGAATTTAATTTTATGTGTGTCTATTGTAAATGGGATTACTTTTTTATTTATTTTCAGATTTTGCACTATTGGCATATATAAATGCTACTGATATTTGTATATTGATTTCATATCCTGCAACTTTACTGAATTTGTTTATCAGTTCAAACAAACTGTGGAGCCTTTAGATTTTTCCAAAAGTAGGTTATATTATCTGCAAACAAGGATGATTTGACTCCTTCCATTCCAGCTTGGATTACTTTTATTTCTTTCTCTTGTCTGACTTTTCTAGCTAGGACTTTCAGTACCATGCTGAATAACAGTTGTGAAAGTGGACATCTTGTCATGTTTCAGATCTTGTAGGAAAGGCTTTCAATTTTCCCCCATTCAGTATGATACTAGCTATAGGTCTGTTATACATGGTTTTTATTATTTTGAGTTATGTTACTTCTACATCAGTTTCTCAAGCGTTTTTATCATGAAGTGATGTTGACTTTTATCAAATGCTTTTTCAGCATCAGATGAAATGATTATATGACTTTTATCCTTAATTATGTTGATACAATGTATTACATTGTTTGATTTGCATATGTTGAACCATCCTTGCATCCCAGGAATACATCTCACTTGGTCATGTTGAATGATCATTCTAATGTATCGTTAAATTCAGTCTGCTAGGATTTTGTTGAGGATTTTTGCATCAATTTTTATCAGAGATATTGGCCTACAGTTTTCCTTTTTTTCTTTTTTGATGTGTCTTTGATTTCAGTATCAGGGTAATATTGGCCTCATATAATGAATTTGAAAGTATTCCCTCCTCCTCTGTTTTTTGTAATAGTTTTAGTAGGATTGCTGTTTGCTCTTCCTTAAAGGTTTTGTAGAATTCAGCAGTGAAGCCATTGGGCTGCAGGCTTTTCTTTACTGGAATACTTTGATCTCTTAATTTGTTATTGGTCTATGCAAGTTTTGGACTTCTTCCTGGTTCAATCTCAATAGGTTGTATGTGTATAGGAATTTGTCTATTCTAGATTTTCCAATTCATTGGCATATAGTTTCTCATAGTAGCCTCTAATGTTCCTTTAAATTTGTGCAGTACTAGTTGCGTCTTGTTTTATTATTACTGATTTTATTTATTTGTATCTTCTCTCTTTTCTTAGTTAGTCTGGCTAAAGGTTTGTCAATTTTTATTCAACTTTTCATTCCATTGATTTTTGTGTATTGTTTTCTTCATTTCAATTGTATTTATTTTTGCTTTGATCTTTATTATTTCTTTTCTTCTACTAATTTTAGGTTTGGTTTGCTTTTGGTTTTCTAGTTCTTTAAGATGCATCATTTGATTGCTTATTTGGTTTTTCTACTTTTTTGATGTAGGCACTTGTACCTATAAGTTTCCCTCTTAGTACTACTTCTGCTGTTTCCCGTAGGTTTTGGTGGGATGTATTTCCATTATCATGTGTTTCAAGAAATTTTAAAATTTTCTTCTTGATTTCTTCATTGATCTACTGGTCATTCAGGAGCATATTGCCTAATTTCCATGTATTTTTATATTTTCCAAAATTCCTCTTGTAATTAATTTCTAGTTTTATTCCATCATGGTCAGAAAAGATGGTTGATATTATTTCAATTTTTTCCAATGATTTCAGACTTGTTTTGTGACCCAACATATGGTTTATCCTTGAGAATAATCCATGTGTTGAGAAAAAGAATGTGTATTCTGCAGCTGCTGGATGAAATGTTCTGTAAATATCTATTAGATCCCATTGGCCAATAGTGCAGATTAAGCCTGAAGTTTCTTTGTTAAAGTCCCCAGTTATTATTGTCTTGGACATATCTGTCACTTTAGCTCTAATTATATTTGCTTTATATATCTGGGTGCTCCAGTGTTGGGTGCATATATATTTACTGGGAGCCAATATATGGCTGAATTGATCTCTTTATCATTATACAGTGAACTTCTTTGTCTCTTCTTACAGTTTTTGTCTTGAAATCTATTTTGTCTGACATAAGTATAGCTACTCCGGCCCTTTTGTGGTTTCCATTGGCATGGATTATCTTTTTCCATCTCTTTGTTTTCAGTCTATGTGTGTTTCTATAGGTGAAGTATGTTTCTTGTAAATACAGATCAATGTGTCTTGTTTATTCATCCATTCAGCTACTCTTATATCTTTTGATTGGAGAGTTTCACCCCCTTATATTCAAGCTTATTATTGCTAAATAAGGACTTAATCCTGCCATTTTGTTATTTGCTTTTTTTTTTTTTTTTTTTTTTTATGTAGTCTTGCTCTGTCGCCCAGGCTGCAGTGCAGTGGCACGATCTCAGCTCACTGCAAGCTACGCCTCCTGGGTTCATGCCATTCTCCTGCTTCAGCCTCCTGAGTAGCTGGGATCAGCCTCCCAAGTAGCTGGGGCTACAGGCACCCACCACCATGCCTGGCTAATTTGTTGTAGTTTTAGTAGAGACGGGGTTTCACCATGTTAGCCAGGATGTTTTCGATCTCCTGACCTTGTGATCCACCTGCCTCAGCCTCCCAAAGTGCTGGGATTACAGGCCTGAGCCACCACGCCCAGCCTTGTTATTTGCTTGCTGATTGTGGTCTTTTCCTTCTTTCTTTCCTTCATGTCTTCCTTTAGTGAAGGTAATTTTCTCTGGTGATATGATTTAGTTTCTTGCTTTTTATTTTTTGTGTATTAGTTGCATGTTTCTTGAGGCTACCATGAGGCTTGAAAATACTATCTTATAACCCATTACTTCAACTTGATAACTACGTAACAGTTTACATAAACAATCAAATAAATAAGAAAAAGAAAATCAATAAAAACTCTATGCCTTAACTTTATTCCCCCACTTTTTAACTTTGTGTTGTTTCTATTTAAATCTCATTGTACTGTCAATGTCTTGACAATTGTTATTATTTTATATTGGTTCATTGGCTAGTCTTTTCATTTGGAATAAAAGTAGTTTACACATCACAATTACAGTGTTACAATTTTCTGGGTTTTTCTGTGTACTGTTACCAGTGAGTTTTATACCTTCAGGTGATCACTTCTCATTAAAGTCCTTTTCTTTCTGACTGAAGTACTCCCTTTAGCATTACTTGTAAGACAGGTCTGGTGTTGATTAAATACCTCAGCTTTTGTTTGTCTGGGAAAGTCTTTATTTCTCCTTCACGTTTGAAGAATATTTTCAACAAATATACTATTCTAGGGTAAAAGTTTCTTTCCTTCAGCACTTTAAATATGTCATGCCACTGTCTCATGGCCCGTAAGGTTTCCACAGAGAAGTCAGCTGCTCCATTGTATGTTATTTGTTTCTTTTCTCTTGCTGCTTTAGGATCCTTTCTTTATCTTTGACCTTTGGGAGTTTCACTATTAAATGCCTTGAGGTAGTCTTCTTTGGGTTAAATCTGCTTTGTGTTCTACAATCTTCTTGTACTTGAATATATAGATATCTTTCTCTAAGTTGGGGAGGTTTTCTATTTTTATCCCTCTGAATAAACTTTCCACCCCTATTGCTTTCTCTACCTCCTCTTTAAGGACAATAACTGTTAGATTTGCCCTTTCGAGGCTATTTTCTAGATCCTGTATGTGTGCTTCATTGTTTTTTTAATAATTTTTTCCCTTTTTCTCCTCTGACTGTGTATTTTCAAATAGCCTGGCTTCAAACTCACCAATTATTTCTTCTGCTTGATCAATTCTGCTGTTAAAAGACTCTGATGCATTCGTCAGTATGTGAATTGCATTTTTCAGCCCCTGAATTTCTGATTGATTCTTTTTAATTATTTCAATCTCTTCATTAAATTTATCTGATAGAATTCTGAAATCCTTCTCTTTGTTATCTTGAATTTCTTTGAGCTTCCTCAACACAGCTATTTTGAATTCTCCATCTGAAAAGTCACATATTTTTTGTTTTTTTCCTCCAGGATCGGTCCCTCATGACTTATTCAGTTCATTTGGTGAAGTCACATTTTCCTGGATGGTGTTGATGCTAGTAGATGTTCTTTGGTGTCTGGGCACAGAAGAGTTAGGCATTAATTGCAGTCTTCACTGTTTGAGCTTGTTTGTACCAATTCTTCTTGGGAAGACTTCCCAGATATTTAAAAGAATTTGAGGGTTGTGATCTAAGCTGTATCTGCTTTAGGAGGCACACTTAGCCCAGTAATGCCATGGTTCTTGCAGACTCATAGAGGTACGCCTTGATGATCTTGGACAAAATCTGAGAAAATTGTGTAGATTACCAGGCAGAGACTCGTTCTCTTCCCTTACTTTCTCTCAAACAAGCAAAGTGTCTCTGTGTTGTGACCTAAACTAGGGGTGGGTGGAGTGACAGAATCACCCCTTTTGCCACCACCACTATGACTGTGCAGGGTCAGACCTGAAGCTGACACAATACTGGGTGTTGCCCAATGCCTGCTATAACCACTCCCTGGCTACTCCCTTTGTTTGCTCAAGGCCCTGGGGATGTAAAATGAGCAGGTAGCAAAGCCAGTCAGGTCTGTGTCTTTCCCTTTAGGGTGGTGAGGGCCCCCAGCTCCCCGGTGGGTCCAGAGGTGCCATCTGGGAGTTAGGGACTATGGTCCAAAGCCTTAGAAATCTGCCTGGTGTTTTATTTTACTGTGACTGAGCTGGCATGCATACCACAAAGCACAGTCCTTTCCAGTCTTCCCTCCCCTCTCCAAAGGTAGAGGAGACTCACCCCATAGCCTCCACCACTACAGGTTATGAAGAGTGCTGCCAGACTACCACCAACTTTCCCTTAAGGCCCAAGGGCTCTTAAGTCAGCTTGTGGTGAATGTTTCCTGACTTGGGACTCACCCTTCAGGGAGTGGGCTCTCTTCTGGCCCAGGGCAGGTCCAGAGATGCCATCTAAGAGTCTAGTCCTGGATTTGGGGACACTAAGAGCCCATTTGGAGCTACACTTCTCTGTAGCCATGGTGGTTCCTAAATCCAGCAATTCTCAGAGGCTCGCTCAAGGCCCTTGAAGTAGCACCTGGGTATCACTACTTGTTATTCAGGGTCCAAGGGCTCTTCAGTTAACAGATGATAAATGCTGCCAGGACTGGGTCCTTTCCTTTGAGGCAGTGGGTTCCTTTCTGGCCTACAGTGTATCTAGAAATGTCATCCAGAAGCTATGGCCTGGGACAGGGGCCTCATGACTCGACTGGTGCCCTATCCTGCTGTAGCTATGTTGGTATCCACGATGTAAGACAAAGTTCTCCCCTGTCTTTCTTCTCCTCTCCTCAAGTGAAAAGAAGGGATCTCTTTGGGAGCTGCATGCTGTACAGCCTGGGGTTAGAGGAGGGGTGATGCCAGCACTCTCTTAGCCACCCTACCTAGTGCCTCAGCAGATCACACGCTCTATCCCAGTCCACTGTCTCTGGGCTCAGTTCAGCCCTAGGACTTGCCTATGAGTTGCAGTCCTTATGGCCTATGCTGGCTTTCAAAGTTATTTGGAGCACAGATCACTATAGCCCATGGCGACAAGGTTTGTAGAAACTAAAGTTCAGCCTGCTGGCACTGGTGATTCCCCTCTGGCTAGGGCTGGTTTAAATGCTCTCTCCATGGGCAGGCATCAGCTGAGTTAGGTCTGGTTTTCCTTTCTGCCCTAATAGGATAGCGCTGAGTTCAATGCCTCACAATTGCTGTGTTTTACCTCCCCCAGAGCCCAGAGATGCTCTCTGCAACCTGCCACCCTTGTCAGGGGGTGGTAGGGGTGGTGTCAGCAATTCAAGACTGTTTTATCTACCTCTTCAGCACCTCCTTCAGAGATACAGAATTAAAATCAAGTGCTATGAGTCCTCATACCTGACTTTTGGTTCTAATAAATGTTATTTTTCTATGTAGATAGTTATTAAATTGGTGTCCTTGTGGGAGTGTGGGGAGAAAATTGGTGAAGACTTCTATTCTGTCATCTTGCTCTGCTTCCCAAAAAATTGGAGTTTTTTGAGATATAAGATGAACTGCAACTAAGATTATTTAAACTTTTAATAAATTATTTTTCCTATCATCCTTTATTGTATTTCTTTGTCTAAATAAAATACCTTTTTTTCCCCATTGGTGCATGCCAATATAGGGTTAGACCATCTGTCATCAGCCATTTTCATCCTACTAATATATCATTTTAATCTTACTAGTAATGAATGTGGTATTTATGGTACAATATACATTGTGAGAATCCACAGAGACTGACAGTAGCTATTTCTGAAGACTATTACTAATTTTCAAGAAACTCATCACAAATGTGTACAAAGAGTGGCATTTTGCAAATAATGTATTGCCCTCTTTAATACAGAAATGACCTCTATATACCCAAGGGTCCCAGTTCTTCAAATAAGCTTCTCTCCATGCTTGAGAGCTGGGCATTTTATCAAATTAAGAAATTGATTTAATCTATGTTTAAATTGCCCTGAATTATTATCTGCCAGCTTTGCTTTTATTTTTAAGTGTTTGAAATGTAATTTTATTTCTTTTTTTCTTCAGAAAAAGAGTGATACTTCACAGTTCCTCTGAATTTTTAAGCAATTACTTTTACATGACCCCTATATTTCTGAACACCCTATCAAAAAATCAGTACAGTCTAATAACTAAGTCATAATTGGTTATTTTAGAGTGTATAATTTCATAATATGTTTTAATTTGTTTCAAATAGATTGATTTGCTATTAGATTCCATTTACAAAACCTTTCATACAGTTAATATTGATCCTGGTGTTACTGTGTTGGCGTCAGTACCTGCCATTAACTGTCTACATTTTTGTCTCATACCAATAATGCATAAACTACTTTGGATGACTTAATGGACTTCAATGATTTTTGAGCTTTGACTTCATCTTGCTTTTGTTATAGAAAAGTATTTTCTTCCTGCTATAATGTCCTTATTTTAGTTTTTTTTGTTTGTTTCATAGTTGTTTTTAAGTCATGCCTCTGTGTGTGTTTTAATCAACTTTAAAATTCTTAAAAATTACTTCCTACAGTCTCAATACCTTCAGGGACAAGTATACTTCACCAAATCATTTAAAGTAGCCAGTAGCAGCAGTTAACAAAAGAACTAAATGAACAGCCTCACACTGCCACCAAGTTCAGAAACCAGACCAGTGAGAAGCCAGGAAAGACCATGGAGTCAGGGATACATAAGCAAAGCAGTCACTCACATGGTTGGGCAAGGAGAAGTTTTACCATGATGTGAAAAGAATACCTTAATATCTAGTCTCTTGTCCCTGAATATTCTCTTTCAGAGGCTTTGGCATCCCAAAAATTTGTGGTGAGATATTTTCTCTCTCTTTTTTTTTTTTTGACAAGTTCTCTGTCACCCAGGCTGGAATGCAGTGGCACTATCATAGTAAACCAGTCTCACTGTCTGGAGTGACACCTGAAGTTCATTGTCTCATGGCCACGAGGATCAAGGACATGGACACACAAAGAGTGAGGTTAAGAGCAGAAGTCTAATAGGTGAAAGAGAGAGAATAGCTCTCTGGTACAGACAGGGGTCCTGGAAAAACAATTGTGGATCTGCCATGAAATGCAGGGGGCTTAATAGATGAGCTGGTGGGGAGGCAGTGTCTGATCTACACAGGGCATTAAAAACTGGTTAGAAACAGGTGTGTCATTTGCATAGGGTGAGAATTTCTGGCAGCCGCCACCACAGTCTTTTATTATGCAGGCGGGTTTTCAGCCTGAGCTGCGCCATGTTGCCCATTTGTCTTACTGTACATGTGCTAATGAAAAAGGGAAAATGGAGCTTCCATGGTAGACATGCCTGGCCCCCAGGTAATGCTTTTCTATTGATGCAGCTGCCAACATTCCCCATGCGAGATTCCAGCTTCCTGATCTATGTTTGCAGCTCAATCTTTCAAGATGATTTTGTTAGAAAAAAATAATTTTGGGCGCTGCTGTTTGTTAGAAAGGAAGTTCTGCTAAGGAATCTTTTGCCCTCATTATCTGCCTAAATAATTTGTTTCTATCTCCTGTATCAATAGCTCATTGGAACCTCGAACTATTGGGCTCAAGCAATCCTCTCACCTCAGCCTCCCACGTAGCTGGGACTACAGGCATGCAACACCATATCCAGCTAATTTTTTAAATTTCTTGCTATGTTGCCCAGGCCTGTTTCAAACCCCTGACCTCAAGCAATCCTCCTGCCTCAGCCTCCCAAAACACTGAAACTTTAGGCATGAGCCACCATGCTCAGCCTGTGAAGAGATATTAATAAAGGAAAAGATTCATTAATCCAGAAAATCTGTAGGCCACTCAGATGAGTCGTTCTGAACTACACAGAATTTAAATTTAAATTTAACAAGGTCTTGTTGGTCTCTCAGTAACAAAAGCGAAGGCATTTTTCATTTCTGGGGGAGAAAAATTGTTTTTATCTACATAAGTAGACTAATTTCATCAAAAGAGTTGAGGGCCCAAAACTATTCTTATAAAACTCAATTTAAAAAAATAAAACACTGATTTTGAATCTGAGGCTGTTTTTTTGTGAAGGTTTGTGGGGTGGGGGGCAAGAGAGGTTGCCTAAGATACAGAATACAAAGTGCAAAGAAAAACAAGATAGGCTTCTATAAAGCAACTGAGAACAGAAAAGAGAGACTGGAACCATTTTAGCGTAACCATCCTTAATAACGCTAAGAAAAACTGGCATTAAAACCAGCAGTGAAATGTAGGATTGTCTTGGAAACAGCAGACTTTGAGGATACACTCTTAAAGGGAGGTTCCCTCAAAATACCTTCTCCAAATGAGAGGATTAGGAGCTCTCTCGAGAACAACAAGAAGGGGGTTGTAGAGGGGAAGAACACAAACTGATAGCACAGAATTTGTTCTAAAGGAGGAAAGAAGACAAGATCAGCACTCTTTGAGAAGACATTGGGTCAGTGGATGGGATGAAGGAGACCTGACCCTTGACCAACTCCAGATGTACTTCGGATATATATTTATTATTAAATTAAGAAGAGCTTTGCTGCATATTGATTGGCTAAAAGTAAGACAGACTTTTTAGATAATTATCTAGTCCTTTCTCGTTAATCCCGAGCACTTGATAAGGACATTACTTCACCTCAGATTCATTATGAGAAACTAAACAAGTGAAGAGTTGAGAATGCTAAACTTGCTTTGCACACTCCCTTGTCCCTTGGTTTCCCTGATCCCTCAGAGATCACTGCAATTATCTGACCTAGTCTTGTCTTTTCCCTTACTCAGAATCACATGCTTACACCAGTCACATGTCCATACATTTGGGTTGCTTGGTGTGTGTGTGTGTGTGTGTGTGTGTGTGTATGCTTCCTGTGACACAAGTGGGATGCTGAGGTGGCTGCAAGGTCCAAATAGTCTTAATCATATAGCTGAAAATTGATGCTGGCTACCAGATGAGAGCTCAGTTGGGGCTGTCAGCCAGAGCACCCAGTTCTTTTCTATGTGGAGCTATCCAATGCAACTATTAGGGTTTCCTCATAGCAAGGCACCTGGGTTACAAAAGGGAATGCTGCAAAAGGAAGGAATAGGAAGCTCTCTGTCCTCTTAAAGCCTCTGGAATGCTACTTCCACGACACTTTGTTAATTGGAGCAGTTGCAGAACCAGCTCAGAATTGCAGGGAGAATTCAGCTGGTAGTACCTTTGGAAGGAGGAGTGGTTTTCATGCACAGACACAGACAGAAGTGATGGCAGTCATCTTCGGAGGCTACCACCCAGGCTTAATTTCATTCCACTTCTCAACAGGTTAAGAAAAAACAGAAAAGCTTTCAGAATTTCTCTACACTATGGTAGTTCTGTAAATTTCAAATCAATACAACACATCTACTCCTTATGCAGTTTGTGTACGTATGTATTAAGCAGTCTTTTCATTTAGTTTTTGAAACTAAAAAGCATTACACATTTTCTTTGATTTAACTGTATTATTTTGTGGCAAATAAATCATTTAAAACATTTCCTAGTGTGATGTTATTTACTACTTTTATTCTTAATGTTACTATATCACCCACCAATAATACGTTGAGCAAAAATAACTTTTAAAGATTTATGCTGAACATAAATGAATTTAGACTGAAAAATGAATTTTAAAGGGAACAAAATTACCTGAAATGTTGACTCTGAAAGAGAAACATTTACATATTACCATAGTCACTATGTGATTATCAAAAGTTGCAGCTTAATATTTTATGTTTTAGTCACACTTTGAGACTGAAAGAAATGTCTCTTTGAGCTAACATAACGCGGTGCAAAAAGCAAGAAGAGAGAACTACCAAGTAAAAGGCTAGCAGAAAAAAAAATGAGGCCAAAATTTTAAAATACAGCATTTCAGAGAAAATCTTAAGCGTCAAAAAATAATTGAAGAATGTTTATTCATTAGTAAATCACTGTTTTATTTACCCAAAAGAAATATGGATATTACATATGTCAACTCCCAATTCTGGTGAGTTAAATATGCCCAAAAATATACTTAAGAAATTAAAAAGATGCTGAACTATTTGTCTTATTTATTAGTATTACAGTTTGACGTGGCACATCTCCAACTGGAAGAAAATTAAAAAGCCACTTACCAAGGTGCCAGACCGAGAAACATATGGCACTTCCCAATAACTACTGCCTGGTTATTTGTAGGTGGGAAAAATCTATTTGGGGGCCTCCTTACAGCTTGATAAGAAAAAAAAAATTGTATATGTTTACTCTGAGGAGTTTTCAGTAAGAAGAAATTTTAGATTTATTTACAGCATAGAGGAAAAGGTATTACCTTTATTAATGAAATGTGAGGCTCTTATGGAGACTGGAGGGAATTCTTTTAATGCATTTTTTTTAGAGAGGGTTGGCAGCTAAGAGAGAAAACTTTGTGGGGGTTTTAAATATTTAATATCCCACTGTTGCTTTACAGCTTAAGGAAAACTTGTGCTTCTTTATTGGAAAATATTTCAGAGCTTATCTCAACATGTATGGAATTAAAAACAAAATCTTTAATATTCCTAAACTCTAAAGCTAGGTGGAAAAAAAACAACGTAGGGCAAAAATATAGTTCTTTCTTTGCAAAATTAAAAAACTTAATATTAAAATGTTTACATCAGAAAACTGTACAGCTATATAAAAATGTTCTTGTTATTGGGGGTTTAATTAATTACCTTCTAAGTAATAGTTATTGATTGCTCATTGTATATTAATTATTTGAATTAAAGAGTTTGGGTGAGTCAAATAATTATGTGGCCTCTGTAGTTAACAGTGAATAATTTTGTAGATAAACAATGCTGTTAGTCAAAAGATAAAGTGATAGGCCTAATGGGGAATTCAGCATTATACAATGATGGAGACAGTGATAACTACACTGGGATGATCATAGAAGTGTTAAAAAAAATGCAGGGAAGTCTCTCTTAATGGCCTTACCACACAATTTGAATCACATATATTATTAACTTCGTTAAGTTAGGTCATTAATAGTATGTCTTTCTTGGAAGATGAAGCATATTATTTACTTTACATCCCATATGTATGTGTTATATATTAAATTATTTATACTGTAATCCCCATCTACTATCAGAAAAAAAGATTATCCAAACAACAGGTGATAAAAAGCATAATAAACCAAACACCGCATATTCTCACTCATAGGTGGGAACTGAACAATGAGATCACATGGATACAGGAAGGGGAACATCACACTCTGGGGACTGTTGTGAGGTGGGCGGAGGGGGGAGGGATAGCACTGGGAGATATACCTAATGCTAGATGACGAGTTAGTGGGTGCAGCGCACCAGCATGGCACATGTATACGTATGTAACTAACCTGCACAATGTGCACATGTACCCTAAAACTTAAAGTATAATAATAAAAAAAATTAAATAAATAAAAAATTTAAAAAAAGCATAATATAAGGATATTTCTAAGTTATAATGTAATTTTTAAGACTAAATATTTAGTTTCATAAATTCACTAATGGCAGTGGCTATAGACTATTTGGACTTACATTCTTCTTCTTCTAGTACTTAATAGCTGTGTCTGTTATGTCTTTGTCAGTTTAATTAAACTCACCTTGGGTCAAATTTCTCTTCTTTAAAGTAAAGATATACTATATTTTATCTAAGGCGCCTTTGATTGTAAGACACACCATTATTTTTCTACTACTGCAAAAGAAAAATCACCAAAAACGGGGAGATAAAGGGCAAACCCTTCATAAAGTACATATACCAAAGGACGATGTCCTCAATGCATGGAAAATGAGAAAAAGATCTGACCCACAGAAAATGTTACCAGAAAACTTACATGCCTCCACTTTGGCCCAGAATGGCGAAAGGGAAAATTTATGTTCCCTGATGACATGAACAACAGCCAGTAGCCATGTAGTTCTGCAGGCTAAATTAACACTGCTAGTGTGGTCTGAAAAACCTCAAAAGAAAATTGAGGTTGATCATGCTACAGGTGACTGGCAAAAGCAAATCCCAATTGCCTCTGGAAGAATTAGATGAAAATCCAGGCTGAAGCCACTCCAAGACAATATTAATCATAAGACCAATTTTAGAGATGCTACAATGGGAGGAAAAAAGGTGTGTGGTAGATGAATTGCAATCATGGCCCCAATTCTTCCTGTCCCCGAATCCATAGATTTCGCCAGATGATGTGCAGCTCCTCCCATCAAGACATCTACTTCTCCAACGCTTGAATCTCTGCTTGTTTCATGACTTTTTTGTGACAATACAATGTGCAAGCTTCATTGTTCACCCATTCCAAAACTAGGCTTAAGAGGTCTTTCACGGTTCTGCTTGCAGTATTAGAACTCTGCTGCCTCCAGGAAGATAAACGCCAGCTAGCTTGCTGGAAAGATGAGAGACCATGTGGAATAGAGCCAATTAATCCTAACCAAGGTCTTGCTAGGATGGCCTATTCCCCAGCCTACAGATAGCTAACCACAGTTATATGATCAAGCTCATCTATGAACACCCGAGCCTATCCAAATCAACAGAACCACCCTCTAGCCTCATGGAAAGAATAAATGCTTGTTATTTTAGGGTACTACATTTGGGGGAGTTTTATATGCAATAATAGGTTACTGGAACAAGATATATCTTTAAATAAGTGAAATACAGTAGTAATATCTAACTTACGATATTACTACTAGCTACAGTAGGGAATTAATACCTGCAAGGCATTTAAACTCGTGCCTCACACACAGGAAGTTTATATAAATGCTATATACATTATTGAAATTCTACCTTATTCAACAGAGACTCTATTGTTTCCAACTTGATTCATACATGAAATGAGAGTCCTGATTTGCAGAATGATTATAAAGATCAAATGCAAGTGGAAATATTTTACAACTATAAGGTACTACCTGAAATGTGATTACAACTATAATTACACATGAACAAATATCTAAAATACAATGAATTATAAAACAGGTGTAAGCAATGTTAAGCCAGTAAAAAAAGGCAAATGATTGTGTCTAGGAGATCCAGGAAGGACGTCTTTATTGAAAAGATGGCATCTGAATTGAACACAGAAGAACAGGAAGGATTTAATAAGGTAACAGGTTATTGTAAAGCAGAAGGTGGAAAGCATTCTAGGTTAAAAATAACTACATGTGCAAAGGTCCAAAGATGTAAAAATGTCTGCCACATGTCAGTCTTGCCTGCACGATGTGACTAGGAAAAGGGGGAAATGGCCAGATGTAAAGCTAGGGAAATAGATTACGATGTCTTGTTCAGCAAGAAAGGCTTTCTCATTTAAGCAATAGATGTCACCAGAAGTTTCTACAATGGCCAGTGATATGACAAAATCTGTATTTTAGAAATATAATTCCGGTAATAATAAGGATTAGAAGGAGAGAAACAAACAACTAGCAAGGTAAAAACATAATTGGGGTCTGATCCAAGTTCTATGGAATCCAAAAAACTAGAGACACATTTGAAAGACAACTAAAATTCTTAAGTGCCCTGCTATGTGGCAAAACCTGAGCTAATTGATCTCACATCCACTATTGCATCTAATTCTTCCAAATGCTTTATGAATAGCACACTGTCCATGATAACACAGATAGAAGTGAAAACAAGTCAGCCTGACTCCAAAGCCCAAAGCTTTTTTTACTCTTGTGTCTTGCTTACCAAGTTACAGAACAATGAAAACAAAAATCAAATATATCAAAAGCCTAAAGTAACATATTTTTGTAATTGTTTATTCAGTTTATTTCTTGATACCAAATGAAACTTCTATAAAGCGTAAATAACTTGAGTTAATTCATCAAATTATCATAGAAATGAGTTTTAACAAATGAATCACAGTCAGATAAAGCTTCATTTGATAAATTTTAAAAAATCACTACTCAGCCATATTAAGGATTCTCAAATAGCTAAAAAATTTTGTGAGTAGAGTAAAGCTAGAAGGAGGAAAGTTCTGAGAAGAAAATGTTGGTAGTCCAGGAGACAAGGTATCCGGATGCTAGATTATAATATAATTCTTCAGGAATGTTTAGCCCTAAAAAGAGAAAGAATGGAAAGCAAACTTCAAAATGTATAAACAGCTGCCACCAATTTAATGGTCTGCAGTAGTCGTGAGGTGTTGCAGCATTTGGAACTAGGAGTAATGAGTAGAAATAAGGGTGGCAACTTTTGACTTACTAGAAGAAAATATTTTCTGTTATCTAGAACTATCCAACTATGAAATGAGTTTATTCATGGAGTTCTGATTCCTAACTCTGAAAATATCCAAATATAGTTCATTTATAAAAAAGTTAATTGAGCAACTAAAATTGTCCTAGATTCATGTTAGGCATTCAGGAACAACTGTGAACAAGATGATCTATCAGAAATTATTTCAGAAGGAGATTCTTCATTCTTTATTTAATAGACCCTTATTCAGTGCTTACTGTTTTCTAGGCACTTGAAATTCTTGAATGTTAATTTATGTAATACCCATAACAACCTTACAAATGGGGAAACTGAGGCAAAAAGGTAACTTGCTCAAAAGCACACAAGTAGTGAGGATCAGCACTGAGATCTAAATCCACATGGTCCAGGTGGAAGGTCTGTGCTCTGGGCCACTATGGCTGCTGCCTTCCCCTGCTCCCATGGGGTGGTGCTGGGCTACCTGGCTAATAAGGTGCTTAACACAGCCTTACTCTCAGAAGACTCTAAGAAATTCCATAAACTAGTAGAAGACAATGAAGTCAAATTTTGACAAATTTAACATGTTCCCACGGACTAGACTTGATTAGGTCTTGTTGTCTTCTTATTTCTTTCAAATATGGGCAAACACATCAACAAAATGCATTATACCATTATTCTAATTTTGTTTTGTTTTGTTTTTGTTTTTGTTTTTGTTTTTACTTACCCCTCAGGAGGAAGTCTGGGTGTCTACAGGAAAGAAGGTTTGGAAATTGATTTTGTTATACAGAATATATTTTAAAGAATCTAAATAAACCTAAGAGTTCTTTCTTCTGGATATGAGATGGGGAAGATGAGAATCAGGATACAAAGGTAGTGTTTACCTTTTAGAATTCTGTACTGTTTGCTTTCATATGAGCACGTTTTATTCTCTTAAATGCTTACGTAAGATTTGTGTAAGTAAAAGTTTATTATAAAACATGAAAAGAATGTCTCTCATCTTCTGCTTATCTAGAAATGAAAGCAGAATTGTGGACAAAATTTATGAGAATGACTCACGTAATTAGAGCATGTCGGGAAAGTAGCCTGAAAAAACTTATTATCTCACCACCCTATTTTACAAATTTCACAGATCATCTGACTCTATGAAACTTGCATAGAGTCAGAAAGTAAACTAATTAAAATGCACTGAAAATCCATTGAAACTCTAAAGCACTGTACAAATGCAAGCTTTGATGTGATTGATGCCAGAGCCAAACCTAGAACTGATTAAGAGGTTGGTTCTTTGGAAGATGATTAGGCTATAAGGTGGGGCTCTTATGAATGAGATTAGTGCCCTTATAATAGGATTTTAGGACACAGCTTTAGTTCCTTTCGCCCTTTCACTGCTTCTGCCATGCAATGACACAGCAACAAAGCACCATCTTGAAGCAGAGAGCAAGCCCTCCTCACCAAATACCAAATCTGCTGGAGCCTTTATCTCAGACTTCCCAGTCTACAGAACTGTGAGAAATAAATTTCTGTTGTTTATAAATAGCCCAGCCTAATGTATTTTGTAATGTATTTTGTTAAAGCAGACCATCTGAACTGACTATGATATACCATTTTGACTTACTGGGGTATGAGAGTAAGGGGGCATAGAACCCTGAGTAACTTACTTAATCTTTCTGAGTCTTCACGTCTATGGAATGATAGTAACAATACCTATATCATACTGTTGTTCAGAGGATTGAATAAGAAAAATCATGTGAAGCATATGGCCTGAAAGAGAGTTAGCCTACAATAAATGTTATTGTGATTATTACTTTTATTATCATTAGTTACTAGTCACTTAACATTTGCTGCAGCTGGCTTCTCATAGCAAAATTATGCTTCCCTTTCATCAGAGTGGTTATATATTTTTCAAGTGTCCTGGTGACCTTCACATGATAGAGTTGAGAACATGATAGACTTTGAAATCAGATAGATCTGAGCACAAAGGTCAGTGCTACCAAATATTAACTGAGGGATCTTGAGCAAACTATTCAAATTTCTAAGGTTCACTTTTCTCAGTGAAAAGATGTAATAATTGCCTTGTGGAGCTGTTTTGTAGTTTAAAGGAGAATGCATGGAAAAACAGTAGTCTACTGGCACTTATTAAAACCTTCAGTAAATGGCAGCAATCAGGAATATTTATTACATCTTATATTATTGTAAGTTTGGAATGTTTTTTAGTTCCTATAAACTGCAGAATGTGGAGAAAGAGCCCAAATGTCAGCAAGATTGCTGCCCCTGAGCCATAGGTTTGTTTCATTTTATTTCCATATATTTGCTTTCTATTTAGCTGTTTGACTAACAGGGAGTGTGGGGATGAAGTAACTAAAGGGATAGATCAAAAATTAATAACCTTTCCCTGGGAAAGAAGATGTATGTTCACCCAGGGGCTTCATCTTGTTCATTGGTCATTCCCAACCCATGTGTTATAGTCAAGAGGAAGAACCAGGAAATAGCCAAGTGTCTTATCCACTATTTTGTGAAAACATTAGATTTTGACCTAAAGAGAGTTCCTGGGTAAACCCAGGATAATTATTCTCAAAGATATCATTAAGACGCTGCAGGATTGAGAAACATTGGGGAAGCCCAACTATATAGCCAAAGGGGTAGGTGGATGCATGTTGAAGGGATGGAGAAAGAATCTGTGAAGAGCTAAGGTGGCAAAAATTGATGAGGCTTTGATGTCTTGCTAAAGGACACCACTATTTATTTAAAGTGATTGAACTGAGTGAGTAGAAAAAGATAAATGGCCAGGTGCAGTGGCTCATGCCTGCAATCCCAGCACTTTGAGAAGCCAAAGCTGGAGGATCATTTGAGCCCAGGAGTTCAAGACTAGCCTGGGCAATATAAGGATACCCTGTCTCTACAAGAAATAAAAGAAAAAATTGTTGGGCATGGTGATGCACACTTGTGGTCCCAGCTACTTGGGAGGCAGAGGTGGGAGGATTGCTTGATCCCAGGTGGTCAAGGCTGTAGTGAGCCATGATCATGCCACTGCACTCCAGCCTGGGCAACAGAGTGAGCATTTGAAAAAAAAGGAGAGGAGAGGAGAGGAGAGGAGAGGAGAGGAGAGGAGGAAGGAAGAAAGGAAGGAAGGAAGGAGAAAGAAAGAAAGAGAGGAAGGAAGGAGAGAAAGAAAGAAAGAGAGAGAGAGAAGAGAAAGACAGAGATAAAGAAAGAAAGAAGAAAGAGGAAAGAAAGAAGAAAGAAAGAAAGAAAAGAAGAAAAAAGAAGGCAGGAAGGAAAGAGAAAAGATTTATTTCATGGAATAGAAAATGAAAGATTAAGAGTAATTTTAATTCATTCAACGCTTCATTGGACTTAAACAGATCTCAAAATGTGATCTGCAGACCAGCAATATCAGTTTACCTGGGACCTTGATAGAAATGCAAATTATCTGCTCACTCCAGACTATTGAATCAGAAATCTTGGGGGTTGGGGGACGGTAGCGGTGGCTTTAGCAATCTGTCACCTCTGAGTGACATTGTCGATTATAAATTGTGAGACTCACCAAATTAGAGAAGTTTTCTCATCATCCTTTTTACTTTTTATTACAGTTTACAATTTCTTCTTACATCTTACCCCATTGAACCAAAAAGTAAAGAAAGGTGGGGCACAAGGGCTAAAAGACTAAGACAGACGTATTTAAGTAATTTGCAACTCCGGGATTAACTGATTTATAGTAAAAATGAAGGTTAATTTTTATTCATAGTCATTTTAATGCCATGCATGAAATTCACAGAAGAATAGGCATATTAAGGCCAATGGAATAAATAACAAGATTAGAACAATACAGAACAGTATTTGTTAAGTGGAAAGAAAATGGCACTTGATGGGTCGCAGAATGAACTGGGGATGAAGTGTCCTAGATAAAATCTTCCATATCACCACTAGCTCCTGCCAGATCGTTTCTACCCACATCACTGAATGATATTATTTGCCAAAGCCCAGTTAATCGCAGACAAACAGGACAATGCAGTATAAAGAGTGAAGTCTTGTAACAGCTCTAATTACTGCAAAAGACTAGCATTATCAGAAAAGTCCCATAGAGGAAGTAAATTTAAGAACAAAGCAAATCAACAAAAGCCTGATAATTATCTTGAAAGAAAAGACACTACTAGAAGGGCATTGGAGTGAATTTTTCTGCCTATCTTGCCTCACTCATTGCCACCTGACAAATTTTGCATTATTGGTATAAAGCTTGTCTTTATTCACCTCAATCAGTGGTATGCTCTTCACATGTTCCCTAAGTTGACCCTTGAACAACACATTTGAACTGTATGGGTCAACTTACATGTGGCTTTTTTTCAATCGAACATGGACGGAAAATACAGTAGTTACAGATACAAAACCCGAATATACATGGGTTCCACGAGACCAACTATGGGACTTGAGTTTGTGTGGATTTTTGTAAATGTGGGCAATCCTGGAAGCAATCCTTCACATATACCAAGGGAAAACTGTACTTAAACTTATTGAATTTAAAATAGGCATTTTAAACTTATTTTATGCATTACTGAGCATCCCGTTTTATATAGTTACCAAAGCCCTTAGTAAGGGCTAACAGGAAGTGCCAGCTTGGGGATGCAAACTTTCTAATCATGCTACATTTACTGTGTATTCTGTAAAGCCCCACAGAATCATCACATTCAAAGCAATCTGAAAATATAAAGTGGTATTTTTGCATTCTGATATTATAACATATAGTTCCTCTCATTCACATTTGTGGTACTTTAAAAAATTAGTCTATAAAAATTTCATGGCAGCTTCAAAGCACTCAACTCTAGGTAATGGAATGAAATGGCTTGAAATGTAAAACAGTTGTTGAGATTATGCCGATGGCACAAGTAAAATTTAGAGCAAAGAGCTAAGAATCAAGGAAGGAAAATACTTTTTAAAAGTTTCTGTAACCATCTCTTCAAGTATAATGGCAGTGATCTAATGTTCTATTAAACACGTGGCAGTCCTGATATGCAAGTCCTTGTGTAACCAGGGGAGGGCATAGAATTTTTCTCGGGTGGGAATAAGGACTTTTTGTTGGACCCTCTCTGCCTATAGCTGATGATTTTGAATGGAATGGGAGGCATATTTGCCCCAAGCAGTTTCCAGGTTAAAGGCGCCCAAAGATATTTTCCTCTCACAGCTGTTAGCTTCTTGGTCAAGATCAGGGATTACCTGGCACAGGGTTCTCACTTTCTCTGGGTTAGCTGGAGCAAAGAGTAAACAGGTTAAAAGCTTTTAGCCGAGGAGGAAACTAGCAATCAGTGCTGGGGTTGAGGCAGATTTGCTTTTGGGAGAAAGAAAAATAAAAAAGTTGATGAGGAAGGAGTCTGGAGAGGAAAGAAAAAGAAGAAAGTGAAGCCATCTGGTCACCAACAGTGCTAGAATAGAAGAGTCCAGTTCCTCTGCTTATAAACTCTCTGGCCCCCTATCTGAGTGATAACCACAGGAACCACAGCATCAAACAAACATGGTTTATTTGATAGGAAGTAGAATCAGCAGACGCCAGAATTGTCAAGGTCTGCGTGCCTCCCAGATCCCATCCAAAGCCTATGTTTTTAGCATGTGTGCTGATTCTAGGGCAAGGAGTCCACATTTTGAAAGAGAATAGATGAGACGTAGGTGAAATGTCATTATATATTAACATTGAAACTTCTTCCAGACTCTTCTTTTTCTCATGCATGGTTTTCTTTGATGACAGGAAGATACTCTAATATAGATTTTTCACAGAAAAAGCTTTGAATGCTCAGACAGCTTTCTAGGCATTTGTTTTAAAGACTCACTGCAGCTGTTTAAAGAAAGGACAAAATGCATATGACTTTTAGTGCCCAATCTGCCATCTACTGTAAATTTACTTTCCTAAGTAAATGACCTCTTTGACTCACTCTCCTGGCTTTAAAAATAGAAATATTATCAAGCTCATAGTATTGCAAATTTCTGTTAAGCAACAGACCTACGTATTCGACTATTTCTTTGACATCACAACTTAAAGAGGCCTCAGGCCGCTCAAATCATGTTTTCTTAACAGACTTCACAATCTTTCCCCAAGCCTGCTGTCCTCTGCAGGTTGATGATGCTACCACAAATCCTTAATCCTTCAAGTCAGAAGATAAAAACCTTGCTGGATTTCTCCTAGTCACTTAGTTTAGACCTTCTGCTTCATTGGTATTTCTCAAGACTGCTCCCTCCTCATTCCTACTGACCCTGTCCTCATTGAGGTTCTCATCACTTCTTACCTGGGTTATTGTAACCACAGTCATTTCTTAATTGACCACCCTGACTCCAGTCTTGCATTCATCATTCTTCCCTCTCCCCAAAAAGAAAATGGTATCCTTTTAAATATACTCACTGGAGGGGAGAAACTAGAAAGAGGTAGAAAGAGAAGCAAGTGGAGTTGATTAGACATTGAAGGCAGGAAATGAAAATAAAGTTGGTTTGGGAATTTGTTCTTTTAGTTTAAATTCATTCTTTCATTTGATTACTGCAAAAAGAATGTTATTAAAGACCAGAAAAAGAAAACAGCTTTCTTAATTCATTCCAAAATATCTAACACTTTATCTGTCAGGCACCATCAAGAACAAGACAGTTATTCCTTTTGTTTTGTTTTTTTAAACCCAGATATATTACTGGTTGTGCATAAAATGTTGCTCTATCTCACACTTGTATGTCAGTACACAGTAAACTTTAAAAGCAACAAAATCACCCTCTGTTTTGCAGAGGTGGTGAAATGCAGTCTTGCTCTCTTCATTTTGAACTCAGCTGGCAGACACAGTGATCTCATATACAAATATGTGGCAATTCTATTATGCATGTCACTTGTCTCAGCAAACTAAGTTATAAACTCACAAAAACTACCTGGCTGTGAATGGAAGTCTCAATACTGCCAGCCCTTAAACCTAAAGCACTGCAGATTTTCTGAGAATGTGTGCCCTCAAATAAGGACAAAAGACAAACAGGGACCTTATTTAACCTAATTCACCAAAAAGAAAAAAGTGACTAACAATGCAGCAAACTCTCTGTATCTGTGGGTTCTGCCTCTGTGGTTTAACCAACTGTGGATCAAAAGTTTTTTTAAAAAAAATTAAAAATAACAATACAACCATTAGAAATAATACAAATAAAAATAATACAGTGTAACAACTATTTAGATAACATACATAACATTTACATTTTATTAAGTATTATAAGTAATCTAAAGATAATTTAAAGTATACAGGAGGATGTGCATAGGTTATATGCAAATACTATACCATTTTATACAAGAAACTTGGTCATTAATGGATTTTGGTACCTGCAGGGGGCCCTGACACCAATTCCCCTTGCAGATACTGTGGGACAACTGTAGATGGTTTCTCAGTTCAGCAAGAAATGAGCGGCTTCTGCCTTTGTGAATATCTAAAATACTGCAGGCCTGACCCCTAAAATAGAATCATGCAACTTGGGAGATAACAAACACATTAGAAAAGCAAACTCCTCATTTTAGTAGAATACCATGTTGAAGCTCAGAAAGCTGGAGTGATTTGCTAAAGGGCAATCAGCTGTGAGTGAAGCAGATGTGAGGCTAGAGCCCAGGATCTCTAATATACAGTAGACCAGTCATTTGCTTGTTTCATAAGCAGCATATACTGAGAAGACCACTTCTTTTCTAATTCATGACAGATGCTGCATTCTCTCAGCTTCCCAAATGTGAATCACTTTGAGGAGATGCCAAGCCTACTAGTTAAAACATATAGAAGATGCACCTCCAAGCATGTCTTATCTCTAAAATAATCCTGTGTCTAGTGGCAGAGGCAGGAATATCTCAGTTTAAAACAGGACATGATCTTGAAACTAATAGTCCTAAAGTTATACCACCACAACATTTAAGAACTATTACAAGGGTGCTCCCTCTTACCACTTCTACCAATATAGTACTAGAAGTCCTAGCCAGAGCAATTAGACAAGAAAAAGAAACAAAAGACATCCAAATTAAAAAGAAAGTAGTAAAAACATCCTGTTTCCAGATGGCAATGAGTTTAGAAATCATAGAAAACCCTAAAGATTTCTCCCCAAAATTGTTAGAACTAATAAACTATTTTAGTAAAGTTATAAGATATAAAATCAACATACAACAATCAGCAGCATTTCTGTACAATAACAACAAACTATGCAAAAAAGAAATATAAAAACAAACCCATTTATAATAGCATCAAATAAACAAATGAAATACTAAAGAAAATTTAATCAAGGAGGTAAAATGTCTACACACTGAAAACTATAAAACACTGATGAAAGAAACTGAAGATGACACAAATGGAAAGATATCAGAATATTATTAAGAAATCCATACTACCCAAAGCAATATATAGAGTCAAAGTAATCTCCACCAAAATTCCCATAGCATTTTTCACAGAAATAGAAAAAACATTTTTTAATTTGTATAAAACCATAAAAGCTCACAAAAGATCCCAAGTAGCAGAAAAATCGTGAGCATAAAGAATAAAGCTGGAATGATGCCAGCAAGTTGAAATGGGAGGCAACCTGGTTATTTCCCCACAACAAGAATTCTGTACCCATCCACAGACAAAAGTCTCTCTGTGGGAGTTTCAGGATTCAGGTAGGAAGTTGTGAAATTCCAGTGACACCCAAGACCTATGAAGGACATTTGGAATGCAAGAGCAGCATCCAACTAGCAGACCCACTGATCATTCTTCCAGGCTCAAACCCAGAAACAGTCCCATTTCTAAAATAGCTTGGCTACAACCCCATTTGTCCTCAAGCCTATAATCAAAACCATCTGCCAAGAGGTCCAGCAGTAATCACAAACACTAGTGCCTCAGTGGAGAATTTCAGGTGCCTACTGACATTTGTCTCAGCAGAGGCCTGAAAGTTTTCCTGTAGCATGGCTCCAGACCTCTCAGTTGAGGTCCTAGCTTAGAACTGCTTGCCAAAGGACCCATAGGTAAACTTGACCATATCTCAATGCCTGAGGGTCTGAACCTCTGTGACAGGCTCACATATCTCCATTCCACAGCATATCCTTAGGGGATCCAATCTCAGCTCTGGCCAGTCTTACTGCAGTCAGAGACCTGCCCCACCTGTGCAGGGACATACTGAGAGATGTGTACCCATTTGAGAGAGGGGATGGGTTCATTAACCTCTGTCCCAGAGCAGTTCTCAAGGGGGGCCAGTCATAGCTCCAGCCCTTCATGCTACAGTCAGAGACCTATCTTGCCTGTGCAGAAACATGCTTGAAGGGGCACTCCCATTTGAGCTAATGAGGTAGGCTCACCAGTGTCCATTCCACAACAGATCCCAAGATGCCCAGTCTCAGCTCTGGCCCCTCTCACTGTAGTTGAGGACTCTTATGTAAGGACCTGCGAAGAGAGAAGTACCTGCTGAACCAGTGAGACAGGATCACCAGCCTCCATCCCACAGAAGATCCGGAGGGAGCCGAGTTCTCAGCTCTCCCCATTCTCATTGCAGTCAGGAAACTATCCTTTATGTACAGGAACCTGTAGGGAGATGTCTACCCGCAAAACAAATGAGACAGACTAACCAGCTTCTGTCTCATAGTATACCCTGAGGGGGCCCAGTATTGGCTCCAGCCCTTCTTGCTGCAGTTGAGGAACCATGCAGGGTGTGATATGGTTTCTTGAACTCTTACATGTTGTGGGAGGGATCCAGTGGGAAGTAATTGAATCATGGGGTAAGTCTTTCCCATGCTGTTCTCATGATAGTGAATAAGTCTCACAAGATCTGATGGTTTAAAAAAGAGGAGTTCCACTATACAAGCTCTCTCTCTCTTTGCCTGCTGCCATACATGTAAGGCATGACTTGTTCCTCCTTTCCTTTCACCATGATTGTGAGGCTTCCCCAGCCACGTGGAACTGTAAGTCCATTAAACCTCTTTCTTTTGTACATTTCCCAGTCTCAGGTATGTGTTTATCAGCAGTGTGACAATGGACTGATACAGTAAATTGGCACCAGAAGAGTGGGGTGCTTCTGAAAAGATACCCAAAAGAGTGGAAGCAACTTTGGAACTGGGTAACAGGCAGGGGTTGGAACAGTTTGGAGGGCTCAGAAGAAGACAGGAAAATGTGGGAAAGTTTGGAACTTCCTAGAGACTTGTTGAATGACTTTCCCCAAAATGCTGACAGTGATATGGACAATGAAATCCAGGTTGAGGTGGTCTCAGATGGAGATGAGGAACTTGTTGGGAACTGGAGCAAAGATAACTCTTGCTATGTTTTACCAAAGAGACTGGTGGCATTTTGCCCGTGCCCTAGAGATCTGTGGGACTTTGAACTTGAGAGAGATGATTTAGGGTATCTGGCAGAAGAAATTTCTAAGCAGCAAAGCATTCAAGATGTGACTTGGTGCTGTTAAAGGCATTCAGCTTTATAAGGGAAGCAGAGCATGAAAGATTGGATAATTTGCAACTTGACAATTCAATAGAAAAGAAAATTCCTTTTTCTGATGAGAAATTTATGCCAGCTGCAGAAATTTGTGTAAGTAACAAGAAGCCCAATATTAATCCCCAAGAAAAATGGGAAAAATGTCTCTAGGGCATGTCAGAGGTCTTCATGGCAGCCCCTGCCATCACAGGCCTGGAGGCCTAGGAGGAAAAGATGGTTTTGTGGGCTGGGCCCAGGGTCCCCCTGCTGTGTGTAGCCTAAGGACTTGGTGCCCTGCATCTCAGCCACTCCAGCCATAGCTAAAAGGGGCCAACAAACAGCTCAGGCTGTGGCTTCAGAGGGTGCAAGCCCCAAGCCTTGGCAGGCTCCACATGGTGTTGAGCCTACAGGTGCACAGAGGTCAAGAATTGAGGTTTGGGAACCTCTCTCTGGATTTCAGAGGATGTATGGAGATGCTGCGATGTTCGCGCAGGAGTTTGCTGCAGGGGTGGGGCTCTCATGGAGAACCTCTGCTAGGGCAGTGTGGAAGAGAAATTCGAGGTCAGAGCCCCCATACGGAGTCTCTGCTGGGGCACCACCTAGTGGAGCTGTGAGGAGACAGCCATTGTCCTTCAGACCCCAGAATGGTAGATCCACCGACAGTTTGCACCATGCACCTGAAAAAGCTACAGAAACTCAATGCCAGCCCATGATAGCAGCTGGGAAGGAGGCTGTACCCTGCAAAATCACAGGGGTAGAGCTGCCTGAAACCATGGGAGCCCACCCCTTGCATCATTGTGATCCGAATGTGAGACGTGAAATAAAAGGAGATGATTTTGGAACTTTAAAATTTGACTCCCCCTCTGGATTTTGGACTGACTTGGGGCCTGTAGCCCCTTCGTTTTGGCCAATTTCTCCCATTTGCAGTGGGTGCATTTATCCAATGCCTGTACCTTCATTGTATCTAGGAAGTAACTACTTGCTTTTGATTTTACAGGTTCATAGATGGAAGGGACTTTCCTTGTCTCAGATGAGACTTTGGACTGTGGAGTTTTGAGTTAATGCTGAAATTGAGTTAAGACTTTGGGGGACTGTTGGGAAGGCATGATTGGTTTTGAAATGTGAGGACATAAGATATGGGAGAGGCTGGGGTGGAATGATATGGTTTGGCTGTGTCCCCACCCAAATCTTATCTTGAATCCCCACATGTTGTAGGAGGGACCCAGTGAGAGGTAATTGAATCATGCGGATAAGTCATTCCCATGCTGTTCTCATGATAGTGAATAAGTCTCACAAGATCTGATGGTTTTATAAAGAGGAGTTCCCCTGCACAAGCTCTCTCTCTCTCTTCACATGCTGCCATCCATGTAAGACATGACTTTCCCCTCCTTGACTTTCACCATGATTGTGAGGCTTCCCCAACCACATGGAACTGTAAGTCCACTAAATCTCTTTCTTTTATGAATTTCCCAGTCTTGGGTATGTTGTTATCAGCAGCATGAAATCGGACTAATACAGGGTGCTACTGAGATGCATGCCCATTTGGGACACTGGGACCAACTGGTCAGGTCCCAGACCAGCTTTCTCACACAGCCAAGGTACTGTCCTTAGGTCTCTCTCAGGTCTATATGAGCTAAAAAGCCATGTCAACCTCAGAATCCCCAGAGACTCATGTCACTCCTGGGCTTAAAGCCTCCTCTAGCTCTGAGACAGCTGTAGTGGTCACAAACTCAGGGAACATAACAGCTAGTCTGCTTAGAATCTCTAGAAGGTCCTCTGAAGAAGGACAGGCACAAACAAAGCTAGACTGTGAAGACTGGAATAAATACCTAATTGATCAATGCACAAACAACACTACATATCCAAAAGCATCATGAACATTCAGAGAAATATGACCTTACCAAATGGACAGAATAAGCCTTCAGAGGCTGACTATAAAGTGATGGAGATGTGTAATCTATCAGACAAAAATTCAAAATAGCTGTTTTAAAGAAGCTCAACAAATTTCAAGAAAACATACAGAAAGAATTCTGAAACTTGGAGAAATTTAACACATCAAAATAATAATAATAAGTCCTGGACCTGAAATATTTGATGAATGAAATGAAAAATGTGAGAGAGCATTAACAGCAGAGCTGATCAAACAGAAGTTAGAATAAGTGAGCTTGAAGACAAACTGTTAGAAAATAAGAGAAAAAATAAAGAAACAAAAAGCCTATGGGATCTACAAAACAACATCAAAAGAGAAAATATATGGGTTATTGGAGTTCAAGAGAGATTTCAGCCATAGTGGCATGCATATGTAATGACAGCTACTCATGAGGCTGAGGTAAATGAATCACTTGAACCCAGGAATTTAAGGCCAGATTAGGCAACACAGTAAGACCTGTCTCCAAAAATAAAGAGAAGAGAGTTCAGAAAAACAAAGGTGTACGAAACTAATTCAAAGAAACAATAACAGAAACTTCCTTCAAACAAAGAGAAAGATATAAATTCTTAAGTACAGGAAGGTTAAACTTTTTAAACAAAGGTTTAAAAAAATAAACAAATTCAACCCAAATAAGACTACCTGATCACAGATTGCAATGAATTGCTCAAAGGTCAAAGACAAAGGATTCTGAAAGCAGTGAGAGAAAAGAAGCAAATAACATATAAGGGACTTCCATACTCCTGGCAGCAGACTTCTCAGAAGAAACACTGCAGGCAAGAGGGAGTGGGAGAATATATTCAGCATACTGAATGGGAAGAAAAAGACAAAAATACTGCCAATTAAGAATGTTGTACCTAAAAAAGCTGTCCTCTGGAGATAAAAGCAAGTTCAATACTTTCCCAAGGAGACAGAAGCAGATGAAATTAATTTCAACAAGACTTGTCCTACAAGGAATGCTAAAGGAAGTTTTTCAAACTAATGAAAAGAAAAAGATTCTAATATGTAACAGGGAAACATCCGAAAGTTAAAAACTCATTGGGAAAATAGGTACACAAACAAGTTATACTTAATTTAATACTCTAATACTGTAATTGTACTGCATAAACCACTTATATCTTAGTATGAACCCTAACAGGCAAAACTATTAGATACAATTATATTAACTCGTTAATGGATAGCCAATATGAAAAGATGTAAAATGTGACATCAAATATACAAAATGAAGTGGAATGGAGTTAAAGTGTAGAATTTTTATCTTTTCTTGTGTAATGAAAGTTAGGTCATTACCAAATTAAAATAACTTATTTTAACTATAAGGTCTTTTTGTAATCCCCGTGGTAACTACAAGGCAAAAGTTATAATAAATCCACTAAAAGTAAAAAGCAATAAATCAAAACATACTATTGGAGAATCACTTAGCCACAAAGACGGTGAAAGAGAGAAAGACACAAAGAAAGAAAGAAACAAAGAAAGAAAGAAAGAGAAAGAGAGAGAGAAGGAAGGAAGGAAAGGAAGGAAAGAAAAGATCTAAAAAACAAGTCACAAAATGACAGGAATAAATTTTTACCCAAAAATAATTACCTTGAATGTAAATGGATTAAATTGTCCAGTAAAATTCATAAAATGGCTGAATGAAAAAAAAGAAAAGCAAGATGCAACTATATGCTGTCTACAAGAAACTCACTTCACCTGTAAAAACAAAATTAGACCAAGTGAGGACGTCTAAAAACTGTTAGAAGAGTCAAAGAAGGCCATAATATAATAATTAAGGAGGTAATACAGCAAGAAGGTATAACAATTATATATGTACTCAACACTGGAGCACCTAAACATATAAAGCAAATAGAAATAGACCTAAAGGGAGAGATAGACTGCGATATTATAATCGTAAGTGATTTTAACATCCCACTTTCAGCAACATACAGATCATCCAAATAGAAAATCAACAAAGAAACATTGGAGTTAAACTGCACTCTGGATCAAATGGTCCTAACAGTTACCTACAGAAAAGTCTTTTCAACATCTGAAGAATACACTTTTTTTTTCAACAGCACAGGGAACATTCTTCAGGACAGACCATATGTGAGGCTACAAAACAAGTTGTAACAAATTTTTAAAATCAAAATTATATCAAGTACGTTTTCTGACAATGGCCTAAAATTAGAAATCAATAATAAAAGAAACTTTGTAAACTGTAAAAATACATATAAATTAAGCAACATGCTTTGAAACAACAAATAGGCCATTAAAAAAAAAGAGAAGAAAAGTTTTAAATATTTTAAATATCTCAAGACAAGTAAAAATGGAAATACAACATACCAAAACCTATGGGATACAGCATAAGCAGTTCTAAGGGAAAAGTTTATGGCAATAAATGGCTAAATTTAAAAAAAAGAAGTAGAAAGAGCTCAAATAAACAGCCTAATGTTGAACCTAAGGAAATAAGCAATATAAAATAGTAAAATAGAAATAGTAAAAGTAAAGAAATAATGTTCAGAGCAGAAATAAATAAAATAAAGACTACAATAATACAAAAAAGATATAACAAAAAGTTGGGTTTAACAAAATCATCAGACATTTAGCCAGATTAAGAAAAAATGAGAAGACTCAAATAAAATCAAAGATTAAAATGGAAACATTACAACTGATACCACAGAAATATTAAGAATCACTAAAGACTATTTGTAACAACTATATACAAACAAACTGAAAAACCTATGAGAAATAAATTCCTGTAAACATACAACCACCAGATTCATACTTCTTGAATCATGAAGAAAAACAAAACCTGAAAGGATCAATAAAAAGCAATAAGATTAAGTAATGAAACATCTCCTATCAAAGAAAAACCCAGGATCTCGATGATTGAATTTTAGAAAACATTTAAAGAATAACTAACATCAATTTTTATTGAATTATTCCAAAAATTAAGGTGGAGGGAATTCTTCTAAACTCATTATATGTGGCCAGCATTACCCTGATACCAAAAGCAGAATAAAACATAGAAGATGAAAAATACTGGCCAATATGCCTGATAAACATAGGTGCAAAAATCCTCAACAAAATACTAGAAAACCGAATCCAACAGCTCATCAGAAAAGATTGTTTACCATGATCAAGTGGGGTTCATCCTGGGGATATAAGGATGGTTGAACACATGCAAATCAATGAACATGATACATCACATCAATGGAGTGAAGGACAAAAACCTATCTCAATACACAGAAATAAAAATATTTGATAAAATTTAATATCCCTTCATGCTAGAAACTCTCAACAAATTATGTATAAAAGAAACACATCTCAACACAGTAAAGGAGATATTTGACAAACTCACAGTTCAATACTGAATGGGGAAAAGTTGAAAAAGACAAGGATGGCCACTTTCACCAATGTTATTTAACATAGTACTGGAGGTCCTAGTCAATTAGGCAAGAGAAAGAAATAAGGAGCATCTAAACTGGAAACACAAAAGTCAAATTTTCCCTATTGTCAGACAACATGATCTTATATATGGAAAACCTAATAGACTATAAAAACTTATTTGAATAAATGAATTTCGTAAATTTTCAGAATACAAAAATCAACACACAAATCAGTAGCATTTCTATATGCCAATAATAGTGAACTATCTGAACTAGAAATTAAGAAAGCAATGCCATTTACAATAGCTATCAAAAAAATAAAATACTTAGGAATATACTTTACCAGAAGGTGAAAATCTTTACAATACAAAATACAAAACACTGATAAAATAAATTGAAGAGGATACAAACAAGTTGAAAGATATCCTATGTTCATGTATTGGAAGAATTAATATCGTTAAAATGTTCATAATTCCCAAAGTGATCTACAGATTCAGTGCAATCCCTATCAAAATACCAATATCAAAAGTAGAAAAAAATCCTAAAATTTGTGTGGAATCACAAAATACCCTGAATTGCTAATGCAATCTTTAATAAAAAGAACAAAGCTAGAGGCTTCTCACTACCTGACTTCAAAATATAGTACACAAAGCAATAGTAACCAAAACAGCATGTTACTGGCATAAAAAACACACATGTGGACCAACAGGTGGAATAGAGAGCCTGTAAATAAATCTAGGCATTTACAGCTAATTGATCTTTGACAACGGGGTGAAGAACACACAATGAGAAAGTTTCTTCAATAAATGATGCTGAGATGGCTGGATAGCTATATGTAGACAAATAAAATTTGACCCTTATATAACACCATATACAAAAATCAACTCAAAATGTGTTAAAAACTTAACTGATGCTGAGATGACTGGATAGCTATATGTAAGTCCTGTAACTGTAAAACTACTAGAAGAAAACAGGGGAAAAGATTCTTGACATTGTTCTGGGTAATGATTTTTGGGGGTATGTCTCCAAACACATTGGCAACAAAAATAAAACTTAAAAAATGGGATTGCTTCAAACAAAAACAATTCTGCACAGCAAAGGAAATAATAAACAGAATGAAGAGACAACCTACAGAGTAAGAGAAAATATTTGCAAGTCAAACATCTGATAAGGAGTTAATATCCAAAATATACAAATAATGCAAACAACTCAATGATAAGAAAACAAATAATCTGATTTAAAAATGGGCAAAGAATCTAAAGACAAATTTCTCAAAAGACAAAGAGCCAACAGGTATATGAAAAAATGCCCAAGATCATTAGTAATTAGGGAAATACAATTTAAAACCACAATGAATTTTCATTTCACACCTGTTAAAATAGCAACTATCAATATGACAAAAAGTAACAAGTTTGGCAAGGAGATGGAGAAAAGAAAGCCCTTATATATTGCATATATTGCTGGTGAGAATGTAAATTAGAATAACCATTATGGAAAACAGTGTGAATGTTTTTGAAAAAATTAAAAATGAAACTATCATAAGACCTAACAATCTCATTTCTGAGTATATTTCCACTGAAAATAAAGTGAGTATATAAAGGGTATCTGCACTTCCAGATTCCTTGCAGCATTTATGGTAGCCAATATTTGGAATCAAATACACACACACACACACATACACAAACACATACACATACACATACACAAGGAGTCTTCAAAAAGTTCATGAAAAATGTATATTATGAAAAAACTATACATGGACTTCAAAATTGTTTGCATCAAAATATTTTTGCACCAAAATAAACTTGTATTAACATGTTTTTATTTTTCTATTTTCATTTCTTTGAGACTAAGTCTCTCTCACTGTCATCCGGGCTGCAGTACAGTGGCATGATCACGGCTCACTGCAGCCTAAACTATCCAGGTTCAGGTGATCCTCCCACCTCGGCCTCCCAAGTAGCTAGGACTACATACATGCACTACCAGGCCTGGCTTATTTTTGTATTTTTTTATAGACATGGGGTTTAGCAATGTTACCCAGGCTGGTCTCGGACTCCTGGGCTCAAGTGATCCACCCACCTTGGTCCTACAAAGTGCTGGGATTACTGGTGTGAACCACCGCACCCAGCTAATATTACCATATTATAACAGGATCTAGTTTGGAGTACTAACAAGAATAAGACATCAATTTGAAAAAAGCTCTTATCAGAACATTATGAATTTTACTAAAGTTGAAGTAAGAGAAATCACCAAATTTATAGTGAATCTTGGGTGGAAGAATGGTGAAATCACTGATGCTTTACAAAAAGTTTATGGGGAAAATGACTGAAAGAAATTAGTAGCTTACAAATGGATAGCTTGATTTAAGAAAAAAAAAAATGAGATGATGTCAAAAATGAAGACTGCAGTGGCAGACCAATTAGGAATACAACATAGTTTTAATCATACAAATGGGCCAAAGGCAAGTAGATATTACTCTTTTCTTGCAATGGGTGACAGTTTGGTTGGACACTGAACTGAGCCCCAAATTTTCTGCCAGTTAGAACACAAAGAATAACATGTTGAACCACATTCTTTTCATTATCTAACAAACAAAAGTACACAGATTTGTCTCTACAGTCTTTGTTACTTCCTGGAACTAAACTCAAGCAGGAATTTATGACATGAAAACACGCAGAAGGCACATCAGAACACATCGCTTCAATTATGTGATTAGAAAACACAAAAATTCCATTCAGACCACCCTTTATAAAAACAGCAAGCATAAGGTTAAAGCAAAATTTAACGAAAGCAGTTGGTTGGGGAAAATAAGACAAGGGGGTCTAAAGACTGACATTCACAGGATCTGAATTAAGATAGGGGATCATTTTAAATAGTGAGATATTGAACTTATCAGTTAGATTCTTTCAAATGTCAGATTCCTTAGGTTACACTGGCAGAGGCTAAATTTTTGTCAGTTCATGATTAAATCTCACAAGAAACTGCAGTATAAATATTCTGAGTTGTCAGTTAAAATGAAACTTCCTTGCTTTAGTTATTAGTCAGGACCTGTCACTTTTGTCAACCACATTTGTTCTCATCACAAACAAGTGGTCTTACTGCAGGAAAGATGCCAGCCTAAGAAAACTGTTTTTCTTATGATTGGCCCTGTACAGGTTCTCAGAGAAGACTCTATCATCTATAACTTCTAATGTAGGGAAAAAGAATGTACTCTAAAAGAATTGTCTTTGAAGCATAAATTATTTGTGTTTGATTTTTTTTGTGTGTGATTGGTTATTCTTATCCATAGAAGGGCTTTAATGTAATGTCTCTTAAAGTTGAAATATTAAAAATTTTACCTTTTAATATTTATAATTATGTGAGAACATTTGACCTCACCAAAATATGTTACGATACTGATTCTGAGTAGATGATAAATAGGTCATATTTACCCTCTCTAAGTAGAGGGTAAATAGGTCATATTTCCCCTCTCTAAGTAGAAGGTAAATAGGTCATATTTCTCTGACTGTCTATTGAAAATATTTTTAGTGGAACCAAAATTTGAATTCACACAAACCAGTAATACTGAGAATTGACACATTGTCACTGAGAAGTGACAGAATGGAAAGGTGGCCTGTGTGGGAAGAACAAAACCACTGTTTTATTAGGATCACAACTTTTTCGAGAAGGATAAAGGGGCATTACTTTATTTTACAAGGTTCCCAGATCCCAGTTAGCCTTGTATCTGTTTAATTTTGATGAATTATTAAGCAAACATTTTTAAGTGAATTAATTATTAAAAACTATTCATTTTCATTTAGCCATAAATGTAAAATTGTCATTAAAATTTTTGGGTCATTTTAACTATTTTAAGCTGTACTTTCTTTAATGCTGCTTACTATCTTAAAAACAAATCAATAAATGTCTCCATTTTAATGTAAAAAAGATTAAATATTAATAATAACACCAACCCAAAGACATCATTAGCATAAGTGAGCTGAAAAATGCACCCTTATATAACTACCTAAGCTCTACCTATTAGTTGGGTTAATCTTGATTAAATATTGATGAGTATACAACAGATTATTTCAACTTATATTAATATTTAATTGATGCTGAGTTTTTTCTTTATGTAAAAATTAGCTGTAATCTTTCTTTTAAGATCTTTTCTGATAAAAATAGTAAAATGAATAATCTAGAACTATGAGAATGTTTTCATTTTGTATACAATATAATAGAACCTGCACCAAGAACTCCTAACAAGTGCCCAAATACAATAGCTATCCACTAAACATGAATGAAATGAACAGTATTGTGATAAAGTTTGTCTACATTTTACTTAAGGAATATATCTGTTAGATTTCCACTCTGGCCACAAGGTAGTAATTCAAATCAGCTTGCTTCCCACCAAAACCAACTAAAAATTTAGACAAAATTATACCAAATAATCCTACAGATATTAGAAAACATACAAGGTAGGAATGTTATTCCTGAGAGAAGAAAAAAGAATGAGGTTTTTGCCTGGTGGCACTTTCTGACTGCAGTTCAGAGAGGGGTTATTCCAAATGAAGCACAGTAGGCTTTTCCAGTTCATGGTAAATACAAAGTCTAATAGCTGAATCACTATTTCATGCCAACAGTTAAATTTTTAACTTTTAATATAATCTAATGGGAATCTAAATTCTTCAGATGATGTGTTGTGGCAGAAGAATTTGAACTTGGTAAGACTTTCAAATACAAATAAGTTTACAAGTAGAAAATCTATTAGAGACAACAAATCATTTTTTAAAATAAAGCAATTGATCAGTTCAGCACAAATAGAAATAACATTTTAAAATTCTCAAATAAATCTTTTATTTTAACAAACTGGACATCAAGAACTTAGCAAAGTGGAAATAGAAAGTAATTATGGAGCATGATAAAGAACATCTAAACCCACTAGTTAATAGTATACCAATAATAAAGCACTAGAGGTCTTCTCATTAAAAGCAATAATAAAATACAAATGCTTCTATCACATTTGTTACTTAATGTTATTCTAGGATGAATAAGATGTCTGATGATAGGAAATTGGTTAAAAATGCATGTATTTGTATATATATGAAATAACTATCTAAAATTGTGTTTTAAATAATTAAAAAGGAAATATCTGCATGACTTTTTAATATTTCACGATATTCCATTTTAAAAATGCAATATCATGTATCTTATTGTTCTATTGTTCAGCATTTCTAGAACATAAAAGGTTAAGGATAAAAAATAAAATACAGAAAATTTTAACAGTGATTATTTCTTAGTATGTTTTTCAAAATAAGCATAAATTATTTTTATGATTACATGATTACATTTTATTTTTAAAAAGAAAAATACCTACATCTGTGTAAATACTCATATAAAAATATAAAATATAGAAGACTATGCAACAAATTGTTAATATTGGTTATATTTTGAGTTGGTGGCATGGAAGTGTATGGATGGGAACAGAGATCTCTACATTATTTGAATTGTCATAGGAACATGTGAAAAACATGATAAAATAAATTCATTCAAAGAACTATCATAAATAAAATAGAAGAGAAATAATGACACACCATTTGCAAAATATGATGTACTGCATTTTTAAGCTGTAGTTAGCAGAGATAATAATAAAGATGCAATATGCGAACAAAACTATAAAAATGGCAAAATCAATATCACACTGAATGGTCAAATGCTGGAAGCATTCCCCTTGAAAACTGGCAGAAGACAAGGATGTACTCTCCCATCACTTCTGTTCAACAAAGTGTTGGAAGTTCTGGCCAGGGCAATCAGGCAAGAGAAAAAAATCAAGGGTATTCAAATAGGAAAGAGGAAGTAAAATTATCTTTGTTTGCAGGTGACATAATACTATATCTAGTAAACCCCATCACCTCAGCCCAAAAGCTTCTTAAGCTTAAGCAATTTCAGCAAAGGCTCAGTATATAAAATTAATGTGCAAAAATTGCTAGCATTCCTATACACCAACAACAGGTAAGCAGAGAGCCAAATCTTCACATTTGACATAAAAATAGTTAAAAAAAAAAAAAAACCTAGCAATACAGCTAACAAGGGAAGTGAAGGACCTCTTCAAGGAGAACTACAAACCACTGCTCAAAAAAATCAGAGCAGACACCAACAAATGAAAAAACATTCCATGCTCCAGGATAGGAAGAATCAATACCATGAAAATGGCCATACTGCCCAAAGTGGTTTATAGATTAATTGCTATTCCCATTAAATTACCATTGACATTCTTCACAGAATTAGAAAAAACTATTTTAAAATTTATATGAACCAAAAAAGAGCCCTAATAGCCAAGACAATTCTAAGCAAAAAGAACAAAGCTAGAGGCATCATGCTACATGACTTCAAACTATACTCCAAAGCTACAGTAACCTAAACAGCATGGTCCTGGTACATAGTACATGGTACATGATACAGAGACACATAGACCAATGGAACAGAATACAGAACTCAGAAATAAGACCACACACTTGCAACCATCTGATCTTCGACAAACTGACAAAACAACCAATGGAGAAAGGACCCTCTATTTAATAAACGGTGCTGCAAGACCTGGCTAGCCATATGCATAAAATTGAAACTGGACCCCTTCCTTATGACTTATACAAAAATTAACTCAAGATGGATTGAAGACTTAAATGTAAAACCCAAAGCTATAAAAACCCTTGAAGAAAATCTAGATAATACCATTAAGGACATAGGCATGGACAAAGATTTCATGACAAAAACGCCAAAAGCAATTTCAGCAAAAGCCAAAATTGACAAATGGGATCCAATTAAACTAAAGAGTTTCTGCACAGCAAAAGAAACTATCATCAGAGTGAACACACAACCTACAGAATGGGAGAAACTTTTTGCAATCTATCCATCTGACAACGGTCTAATATCAAGAGTCTACAAGGAACTTAAACAAATTTACAAGCAAAAAACAAACAAGCCCATTAAAAATGGGCAAAGGATATGAGCAGACACTTCTCAAAAGAAGACATTTATGTGACCAACAAACATATGAAAAAAAGCTCAACATCACTGATCGTTAGAGAAATGCAAATCAAAACCACAATGAGATATCATCTCATGCCAGTCAGAATAGCTACTATTAAAAAGTCAGCAAACAACAGATGCTGGCAAAGTTGCAGAGAAAAAGGAACGTTTCTACACGGTTGGTGGGAATGTAAATTAGTTCAACCATGTGGAAGACAGTGTAGCCATTCCTCAAATACTTAGAAGTAGAAATACCATTTGACCCAGCAATTCCATTACTGAGTATATACCCAAAGGAATATAAATCATACTATTATAAAGATACATGCATGTGTATGTTCATTGCAACTCTATTCACAACAGCAAAGACATGGAATCAACCTAAATACCTATCAATGATAGACTGGATAAAGAAAATGTGGTACATATATACTATGGAACACTATGCAGCCATAAAAAGGAAAGAGATCATGTTCTTTGCAGGATCATGGATGGACTTGGAAGTCATTATCCTCAGCAAACTAATGCAGGAACAAAGCCAAACACTGCATGTTCTCACGTATAAGTGGGAGCAGAACAATGAGAACACATGGACGCATAGGTGCAACAACACACACTGGGGCATGTTGGAGATAGGTAGGGGAAGGGAGAGTGTCAGGAAGAATAGCTAATGGATGCCGGGCTTAATACCTAGGTGATAGGATGGTCTGTGCAGCAAACCACTATGATACACGTTTGCCTATGTAATCTACTACTATGTAAATTACTAAACAGACCCTACTCAAGTTTTACAGTCGGTATAAGATTGCAGTATTAACTACAGATAGGAACTCCATGGGACACACTCCTCTTGCCCAAGAAACCAATAATCATACAACTTAGTGATTGCTCATGCTACCTTGGCAGCCTCTGTAACATCATTCAAAGGATTTAATTCTCTGCCATTTAATAAAGATTGCTTTGCCTCTTATTTCCTCTATGTGTAAAATTAATTTTGATCAGCAAAACTTATTATGGACGTACCTTCATTAGCATTAAAGATCCACTGATGGTTAACATGGTCCTCATTCTTGAATTGCTCACTGTTTTACAGAAGCTCATTGCTTACACTTTTATGATGTTGATATAAACACTTAATGCAAAAATAATTTAGGTGGAAGTAGAACGGTAACAAGAAATGCTTAGTTTCAACCAGCTAACTTTTAAATTTTTGTTCTTTATTTAAATCTATTAAGTTAATCTATTGGCTAACAAAATGCATAATTTAAAACTAGTTTAATAAGCAAAAAGTGGATCATTAAGAATTTCTTTTTCTTTTTAAAACTTCAGGTGTATAGTTGAGTTAACCAGAGTCCTTCTTTCCTGGGCTATTATCATCTTTATAAATCCCTCTTCTATTTTATTTGAATGTGCTTGTTTTCACTTTCATCCCTCCCTCCAGCCCCATTCTCCCCCTTGGACCACTGTAATATATTTAACTCACATCTTTATTGTATGCGCATCTCCTGAAATATATGGTATTCTTATAGGTGACATTTAATTTACACCAAATTGTATTCTAAATATCAGTTCATTTTTTGCACACCCGGCACTGCATCTTTAAAACATATTCATGTGCTGTGTCTAAATCTTGCTCATTTCTTCTGATACAAACATGTTGCGTTCCATCATGTGCGTACACAATATTTTTTTATTCTCACCCCTACTGAATGTCTAGGGTGCCTCCAACTTTTACTACTACAAGTGACTGCTATAGTGAATATCTTTTCACAGGCCAGCTAAACTCATAGATCAGCCAAACTTTTCCTCTGACAGATATGCCCTGGAATTGGATTGGTAGGGTAGGGTATAAGCATATTAATTTGTCTAATTACAGCCAGGTTGCTCTTCAGAATGTCTCCAACAGTTTGCCTTCTGACCATGAGGACACGAAATGTCCTATTTCTTCCCATTTTCTTAAATATCGAATATTATCTAACTTCTAATTTTTGTAAGTCTAATGGGATAGAGAAGAATTTATTCTCATGTTTTAATTTCTCCAAAGTGTAAAGTGAATCTGAACCTTTTTTTACCACACACTTAGTCATTTGGGTTTCCCTTTCAGCAAAGGTCAAGAGCAAGCGGAAGTGCTGAGTGAGTCCCATGCACTAAGAACACGCCTGTCAAGGCCTCCTAACTTTCTCCTGTAGGGGTCAAAAGAAGGCCAGTGTGTTCAAAATTGCAATGTCCCTCTCCTAGCCATTGCTACCCCTTGGTATGCCCACCAAGTCTAATCTCATTATGCTGTTATTCCCATTTAGGCCAGACTCTAATTCCCAATGGCTCTGCATTGTGCTCTCATCTCCCGTCCTGCCCCAGGACCTGAAATTCTTACTCTCTGATCTCCAGGATTCACAGTAGGTCATCAGAAAAATTCCTATGTCTATCTTAAATCTCATCTCTCAGTGTGTTCCTCATCTTCTAGCTCTAATTGAACCCTGGGATCCTTCAGAAGACATAACTTCCCCTGCAGCTCTCACAACATCTCTTCATGTTAAAAACCCTCAACAAACTAGCACTGAAAGAACTTCCTTCAAAATAATAAGAGCCAATCTATAACAAACTCACAGCCAACATCATACTAAATAGGCAAAAGCTGGAAGAATTCGCTTTTGAAAACTGGAATAAGACAAGAATGCCCACTCTCACCACTCCTGTTCAACATAGTACTGGAAGTCCTACCCAGAGCAATCAGGCAAGAGAAAGAAATAAAAGCCATCAAAATAGGAAGAGAGGAATTCAAACTACCTCTTTTGCAGACAATATGATTCTATACCTAGAAAACTCCATAGTCTTTGCCCCAAAGCTCCTAGATCTGATAAACAACTTCAACAAAGTTTCAGGATACAAAATTAATAGGCAAAAATAAGTAGCATTTCTATACACTAACAACATCAAAGCTGAGAGCCAAATCAGGAATGCAATCCCATTCATAATAGGCCACAAAGAATAAAATACCTAGGAATACAGCTAAGCAGGGAGGTGAAAGATCTCTGCAGTGAGAATTACAAAATACTGCTGGATCATTCTTGAAAATACACTTATGTTATTATTTCTCCTGTGTATGTTTTGAAATAAAAAATTCCCTGCATAATTTCTCTCTCCGGCTGCTGTCCTATTTCTCTATTTTTGGTTATAGCAAAACTCCTTGAAAGAACTGTCTACTCTTGCCATCTTTAATTCATCTCCCTCCTATTCTCTCCAGGCAGATTTGTCCCACCATTACCCCAAGGCTTTTCTTGTCAAGGTCAAAATGGCTCCCATGTTGTCATTGGTCAATTTTTATTCCTCACCTTTCTGCAACTATCAGCAACATTTTGCACACTGGAGCACTTCCTAAAATGGATTCCTTCCACTGGATTTCTAAATACCACTCTCCTGGTCTCTGTTTTACCTCAACATTCTTTCTCAGATTTTTAGCTGTCTTCTCCTAACATTCCTGGACACTACAGTTACTTAATCTCTCTGAGCCTGTTTGTCATCTACCATGCATAGATGTTATGAGGATTGAATTAAATAACATGTGTAAACAACCAAAAATTAAGCTTAGAACACAGACATTCAATGAATAATAGTTATTACTTTTAGTAATAGCAAACATGATATGGGGAAACAATTAGAATTTTCATTGAAGGAATAACAAAGATAATGCCTGCAGTGATTCCTAGTTAGGTTTCCCAGGAGTGGGTAAAAAATAAAAAGTCACAGTTTAACTTTTAAGAGAAATATGCATGAATAAAATAATAACTAATTTTATTTCTCAGTATGAAAATCCCCTAGTCAGAAAACTGAAATACTAAATGTCATCTTAGACAGAAGATTCTAAACACACAAATTTTAAGAATATCAATGTTACATTACACCAACTTATAAAACAAAAATTGTTAAAGGCAATTATACAGTTTTTGAGCTTAGAATGTTCATTATGAAATTTTGGGATTTCAGACCAGGGGAAAATGACATTAGGAAAATGTTATTAGTTACAATGGGCTAGTTTATGCTATAAACAATCCAAAAATTTCAAAGGCTTACAACATCAGTTTGTGAAGATTTTCCTCACCCTGTCACATGTCATCACACATGTGGCTCTGCCTCATGCTGCTTTGACTCTAGGACACAGGCTGATGAAGGAGCCACTGTCTGGAACAGTGCCCATAACTCTTATGGGAGCTGGGGGTGGGAAATACAGCAAAGTACATAATAGCTCCTTAAAACTGCCCCCTGGAAGAGATACTCATCACTTTCTTCACATATCAAAGATTAACACGAGTTGTTTAGTCACATATAATTGCAATTGGATTAGATCATGTAACCCTTTCATATGCTGGGAAGAGGAAAGAAATTGAATATTTATGAACAGCCCTGGTATCTATCACTCTTGAGATCCAACTTCAGAGTTCAGTACCCAGTTTCTTTGACTCCTTAAATAGGAAGAATCCCTCAACCCTCAATGGTCCTTATAAAACATACAGACAATTTTTCTAGAATTAGAAGACACATCCATACTTTAAGTAGCAAATCTGAACTTAGATCTGCAAAAGACAGAGATTCCTTAGAGGGAGCAAACTATAAATAGTTTGGCGCTCGTATCAACAAGTTTGGTAGGAATTGGTATTTCTCTCTAGGCATTACATCTGATCTCTTCTATGGCCTGCGGCAAGTTGTGTAATAACACCATCTTTCAAGAAAATAAGGAGACGTAATGAGTGATTGATGGTGGAACATTTCTGAGCAGAGTAAGGATGTGATTGAGATTAATAGTGAAACCTTCCCATCAGATGGAAGCCTAAACTGCTGAGTGACTGACACTGAAGAAACAAAACACTGACATGCAAAGTGCTTCAAATCCTATGTGACGGGCTGTCTATATTGTAAAGAGTTATTATATATGAGCATGTCATATTTCCTTCTTGGTTTCACATTGATGGAAAAAGAAAACCCATACACTCAAATCTGGCTCTGAATTTTCCCTGTGGTAAAACAGGCATTATCAGGAACTAGCTACATAATATTATATTTATCACATATCCCAATGAGAATGTTTGCATTACCTAGTAAAGAGTCCCAAGAGAAGGAAGCAGAAATAATTCCTGTAGAGACAAACGATTTCCTATGTAAAGGCTGTAAATAATGACACACTGAAGCACACATTGTTAGTAATAAGTTGTGATGCTTTCAGTGATCACAACTCAAACTCTACCAGACCAAAATATTTGAACAAAATATTTGGACAATTATAAATTTTTTAAAAAAGCATTTCAAAACACAGGCATTATGCAGCATAGCACAATATATATTTTACAATTTATTTTCCCCATTTTCTGTTCTCTTTTTTCAACTATATAGGTTATAAGTAATTTCTCAATGTAACAGTTCAAGCAATAGAAAAATTTATAGGACAAAACCTCAACATTCCTCTTCATTCACCCTATCCCGACAGGAGGTGGTAACCACTAAGTTGACAAAAATCGTTTGATTTATATGATAATACACACACATTTGATTAATTTTTAACACGAAAGAGATGAAAATCTATATATTAAAATATAATTTATTTTTCCCTTAATAATGTGATTCACCAAAATTTCCATGTAAATACATATACCTTTATTCTATATTTTAACTGGTTGTACAAAATAGTTATACATATTTATTTACTTAACATTTCCCCTGTTGACAGTTGTTTAGTTCATTTAAAAAATATTTATTATTGAACATATGGTACAATATTAGAAGAAAATCTGTAAGGCTAAAATGGCTTTTATCCAAAAGACGGGCAATAACAAAGGTTGGTGAGGATATGGAGAAAAGGGACCCTTCATATACTGTTGGTGGGAATGTAAATTAGTGCAACTATGAAGAAGAACAGTTTGAAGTTTCCTCAAAAAACTAAAAATAGAGCTGCTATACGATCCAGCAATCCCATTGCTAGGTACATATGTAAAAGAAAGAAAAATCAGTATATTGAAGAGATATCTGCACTCCCATGTCTGTTGCAGTACTGTTCACAATAGCTTAGATTTAGAAGCAACCTAAGTGTCCACCAACAGATGCATGGATAAAGAAAATGTGGTACATATGCGCAATGGAGTACTATTTAACCAGAAAAAAAGGATGAGTTTCTGTCATTTGCAACCACGTGGATGGAACTAGAGGTCATTATGTTAAGTAAGCCAGGCACAGAAAGACAAACATTATACATTCTCACTTATTTGTGGAATCCAAAAATCAAAACGATTGAACTCATGGAGATAGATAACAGAGGGATGGTTACAAGTCTGGGAAAGGTAATGGGCAGGGTGGTGAGGATGATTAATTGATACAAAAACATAGCTTTTGAATGAATGAATAAGATCTAGTATTTGATAGCACACAGAGTGACTGTAGTCAATAATAATTTAATCATACATTTAAAAATAACTAAGAGTATAATTGGAGTGTTTGTAACACAAAGGATAAATGCTTGAGGTTACGGATACCCAATTTTCCATGATGTGATATTATGCACTGCATGTCTGTATCAAAATATCTCAAGTATCCCATAACTATATACTGCTACTATGTACCCACAAAAGTTAAAAATAAAAACATCTATAAGGTAAAATTTTGGTAGTGAACTTGTTAAATGCTAAACTTTTAATAGATTATGCTAAACTTTAATAGTTAATGCTAAACTTTTGATAGATATTGTAAAATTGCTTTCCTAATAGGCTCCACCATATTGCACTCCTACAGAGTGTATGAGAGAGACTACTTGCCTGGCAACATCAACAGCTTGTGCCAATCTAATGTGTAAAGATATCTCATTTTTAATTTACTTTTTTCTAATCAACTATATTAGCTTGTTTTTATTATCTATTTTGATGAACTGAAATGTATGTTTGTGACATTTTTCAACTGCATAATTTTTATTTTTCTTACTATTTTATAGCAACTGTAGATATTCTGGATAGCAACGTGTTGGCAGTTGAATATGTTGTAAATATATTTCCAGTATAATAAAACATATTAACTTTATATTTAGTGTATTTTGTAATGCAGAAGTTTAAATTTTATGTATTCAAATCAGCCCTTTTTCTATATGGTTGCTATCTTTGTGTCCCGCTTTGGAAAAAATTGCCCCTCTCCAAGCTAACTCAATTATTATCTTATTCTTTCTTCAAATCCTATCTTTTGAAGCCAAGTTAATGAGGTATTATTTACAAGAAGTAAAATTTATGTTGTTAGTGCACAGGTTTTGACAAATGTATGCAGTCATGGTACCACTACAATAATCAAGATCCAGAATGGATCCATCACCACGGAAAACATCCCTCCTGTCATTTCATAGTCAACCCTTGCCCCAGAACCCTGGCTCTGGCAACTACTGATCTTCCCTTCTGTTTCCATAGTTTTGCCTCCTCCATAGAGTCAAATAAATGGAATCATACACTATGTAGCCTTTAGAGGCTGGCGTCTTTCACTTAGCATAAGGTACTTGAGATTCATCTGATTGAGGATGAAGGTACTAGAACATGGATCCTTTTTTACTGCTGAGTAGTATTCTGTTATGTGGATACATTACAGTTTGCCACTTACCAGTTGAAAGACACTTGAGTTGTCTTCACTTTGGATGAGAAACAAAACTGCTAAAAATATTCTCTATAAGATTTTCATGTAAATACAAGTTTTTATTTATTTTAGGTAAATATCTAGGAGTGGGAATGCTAAATTATATGGTAAATGTATGTTTAACTTTTTTAAAAATGCTAAACTGTTTTTCAAAGGGACTATATTATTTTGCATCCTCACCAGCAGCTTATGAAAGTTCTAGTAGCTCTGCGTCTTTGCCAACTCTTGGAATTGTTGATTTGGTTTTTTGATTTGTTTTGTTGCTTTAGCTATTCTAATAAGTGTGTAGTGATAGCACATTGTGGTTTCAATTCCCTTTGTGGCTAATGATGTTAAGCATGTTTTATGTGTTTATTTGCCATTCACATATCTCCTTGGGAAAAATATCTGTTCAAATAATTTGTCCATTTTCATTGGCTTTTTAAATTTGGTTTTGAAAATTATTTCCATATTCTGGATACAGTTATCTATCAGATGTGTATATTTTCTCCAGTCTGTGGCTTACCTTTGCACTTTCTTAACAGTGTCTATCAAAGACCTCTCAGGTTCTTAACTTTGTGAAGTCCAATTTATCAATATGTTCTTTTATGAATCATGCTTTTGGTGTCTTCTCTAAGAAATTTTTGCCTAACTCAGAGTCATATATATTTTCTACTATATTTTCTTTTAGAAGTTCTCCAGTATAGGCTTTATATTTAGGTCTATGATATATTTTGAATTATGAATTATATTAGTTTGCTATGGCTGCCATAACAAAATACCATAGGCTAGATGGGCTTTAATAACAAAAATGTATTTTCTCACAGATTTGCAGGCTAGAGGTCAAGATCAAGGTGTTAACAGGGTGTTTTTCCCCTAAGGCCTGTCTTCTGGGCTTGCAGATAGTCATCTTCTCACCATGTGGGAAGATGCTGTTTCCTCTGTGTACACATATCCCTGGTGTCTCTGTATAGTCTAATATTTTAAAAATTGTCTTCATTTGTTTGTTTTCTGACTTATATTCTGGGTCTTAAGGATGAGGTTTTCTAAGTGATCTTGTTCTTTCCCTAGTGATAGGCTATTTATAGGCCCAAGACATTTTTCTGCCCCTCCCTTAAAGGGGGAGGATTAATAATAATCATTATTATTCCCAAACAACAGTGAGATTTCACTTGTGCCTGGGGTCATCTTTGTTTGCCACCCTTCTCTAGGGGCTTAAGGCTTTTGTTCCCTAGGAGAAAAGGACAATGAATTGCTTCATGCTTTTCTCACAGCAGCAGCCACTACCTTTATACAAACCTGCCCCCGCTAAAGTAAGCTTTCTCTAGTCTCCTACCCTAGAAGTACTGTTCCTCTTGAAAACCCTGTGAAATAATCTAAGAAGAGCCTCCAAATGCATGCAAACTCATACTTAATGCGTGGGAATTTTTTGAAAGCTTAGCTGAAAACATCTTACCTATTTTTTATGGTGGACCTGTTTTCCTTGTTCTACAAGTGAGACAGTGGTGACATCTTCATGTTTCCTGGAGATGCCTTTCTTTCCTTAGATTTCTGGCTTGCTAGCTGTCCTGAATCTCATTTGAGTCTCATTCTTGAACTCATGGTTTTGAGAAAAATTATGATTTTGTAGATTTTCTGGCTTTTTCTTGTTCTTAGGATGAGAGAGACTTTTTTCTAGCTTTCCATATCCTTTCAAAATTCTGCAATATTATTTTAATTTTTCTACTTATGTATATATTACTTATTAATTAAGATTTCCTTTTATATAACTCAGTAAAGTTTCATTTGGAAAATCGTATTCTTAAATATATTTTAAAAGATTTGTTTCTTGGTATTTTAGAATTTTTATTATTGTTATTTTGCTGTTCTTAGCTGCATTTTATTTTCTTATAGCTTTCAGTTGTTGTCACTGGTGTATAAGAAAATGAATGATTGTTGTAAATTGACTCAGTAAACTTATTGCATTTTTAATCTAAGTGCTTCAGTTGATTCTCTTGAATTTTCTAGTCTAATGATCATAATCACTGTAAGTAGTGACAGTTTTTTCTCTCTTTTCAATAACAACAATTAACTTTTTACATTAATTACAAATTGTTACATAATTTCAAATATTAGCAATTAATAGCAGGCATCTTTGTCCTCTTTCTAACTTTTTGTAGATTTATACTCTACACCAGATGAAAAAGATTTCTTTCTATTCCCAGGAGATTGATGTTTGTTGTTTTTGTTTTTTAATCTGGAATGAGTATTTAATCTTATTTGTCACATAATAAGATAATATTATTTATTTTCCTTTATTAATCTTTCAGGAGAGGAGATTAACATATTTTTAAATAATGTACTATCTTTACATTCCTGAAATACAACCTAATTGGTCATGTTCAATTTTTCTTTAATATAACTTTGAATTTGTTCTGCTAATATTTAGGGTGTTCCAGTATTATTCATTAGTGCTATTGTCTCACAGTATTTCTATGTGTACACGGGGGAAGGATGAGAACCTCGTTAGACTTTGGAATTTGGGTAATGCTAGCCTCATTGAGTTGGAAAGTTTTCTGTATATTACTAAGCTCTATAACAATGGCCTCCAGCCTTTTGGCACCAGGGACACGTTTCGTGGAAGACAACTTTTCCACGAACTGGAGCGGAGGTGGTTTCAGCATGCAACTGTCCCCCTCAGATCAGGCATTAGGTAGATTCTCATAAGGAGCGCACGTCCTAGATCCCCGCATGTGCAGTTCACAATAGGGTTCCTGCTCCTCTGAGAATCTAATTCCGTTGCTGATCTGACAGGAGGCGATGCTCAGGAGGTAATGCTCACTTGCCTGCAGCTCACCTCCTGCTAGTTCCCAACAAGCCACAGACCTATAGGTTCCAAGGGGTTGGGGACCTCTGCTCTAGAACACTTTCTCAAAAATAGAAGTTATATCTTCCTTGAAAATCTGATAGACTTTGATAGTAAATTCATGTTGCACTGATACAGTTATTAGGAGTAGAATTTTGACTACTAGTAAAAATGTTCTAAATAGTATTGATTTAGTCAGGTATTCTTAAAAATGTTCTAAATAGTATTGATTTAGTCAGATATTCTACTACTTCTTGAATTATTTTTGGTAATTTACATTTCCTTAGGAAATTAGCCATTTTATGCAGATTTTCAAGAGTCCTCGCATACATTTGTACTTATAATTTTGTAATAATTTTAATCACCTCAGTAAATTTAGTTATCTTCCATTCTTTAAGTTGCTCATCCGAGTCTTCTTTTTGTTGTTTGACCAACTCTATTCTGAAGTAAAAATTCCCACTATGAGACAGGTGAAAAGGGAGATGACACACAGTAGTTATTACACATTAGCCAGTAGGCAAGCATTTTGAAAACTCTATATCCTGGTAGTATTTCCTTGATTAGAACCTGATTCTTCTCTTATCCATTACTGTATGTGACCCCCTAGCTCAACTGTGCACAAGTTTCTTCATTGTTCATTATTCTCCATGGATAGAGTAGACATTGTGGAACATGATCTCATTACATGCTGTATAGGTATCACTGCACAACTCTTTTTGATGTGAGTTTGAGTTCCTAAGGATGTTTTACAATCTCCTCAAATATTGTGAATTGTTGCATCTAGCCAATTTTACGTATCTATAACTACATTCAAATGTTTTTCTGAGGCATAATTTACAAATTTAATCTCTTTATTCTTTTTTTAGGCCTTTCTCTCTCAACAAAAAGGCAGTTCCCTAAAGGTCATCTAAATAATAGGTTTGGAAGGGAAGGAAACTATATTAATTTAGATCTTAGTTCATTTGTTTAACCGTGAAGTTTTAATAGGCTTCTCTTGCTCTGTGCCTTTTAAAAAGTGTTAACTCTTAATATATGGGGTTAAAAAGCAATAAGCTCATCCAACTCTAAAAGGCCCCAAATTTTTAGCTGTCTAGGTATTTTTTGTTTGTTTGTTTATTTAGTATCTGTTCTCAAACCAGTCAATTTTTGCCTGAGCTCACCTCTTTCTCATGATACCTTAAAAGGGATAACCACCACACCTTACTAACAATCTCTTTTCCAACCTCTTCCCATAGAGCTAGAGGCCTGGGTCTGTGGACACTTTGCCTTTCATTTGAATTATTGCAGGCAACTGTTTTGTCACATGTTTCCATACTACATACTATAAGTCTTCATCCATCTTTTCATTGACTAATACCTGTTTACTCACCGCCCACTCATTAATTTTCAACCCTCTGCTACATATTTTAAAGTGTTTGTAACAGAAATGTTCCAGTTAAAGGTGATAGTTTCTTTCACAGATAGGGTTACAAAGCCACAGGAAAAAAAAAAAGCTTTGGTTTGGAAATAATCCAAAGTTTTAAGGAATTAATACAATAAAAGTTCACTTCTTGCTCATGTAACAGTACAACTCAGAATTTCCTGGTTGTTGAGTAGCTTTACTCCATAGGATATTTAAGAAACCCAAATTTCTTCTGTCTTGTTGGTCTGCCAATTCATAGATACTCAGAGTCTTTTGCAGCCAGGCAGAAGTGGAATTAAACCATTAGGGACAGCACATTGGACTCTTACTTACTCTCTTACCACGAAAGCGTCACCCATCATTTCCATTAGCTTTCCATCACTGAAACCACAGAGAGGCGAGATGAGAAATATAGATGTTGGCAAAGTTTTATGTAATAAAAGGGAGAACACAAGGTTTTTTAGTAGACACTGAGCTGTTTGTCATTGACTTTGGTTATGATCAGTTTTCTTTAATCAATTTTTTAAATCTAATAATTGTAAATGTACTGGTCATTTTTCTATATCTAAAGATTTAGACATTTAAAAATACAGTTGCTCCTTAAACAATGCAGACATAGGGGTACCAACTCCATGTTCAATCTAAAATCCATATATAACTTTTCACTCGCCCAAAATGTAACGGCTAGTAATAGCCTACTATTGACCAGAAGCCTTACCAATAACATAAACAATTGATTAGAAGGCTTACCAATAATGCAAACAATTGATTAACATGTATTTTGTATGTTATATGTATTATGTACTGTATTCTTACAATAAAGTAAGCTAAAGAAAATGTTTTAAGAAAATCATAAGGAAGAGAAAACACATGTGCAGTACTGTACTGTATGTATCAATACCATAAGTTTATGTTATCTGCTGGCAAGATAAATGGTCTTTCTGAAATGGCAGGCAACCACAGCTGCATGCCTCAATCTATAGTACATACTGAAGTATTCCATTTTTTCTTGTAATGTCATGACTTCTCTCTGCTTCTTGGGAGCACCTCTAGCATCACTAGTGGCACTTCTTATGGGGCCTGTGATGTTATTAAAGGTTTATGGTATTGCACTAAACACAATGAAAAGTATGCAAAAACTGTGAGAGATCACTTCTTACTGTGGTACACAATTTACTAGAAAGATGAAATACTCAAGCAGAAATGATTAGCGGCTCACGCCATTTTGAGTGGATAATTGCAACAATTGAGCACAATGCAATTCCAACCAACAGGTGTAGCTATGGAATTAAGGTAGTAGAGTATGTGCTATAATGTTAATGTAGTTATGACTTAAAACTTCACCTTTATGTTTGTTTACATTTCTGTTGAGTGGGAATGGCATTATATACAGTTTTATGCAGTTTGTGTGCATAAGTTTTGATACATTTTAATATTTTAAATAGATTTATGTATATTTTATGGTAGTAAATGATAAAATAGACTGGTATTTACATATATTTTATGCATTTATGAAACACCATTTTCTTAATTTTTTTATATTTTCAAGGCTATATGGTTCATCTGAGGTTTTTCAAATTGTTGCGAACCTCCAAAAGATTTTTCCAATGTATTTATTGACAAAAAATACACATAGAAGCGGATCTGTCCAGTTCAAACCTGTGTTGTTCTCTGAAGCCTCCCAAGTTGTTTGGGATATTTTATTTTTATATTAGGCATCAAGAGTACTCAGATTTAGAATTAATTGTATAAATTTTATTTCTTATCACTTTGTATGTGAAGTCTTTCTCCTTTTTGTACTTATGATTACATTTACTGAATACCTTCTTTAGGTAATTATTTCAGAAAAGGATTACAGGTGATAAACTGATTTCCATTTGAAGGTATTTTCACTCTGCTTTCCTTCTTCAAGGGTGTTGAGTAGAGGATCTTAGCTTTGAAGACAGTACTTCACTAATTTCTTTCTTTAGCTCTTAAGTTTTCTTATTATTTCTTTGATTGTTTAGTGTCCTCTGAAAGTTTTATTTCATATGGCTGTTGAAACTTCTGAATCCATTCCTTATGTCTCTTAACCTTTGTTTCATATATTTGATCTCATGGCTTTATTTTATGTAGAACTCATCACCTCTGTCTTCTGTATCACCACATTACTTTTCAGCTATGTTCCTTCCTTGAGAATTATTTTTAAATTTTATTCAAAGCCAAAAGTTTAATTTTTTTCTGTATAATGAAAAGACTGACAATATCCATATATTTACTATAAACTTTATTTTCTTTATCAACTTTGCTTCCTTGGATATTCATTATTTAATTGAATGTGATACTTCTTTCATCTTGTCGCTTTGTCACAAATGCTTATTGAGTCTGTATTTCAAAATTACTGTTTGCTTGTGCACGTGGTTTACTATAGTCCACTTTCCATCCTATGAATAAGAGCTTGACTTGGGTGGTAGGCAGGATGTGCCAGTCCTCTGGATAGAGAGGCTTTGTGAGCCTCTTCAGACTCAGAAACTACCTATAATATTATCGTATGTTTTTATATACCATACTATTTTATATATGAAACTTCACAGATCGTTTCCTCTGCTTTAGTGGTTAAATACTGCTTTCAATTTCTACTTAGCAAAACTGGAATAGCAGAGGGGGAGATATTATTATCCAAAAGCTCTAAATGTCGATCTCTAATTATTTACCCTCAAAAAAAGTACCCAATCATCCTATTTTTATATTAACTTATTCATGGTTCGTAGTAACGAAATAGCTACATATTCTATTCTCATAACAATATTCTTATATGTGTTTTGGATGTATTTTATCTTATATATTTTTGTCCATAGATCTGATCTTATGTTTTCTCTTTCAGAAACTTATAGCTTGTGTATGGCACTCTCTTGTTATCCTATGCTTGCATATAATTAAAAATTTTTTTGTAATTTTATGTAATATATTTCTCAGTATGGTAATTTGAACTCAATCCTTGTTTGCTTTCAAGTTCCCCTTCCCCCACTAGATATTTTTCCTTAATAAAACATGTTTCCAAATCAGGCATATTTTGGAAAAGTATGCACATAAGGTTTTTGAAAACTAAATCACATTTTAAGTATAACAGGTAAATTTAGCATTTCATAGTATCTTGCAAACTGGGTAATTAGTTTTTAAGTACAAACTAAATTAAAAAAAATAACAATTTGAATACCTAAAGATAGTATCCTTTCTATATTATTTTCATTAGGATTTGGTATCCAGATAAGTCAAAACTCATTGGTTGAGTTGGTTGAGTTTGGAATTTTTCATTATTTTTATTTCTGAAAATTTTTATCTAATATGGAAATGGTATAGCCCTTACAGTTTTGTTAGACCTTTCTAGGAGTATTAATTTGCACTAGCATCAACAATAATTTTCAATAGTATTAGTCTATCTGGATGTTTTGACGTTTTTCAGTTAATGTTAACTAAATTGTTTAATTTAAGTTTTCAAATTTCCTGCATAAAGCATTTCATATAATTATTTTATAATATTTAATTGCTTCAGTTTCTGCAGCTATTGCTCATTCTCTAATTTTTCTATCAAACTTGTCATAAATCAATTACTTTTAAAGGGCCAGGTTCTGATTTTTAACATTTCTAAAAAGTTTTCTGTTTCTTTAACTTAAACTTTTAGGTTTAATAATTTCTTTCTACCTTCCTTGAATTTATTTTGCTGTTATACCTTCTTGAATTGAGCATTTTTTATTCATTTTCCTAATATGTATATTAGGAATCTCTGTAGATTCACTGTAACCTCTTCTCACAGGTTTTATGCTTCCTTTATCATCATTTATTTTTAAATTATTAAAGAACTATGTTAATGGGATAAGAACTGGCTAGTGGTGGCACTTGATGGCATGTTTGTGTGTATGTGTTTCCTTTGCTATTTTTTTAACTTTTATAAAACAGTTTACATGGCTTCTGCTTTTTAAATCTTTCTTTTATTAAAATTTTGTTTGGAAAATATTCAAACCGATAGATAACATCTTATGTATTTAAAAATACAATGTGGGTTAGATGCAAATATCTCAGAGTCACTCAATGCAAAAAACAGGTAAGTGACACCAAAAACAGAAACAACCTTGTTTGATATTCTTATGACAGAAAAAATTAGGATAATCTCATGGGAAGTCAAATAGCATAAACAATGAGAAATCAGAAAAAGTGCCTGAAAAGCATTTTAAATGTGTTGTTATTGTAGCCTCCACCCTCTTCAAATAGATGTGAACAAGATTCTTGTGGTTTCTCTTTTTTTCTTTTATCTGTGGTTTTGATTTTCTGTTTTGGTTTATTTTGTCTTTGCTGGTGAAAATTCACATGATCTTATTTCTTACCATATCTTCTAGGTCTGGTGGCACAGGAAGCATTAGAAAAGTGGACACTTTTGTCATAGAAGACAGAATCCATGCAAATTTGGGGGATCATATAGAATATGTGTCAATCACATGATATTTCTTTGGAAAACCATGCACATTATTTGGTAGCACATAATTAAGTTATCACCAAATATTTCCCCAAAATGGGATAGAGAAGGCTTTATAATGGATTGGTGATTTTTCTTTTTTACTCACTAATATATTTATATCAACAACATTAATTGAATAAGGAGGAAAATCAATTACTTTGAAGTACACAAAGAAGTTATTTCCATTTTCTCAGACCACACAAGCCTGAAGACAGAAAAAGAGTGTTAGGATTAGTAACAACCAGCATTATTCTGTCGTTCGATCCCCAGCCTTGTGAAGATACCTTTCAGAACTTGCAGTCACTTGCTCTCTTTCCAAGTCTCTAAGGACCAGCACAAGAAGGCTTACAGTCCCTTCTCTCAGTAGCCACTAATTCTTCAGGCCTCAGCTGCTCCTAGTGTTACAAGAAGTAGCCTCACCTGTTATTCAGGAAGGAGGAAAGCCAGCAGATCACACCAAAGGCTGAGTTCCTCTCATCCCTTCAAGCCCCTGGTTTTCTCCTGATACTGATCTGATGTGGCTAAGAGCCTCTGCCACCACTGTTGTGCTGGAGTCCTCACTGCACCTCACATGAGTTATCTGGAGCTTCAGTTCTCCCAAGCCAAAACGTTTCCCTTGCCAAGGTGGAGGGTTTCTCTCCCTCATCCTTTACTGCTATGTCTATTATCCTAATCCCAAAGAAAAGATGCCTTTTGCTCCTAACATGTTGAAGAGATTTTGTGTAAAAATATAATTATTTATTGTTTAATTTATGATGCAATATCCCCACTAAAACTCAACAGTGGACACGTGATCATTGGACTAGCATTACACACAATTAATGCGTTAGTCACCTCTCCTATCTGACAGCAAAGACATAGCTATGTATTAGACCAAGCCCACATACTCAATTCTCTCTTGCCAGGTTGAAGTTTTCCCATAAGGCCCCTCAATTCCTAATGCAAAGATATCCCTGGCAGCCATCTCATTCTTCCAGTGGTGCCCAGATAGTTCTGAATCTACATGGATTTGCAGCTCAGATAACTGAGGCCGTCCTTACAAAATACAGATTACATTTAATCTTCTGGAAAATTAGCAAAGAAAATATGTAATATGTAATAATACTATTTGATAAGCATTCAGTGGAAATTTACATACCACAAGGATATGAGGGTGCACAAAGCAGTGATTCATTTGCAAGGCTGGCTGATGTCATAAACCAGAAGAGGCGAGGAGGAGAAGTTTATGGGCAGTAGCAGTTCCATCTGAGTAAATTATGGCTGTGTATTCATTCTGGGACATTTACTACTTTCCCCCATAAATACAATTAATGTGCTGAATTTATTTTCAAAGCACAAAGCAGAGTTATAACTTATCTTAAAGTTTTTCAGTGGAGAAGCATATAAAACAACTTCAAAGGAAATTCTTTAGGGCTGGCTTATTGAAAATTTAACCAACATCTTCATTTTCCTTTTGGAGACTGTGGCACACATAAGCAGAATTTTCTTTCAGGATGTGGCACATTTTCAAAAGCAACAGACAGAAATTGGAGGCTCAATTCCTCTTTTCCCTTTATCATTCCTGTGTTTCCTCAAAAATCTGAATTTGACTCAAGAACGGTGCTTTTATTTTTGAAGGAGCTTGTCATCATGAATAAAACATACTTATAAGTAACCATAAGCCATGGAAATTTACTTAAATTAGTTGTCAATTATCTAAAAATACACAGTTGAAAGGGAACATTCACAGGAGTTTACCTGAAGTCTACAGGAATTTTCCAAGTTTATTTGAAACTCTAGATATCCACTAAAGTGCCTAACTTGCATTAATTTTATATTCTATAGTTTTCTTTAAAAAAAAAATAAAAGCTGTGAATTGTTTTCGCCAATTGAAAAGGTAAGAATACAGTGAAAAGAATGTCTTACAGATTCGGTCTCCCTTTCCCAACACACATTCTCTTTCCTTTGTCTTTCATACAAACTCAGTGTTCACTTCCAGTGTTTCCATAAAGAGGGCGGGGAAGTAGCGCAGGTGGGGAATGGGTCCATCAAGCAGTCAATGGAGCATGCAGGCAGGCCACAGACCAAGTACTTAAGCATCCACACAAAACCACATGGCTGTAAATTACTGTCATTACTTTCCAAAAGTTCCCGGGATTGTACAGGATTGCCCATGCAATCATAATTACAAAGCAAGCTGTAGTAATCATTAAGCAAACACTGCAACTTCTGCAGTCTTAAGCAAAATGCCTGTTTTCCTACCTAATGATCATGTGCAATGTAGAAATACCAAGTTGGAGGCAACAGCTCACATTTGGTTCTTAAGATTCAGAGGGTATTATGCTCTCTATGCGCCTCATCTTTCTCAGCAGTGACATTTGGCATGGTCATAACTCACCAAAGTGTTGAAACAAGAAAGAAATCAAAGTAGCTTTGGGGGACTTTCTAGTAAAAATACCCAAAGCACAGAGCAAGAGTTATCCATAGGATGAAGTCTTTACTTGGCACACTACTTGCAGGTGATATTTTAACTTGATTTTCATGGAAGAAAGCCGAGTTTAGAAACTGACATTAATGAATGCTTATCATGTGACAGGGTGCAAAGCTTTCTTCATATATTACCTTTTTAAAATCTTCACAACCCCCTACAACAGGTTAATTGTCTCATTTTATAGAAGACAAAACTAAGGTTCAGTGTGGGGCAATTATTTGCCATTTTCCATCATAAGCATGTGCAAGAATCATGACTCAACCCCAGGACTGTCTTTGAAGGCAGTGTTACTTTCACCTGTCCTATGCTGAGGAGAGAAAATCTAGGAGAGAACTAAAGGAAAATAAAATGTCAACCAACTTTTTTTTTTAAGATTTCATTTTAGAGACAAGGCAGTTTGCACAAATCCAATAAAACTACAACTATTATACAAACGAAAGACAATCAATCTAGCTAACACCTGGAAGAACACAGATGCAGAAGTCTATCACAGGTGAAGGCAAAACTTAACTCTAAACACAACATTTATTTACACGGCTTTATTGAGCTGATTTGCAAAGCACTCTTAAATGTGGGTGGAATGAAGATGAATAGGGTATAGCCCCTGCACTGCTTGAGTTCGGTGGATGGTGGAAAAGAACCAAACCAGAGAAAAATATAACTGGTATAGTTTTCAATTTCTCAAGAAGAACCCCTCACCTGCACTCTTCCTGCCCCTACAGCCCTGCTCCCCAAAAGGTGAACAAGCAGGCACTGTACCCTTGTGAAAATATCAAGTTGTAAGACATGGTGACAACCTCATGTTCAAGCTTCTGGGTGGATCCAAAGCAGCATAAAAGAGGAGAAGGATGCAAAGTACAAGCTAGTAATGAAGCACATCTTCAAAAATGTGGCACTGGATGCCAGCCTGCAACAAGACGAAACTGCCCCTAAGAGTCAAATCTCTATTTATTCCTTCCCTAACCAGCCCAGAAAGCAATTCCTGATCCATATGCTGTGAATCTCAGTTGGAGAAATAACTTTTGGCTTTCCTAAAGTATAAATGTAGCCACTTTCAGCTCATGCATAAGCCCTCACTCCGTGGTAATACATCTCCTGGATGCTTGGCCAGCCTCCTGCCCTTCGCTAGCCACCGTATGTCCCAGTGCCTGCAACACTGAACCTCCTGATTCCCCAGAGAGCATTTTATATACTGTTATCTACCTGCGTGTACTCCTAGACCCTTCTGTTTCCATCTCAGTGTTTAAACCACATCTCCAGCTTTATCAAGGCTGTTCTAATTCCTCTGGGGGGCGGGGGGTCTAGGTGTCTAGGTATCTGTGTTATTTTATTCATGATTTTCTTCAAAACACATTTACAAACACTGTGGGCTCAGCAGTGCGCAAGACAGTTTATTTGTTTATACTACAAATATGCAGACAAGATAATTGCAGACACAAGTCCTGTTAGAAAAATAAAACAAGACGATATAATCCAAGGTTTAAAATGTGGAGGGAAAAAAAATGGAGGGCAAGAGGTAGTGGTGGCTTGTTTCTCCTGGAATACTTTTCAGGGAAATGAAAATTCAGCTGAGCTGTGAACTACAGGAGCTTTCCCCCTGCCCACCTCCCCCCCTCAAAGAAAATGGAAAGTTGGTTTTCAAACAATAGGAAAAGCAAGTTCAAGTGCTCTATCACAACGTTTCTCAAACAGTACTCTAACTGCCTCCCTAATTACAGACTGAATTTTTTGTGGGCATGGCCCGTGCCTTATTCATCTTTGCACCACCAGCATATACCCTAGTACCTTGTAAGCTAACATTCAAAAATGCTTGCTAAAAGAAAAATGACAAAAATATTCCTAGCCTTATGAAAAAATGTACATGAGTGTCTATATATGAAACATTCAACATTGAAATGGGCATACAATATTCTAATTCTACAAATGTAAGAGTGTGGGGTATCTTGGCAGGACAGAGTCGGTAATGGTCTTGGGTGCCCCAAGTTAGATACGTTCATCCTACATTTCCTACATTTACATCTACTATCATTTGGATGATTGCATCTACTGATGTGTATTGGGGATGAGAAAACCTTCTGGAGGGAAAACAAAAAAAGCATTCCACCACAAACACCACAGATGTTCAGACATACCAGCCAATCTAATGGGCCAGAAGGGCCCAACCTAAGCCAGACTGTAGAAAGAGCCATGAGAGCTTTGAAAGAGAACTTACTCTAAGAGGAAACGAATTATGGCTCCCAGTACCCAGCCAACGCATGCATGTCCAAGGGAAGTGGTGGTTTCCGGCCATGAGAATCTGTCCTCAGCCAACAACTCTAGGGACACACAAAAGGAAGTGTTATACATATGAGCTGAAAGGACTCTTTCACTGAATTCTGCATTTTGTGACCAAAACACTCAGATATGGCAAATCCTAACAGTATAACAAAGAGCAGAAACTTCTTCTCTACATTTGTGAAAGCTAGGGGAGCTGCAACAGTATTATAAAGATTAAGAATAGCAGTGGGCCACAGTGACACTCTAGTAGAACCAGAAGTAACTTAGTTAGTTGGAACTGAGCTCCAGCCCAGCAATGGTGACAACCCTGCTATCAGGGCATTGGCGATGGAGACCTGGCTTGCTGGGTGCCACAGCAAACAACAGGAGTACTGAACTTGTAAAGGTATTTTTGAGTCTTCCAAAAAATCCCAGAAATTTTAGGAGGGAGAAAGCTATGCAAAGTATGTCTTTATATCCAAGTACATACAAATTTGTGAATATCGAAGATAATATTCACATTGAAGATAACCTTTACACGGTTCTGTAAAGGAGACTGACAGAAGGAAAAGTCAGTTTAACACAATATAGTTATTCCTAGGCTATAACATATACGAGATATTTCTTGTGTTCTAGCTTAATAAAGAGTTGAAATTTGGAGTTTAAATTACATTTTGACTTCTTAAATTAGTATTTCTCAGTGAATGGCGAATCTATGGAGATATATCTAAATCACCTAGGGAGCTTTTTCAAAATACATTTCCTCAGTTCTCCTTTTGTCTACAATTCTCAAACCTCATGATTCCAATATACTTCCCTTCCCAAAGCGCTGAGATAGGATATTTGTGTGTTTGTAATATCTACCTAGGTGATTCTAACTATACATTTACCCCATCGCCACCCATCTCCTGAATTGAGAACTGCCCTAATTGCTTGCTTGCTTGTTTTTGTTTTTGTTTTTGTTTTTGACTAAGTCTCGCTCTGTTCCTTAGGCTGGAGGGCAGTGGCACAATCTCGGCTCATTGCAACCTCCACTCTCTGGGTTCATGCAGTTCTCCTGCCTCAGCCTCCTGAGTAGCTGGGATTACAGGTGCCTACCACCATGCCTGGCTATTTTTTTTGTATTATTATGATGATGATGATTAGTATTAGTAATAGTATTTTTAGTAGAGACGGAGTTTCACGATGTTGGCCAGGTTAGTTTTGAACTCCTGACCTCAAGTGATTCACCCACCTTGGCCTCCCAAAATGCTAGGATTACAGGCATGAGCTACCATGCCTGGCCACTAATTGCTTTCTAACATCAGTTGCCTCAGCCCAGGCTTTGAATAAAACCATATAGTAAACCAGAATTGGTACCATTAGTATACACTTGAAGGGCAGGTGAGTTGAGCATGTTTCTGGCTGCAAGTAACAGAAAGCAAAATTGAAAATACCTTAAAATCAAAGGGTATTAACTATTACACATTAAAATAAATCTGAAGATAAAGTGGTTCTAGGCCAACAGCATCAAGAATGCAGACTCTTAACCTTCATCTAAGCCATCCATAGCACATCAACTCATCTTCATGGTTTCAAGACAACTGTGACAATTGCAGGTACCACATGCAAATGTAATATCATCCTAAGGAAGCAAACTATTTCTCCTTATGGACTTCTTTTTAAGAAATGTCACTGAGAAAAATCATTCAACAAGCCCTCTACCACATATGCCTTAATGTCTCATTGCTGGCATTGTAGCACAAGTACACCCACAGTACTGGTAAGGGAAGAGGCCCCATGACTGGTACAGCCAATCCTGACTGCTCAATCCTGACTAGGGTGCCAATCACCAAAGATTCTAATTTAGTTAAAATAGCATGGGGCTTGGGTTCTAGATGTGCCTGAGTTCCCCAGGTGACCCTAGGCCATAGTTAGTGCTGTATCAATCATGATTAACCTCTGGAATTAAGGCTTGTGATACCTCAAACAGCTGCCCGCACAGAGAAAGTAACTGAATAAAAGCAAAGCTGTGTTAAGAAAGAGAAAGAAAAAAAATGGCTATTAGGTGGGCCACAAGAAATACCAAAGGCATTCTGAGTTGTTCTTTGTAAAAAGGACCATGAGAGAGATGAGAAACTGATTTTTTTTAATTCTAAAAGATAAAGGATTTTTTTCCATTCGATTTCAAGCTTTTTACATTTCTAATAACTGAAAGACACCCATCATGAAATGAATATAGCCTCCTCAATGAAGCCTTTTTCAAATAAAAATATTGGGCCAGGCACGGTGGCTCAAACCTGTAATCCCAGCACGTTGGGAGGCCAAAGCACGCAGATCACGAGGTCATGAGTTCGAGACCAGCCTGACCAACATGGTGAAACCTCATCTCTACCAAAAATGCAAAAATTAGCCAGGTGTGGTGGCACATGTCTGTAATCGCAGCTACTCAGGAGGCTGACGCAGGACAATCGTTTGAACCCAGGAGGCAGAGGTTGCAGTGAGCTGAGATCGTGCCAGTGCAGTTCAGCCTGGGTGACAGAGTGAGACTCCATCTCAAAAAAAAAAAAAAAAAAAAAAAAATCTAATCTGCCCTTCCCCCCAAATAAAATCAAACCTTTAAATATTTAACAATATTTTTGATATCTGCTTCTGGCAACACTAGTAGATGACCTATGGCCACCATTTTGGTGATCTCTATGGGTAGCTCAAGTTTCCCCTTCGCAATCCCTATCATGCCCAGGGAAAACCGATGTTTTAAAAAGGTGTCAAATTAAAGGAAGGGTAGAGGGTATTGAACTTTTGGTGCTAATAGAAATGGTTTAAGCTTAGGACTGTGTGGAGGTAGTTTCTCTATAAGCTTTAATTTCATCAAATAGGGATCGTAACAATAGCCTTATTAGATTATAATGAGGATTAATTTAGATCAGTGGTTTTCAAACTGAGCACACATAAGGATTTCCTGAAGGGATAGTTGAACCACTGATTACTGGGTCCCACCTCTAGAGTTTCTGATGCAGGAGGGCTGTGGGTGGGCCCTAGGATTTGTGTCTTTATCAGTTTCCCAGGTGATGCTGATGCTGCTGGTCTAAAAAACAGACTTTGAGAACCACTGATTAAGATAACACAAGCAAGTTACTTGGCATAATTCTTGTTACATAGAAGAATTTACTTGGGAATAGAAGAATTTACTTGAAAATAGAAGTACTGAGAAGCAAGTAGTAAATATATTTTAGCTGTTATTATTAAGCTACATTTTCACTTATTCTTAATGCAAAAAATAATTATATTTTAGTTTTTTAATAAAGCATCTATTATATCATCTTTAATTCTGGCAGAGGGTTTGCCCTGAAGTTAGCCAGTTATCTTTCATAATGTAATTACAGCTCCATGTCAAGGCATGTAGGAGGTTTCACTGATAAGAGTTTTCTCTTATGACATATTTTTTTCAATAGTATATGAGTAAGTTGCTAAACCTATACTTAGAGAATTCTTGACTTTTTCCTTGCCCTGATTATTTTTGTATTTTAAAAAAACTAAACATTGACTTTACTGTTAGCCAACAGTTAACAGTTTATTAAATAATTGGACACTTCAGTACCTATTTCAAGCACTGATCAGGTATTCTGTGAAGAATCCTGGGAAGTGATAGTCCTGCAGAAGATGAACTGCAAAGGAATCACATTATTTTGTCTGTTCAATAATAATTTATCCCTCTCTTCAGCAGAGTTAATTGCTCTTCCAGATTAATTAGTTTCAAACGATACTTCTACAATCTTCAAATTACTTTCAAATCCATGATTTTATGTGATCCATACAGCCTTATGGCTTTATCATCACTCTAGCTATCTCACAGCTAAGAAAACAAAGAATTGAACTGCTTGTAATTTTATAATAAAATTTTGTTCAACAGTCAGTTGTAGAACGAAGGATGAAACTTAGGTCTCTGAAAGCCAATACATGCGTACAATGTGTACTCAGAGAGAGTGTTTCTTAGAACTTTTAAAAATCAAATGTCAGATTAAATCTCTTTGAGCATTTCACTTTACATTTGACAGCTCAGTTAAAACTGAAAAAACAATATCTGTCTATTATTGGAAAAATAATTAAATAATGAATACCTATTATTGAAAAAAATTAAAACCATACCCAATTCTACCCACCCAAAGAGGACCACTCTAACAACTGGGGGAATAATCAATCCCTTAAACTCCCCTCTCCATCATACTACATGAGACTAAACTGTTATGTATTTGAAGTTGTAGTTATTTACTAAGATATTATGATCATGTTTCCATGTTAAAAAATATGCTTGTTTTCCCCCAGCACAGTGGTTCGTTGTTTGAAAGCACAACCAACTGAGTGTTAGGTAATTCCCAAATTTTATTTTTTCAAAGAGTGCTCTAGTGAGTATTCTTGGAGCACAGTCTTTCCCACATCCTTAGTTATGTCCTCGGGAAAAATACCCGAAGGTGAAATTACTATGTCAAAAAGCATGCAAATTTGAAGTCTTTTGAGACATTTTGCCAAATTGGCCTCAAGAAAGATTGTACTAAATTACTGGCTGGTCTTCAACTCATGAGCACACCACTTCCCCTTTTATTGTTATTGCACACTGTTTATTTGGCTACTGGTGGATTTTCCTTGGCCAAAGCATCTTGTATTCTGTACTTCCACAAAAGAAGCCTTGAGTAGCTCAATAAGAGCACCTAAAAATCTCTTCCCATGAATAAAATTTTGGTATTGTAAAAATAAAATTGGTAGGGCTCTTTCATTTAACCCCATCATTTAAAAGCTCCACGAATACTTTCCACCTACACATTCCCACTGATAACCGCCAAACTTTACAATGGGTCACACGTTATTCTAAGTCCTATATGTGTGTCAAATTCTTTAACCCCATAATAACCTTTTAAGAAGAGATCCTATTGTTATTTCCTTTGTACAGATGAGGAAATGGAGGCATATCTTTGCCTGAGAACACATAGAAAGTAGTAGAATTGAAATATGAACCGAGGTTTTCAGTCATCATCGTAACAAAAAATAAGAAGAAACTGGAGCAAGGAAGAGGAAGAAGGCAGAATATGGGGGGAAACAGAGATGCTATTCCCAAATACAGAATGAACAATCCTGATAGTGCAAAATGAGATAATGAAAGTAAGGTTTGTATTTATTGTTCTTATAAAGATATAAAGAAAATTAAAATAACATGGTCCAAACTGGAACTGAAGGCACTGCTTAACCAGTTTCTAAAGCATTATTCATAAGCCTTGTAAAAAAGAAAACCAGACCTACTGGACTCAAGATCTTTTCATCAGAATGAATCATTTTAGGAGCCCCAGCATATAAAGGGACCGGTTTCATTTCTCTGTCTCCACCAATTTATGGCTCAAAGTGGGCAGACTAAATCACTTAAAGCTCTGATGGACAAAACTTATTTTCTTGACCAGTCATGTTTTTCAGGTCAGGAAACAGAACAAAATAAGTCATTATTTAAAAAATATCAGACAAGTTATTATGTCTACATTCAAATTCCTGGAGGAGACTGCAAAAGACTGCTCATTAATTGTGGCGCTGAAATTATATAGATTATGCTAAGCCAAATATAGCTAACCTTTGGGAACTTGAGTGCATTGCTGAGTAGAAGCACTTCTTGAAAGAAAATAAATAAGCAATGTAGCCCTGTGTTGAGATTTTACTGAGTTGCGTGCTGCTCAAAATTTGGGATAAATGAATAGTATGACTCATTAAAGCAATTTAGAGCATTATCAGGTCCTTCGCAAAAAGAGATTTTTGTTCAGAAACAGCAGATGCTACATGTTTTCTCCTTGTCATGGTTTGATTCTTCCAGCCCTCACCCAGTGTCAACACACTTTTTTCTCCAAAAGTACTGTTTTCCACTGACTTTTTCCCGCCCAGACCTATGCCTTCTAAATTGGAAATGCTTTTCTACTACTTCCTAATAGCACAACATCACAGCATTAACTAGATTTGGGGATGATTAGAAAGGTAAAGAGGTTAAGTAAGGTAAGAAGATTTTTTTTAAAGAGTAAACACCGTTTTCTGGTTTTGTTTTTCCTTAAACTTATATATGCCTCAGGTTTCTCCAGATCGTCCTCTCTTCTTCTTAGGGCTAACTATAGAAGGCAGTGAGAAAATAGCATACCAGAATAGGAGTGGCTGACAAAACAGAAGGTGTTTGTCCTGATGGATTCATTCTGATGCAGGAGAATGGCACATGTGTGGGCCCTGCCCCTGAAGAACATGTTGCTTACATGCATAGGTTCCTTTGGGGAGGGGAAAGTTAGACTTTCTTATCTCCTTGAAAGAAGTAGGTCATTCTAGTTTCTGATCTTGTTGCAGCCTCATTATTCCTCCTTAGTCTCATTCTGAAACAGCCTTTCTAATTTTTTTTTCCAGGTTTATTTCTTCTGCCATGTTTTCAAGAGCCAGTAACATTCTGAAACACACAGAAAATGTAAACCAGATGTCTGTTTAAGGCTACAGGCAGAAACATACAGTAAACTCTTTTTTTTTTTGCTTTTTTTTTCTTTCTCTCTTTTTTCTTTTTCCTTTTTCTTTTAAGCAGCCATAGACAACAAACTCAAACAACAGCAATGGAAATGATGGAACAGATGACAGAATGGCATAATATTTGAATGCAACATTCTTCCTTTCTTTTAGTTGAAGAATTATTCCAGCTAGTTTTACCAGGAAGCTTTGCCCCAAAGGAGAAAATAAATAAAAGCTAAAACTTCACGTAAGCCTTTCTAGGATAGTCAGTAAAATGGCTTAGAATATAAAATAAACAAATATTGAAAACATGCTAAAGTGTCGTGTTAAATGCTTGTGTATCCATTGTGAGCTTTCCAAAGTAAACACACTGTTCAATACAAGCCTGTCAATTCCCAGGATCATATTATTTGTTGTTTTTACCAAAACATCTTAAATAAATTGTGCTATTATTAACATCTGTTTACAAAAATGTTTCCTTTCAAGAGGAATCCTTCAAAGATACCTAAATAATTGATGAATCAGGTTCCACTAACGTTTGACTTGGGCCAGACACACAAGCTTCTTGAGCATCTTTGAAATGTCTAGGAGCTTAGTTATGAAATACAATAAGACTTCAGTAACATTGTGTGTGGAAAGGCGAATGTATTTAAATTATAAGGTTTTTATTGAAATTTAGTTTTGTTATCACGAGACATGATGTATGCATGAATAGTTATCACCATGTCAAAATATTGCCAGCTTTTATGAGGTCCATTTTAACTGTGCAATTATTTATGGGGTTCAGTTTAGGTTCTCCCTTTCTTAGGTCTTATTTTCACTCAGTGAATAAAATCTACATTTTAGTCTGAGTAACACAGAAAGTTGTCATTTTATAGGAAAAAGATTAAAAAATAAAATGCTATAATATCACGGGTTCTAGCCAAAAGGTCAACTTATTCACATTCATATCTGCCTCTCTCATGATTATTACATGGAGAATATAATCAGCTATAAAATTATAAGATGATTCCCCACCTCTTCGATGCAAAGGCTTTGAGGGGCAGGCATGTTAGGGTCTCATATCATCACCTGCATTATTACACTAGTGGATTGAGGAGAAAGATATAACCTAAGTAGCCTTAGAATTCCAGAAGATTGTAATAACTTCAAGAAGTGCTCATCACTCAAGAACTTCAAAAGCTAAAAGTTAATTTTCATAAGCAGGAATTTGGATATCAAGCATCATCACCAAACCAAGTCTGAGTCAAAAATATTTCTTTGTTAAGCATGTTAAAGTAAGCAATATTATTTTGCATGCTACACACGAGCAAAGGTGGAGGTACAATTTACACGTCTATCTTTTGAAGCTACTTGAAACCAAAGTGGCTACTTAAAACCAAAGATCTTTCAGAATGAATAAAAAATAAGCCTATTAAGGTTCTTCAAATAAATTAGCGCAACATGTGACCTTTAATGAAAGATAAACTATTGCCAATAGTGAAATACATGTGATTACTTACAACTTAGAAGAGATAGAAACCTGGCTCAGGTTACGTCTGCCTTTCAGCAGATATATATTATGAGAATGCTTGATAACTGCAATTAGTTATTCAGTTTAAAGAATTTTGAACTGCCCAACCTAATCACCTTCTCTGTTTGGAGAATCTGTCAATAGTGTTTCCCACATAGGCCCTGTGTAGAGGAGGTAGGCCAGAGACCCCAGGGAATGATAGTGCCATGAAACTCTTTCTTAAGTACATATCGATTTTTTATTTTATTTATCGACCAACATAATACTTGCAGAAAAATTATATTTTCATTTAAGAAAAAAGAGAACTCATCAAATTTTTCTGGAAATGTGTTCTTGAAGTTAGACATGGAAAACTAAGAGCAATACTAACAAATATGATCATGGAATAAAGGGAGTCATTCCAATGTCTTAAGAGAAATCTTGCCCTTTCAGAAAGGACCAGCCAGGTACAAAAGAGCCAGACCAAACTGGCAGGAAGGGTTTTTGTGTTCTGGGATAGCCAAAAAGTGATTATATTCTTGAACAATTTTATAGCTACATGAAACTTTTTCAACCTTCTTCCCATTATCTTTGTCCCATTACTTTAACTTCATTGTTCCCTTGTCACTGGCCAAAGATCAATTGTTTATTGCCTTGAGAAGAATTTGGAATGTGCAACTGAGTTTCATATTTGGAAAAGAAATTATATGAGCAAGGAAGTCAAGGGAAATGTGATACAGAAAATTCTCACCAGTTTGGCTTCTGCCTCATAGAACTTCCTGGCTTGTGTTTTAGAAACTGCAAACCCACATACAAAGGTGTAATTGGCTCTGCTCTAAAGACAAATTTACCTTCCCAAGCATACGACCCAGAAAGATTATTTCCAAAATTCTTAGCTCTGGAAAGCAGAAAAATTGTTGTAAAGAGAATGAATTTAATATTTAATGTAAACAGCTCCTCCCTCAGGATATATATTTTCATAAAGACACAGTAAGTCATACATATATGTAGCAAATCCTTATTTACTCAACATTAAGAGGTAATCTGTCATATTTCTTATACAGAGTCTGACCCCAATAAGCACCAATGCTTTTTCAGCCATTTGTTTAAATAGCTAAATGTGTAATATGTTTATATTACACACTTTCCTACCTTCTAAAACATAAATTTTCTTGTCTTTTTATTTTTTAAGGTCTTTGTCATCAATTTTTCTACATTGACATGTTAGAGGCCATTGAAGAGAGTAGAGTTAGATGCCTTTACACTATATATCCCTGGAAAGCAAAGCAATGTTGTTTTAAGGATTTTCGCACTCAAAACAGCACAACTACATGGAAACTGAACAACCTGCTCCTGAATGACTACTGGGTAAATAACGAAATTAAGGCAGAAATAAGTAAGTTCTTTGAAACCAATGAGAACAAAGACACAACATACCAGAATCTCTGGGACACAGCTAAAGCAGTGTTTAGAGGGAAATTTACAGCACTAAATACCCACAGGAGAAAGTGGGAAAGATTGAAAATCGATACCCTAACATCACAATTAAAACACTAGAGAAACATGAGCAAACAAATTCGAAAGCTAGCAGAAGACAAGAAATAACTAAGATCAGAGCAGAACTGAAGGAGATAGAGACACAAAAAATCCTTCAAAAAATCGATGAATCCAGGAGCTGGTTTTTTGAAAAAATTAACAAAATAGATAGACCACTAGCCAGACTAAGAAGAAGAAAAGAGAGAAAAATCAAATAGACACGATAAAAAACGATAAAGGGGATATCACCACTGATCCCACAAAAATACAAACTACCATCAGAGAATACTATAAACACCTCTACGCAAATAAACTAGAAAATCTAGAAGAAATGGATATATTCCTGGACACATACACCTCCCATGGCTAAACAAGGAAGAAGTCAAATCCCTGAATAGACCAATAACAAGTTCTGAAATTGAGGCAGCAATAAATAGCCTAACAACCAAAAAAACCCCAGGACCAGACGGATTCACAGCCGAATTCTACCAGAGGTACAAAGAGGAGCTGGTACCATTCCTTCTGAAACTATTCCAAAAATAGAAAAAGAAGGACTCCTCCCTAACTCATTTTATGAGGCGAGCATCATCCTGATACCAAAACGCGCAGAGACACAACAAAAAAAGAAAATTTCAGGCCTTCTCTAATAGTAGTTTTTTTTTTTTTCAAATCACCATACAGGCCAAGTTGTAATATTTCCTTTACTATATGGGCATCTTTCTTGACTCTGTTAAAGTATAACAAACCATTCTCTTTCTAATTGGTTACTTTTGATCTGCTGTAATCTAAGAAACCAGATTAAAAAAAAACTGGTAAAAGTAAACTTAAAGAATAAATAGATGCTATATAAGAAGGTTTTTTTGTCTGTTAGTTTTTTGTTTTGTCAAAGACCATAATATTTTGGTTGATCAGAAGACTTTGTAACCCTTACCTTTAGCTTATTGACTATTCCTTGATCAGTAGAATGTGTCATTTAAGCAACTTGGATATAAGTGAGATGTTGTGTGGCCTATATAAGTGAGAGTTGTGTTGTTACTTGAAACAAATTTCATCATTCCAGTAATTTTTAGTCTTAAAGAAATCCAGCAGCAGATCTTTCCAATCGTGTTGCACATATATTTCTGACTTCAATGACCTTTCATCAGCAAACCAAATTAACTTGAAACAGAACACATGTAGTATGGATGAAGTGAATGATCTCACACATTCAAAAAAAGCCAATGTCAATGTTTACCTTCAGGTCATACTCTGAATTGATGTGTGGTTAATCCTGTGCAAGTTGAGCACATAAACCCACTCGCATCACATGAACACACTCATGAATGCACTGACCCTCAGAGGCCTGTGTGGTTTGTTATCCTAGCAACTAAATCCAGTTTCCTCTCCTAACCTGAGTACACTCAAGACTGATTCTCCTCACTTTCAACATTCTGTGCATAATATGTTGTCTAGACGTTGCTCTGTTATTGGATGTTACTATGAAAAGCAGAAGATTCCTGAGGCTAACAAATAGGTGATCCCCTCAAAGCATTTTGGCAAAATGAAGAAAGCTAAACAGAGCAGTGTTTTAGACAAAAAAAAAACAAAAACTATCTATTATTCCCTTGAAGAAAATTCAAAATCTCGCTCTCAGAATGTATTTTTACTGTATTCCTTATTACAAACAGCTCCTTGTTCACATTTTCCCCTTTCTTCTTCATTTATTCTTTTAAAAAATATTTATTTTTAACCATTTGAGCATCTTGCTACCTTCCAGCCAATACTAAAAGTAATTTCAGTTAATGGGATGATTAGCGACTACATCATTACTCTAGGGAAAAAAGTCAAAAACATCGCACTGGTGATTATTATCATTCCAAAAAAGGAGAAAACACACTTAAAAAACTGCTGAGTTAGGCTATAATCTTTATTGCTTAGACAGTTGCTGTCCAAGCAGAGATCTGCTCATCTACTTTTTTTCAATATATATTAAAATCTTCGTTTCATTTTCATTTCCAAAGATTATGTCTAATCAGTAACCATCTTGGAGCATAGAAGACAGATATAATCCATCTCACATGCTTATCATTAGGCTGGGATTGGTTTTCATCTGTTCCAAACTACTCTTGTGTATCTCTGAGATGAGGAGGAGATATTATCTCCACTGATGAGAGAACAAATGGATTTCAAAGCTCTGAAATACTTGGAAGCATGTAGAACTAACTCTGGGTTACTCATAAACATTTTAATATTATCATAGATTTCATACACTAAGAGATTCAATATCTGCATGTAGACACAGAAACATTCTGGATACTTTTCACATCTTCCCTCTCTCCCCATTTCTATCCCTTCACTCATCTACTAATATGACTAAGACATAGATATTAACTTTGGAGGCTTAAATTTTAAACCTGAATTTAGAGAATATCAACTTTTTCTAATGCTCCATTCATTCATCAAACATTTATCAAGAACAAGGCATACAAACTCAAGAAAATGGTTTGGAGATGTTGTACATTCTGCAGTAAAAGGTGGGAATGACCCAAAAATGGGATCGACATTGGAAAATGTTTCAAAATAGGCTTTTTCCTTTTGTAGTCTCCTCATCTTACCTGATTTTCTCATTATATATATTACCCACTCTTCACCAAATACTTATTTATCCTTTCTTTAATAAATATGTTTCCTCTAAAGCTTTTGCCCAATATTTAATTTCATTAGACCAAAATGTTATGCTCACCAACTGCCTCTTCTCTTGCTTTTTTTTGCTCTTTCTTAACTTTCCACTTCTTTGTCCTTCCCCTTCTTTCCCATTCACTGTGTCTTCCCTTGGTATCTGTCTCTCCCTTTCACTCTGTTTAATCTCTATTTCTTTTACATCTTTGGTAGCAAGACAGAGGATCAGCACATAGTGGGAAGACTTTTGGAAGAAGGAAGGAGAGAGAGGAAGGAGAGAATCAGCTCAAACTTAACCTGAATTTTTCAGCCCAGGATGTCTTAATTCCTAGACGCTTTGCTTGCAGCCCAGCTAAGCTGCAGGACACATAGAATAAAAAGAATGATGTATCAGGAAAGTGAAAGTATGATAAAACAGTTTTTGTGATATTGTCTTTTTCTGCTCTTTTTGGGTTTAAGGAAGTAGAAGGCAGAAGTCATAATTTTATGACTGCGCTTGTTTTGTAAATGCAAGCTTGGAATGGAATTGGACCAGCTCCCATCATCTTGGAACTAATTAGTCTTTTTGGTTTCCTTTTATGTGGGATCGTCATCATATTCATCAAATATTTGAGTCCAGATTCCTCCACAGTGACTGTATATTCCTTTTTGTCTATTTTTCAAAGAGCCACCTTTTATTTGTAAGGCCTGCCAAAGCTCTCTCTTCTGGATTCTGTTCTCTGTGGCCAGATCCCTACTGATAACCTCCAGTGCAGGTCCCTCCTGTGATGCTTTGGCCTGACAATGACTGAATGGTCCTTCAGCATCCAAGGTCTATTAATATTATTTTCCCCTTCCCTACTTTCCTTTCTTTGAAATTTGCCAGTTGTTTTGAGTCAAGAAAGAAGCTACTAATACAGCTAATTGTGTTCATATACCTCATAGAACTAAGAAAATCACAGTGTGCTTCATCACCTCAGAAACAAAAATTATCAAGTTGTGAGATAAATTAATACAGTTAATAATCCCAATAGCTTTGATTAAGGACATTCACTAACAGAGGCATTTCCTTCTACTTAATCATCTTTTCTTTGCATTAGTATGTTATTTCTGGCAGGAAACCCAAGGATTAAGTTGCTGTATTTCCCTGCTTAATTTCTTAAGTATTTCCACCTGGACTGGATTTTTTGAAGATTAATACAAAAAAGTCAAAAATACCTTGTCTCTCAACAAAATATTTGGATCCAAGAATGGACTGAATTTCTGAATACAGCATTAGAGAAACTGAAAGTATCAGCACAATATTTTTAGAGCCATGTTCATTTTAATCTTCTGTAAGTCTAGCTACCAGAAACATCACGGGAGCCAGCCCACCAGCCTTCCATAGTGCCAGTGTAACTTAGAACTGGTTCTACTAAATTGCATGTCACTCTGCTTTATCAGGATGAGATAAAAGGGAAAACTGTTTCACTGCTTAACTCCAAAGAGGAAAATCACTTATCAAAGAGATGGTCAATTTAGGTCAATTAGGTGAGAAATTACTATAGCCTATATTTTTTCTCCTATTGCTAGTAATTGTGGGTATTTTGTCAATTGTTAATGAAACTGAGATTTGGCTTCTTAAATTTGCTTGTGCTGCATTCTAAAATATTGTTTGAGGATTTGAAGAAATCCTTAAGAAAATTAGAAGTTTCTTAAGAAAATTAGAAGTTACTCTTATTTGAATGGAGAACAGCTCTGTTTAATTCAATAGTAATTCTTTATAATGAACTATATTTCCATTAGTGTCCTAAAATAAATCTTAATTAAAGATTAGTCAAAATAGACCAGAATCCTTAAAAGAAGAAGGATAGACAAAGGATACTATCTGTAACCACAATCTTTTATATCTCTGAACATTACAGTAATACTAAAAGAGAAGGAAACGATTAAAGTTGCTGACTGAGCCTATTCAACTTCCTCTGAATATATAACTAGCTACATACTTAAATAAGCTCATATTTCAAAAATCCATAATAGCATGACTAAACAAGAAATATTGTCAATAGTGAATCAGAAATTTGGATAAATCTGTGAAAAATAGAAAACAAGATAAAGTTGGGGAAAGAAACCACGGCTCAACCACATGCAGATGGGGACTGTGAGGCTGGCCCCAAGGATATCTCAGACTTTGTGGTACTATTGTCAGGGATTCTTAAGAGGGATGCAGGACAATTATTGGAAATGGGAAGTATAGAAGTAAATGTGCTGCTTGGCATCTCTCTCCTTCCACATTTGTGTTGAGCAACAGGTAGCAAAAGCACATGTTCATAAAGCAAAGCAGTAAGGATGAGAGTATCACACTTAGTTTTAAACTACCAGAAGGCAAGCTATGGGTAAAACCCACACATCATAGCTCTCACCTGACAAACACCACATTCACTGTAGACAACCACTGGGAATCAGAAGAGCTTCCATCAGCTGAGGAATAGAGGGTCTCAAATACAAAAAGAAACAGGCGATTGAGAGTCACCACGTGGCTCAGGAAAAATAACACAATGAAAGACAAGCGCAAACAAAACAGCAGACACAAGAACACTGCTCCCTGAAAAGTTGCAAAGATACATAACAACAGAATACTTTAAAAAAAAGAAAAAGGTAATTGATATCTTCAGAGAGAGTTGAGAAGATAGTGTACTCAAGAAAAGAGAACAATTAGAAATGTTAAATTTTTAAAGTATATTTATCAAAAGTGAAATTAGCAAATGGACTAAAGAGCAGAATAGAACAAAATCATAAATGGAAAGCTAAAAACTATAAAACATTGATGAAAGAAATTTTAAAGGATACAAAAAATTGAAAGCTATTTTATGTTCATGGATTGGAAGATTTAATATTGTTAAAATTTCCATACTAACGAAAGCAAGCTACAGATTCCAAGTAGTCTCTATCAAAATACCAATGACATTCTTTCTAGAAATAAAAAAAAAATCTGAAAATTTATATGGAACCACAAAAGACCCAGAATAGCCAAAGCTGTCCTCAGCAAAAAGAACAAAACTGAAGGAATCAAATTACCTGACTTCAAATTATACTACAGAGCTGTGGTAACCAAAATGAAACAATACCAGCATAAAAACAGGCACACAGACAAATGGAACAGAGTAGAGAACCCAGAAACAGATCTATAAATCTACAGTGAACTCATTTTCCATAAAATAAACATAAACTGGGGAAAGGGCAGTCCTTTCAATAAATGGTGCTGAGAAAAAATAGATATGCATATGCAGAAGAATGAACCTAGACCCCTATCTCTCAACATATGCAAAAAGTAAAATCAAAATGGATTAAAGACTTAAATCTAAGACCTGAAACTATGAAACTACTACAAGAAAACATTGGAGAAACTCCCTAGAACACTGGACTTGGCAAAGTTTTTTTGTGTAATAACCCACAAGCACAGGCAACCACAGCAAAAATGGACAAAGGGAATCATATCAAGCTTAAAAGTTTCTGCATAGCAAAGTAACAATCAATGAAGTAAAGAGACAGTCCACAGAATGGGAGAAAATATTTGCAAACTATGCATCTGACAAGGGGATCATAACCTGAATATGTAAGAGGCTCAAACAACTCAGTAGGAAAAAAAATCTAACAACTGAATGAAAAAAAAAATGGGTAAAAGGTCTGACAGACATTTCTCAAAACAAGACACACAAATGGCAAGCAGGTATATGAAAAGGTGCTCAATGTTACTGATCACCAGAGAAATGCAAATCAAAACTAAAATGAGATAAAATCTCACTCATCTAAAATGACTTTTATCCTGAAGACAGACAATAACTAATGATGCTGAAGATGTGGAGAAAAGCGAATTCTCATACACTCTTGGTGGAAATCTACACTAGCAAAACCACTATGGAGAACACTTTGGAGGTTCCTTGAAAAACTAAAAATAGAACTACCATATAATTCAACAATCCCACTGCTAAGTATATACCAAAAATAAAGGAAATCAGTATATCAAAGAGATATCTGCACTCCCATGTTTGTTGCAGCACTGTTCACAATAGCCAAGATTTGGAAGCAACCTAAGTGTCCATCAATGGACAAATGGATAAAGAAATGTGGTATGTATACACAACGGAGTGCTATTTAGACATAAAAAAATAATGAAATCCAGTCATTTGCAACAATATGGATGGAACCAGAGGTCATTGTGTTAGGTGAAACAAGCTAGGCACAGAAGGACAAACTTTGCATGTTCTCACTTATTTGTGGGATCTGAAACTCAAAACAATTGAACTCATGGACATAGAGAGTAGAAGAATGGTTACTGGAGGCTGGGAAGGATAGTAGGGGTGGGGAAGGTGGGCATGGTTAATGGGCACAAAAAAATTGTGCCTGTATCAAAATATCTCATGTACTCCATAAACATATACACCTACTATGTACACATAAAAATTTTTTAAAAGAAATTGATGAATCAAATAGATAAAAAATATAGACTTAGATTAAGAAGATAAAGTTGATTTACTAGAGATAAATAAAACTCTCTCTTAAATCTACTTAAAGGTAAATATATTCTAAGGGTAGAAAGAAAGAAAAAAATTATTTGCTTCCTGAAGTTTTGCAATAATTTCTAATGATCCAATGCCATGCCCCTCAAAACCAGAAACATCACATTAAAAATATAAAAGTAAACAAACATGAAGAAGCTTAAATTATAATTAGTATGATCCTAGAGAATAAGGAAATGACAAAATAATCTATCCAAAATCCTATGTTTGAATGGCTCCTCCAGGGAAGAAAATTTGCATGAATGTGCACACACAGACAGGTTATCTTTTCTAAAACATCCCTCATAGAATACAGTGTTATCTTTGTTATGTTACTATTTCCTACATGAAAAGAAAATATTGCCACAAACAAAAATCCTACATAAAATCAGAATATTTATGATAAAGCAAGCCACTTAGAAAACAACCAGGTTTTCTGGCAAAAGCAGGAACAGAATAATGGGTGATGATACAACTGACATGTCTGGTACGATTTATAGCCCCAAACTGCCCCAGCACGATTGATCTGGACTCTTTTTTTCCCTACAGCAGGATTTGAAGTGGTGAGATCTTATCAAAATTCCAATTGTGCAAGTTCTTATTGAGGTCAGTGGATATTAAAGGAGAAATTCAGAGAGGTAGTCGGGAAATAAACAAACCTAGGACTCCAGCTATTTATATTAGGTCCCCCTGATTGGGTCTCCTTCTCTAGGCCTCCCTGGGGGAAATGGCTCTGTAGCTTTATAGGGCTTCTGCATTGTAGGAAACAGAGACCTTGAAATGTATGCACTACCAGAATGATCTAGCAGGAGGCTCACTGATTTTAGGTCAGTGTGAGGGAAAAGAAATGGGATGCACTACTGAGGTGGCTGGAAGAAGTTGCTTGCTTTACAACTGCCCGAGTTCCTTAGCTCTTATGGCTTTTGTCAACTAGGTTGCCTAGAAGAGTTACAGGTGCAGCAGTTCTCTTTAAATTCCAGATGACAAAACAAGACCATAATGACTGGTCAGATGAGTGTGGATGGCAAATGGGAAAGCCTTTGCTTGTGGTGATGTCTTTCCACACAAATACATAAGTTAGTTGCAGATGCATTTGATTTTAAATTCTCAATCAGTTAATAATATGAAAGCATTTTTAAAATTCTGAGTTGGTTTTAATATAGTAAACAGAAGTATATATGATATATGCATAATACATAATATAGTAATATTAAGTATGTACACAGTTTGTTTTAATTATGCCACAGGGATGAGAAGTAAGGACAACCTTGTTCATAAAGGCAATCGATTTAAAGCAATGCCAAAAGTTGTGGAGTACTCACTGGGGTCTCTTCAGGTGAGTAGAAAGTTCGGTCACAATAGAATAGGCTTGGAAAAGCCATATCTCTGCAATCGTACTAGCAGTTTTATGAGAAACGAGAATCTTTACTAATTATGAACTTGTCTCAGTTTCTCTAACCATAAGATGTGTAACATAATTCTCAGAATCAAGCTGAAAAAAATTTTTAAAATACATGGGAAATGTAAATAAATACTAATAATGAAGCGTCATTAATTAAACCATTATCCTTAAGTGAAATCACCAAGGAATAACTATAAAACCCTTTGAGCAATGTCTGTTTATCAGGTAAGAGTAAAATCCATTCATATCATTGATATTTGTGGTTATTATATTAGCTTAAATTATACCAGGAAAGGTTACTGTGTTATGTGAAGAAAAGCATGAAAAGAATACTAATAATCCAATTTGGGGACTTATTAAAAGGGGAGATTGAATAAAGTATAGAAGCATGAAAAAGTATATAGGTAAAGCCTTAGTGTAAGTTATCAAGAATTCACAAAATTCACATTCAAATATTTCAACAAAAATAAAATTTGTGACTAGAAGAATATTTCATGAGACACAAAAGGAATATACCTAGGAATGGCAGAAATGATAGGCAAAATAATCTAATACAAAATGAAAAAAAACCGTAGAAGGCTATAATTTGGTATATTCCAGTCAGCTTCAGTCAAATTCTAGAAAGTCTGGGTAAAGAGAGTGATCTCACACTGAAAGGAAAATCTTGAGAGAAAATAATTTGCTATGACATGTATAAAGTGGAATGCTACCAGAACAGGAAACATCTCAAAGTAGGTTTCCAACATTGATCTTCCTATTTTCTTCTTTCCATAGTCATCTAAGTTCCACTTTGAAAATTCAGTGATATATCATGGCCATAAAAACGGGAGACTGTTTTCCTAGAAAGAAAAATCAACACTTCTTCATTCTTGCAATTGGATTCATTACTCTGTCCCACAATTTAGACAGAACAGACTGGCCAACTGCAACCATTCCTACCAGCAGCATCTCTTCTCCCTATTACATTTTTGTTCTCTCCTTCCTTTAATACGAGATACATTTTGTACAAGAAATGTCACCTGTGACCTTACCTTAAGCAGCTAGATGATTCCATTTCCCCAACTCCCCAGACTTCTACTTCCCTCCCCTAGCCCCCATGTGATGGTGTGCTCTACACACTCCAGTATGTTTTACAAATGTTCTTTATTCTGCAAACCATGTTGATCCATGTTAGAAAATACCACACTGTTCTTGTCAAGCTTCAGCTGTGGCTCCAACACCAGGGTTAGCATCATAAGATTTTCTTTTAAAATGATGTGAGGTAGGGTAAGAATCGAATGGAAAGTAATTAGCACAGAAATTTGTCATCTCTTCTACTCTCATGGAGACTCATTCCCATCCCTTCACAGGGAGCTGCACTGATATTCTCCACACATATGAATCCAGTACTAGAGCAGCTAAATAACTGGCCAGCTCAATGCTTAGGGCTTTTGTTTGACAAAATCAGGGTGTTTTACTCTCTTTTGGAAAAAGAAATTGTCCACAGTCATGTTTGGTATCTTACTTTTACTGCAGGGATAAGGACTGGAAGTTAGGATAAGGTAAGAGTAAATGTTAGGCCAAAGGAAAAATGAAAAACAGAAAACAGAATATAGTGACACTCTGTAAACTGCTGGCCCAGCTTACATGTTTCTTTCTGTTTTCACTTAAACCCATTACTGATAGCAAAGATTGGAGTAGCTTAGAGAGAAAATAGTGAGTAGCTTAGAGAAAAAATAGGAATTGTTCATGAAGGAAACCTTAGGTAAAAGGCTCCCTGGTTTATTCAGAATGGTATGGTTTTCAGGATGAAAAACTGAGTGTCAAGAATTTTGAAGAGTATTTTCCATCATACCGGCTAAATATACTAGCTTAATCACTACATAGATAAACTTTAGTGTATTTTTCTTTCATTTACAAGAGAGAATCCACTTTGAGCATCGCTTTATGAAAAGAACTGAAGAATCAACAAATTTTTTTTCCATAATGACATAAGACATTGCTGCACACAAAGTGATTAGAATACTATTTAAGTAAAATAGGATTCATATTTATACTCCAACTTTCTGTATCCAAGTTGGTAAACCTGAAAAATATTAAGAAAAATTTCAATTCATAATTTCCTATAATATTCAAGATCTATACTCAGAAGAGAGACTAAGGACACCTGAATAAAATAGCTACAGTCAGTGTTTGGGTGCTGTCAGCCTACAGTAGATTTCTCCTTCTGGAAACTAGTTCCATCCATGAGGGAAGGACTTCACTAGTCACGCTTATAATATGAGACCCTGCAACCCTGGTCACAGATGATTGGAATTAGATAAGCCCCTGATCCCAGCTAGGCCTAATTCTCTCTTCCCCCAAAATTTGTACAAAGGTGATATAAATTTAAGAGAAGTGAACCACTCATCTCCACCTGACATGTGCATGGGAAAGGAAGTAAACAATATCTTGAAAAAGAAGAATGAAAACATACAAAGACTGAAGAAAATACTTGAAAGGAATACAGAGAGAAATATACAATACTCTTTAAATTTCTGAAGCTGTCCATGTGCAGATTTCAGATCCTTGAAATACCTATTTACTTTTGGGTTATCTTTTTTTTTTTTTCTTTTTTTTTTTTTGACAGAATCTCGCTCTGTCACCAGGCTGGAGTGCAGTAGCACTTGGGTTCTGTAACTTACCTCAGTTTAATAGTTAGTATTCCTTTTTTTCCTTCCTTACTGTATTTAACCACAGTCAGAATTCTTTAGGTTGCAAATAATTGAAACAACAAAAATTAGCTTAAGCAAAAAAAGTGTTGGTTCATATATTTGAGAGAAACATAGAGAATAAGACTGGGCAACATGGTGAAACCCCATCTCTCCAAAAAAATGACAAATTAGCTGGGCATGGTGGCACACACCTGTAGTCCCAGCTACTAGGGAGGCTGAGGCAGAAAGATTGCTTGAGCCCAGGAGGTTAAGGTTTCAGTGAGCCGTGTTAATGGAATGTACTCAAGTCTCAGTGGCAGTGTGAGATTCTGTATAAAAAAAAATGACAAGAAAAGAAAGAAGGAGGGAAGGAAGGAAGGAAGGAAGGAGAGAAAGAGAGAAAGAGAGAGAGAGAAGGAGAGAAAGAGAGAAGAAAGAAAGAAAGAGAGAAAGAAAGAGAGAGAGAGGAAGGAAGGAAGGAAGGAGAGAGAGAAAGAGAGAGAGAAGGAGAGAAAGAAGAAAGAAAGAAAGAGAGAGAGAAAGAATGAGAGAGAGAGAAAGGAAGGAAGGGAGGGAGGGAGGGGGAAGGAAGGAAGGAAGGAAGGAAGGAAGGAAGGAAGGAAGGAAGGAAAGAAAGAAGGAAGGAAATTGAAGGACAGTAGGAACCAATGCCTAGGAGGACTAGAATTTAGAACCTAGTAATGGCAAAGATGCCCTCTCTGTTTCTGCTTTCATCTCTGCCTGGTTTTATTCTGCTGCCTGGCTCCTTCTGTCTGATGGGGAAAATGGCTGTTGATGGTACCAGATATAAACCCTTCTAGCTGAGCAACCTTAGCAACAACGGAACCTCTTTTCTGACATCTGGGTTATCAGTTTAAGATGAGTATTCTGATTGACCTGCTAAGATCATTTGATAGACACTGAACCAATAAATGTGTTTAGGAGAATAGTCACTGACTGGCCAAGAATGAATTCTGTATCCACCTCATAGTCCTGAGTGGAAGAGTGAGACAGAAAACTTATAACTTGAAAATGGAGAGTGGAAGAATTCTTGCTGGGCAGCCCAAAACAATAGCTACAGCCAGTCAACATTCCTGGTTTCTTTCCATTTATAAACTCTTTTCTTTCATATTGTTTGTGTTTAAGGTAGCTCAAGTTAATTTCTTTTGCTTCCAATCAAAACAATTTTAATTAAGACAGCATTCCTGGGAGTCAAATGGCTTGAATTGTATAGAGTGTGGCTAAAATATTTATCATGAATTATCCTACTGTTAGTCATTGGATAAATTTGTAGCTGAGTTTGAAGTCACATGGTTTTGAGTTTATCTATGAAATATGTATGTAGCTTTTCAGGCAGTCTTCATTGATTCTCCTTGGGAAAGTCAATCATGCATATTGGTTTCATATATAAAATGAGAAGGGGAAAGTACTAACTGTTATGTTCCTTTCCAGTTTTACCTTTCTCTGAGCCTATAATTCTAAGTAAATGGTTCATTAGTCCCAATAAAATATGATTTTTTTTCTGGCTGCCATTAATTCCTTTGGTAGTTTCAGATTCTCAGCAAATTTCTCAGTACAGTAGTTTCTCTATCAACAAAAGAAAACTATAGAAATAAGGAAACAGAGTCCTTAATTGTTATACATGTTTACAATTGAATATTATGCAGCTATTTTAAAACTTTATGATGCCTTATAATAAAATATCACAATTAGGATTCAAAAATTATGTGTATAATGGAATTCCATATGTTCAACTCATTTATTTATTTACCAGATATTAAGTGCCCAACATGTGATTGGTACTATTCTTAAAAGCTGGAATACAATAATGATAACATAAATTTTATATCTTCATGGAGCTTACACTCAAGCAGTGCATATAGACAAACAGAGAAGCAAAATGATAAACATATAATACAGACGATTATGGAAATATGAAGCAGATAAAAAGAAGTCCATTCATTCTTTCAATAATTTTTTTGTGAGGATTAAATCTCAACTAGGTACTTTTCTAATCTCTGTTATAATAAGACTTATGGGGACTACTTAGCAAATGAGACACTGCCCCTAGGTAAGTTCCCTTTGGGTCCATAGTGTTCATGAACATACCCAGTGGTGACTTCAATGATCAACAGAGTATGATTGGAATATACATACTTAGTAATTGTCAGAACCCCGATATTGGTTTCTGGATATTGAGATAAACTCTTATAATGAAAAATACGAGGTGGAAATCTCTGAAACTTCCTACTATAAATCAAGAAGACTATCACATTCTAGGGAGAAAGATTAGTGCCACACTTAATGACCTAAAAAATTCAGTGTGCTCATCCCTCTCATAACTCTCTGGGCTATTATCTGGCCCACATAGATCCTGAATGACACTACCCCACCCTACCAAAAACTCAACCTAGTTGTAGAATAACTGGAGGGTGCTGTGACAAATATGTAATCTTTTCTAGAGAGGATCAGTGCATGCTTGGGTACATAATACTCAACCATTGATTTGATAAATATATTCTTTTTCATTGCTATAAGAATGGAAGATTAGAAACATTCATGTGATAGTGACAACAGTATATATTTATATGCTTGCTTCAGGAATATGTTAATCCTTTTCTCATCTGACATAATATAGTCCAAAGACACCTGAACCATTGTAATACTGTAAAGAACTTATTAGTCTACTCTATAGATGACATCATGCTACTTAGACTAATGAGCAGGAAATAGCAACTGAATTGGTGGCCTTAGTAAGACACACATCGTCCAGAAGATTGGAGATGGACTGTACAAAGTTGCAGAACTCTGCCTCATTAATAAAGTTTTTGTTTCCTGTGCTCTGGGATATTCTGTGATGTTTCTTACAAAGTAAGAATAAATTATAACATCTTTCAACTCCCACCAAAAAAAAACCCCACAACATCTGATAGAAATCTTCACATTCTGGAGGCAACATAATCTACACCTGGAAGCACCTCTGATCCATTTACCAGTTGAAATGAAGGCTGCCAGCCTTTAATGGGGCTCGGAGCAGGAAAAGACTTGTAGGTGATGCTACCAGTGGCTTTATCAATTGGACCACACAATCTGGAGTGCCCTATGATACTAAAAATATCTGTAATGGGAAAAGAACCAATTTAGAGATTGTAGCAATTCCCAATAGGTGAACCATCATGTAGACATGTAGAGTATTTTCATAAACTGTAACTACACATCAGTCCTCATCAGGCTAGCCAGACAGCAGTGGCGTAAATCTTCCTAAAGTACAGAATTAGGACAGTGCATTTAGTGATTATCTACTTTTATTGAAAAATGAATGTGCCAAGGTCAGAATATTTACAAATTCACTGAAAGAGGCAAACAGCTCAGTTGGTTGGTCAGAAGTCTGAAAAAGAGAAATACTGAAGTATCAAAGACAAGTAATTCTAGGAAAAAGGAATGTGAATGAGCCTATGTGAAGATCCTTATATTTTTGTATTACATGCTAGTGCTCATCAAAATTAACCTCCTTGGAAGAGGCAATAAATAACAAAACAGACGGAATGGTTTGGTCAACTGAAAAGTGCCTGCCTCTGGGATGATAAGTGTACAGACATAGCTCAAAAAAATATGTTCAGTAAGTCAGAGTGGCAAGAAAGGAAGTTATGGATAGGCCCAACAGCATGGAGCCCAGCTCACCAAGGCTTGTCTAGCTATTTTCCCTCCTGAATGTCCAACATGTTGGCAACAGAGACCCAAACTGGGTCCACAAAAAGACATCATCCCTTTATCCCAATCGGCCATTTAGTAACAACTGTACTACACGGACCACATTCTACTCTGTAAAAGGCAATGAATCATCCAGCTTGACTGGAATCAATACATATTTTGGGTATGGGTTTGCCTCTTCTGTCCTCAAGGCTTCATTTGGCATCACTATCTAAAGCTTAAAATATTTGGTTCATTGACCCTGGACTCACACATATCACCTCAGATCAGAGGAACCAGTTCTGTAGCAAAGGAGGTGTAGCAATAGACGTAAAATCAGGGGACCTACTGGTACCACCTAGAAGCTGTCAGTCTGATAGAGCAATGGAAGAGCCTAATGAAAGCATAGCTAAGGTATATATTGGGAAAAAAATTTCTGGTTCCCAGTGGAGTAACATTTTCACCAGGAACACGGTAAAAGGACATTCAAGTTTTAACTACAGCTTTTGCTCAGTCACTTCAAGTATCATGTGCCAAGAGACCAGCAGGCAATGAAAAGAGCTCCTTACTGGCAAGAGTAATTAATTCAAATGATCCAAAGGGGTTAAAGCTGCTATAATAGGGTCAGAAAAACATATTCGGCCACACAGATTCACTGGATAGTCTCTGTACTCTCTTCTGAAATTTTGACAGTAAATAAACAAGTGCAACAACCATGCCTAAAAGCAGCATAACTAAGGACTCAAAGATAAGGGTCTAGACTACCCCACCCAGTAAGCCACCTAGAAGAGCAGAAGTGTTAGCTGATAGTAGAAAAGGATGGCAATGGGCCTGAAGCTTAATTTTCTAACCTTCTTCTTGTAAGCTTCCCCTGAGTGAAAGAGGCTTACCCCATTGTCTTGAAGGAGCTGTTCCCATTCTGTTGCCAAGTAAGTCACACCAAATAACACAAGAGTTAGACTATCCTTGCAGCACACTGCCCCCAGCACCCCCTTCACGACTGAAGCACTAATTACCCCAGAACCTGCAAGAAAGATTGCTCCCAACCTAGATTTCTTCTGGAGCTTGCCCTGGGCTGAAAAGAGCCACTTCATGAACAATTGCACCTCCGCTTCTGGGCCTACATCCTCTACCTGGCTGATGTCTGGATACGAGGGACCAGTCCCATTGTCCCAATTCAGGATAACCCTGGTAGATCCATTCCTTTCCTCCTGCAGAGTTGTGGAATCATCTGAGAGCTTTGATGTATCTACCTTGAAGCCCATTTTCTCATGCTGACAATCCTGCTTCCTTCTTCTTCCACAAGTATTGTTTTTGAACTCACTCCCTGTTAAACTTCCTGCACACAATTCTCCACCTCACAATCTGCTTCTCATGAGAACAAAAACACAGATTTACAAGCCTCCAGGTATTATTTTACCCACTGTTTACTATGAAACACAGATACATCAATGTCAATAAGCCCTTCATATCTGATGTTATTACACAGCCTATGTATTATGTTTTGAAAGCATAATAATCTTAATATGCCAGGACATTGTAAATCACTTGGGAGTGTTCAAATTTAAAGAAATAATGTGCTGAAATTATATTTTAAAAATTAATGAGAAAATTTACATCTCACCTTAACTCCCTTTATTAGCTTAACCACATGTCAAAACACATACAATACTATAAAACATAGCACCTGGTAAGGCTTTTTAAAAAAAACGAATAATCTATCTGTGAAAACATTCCATCAGAGAATATGAAGTCCCTGACTTTATCTGAATGATGGAACAGTTTTGAGTTTTTAAGAGTGTAAAAAATCTAATAGTTTCTTTGTTCTTCTCTGGGCAATAACAATCTTCCCTGAAATCTGAAAGCTTGGAGAATTAACATATTTTTCAATTCAAACCTTGAAAACATCCATTTATGTCTCAGTGATAGGAATATATTGTGGCAGAAAATTTTCTTCCACTATCAAACACACTTTTTATAACCAAAGGAAAAAGTCTTAAGGATATATCAAAAACTCATGCAGTTCACCAAAATTAATACTTTTACATTTTATTACTAACCAGGTGTACATTAATAGACCTTAAATGGGCTATGGTTATCAAAAATACTTTGTCTTTTTGTAACTTCTTTCTCCTTGAGGGCTCAAAGAATTTTTTTTTTGCAGAATTAAAACATTTACAAAGCTTTTAATACAGGTTTTCTTTTCTGTAGGGACAAAATACTATTTTAATATTCAATTCTTTGATATATTATTGATGTCTTTGATAAGTTACATCGCGGTTGAAGCTATGAATACCATTTAAAATTACTATTTTTCCTCTAGCATTTCATGAGATAAGGGGGTCTAATTAATATTTCATCACCCTAAATGTGAACATAAATCTATAGGAACTAAAGTATTGTCAACTTTAAGTATATCTGACCCTCATTGTAATAGGTCAGTGGTCAACACATTTATTTCCTGTGCCAAGTGTCCAAAACAATAGAATGCCCTAAGTCAGGATAATATTAATGAGAATTTAATGGGGGACATTATTTCAATTTTCTATATCTGAAATTGGTTAAAGCAAGGTATTATAAGAAGAAAACTTGTAGATTGTTCTGAATTCTTTAAAAGCCTTTTTGTCTGGAAAGCATATTAACAAATTAAACCCAATAACTGAAATGTTGATGCACTTTCAGCCTTTTAGCTGAAAGCAGGGCAATTATTGGTAGTGAAAGCTTTATCACAGCTTTGCAGTTTCCTGGCCTTTAAGCCTGAATCTCGATAAGTTTCTGAATGAGGTGTCATTTTAATAGTTACGTGTCCACTTAAATATCATCAAATCAATTGTGATCATTGCCTGCCAAGTTGTTCTATTGCTTTTCTCCTTCCCAACCATAGTGTTCCTTTGACAATTGTTCTGGATCTTTTCTCTGGTTGAGAAAAACACTGCCCTTGGCAAAGATGTGGATTTCTCCACTGCCTTTCTCATTGCTATGTCCTTTTCCTGTTTGGATTGCTTTTTCCAGGGTAGAATTCATGTTACAATCTTGCTTTATACTGACACTGCTATGACCTATACTTGACAACAGACCAGCAGTTAATTGCCATGGTCAAGACAGAAAATATTGAGCATACACTTGTCTCTGCACTGGTAAAACATTGGTTCTTGCAACAGAACTCAACAGGAACCTTTGTGTGATGAATCTTTTAACAAATGAGAGATCTGTATACTGTAGATACAATTACTCAATTTAAGTCATTATAAATAAGAATATATTGCAAGAGAGCTGAAGTCTAAACCTCTCTCATAATGATCCAATATACCAATCTTTCATGTCTGCAAGACCTGTGATCACCTCAATTCATAGGTCATAACCACAGGGGTTACCCCAAACACCCTAATAAAACATTACATGTCTGACATGATTTCTCTCAATTGAAGCCATCTGACAATCTAGTTTTTGAGCCAAGTGTTTTCATATTTGGAAGAGCATATTCATCTAAGTGATATCTAGAGTTATATTTTATTATAACCAGAGCTTAAATATAGTGTGTCATTTTTTATTTCCATAGGATTATATGAAACAGCAGATAACCATCTTCCCTTTTCTCCCCAAAAGAACATCCCCCCACACACATATGTAAAGGCCAAATAAAAATAAATTATTTCTGTATGTAAATAGCTTTAATTTTTGTACTGAGTTTTGAATATTTATTTTAATTACAAATTCAACTTTTCAACTACTGTTTGTTTGAAAGAAATACCTTGAAATTCAATTGTCATTGATCCTTCATTATTTTCTTAGTGTGAGCAATGTTTAAATTCAATATAATATAGAAATTTTATCCCTGCCTTCAGTAAAGTGAAGTACCAAACTTGCTAAATTGTTAGATAGCTCACTGAACTCATCTGACAGCCATTATGTGAATATTTGAACATTTGCTGGTTATATAGTTTGCATGCTTTTCTAATAAAACAAGGGGAAAGTTCTCCCCCATGAGAGAGACATTCTCTACCCTTATAGATCAAGGAAACAGTGCATGGACTTGGTCCACTCGCCCATCAATTTTCCTGTAACATCATAACTCATTTTCTATCCTACTATCTTTAAAGAAAAATAAAATGAGTGGAGAGTCTATTATTTCTCATCAACCTCTCCAGATAAGCAACCATTGCCAACTGTTTCACTGACTTAAAGCATTCCTTTATTTCTCTTGTCAGATTTATTGTCTTTACACAACAGTTTCCAGAGCATGTTATGAAGCCCTGGAGGCTCATGCTCAGACGGAACAGCTGCTCCTGCTGAAAAGAATCTCTTATTCTCAACATTTTCACCATTGCTCCCGGGCAGAGTATCACACAGTGAGCATAGCCTTCCACACATCCGTGGAGTTAGGCCTTCCTCTGGCCAACAGAGCATAATTCTGATGAAAGAGCCATGCTAAAGTTTAGCACTATTCTTCAACTTCACAATCACCTTCCACTCAATACTTTTTTTCATTTTAAGAAAAAAATGTTTATTGTACAAAGTTTGAGAAGCACAGATAAGAATAAAAATAAAAGTCACTAATAGCCTGCTACCTGAAGATGACCTCTGGAGTTCATAACCTTAGGTTTATCCTTCCAGCAATAAAATATACAAAATCTCTTTTTTTTTGTTTTCAAAATTAATGCCATACTATACCACAGTTTTGAAAATTGCTTTTGTTCATTTAATGATTTTTTTATATTTGTCCATGCATTTTTAGTGGTCATATAATGTTTCATTGTACGGATGGTCAATTTTACCTTAAAACCTTCCCTTATTTTAGAACATATAACTTTTTCTTAAATTGTTTGATGTTATAGACAGAGCAGAAATCAGGCTGCCATTTGGACGTCCACCAGCAGGGAAGGAAGGTTTCTACAACTCATTCTTTGAAAATATGAGGACTTATAACTTTAAAGATAATTTTTGCCAAATTGATTGGTGATGGATGGTACTTTTAGTTCTGTTTGCTTGTATTCTCAATATTGGCCACACAGACCTTTGGAGAAAGAAGGAGAGGTAGAAGAGTGTTCTCTCTGTGCCAAGTTCTGCTAAAAGTTTTTCACACATTAACTTTTTTAACCTTTACAGTAACCCTTGACCTTCTATTTTTAATTATGCCATTTTAAAGTTGGTAAATTTGAGAAAATATAGGTTATTAGCACATATTGTACATAGCTTTAGGGTTTTTATAGCAAAAAGCTGTACATGATCTTGGAAAATTTGTTTTGCTTCTCTCAGACTTGACTTTCTCATTTTTGAAATGAGTGAGACATTCAGATCTCTCACTTCAAAGAGCCTAAAATTCTAGATTTAACAATAAGAGATGCCAACAGTACATTGCAGGTATCTCCACATTCCAAAAATATAAGGGCACTAGACCATTTATGAAAGGCTTGAAAAAGGAGAGCCCAAAAACATGCTCTGCAATTGCCAGCCAAACACACTTTGAGGGATTACAAGAATACAGAAGAGTCTCAGTGGAGAAAATCATCAATATGCTGCAGCAGTTTCCCTCACATATCCTTTCCATTCTACCTATACCATTGCCCACCTTGTGGAGGGAACAAGAGGGGAAGAGAGTAGAATCTTTTTCTCTGGCCTCAGTCACATGAGAAGAGGCACTTCCTGGGGACTATTCAAAGTAGCCCTTCGGAATTTAGGTTTTACAGTAAAATGGTGTCTCAGTTTTGAAATGGTACTAGCTAAAACCCTCTGTGACAATAATAAAGAGGCAGTAACTGGGAACTGTAGGGGTGAAGGGAAAGCTTCTCCTTTTCCCTCAAAAGGTTTGCTGAAAAATCAACTCATGAAGGCAGATTAATTGGAAAAAAAAGGCATAAAAATTATAATTAATGTGTGTACAGCAGCCTTCAAAATGAAGTCCCAAAGTTGCAGGGGAAATTGTCCATTTTTATACTTAGGTACAACAAAGTATGGACAGCCATGTAGAAATATGATTGGATAAAAAGAGTAAGATCTAACAGATTGAGTGGGGAAACCCAGGATGGCCTGTCTGGCTAGATTCTTCTTGGCCTTCTGGGAATGGGGCAGCATTTTCTCTGGAATGAGGGTCTTATGATCTAAAATCAAATAAGGTAAGTCAGATAATTTTCTTTATGGCCAGTTTTTACACAGAAACGTAGAAGGGAAGTTAGGGTGATATTTTTAGGTTTTATGACTGATTTGGGGGAAAAGGAGTTCTAGTTTCTATGACTAGCCTTGAGGAAGACAGGTTCTAGCTTCTACAGCTCGTTTCATGGGAGAATGGGACTGAGAGGCAGATGAACAGAAGGAGATCAGAGAAAATATTTTGCTTCTGAGGCTGTTTCTAAGGCCCTCATCTGGGGGTATTATTTTCTGATTTCCAACAAAACACTGACAGCAGATCAAAGCGGTGCGTGTGTGTGTGTGTGTGTGTGTGTGTGTGTGTGTTTGTGTCCAAATCCAAATGTGGAACCCACTAAAGGGCTGGCTCCTTGGGCACCAAGCCAGAAGTAGGGCTATTTTGGCAGAAGGAACACAGGGCATAAGTAAACAACCATTCGCAGGAGAGGTTCTCACCGTGTTAGAGATTTGTAGTCCGGGCGTTGAGGAAAGATGCCCACAGGTGCTCCTGCAAGACAAAATTTCAGCTTTAAATACCTGCCAAGGTCAAGAGAAACAAATACCAGATTTCCTTAGTACCAGCCAAAAACAAACTTTCTCAGCCCTTACCTCTCCTCCCTACCTGCTGGCAACCTAGAGGAAAGAGTGGAAAAGAACTATTGCCCTGAGCAGGTTAAAAGAGGCAGATAGAGAGAAAATGAAGTTGCTTTACAGTTGTACTGTATAGAGTCTCACCTCTTCCCATAAATAGATTGATTCGGAATGTATCAAAGGGACACAAAACCTCCTCAACTTGAGCATAAATATGCCTAATGCTAGTTTCAAACTGGTTTGGGCATCCCTGGTAAACTGGTGAGGTGGCCCTGCTGTGGTCTCTGCTAGGATGCTCTCAGGAAGAGAAAACATTTTAAAGGAAGAGGAAAAAGGCCAGGCACAGTGGCTCATGCTTGTAATCCGAGTACTTTGGGAGGCTGAGGCAGGCAGATCACTTGCGACCAGCAGCTTGAGACCAGCCTGGCCAACATGGTGAAACCTCATCTCTATTAAAAAAAAAAAATATATATATATATATATATATGTATATATACACGTATATATATATACATATATATACATATATACATATATATATACATATATACATATATATACACATATATATACATATATACACATATATATATACATATATATATATACACACATATATATATACATATATATATATACACACATATATATATACATATATATATATATACACACACACACACATATATATATATATGGCAGGCATGGTGGTCACACCTGTAATCCCAGCTACTCGGGAGGCTGGGGCACTAGAATCACTTGAACCCGGGAGATGGAAATTGCAGTGAGCTGAAATCGTGCCACTCATTCCAGCCTGGGCTATAAAGCAAGACTCCATCTCAAAAAAAAAAAAAATCGTAAAGGTAGAGGAAAAATAGAGCCAATGCAAAGCTCTGTATCTCACAGTAAAGAGGTAATTCTAATATGGTGTTTATCAAAGGGATTTTCTCCTGCCTTCTCTAGACTCATGTAGCATATAAAAAGAAAGTGAAGGAAAGACATAAAAATGAAAGATTTGTCTCCAAAATGTATTTTTCCCTGTCCTTGCCATGGCTGACTATGACTAGAGTATACACTTCTTGGCCATGTGACTTGCTTGAGCTAATAGTATGTGAGCATAAGTTGCAGTGCATTCTGAAGTCTTAAGGGGTATTATCTGTTTCCACTCAGTACTCTTGAACTGCCATTTGTCAGAAGCACTTACCCCAAGTAACTGTTGAAGCCGAAGTAGATGATTTATGGATTAATCTGAATGCAACCTGCAGCCTACAAGCTCAGTCCATCCACCCGAGTCCAGCAGAGCCATAGCCAATCCATAAATCCATCGTCAAAATTAAATGCTGATTTTTGTAAAACACACATATGTTGGTATTGTCTGTGGGACAGCATTATCACAATGAAAAACAAAAACTAATACAAGCAATTTTTACAAAAATATTGTCAAATGAGAGGGTACACAAAACACTCAAATTAGAAGCCGATATTCTCCCTCTACTTTGCTGCTGAACACTCAGAGCTTTGGCACCCTGGGTGATTCAGGGAAATAGCAGTAGCAGGAGAGCCTGGGAGAGACCACAGCATGGGAAAATTATAGGCTTCAACCACAGCAACATCCAGGCCTGGTGCCTGGAAACAGATGGCAGTGGCCGTGCTCTTCGGGGTACTGAGTGACAGAAGAAGTGAGAATCTGTGTATGTGGATGCTTAAAAGACACACAGAGGTGGGAAGCTGGGAGGACAACTCCACGGATGCCACATGGTGGCTGACGATGCTTGTGTATGATCAGATCTGATACATATCCTGCAATCTTCCCAAAAGGCATGTGGTCCTAAAATGCCAGCCAGAGCCAGAAGCAAAGAAAGAGTAACAAGTCCATAACTGCAATGAACTTTTACCTTAACAATCAAACCCTTGGATAGAGACAAAAGGTAAACCTAAACCCAATGCATTTATATATGACTCAATTAATGTTGGAAAAGCTGATATTTTTGATAATGAGATTGAAATTCTGAGGTTTTGAAAGGGTGAAAAGATGGGATAAAGCCAACAAAATGAAATATATAAGCATAAACTTAAATTTTTGCATTTAGATTCAGGAAATCAGATAACCAAATGCAAACGAAGGAATGTAAGATTATAAGAAAAATGTCAGGAGATATTACATTATAAGTCAATGTGATTTATAATAAAGCTAATGCAATCTTATGTTGTATTAATAAAAGTGTAATGTCCAGATGAAAGATGGACCCAGCACTGGATATAGTATGATGTTTGGTTAAATTAAATTCTCTCGGCATTTATCCATCTGTTTTGTACAAGTTATTCTGCTAGATAAGGCATTTTGAGAGTGTATAGTGACAAAATGGAATGACTCCAAAGTAATACAATAGGGAAGGTAAGGGGTCTGGAAGATACAAAATAGAAGGAATTGTTGAAGAAACAAAAGATATTTAGCCTGAGAAGAGATGACTTTATGGGGAAATTAGAATTGTTTTCAAATATTTGAAAGGCTGTTCTTTGAAAGAATGAATAAACTTATTTTGTAAGACTCCAGAGAATAGACCCAAAGCCAATGAGTGGATGCTGTAGAATCAAATTTTGATAAGACTATTAAAAAATTAAGTTGGCTCGCTAACAAAAACATAAGCTTACAGTCTTAGAATATGTAAACAAAGCAAAAGTAAAGTGGTCATGTTGTAAAGGGATGTCTGTTTTGGGTTCTCTCTGTTGCTCTGTCTCCAGACTCTATCATCCTGTGAAGGCTTCTGAAAATTTACTGGCTTCCCAGCAATGAAACAATTTTCATAGAATCCATCTACTTTATCATCCAGAGGGGCATATGTGGGAAGCAACCCATACAAGAATTTTCCCACATTTACAAGGAAGCCTAACTTGCCCACACCATATTTTCCTATGTGCTTTCTGGAGAAGCGAGCTCAGGAACAGTCAAGGAAGGGTTATGTGTATGTGAGTTTGCCCTTACTCAAACATATAGTTATACTGTGTATATGGATGAGTGGTTTGATAAAGAGAGAGATGAATAAAGAAGGGAGAGAGAAGAGAGAAAAATAAAGATGAGAATATCTGTAGCCAAGAAGGCAAAAACTGCCATGTAAAGGTGCACCTGAGCTGCACCTGACTAGAGTCCCCATCTCCTGGGAGAATGACATGTTTTTCTCCCTATGATATGCTGTGGGTTTAGAAAAACTGTTTTCCAAATACGAAAGGTGAAGCACTCAGGCACAGTCTCTCAATCAGATAAGTTAGTCAAAGAGAACTGAATGATTCAGCAGAGAAGGTAAGAAATTTAAGTTTCAAGGGCAGGGACACAATAAAGGATCTAGGCAAGAGAGGGAGAGGGAAATGCCCAGCAAAGTAACTGAATGCCACGGCCATCTGTGGGTGGAGCTGGCCATCTGTAGGTGTGCAGGGGACAGGGATGTGCCAAAGGCAATCATGGCAGTTATAAAATAATTATTCTTGAATTACTCCCAAAACACCAGTAAAAGTTGCCTGATCATGCAGTCTTGTGAGAATGGTCCTTTGGAAGGTGAAACGATCTGGACAGTATCCAGTATGGGATAATGGTAGGCAGCAAAATAACAGAATGCTCAAAAGTTGGGAGCTCAGTAGACACAGAGAAGTAGAACAAGAGGACATAATAATGAATTTTAATCCCACAAAGATCCCCTGAAATATTGAGATGGAAAAGGAATTTCTCACAGGGTTTCCTAGTCTCATTATGGGAGTTGAAGCAGCTTTATTTAAATCCAAATGGTCAAAGTCATCACTGCAGGCTAGAAGACTTGGAACAAGTCAGCATTTGAGAACTGCATTTAAGTATGGGAAAAAACAAGAAAGTACCAATATTTGCAAGTGGGTTGCTGAGTCTGTCAGTCTTCTCTAAACTAAATGAGTAGATGAATGAGAAACACAATAGTCAGCATCTACTTTGAAACAGAGTTTTCAGTACTGAACTGATTGTTAATGCATTATTAATTAGAACTACAATTCAGTGGATGAAACCCAATAAGCACCTTTCATATTTTTGAGGACTTTACTGGGTAAGAGAATTACAAAAAATAAATGAATGTAATTATCTTATGGATAACTCTATATTTTTCTTGATTATGGATAGTATAAGCAAATATTTAAAATTATTTTGAATGTTCTTGACTATTTCTTGGCTAATGAACAGCAGTAATTTAAAAATGTGTATGTTGTGTCATGACTGTATTATTTTTTTAAAAACAAACAACTGTTTAAAAAGTAAACATTTATAGAGTATAATTTTGCTTTTTAAGAGGCTTTAACATCTATTAGTTTACAAATTATCTTAGAGCTTATTTTATTAATGGTTCTTATGATAATCTTATGTTGTTCACTTTAAAGTAGAGGCAACATATAAAATATAAAACAATTTGAGGTTTCAAATAATAAGTCAGTAGATGAAACTTTGTTATGTATATACAGTCATATTTTTTGGTTAATCTTTGTTTTCAATGTCTTTTTTACAGTGAAATATTTATGGGTAAGGCAATATTATGTTGGGGTTTCCTTAAAATACTCCAAAAAAAAAAATTGGGCAAAAATGGAAACAAATGACAGAGTGTTGTTAATTAATGAAGTTGGGTAACAGGTACTCAACTTCATGGCATTATTCTCTCAACTTTTGAGTATGTTTGGAATTTTCCCTAAAACAACTTTTTAAAATAGAAAAATAAATATCTGTTTATATGACATAGACTCTTCCTCTGTAGTTTTTTGATAACTGAAAATGAATTTGAGGTTTACTGTAATAAATAAACCACAATTTCTTTTTCTGACATTCACCATCTTATACCACTTCCACTATTTGTAAATCCCTAAGGATAGGAGGTTTTGTTGAGCATTTCTTTGTAGCTCTAATAATCCATTACAGATAAAAATTACTTAGAATCAGGGAACCTGATTTTTGTTTAAGAGCTGTTCAAAACCACTAACAGAAATCCCTGCAACAGCCTGAGATCTCTGAGAGCCCAAAGAAAGGGGCACATCTGACTCACAGAATTTATAAAATGTGATTAGTCTTATGATGCTCACCAAAGTATGAGAACAGATAATATTGGTACCTCTGTTTGAGAGAAGGGTACTCTATAGATTTTCTTAAGCCAAAACTTTCTCTCCCATTGCAACACTTGAACATCCTTCCCCACATCTGGCATTTGTCTTACTCATAACCCCTACATCCTATCATAAGCAAGGGACACATTTTATGGACAAAGCTTGCATGCCAATATGAGCTTCACCAGAAAGTCAGAAATATTTGCCTTTGTGGTCTCATTCATGGGCTTTTGTGATCAATACCAGATAATTTATTTCCAACTATTAGTCTTCAGTAAGATACACAAGAATTACTTGAGCAATTTTGCTTAAAAGAGATTTTTATACACGATCCCCTCAAAATTGCAATTTGTGGACTTGAGTTAGTTAAGGTCTGATATTGTGATTTGTTTTTCTTTCTTTCAACTTTTCATGTGATCAATCTGCAAACCATCTTGGATGGATTTATTTATCTATAAATAAATCATTCATTTATAGCCTTCACCAAAACCACGAGAAAACTTCTGAAGACCCAGCCTCTCTATATGTTTTAGAACCAAGAGTGTCTCTTGGAATTTCTCTAAAGATCCAAACCAAAATTAAACAGTCTATATATAGTCTAAAGGAAAAATGAAGGGCAAACACTTTGAGACAATAGGGAACAGGTGAACTCTGATGGCTCTGCTTAATAGAAAAATAAGCACGTTAGAGGACTCCAACTAGGTTCTAATGTAGAAGAAAACAAAAAAGGACATAGTAGACAGGAAAGGCATGACTTTAGAACCTAATCCTTCAAAGGGGAATGCAATCCAATTCCAACTTAATATTCTGTTTAAGTTTCCTTCAACGATATATTTGAAAATACTTCACAAAACATAATAGTCTCTTCTGTAAAGCCCATTTATTTTATAGGAGGAGCTGAGGATGTGAGGGTATCTTTTTTCTTTTTTCCCCTTAAGGTCATCCAAGGAGGAAGTGGCTTTAGAATTGGTAACTTAATATTCTGCAAATGGTAAACAGAATAATTCATGAAAAAGCAATGTGGACTTTGGGCCTTCAGAGTGGTAGTTTTCCTTTTTTCTTTCTTCCTTTCTTCCTTCCTTCTTTCCTCCCCTCCTTCCCTCCTCCCAATCTTCAACTATAAAAGTAATGTGTACTTGACAAATATTCAAACAATAAAGAAGTGTATGCTGGAAAAGGGAGAATTTCTCCCTCTTCCCACCTCATCTTACAGATAGTCATGCAATAGAGTCTATCCGGAATCCTATATTGTCTTCATCAGCTCAGGTTGCTATTAAAAAAAACTATAGACTGGGTAGCTTAAACAACACTCATTTATTTCTCACAGTTCTGAAGGCAGGGTGCCAGCATGGTTGAATTCTGATAAAGGCTCTCTTCCTGGCTTGCAGAAGGCTGCCTTCTTGCTTCCCTCATATGATAGAAAGAGAGAGCTCTAGTCTCATCCTTTTCTTATAGGGGCCCTAATCCCATCAAGGGACTCCATCCTCATGATCTCATCTAACCCTAATTATCTCCCAAAGGGGGTTAGGTCTTCAACATATAAATTTTGGAGAGACACAAATATTCACTCAGTTCATAATACATGACTTACATGCACTTACAGATTTAATTTTATATATATATATATATATATATATATATATATATATATATATATATGAGGGTTTCTTTAACAAAAACATAGGAATATGCTCTACATACACTTCAAAAATAAGGGTGTGTTTTTTAAACTTAAAAAGTTGGCCATGAACATTTTTCCGCATCAGTCCTTAGAGATCTGTCTCACATTTCAAAATCGTTCTATGATATTCCATATCATATCCATATGATATTTTGGAAATGTATGGCATTTCCAAAACATACATAACAGTTTTCCTATTAATTGACATTTAGGTTGCTTTTGATTTTTATTTATTACAAACAATCTTACAATTACCATATACAGCCTTATGTGTATATGGTAATATTTCTACAGCATAGATAGAATGTAGTTCTAGTAAAGCAACAAGGAAGAGGTGAGCCATTACAGGACACATGCATTTAGGATGCTGATAACACCAACAAATGGCCCTTCTGAGAGGACTGTACCATTTTTATTCTCACCCACAAGCTCTTCCATTTACATCTTTGTATTAACAATCTTTTACATTTAAAATGTTTATTCCATTATCTGACCCATTATAAATACTCAACAAGTAGTATTTGATAATAAAAATTTGTTATAAAGTTTTAATCTAAAATGCATTATGCTAGTCAATATTTTACTTTATAATTAACCATAGTGGTCCTGAGTTAAATGACTGTTCACATGAGTTTTTAGTAGAATATTATATGACACCACCCTAGTTACTAGAAAACATGCAGGAATATCTTTCTTTTTTTTTTTTTTGAAACCTTATTCTTTTTTTCAATCCATTAGCTGGATTTAGTCACATTTATAAATTTCTTTTTTTAAAACTTTTTTATTATACTTTAAGTTTTAGGGTACATGTGCACAATGTGCAGGTTTGTTACATATGTATACATGTGCCATGTTGGTATGCTGCACCCATTAACTCATCATTTACATTAGGTATATCTCCTAATGCTATCTCTACCCGCTCCCCCCACCCCACAACAGGCTCCAGTGTGTGATGTTCCCCTTCCTGTGTCCATGTGTTCTCATTGTTCAATTCCCACCTATGAGTGAGAACATGCGGTGTTTGGTTTTTTTGTCCTTGCAATAGTTTGCTGAGAATGATGGTTTCCAGCTTCATCCATGTCCCTACAAAGGACACGAACTCATCATTCTTTATGGCTGCATAGTATTCCATGGTGCATATGTGCCACATTTTCTTAATCCAGTCTATCATTGTTGGACATTTGGGTTGCAAAAGAAACTACCATCAGAGTGAACAGGCAACCTACAGAATGGGAGAAAATTTTTGCAATCTACTCATCTGACAAAGGGCTAATATCCAGAATCTACAAAGAACTCAAACAAATTTACAAGAAAAAAACAAACAGCCCTATCAACAAGTGGGCAAAGGATATGAACAGACACTTCTCAAAAGAAGACATTTATGTAGCCAAAAGACACATGAAAAAATGCTCATCATCACTGGCCATCAGAGAAATGCAAATCAAAACCACAATGAGATACCATCTCACACCAGTTAGAATGGCGATCATTAAAAAGTCAGGGAACAACAGGTGCTGGAGAGGATGTGGAGAAATAGGAACACTTTTACACTGTTGGTGGGACTGTAAACTAGTTCAACCATTGTGGAAGACAGTGTGGCGATTCCTCAAGGATCTAGAACTAGAAATACTATTTGACCCAGCCATCCCATTACTGGGTATATACCCAAAGGATTATAAATCATGCTGCTATAAAGACACATGCACACATATGTTTATTGCGGCACTATTCAGAATTGAAAACATGCAGGAATTTCTAAAATTCCCAGGAACATTAGGAAGAATGAGAAAGTCAAGGAGAGCTGGAGGTAACCAGTTAGGTCTTCACACTTCAGAACACACAAGAACTCAAGTCTTTTCACATATTCCTCACATCTCATGGAACCAGAAGAGATAATTCATTCCCAAGGTAAAACTGAGTGTCACCTGGTGAATAAAGCAGGTAAAAAATATTAGCATGAAGTAACATCTGCTGCTATCACAATGAAATAGTGGCACATAGATTATCTTAAAGTGACATAATACCCAGGAAGATGAAACCAATGTGTGGACAGAAGCTCTGAGTAACTGCCTCTATGTTCCTGTGCCCTCTTTAGCTGCTTGCTAAAAATTGTTAGCCCAGACCTGTGAATCACTGGAATTGCTGCAAAAATTGCCAAAGTAACCTCTGAGAAGCAGGTGGTAATGAAGGCTTCTGTCCAGATGCCAGAATCCCATATGCTTGCCAATCTGTGTTTCCAGCATGCACCATTATACTTAAAATTATATTTTCCTTTTCCTGCCCATGTTCACTCTACCATAATTAACAAGGTTCTAATACTTCTTTAGAAAAAAAGAAACATCACAGCCTATTTGCCTTCTCTTAATAAAAATAAAGGTAAAAAAGGCAGTGTCAGACACCTTCAAACCTTCAACCTAAGCTACAACTCCAGTATTCGGTGCTTAAGTAAGTGATTGTCATCAGTCTTTCTGCAGTTTTTTATTTCAACTGTGCCATTGTCTTGTCTGGGCACCTCAGTACTGAGAGAACCACTCTCTGATTTCCTTTCCAAGTCTACTAGAAAAAAAAAAAAATATATATATATATAGTTTCTGGAAAAAAATTAGTCACACTTTTTTTTCCAGAATGGGAAGAGAGAATGTTAAACAAGCAGGTTTTCCACTTCAGAACAATAGATTTCCCAAGCCAGCAATGCCAACTAATATACCCCACACATCATAACCACAAAACTTTTGGCATCCTCCCAGAACTTGCGCTTCTAGATATAAACAACAATAAAAGTTTGAGTGATCAACATCCAAGGTTATATGTCACCAGGAGGATTGAAGTATTTGCCAAACTTAGGTTGACCTTTTTGGGAGCTCAGAGATGTTATGGTTCAGAGGTCAGTCTTTCTAATCATTGTTTTTTCTACTGACTTGTTTACTTTGTCTTTGCCCAGACTGCCCAGCCCCTCCAGGATCTGGCACCACTGGTTATGGAAAATGTCCAAAGCTTCACAACAAGTTGTGTATTTCTGCAAAAGTCAATTTAGCATTATATCCCAATGTAAGGCTCTGAGTGCCACAAATCATTATAAACAGCATTCTCTTACACTCCTTGCCCTATTTTCTCATAGTTTCAGTACAATATCTGCACGCAATATTAGAAAAGAAATACCCTTAAACATGCAACCATTCAACAACAACAACAACAAGGATTAAATTGCTTTCAATGAATATTTTGGAGTTGTAGAATAGTATGTTGATTGTATTAGTAAATCTAAAACAATGTGGGGCTTTTGGGTTTGGTATAGAGAGGTATGATGTTTAGAAAAAGGTTACATTGAGACGTGGATTTCAATCAGCAATTTAAAAGTACACATGATGGCACTTTAATTACATCTTAATGATTAAATCTTAAAAATGATGCTAATTTCAGTCAAAATAACTTTTGAAGATGTTTTTCTTGCCTGCAGCTATCTGAATACATGATAGGCAGGAAATGGGAAAAGAGAATAAAAAGAGACAGTATTCTAACCACATAAAAGTGTAATTGGGTTTTTTGTTTTTTTTTAATTAAATAATAGTTGTACATATTTATACGGCAAATGCAATATTTTGATACAAGCATACAATGTGTAATGATCAAATCAGGGTAATTACAGTATCCATCATGTCAAGCATGTATTATTTCTTTGTGTTAGGAACATTCCAATTCCACTCTTCTGGTTATTTTGAAATACACATACATTATTGTTAACTATAGTCACCTTATTGTGGTACCAAATACTGAATCTTATTCCTTCTATCTAACTATATTTTTGTACCCATTAACCAGTCTCTCTCTATTCCCTCCTTCCCAGCTTCTGGTAAACATCATTCTACTCTCTGTCTCCATGATATTTTTTTTCTCTTTTTATTTAGCTCCCACATATGAGTAAGAATATGCAATATTTGTCTTTCTGTGTCTGGCTTATTTCACTTAACATAATATCCCCCAGTTCCATCCACATTGTGGCAAATGATAGGATTTCATTCTTTTTATAGCTGGATAATATTCCATTGTGTGTATATATATCACATTTTCTTCATTCACTTATCTGTTAACGGACACTTAGGTGAATTCCATATCTTGGCTATTGTAAATGGCACTACAATAAACATGGGCACATAGATATCGCTTCAATGTCTTGATTTTCTTTCTTTTAGATATATACCCAGCAGTGGGATTGCTGGATCACATGGTATTTCTATTTTTAGTTTTTGTGAGGACCCTCCATATTGTTTTCCATAATGGCTGTTCTATGTACATTCCCACCAACAATGTACAGGGGTTTCCTTTGCTTCACATCCTTACCAGCATTTCTTATTGTCTGTCTTTTGGATAAAAGTCATTTCAACTGGAGTAAGATGATAGTTCATTGTAGTTTTCATTTGTATTCTCTGATGATTAGTGATGCTGATAATTTTTTATATACCTATATGCCATTTGTATAACTTCTTTTGAGAAATGTCTACTTAGATCTTTCGCCCCTATTTTAATTGAATTATTTGTGTTTTTTTCTGATTGAGGAGTTCAAGCTCCTTGTGTATTCTGGTTATTAATCCCTTGTCATATGAATAGTTTGAAAACATTTTATCCCATTCGGTAAGTTGTCTCTTCATTTCGTTGATTGTTTCCTTTTTTGTGCAAAAGCTTTTTAACTTGTTGTGATCCCATTTGTCCATTTTTGCTTTGGTTGCCTGTATTTTTGAGGTCTTATGCAAGAAATCTCTGCCCAAACTAATGTCCTGGAGTGCTTCCCCAGTGTTTTCTTCTAGTATTTTCATAGTTTCAGGTCTTAGATTTAAGACTTTAGTCCATTTTCACTTAACTTTTGCATATGGTGAAAGATACGGATGTACTTTTGTTCTTCTACAGATGAATAACCAATTTTTCCTGCACCATTTATTTAATATATTGTCCTTTCCCCCAGTGTATGTTCTTGAGGCCTTTGTGAAAATGAGTTGACTATAAGTGCCTAGATTTATTTATGGGTGTTTATTTACCTTGAATTAGAGTTCATAACCATAATTGAAAGATCTAATAAAAATAGGCAACATTTGGATATGTTTCAGCACAGAGGACACTGTATTTGCCTTACAAAAAAATCAACATTGAAGATGAAAAAAATAGTAACAAAAACTCTAATATACACAGTCTGTCTGCTTGTATGCCCTACCTCCCACTGTCACGTAATCTTATGTTTAGGTTCTGTTTGGACAAAAAAAAAAAAAAAAAAAAAGAGAGAGAGAGAGAGAGAGGAAAAGAGAAGTTTGAAAAGAGTTTTCTCAGCAGAAAATTAAAACAGAAATTTGGGAAGAGTTGATGCAAATACTGAGCTCTCAGTGCATTTTTTTCCCTCAGCATTTCCTCTTCCCAGAAGAAAGATGGAAACTATAGAAATATAAATGATAACATTGCTTACTTTAAAATGCTAATAATAATAATGAGTAAAAGGGAAAGGCTTCTTAAAGCACTGTACTTAAACATATTGACCTTCTATAAAAAATAAGAAAGGGCTGAAATAGGTCCCTGGTATAGATTATCTAAAACAAATCAGAATAAATAAATGTCATGCTTCTGTTGCAGAGTTGTATTTTAATTACGGTATGTTTTTCATTGATTTTGTTATGGACTTTCTAATAATGTTTGTAATCTTTTTCCTAAACTTAAAGTTCCAGCTACGCTAAAAATTCCAAATTTTCCAAAGCACATTACTGATGCCTCTAGGTCTTTGCACATGCTGTTTCTTCTGTAGGTTATTTGCATTCCTTACAATACATGGCAGGAAAAAGATTGGCCAACAATGAAGTTTCTTGTTCAGATACTTCCCAGGCATAAGATAATATTTTATGTTGTGAAAGTAGCAATTCAAATCATTACGCTAATTATTTAGTCCATAAATAGTATTTGAAGAATTTGCTATTTTTTTTGAAAATAAATAAACTTAGATTCCTGCTTCCTCCCTTATTCAAACCAAGATTCCAGGGGTTTAGTGATGTGAATGCGTAAAATAAAACCATACAAGTGTTAGAATACTATTTAGGAAAAGAATTGTTATAATCAACAGGTACAAGGAGGAAATTTATGGACGAAAAGCAAGTAACTAATAAACATGAGATGAAAACCTCAATATTGATCAGATGAATATAAACTGGAATAGCTATTCTATACCAGTCATCATTTATCATAATATCTTATTAACAGCTGAGGGAGTGAAAAAAATTATTCTTGATGTTGTAAAAAATTCACTTTCAATGTTGGTGAGACTGGTAAAAAGATTTTAAAGGACAATTAGAACAATAACTCAAAATTTCAAATATGCATGCATACATATCAACGGAGAAATTTTAGTTTTGAGGATCCATCTTATAAAAACACTCCTACATGTATACACACATATTCACAAACACACACACACACACACACACACACATTTTCATTGCAATATCATTGGCTAGAGCAGTAAAACGGAGAGGTAGAAGTCCATTAACAGGATATTGGTTAAATCAATCAGAATTTAACCATGAAACAGATAATCAGATCACTGTTAAAATGAACAAAGTACATCTGTATGTACCAAAATGGACAAATGTTCAGGATAAAATTTTAAGTCAAAAAAGAAAGTTTCAGAGAAATATATACTGAATGCCTTCATATACAATTACATAATGTTACTGTTTGAAAGTTTTACATGTATAGCTATATGTAATTACCCATGGATGTTTCAACCTGCTCATGTGTCACCTTTTGTTTTGACTCTTTTTTGGAGTCCCTGTGAATATGACCTCCACCTCTTAATATACTTCAACACTTTATGTATACAACTATAATTCCACTTCCATAATACCCTTGTAGTTTCCAATCAAATAAAGATTTTAAAATTTATTAGTAGACATAACTGCTAAACTTTCAGAAATACATGCTAATCTGCCACACCCCAAATGTCAAAACTGTGTTGGAAAAATATCAGAGGAAACCTTCCAAAAAATACTTGGAGCCTCAACTATTTACCTAACTTGTCTGAAGATAACAGGAGATGTGGAGGTAAGGCAATAGAGGCAGGTGGTATGGCCACATTCAGGGCATTCTCCACCCACTGAGAGCAGTCACTCAGACTCCTGAGGGGAGGGAGGGGAACACCTCCACTAAAAAGCCTGCCCCTTATAATGCTCCCTGATTTTTAAATCTCTCATCAAGTGCAGGCAAGTGGGAGCTGAAGAAGGAGAAAGAGTACAAGTTCTTGTATGAGCTCAAGCAAGGAACAGCGGGCAGTTCACATAGATGCTCCACAGTTATTTGCCTAACATCTGCTCCCATCAACCTAGTTGCCAGGCAGAGTTTTACAGACATTAGGATTATGCTATTGACTATATGTTTAAAATTCTGTTAGGATTGAGGAGATGAGAAAGTATGTAATCTAAAGGAAAGGAAACAAAATATATACATAAGTCAATCCAAAGTAACTATTCACATATACTTGCAGTTTTATATTTTTACAATATCATTAATCTCAGAGATTAGAATATCTCACTGATGAAGCACTTTCATAAAATGATAGAATCGTTTAAGACATTTGATATTTTAAGATCTCCTATGATTTTTTTTTTTTACTAATTTTCTCTGCAAAGACAATGATGAGTCACTAAGGTCAATTTGAGAGAACTGTGGTATTAAATCCTTAGAGATTTTCCACCAACTTGTAACCTTTTCCAAACCACCATCCCCAACTTCAAATTCAAAATTACTAAGCTATTTAGGAGTTTAATGGAATTCAAACAAATCCAGCATAAATTAATATTTTGATAGATGATAGAGATAAACATGTACTTAGATAGATGATAGATATAGATATAGATACTACATCATTATAAAAATATATGTATCAGATATATGTCATGCATGTTGGTTGACATGTATCTATAACCCAAATAAGTGTGAAAATAATTGTAGACAGCATCTTGTAGTGACATTACAAAATGTTAAGGTCATTTTTTCTGGTGAGCATCACAGGAAAAAATTAAAATCTTAGCCCAATTGGAATCTAAAATAAGGCAAAGAAATTGTTTAAAACATTTTTATTGACATCATCTAATGCAGTGGTTCTCAAAAATGTGGTCCCAATACAGCGGCATAAGCATCACCTGGGAACTTGTTAGAAACTCTGAGGGTGGAGTGCAGCAATATGAATTCAATGAGCTGTCCAGGTGATTCTGATGCCCACTCAAGTTTCCAAATCACTGTTCTAATGGGTTATAGTTTTGTGGGCTCTGATAAGCTCAACTTGGAATGTATTGACAATTTGTTTTTCCCAAGGTTTTTGTGTTAGTCCGTTTTCACACTGCTGATAGAGACATACCTGAGACTGGGCAATTTACAAGGGAAAGAGGTTTAATAAACTTACAGTTCCACATGACTGGGAAGGCCTCACAATCATGGTGGAAAGCAAGGAGGAGCAAGTGACGTCTTACATGGATGGCCACAGGCAAAAAGAACTTGTGTGGGAAAACTCCTTCTTATAAAACCATCAGGTCTCATGAGACTTATTCACTACCACAAAAACAGCACAGGAAAGATCTGCCCCCCATGATTCAGTTATCTCCTACCAGGTCTCTCCTACAACATGTGGGAATTATGGAGGCTACAATATGAGATTTGGGTAGGGACACAGAACCAAACCATATCACTCTTCTTTCACAGAACATTTACGTTTGGCTTACTGGGTGAATTCTCAATATCTAAGAGTTAATTCCTTGGTCATTTTAGATGCTCACATAATTTTTAAATGAGTAAGTATTTGTATATGAGACATTTTAACAATGAAACATATGATCTATTTTTTATTTGTAAATGCTTACATGAAAATCATAAACTATTATAAAACTATGACTATTGAATCCATTGATTTATAGGTAACAAATAATCTCTATTAGGGAAAAAAAAGTAACAATTGGGCCTATCCCAATATATTCCAATAATTTTATCTAAAGGAAAAGCTGAGCAGTATCTGTATTTATTATAAAAGACAGTCATTCATAATGTTTCTTCCTTGACTTCAACTCTACTTCTACCACTCGGTCTTTCTGCCAAAGTAAGTAGATGAATCTATTGATGGCTTTAAGTTATAACAATTCATGTGTGGATTGAAAATTAAATTTATGATGCAGACTAAAACCCAGCACCTTCTTCTTGCAGGTATGCTAGCGTATAATAGTCGTCTACTTCCCATCACTGTATAGTTGAGTTTTCAAAGTCTTCGAACCTTCTAAATCTAAGATGAGTTTTCTATAAAATCACAGTATAAAGTCAACGCTCAAATATCTTCCTCAAATAGTTCAAACATGATTAATCAAGAAGATGAAAGGCATAAAAATAAATGTGCATATGATGAGCACTTGCCACTGAGTCTAACTAAATTTGAAATCACAAATAACCCAAATGAAGGCAACACAATAACTCTGATTATAGAAGAAACTATTTTTATTCTATTACCTCCAAATATTTTAATAGAAACACTAATTATATTGTAACTTAATTGAAATGGGTTAGAAGTTGAGATGATGGCATAGAGAAGCAAATAAAAACAAGAAATTAACAAAAGTTTTCTATAATTACTAGAGTGACTAGGACACAATGGACATAATTCTTATTTCTGATTTATCTTAAATCCCCACATTAATGTCCCTAAGATTAAGGCCATGTAATAGGACATTGGCTTAGCTGTCTACGTTTTAACTTGTTCTTTATTATATCTCTTCAATTTAGTCTTATTAGCCCAATACATATAAAATAAGCCATAAGTATTACAAGCTGTTGGGTTAAATCTCCATTTAATTCTCATACATATATCATAGGCCTTTAAAGATTCAACTAATCAAAATTCTCATATTCAAAATGAAATAATGTAGCCATTACAATTAAAATTTCTTACCATCAAATAGCAGTTAATATCTCAATTTAAATATCAATCAAAAGTAATATGAATCTTCAGGAAAAGATATCACAAATTGAAATGTTTTGCATGATTGGGGATTACATAGATATTTGAATTCTTCAACCCCAAAAGGAAAAATATGATCTGTACCATATGAGTATACATCTCAATTTATTTTTCTTTTTGAGTAAATAATTTTAAAATATTATTTAATGCCTTTCTTATTAGCATTAGCATATATCTCCCTCTTTCTCATTCAGCAATGCCAACCCTGAGAGACTGATAGCAGTAAGAAGGGAAAAGCTGCCTTTGCAGTTTTTTTTTCTCCTCCTGGCTCCTCCAGCCCTGCCTCCTGTTTCCTTGCCCCTGAGCCTGACATAAGTTGCAGTTGTCACCAGCAGCTCAGGTAACAGACAGAAACCCCCAGCTGTTCTGAAACCTTGCCAAGAGCAGCAATTGTTCAGCACCGGTGGGTGTAGGAGTGTGCCTGGCACCTCCATCCGGAGCATTCTGAGTTGAAAGAAAAACCTCTATTAACGGGGCATGCTAATGATCTTTACATTTTAATTAGAAGTGCTTGAGTTAAGATCACTCACTGAAACATTAATGAAAAAGGGAAGGTTTACCTCCTGTTCCTCTGCTTTTTGACTACAAGAAAGAAGCAATAAGCTGACCTGAATCAGGTTAGAGCAAGTATCAAGAAAACTCATTAGAATTGTGTGATTTCATCCAAGCTGGAAATACCAGATATTTCCATTTCAAAGCCAAGAAAACATAAGGTGAGCAAAGAGAATCCTCCTTGGAGTATCATGAAGTAGGAGTTTCTCAGGTCTCTACCTGTTTCTCTCCCTCCACTCATATACATACATACATTTTTATGTGATTTTTTTCATACCCAAATAAATATACTGTTAAAGTGTCCAATGCCTTCAATATGCAGAAATCAAAAGCCACATGCCTATATAAATGTTCTAAGGACTCCACCATGTTTGAATATGTCTCTATGCAATTTGAAGTTTTTTGTTGGCTTTCTTTATCTAAAAGCATCAAATATCATAATAAATGAATTCAGAAAGATTCCTTTCTTATAATAACCAAAAAAGTTAACAGTTAATTTTTTTGGAAAATATTTTTAAAAAATTTCCCTTAAACTGAGGATTAATGTGTCCTTTTGAAAATAGAGAAACAGACAAAATCTAAGGGACTTTATTGGGAAAAAGTCCCATGAGGGTCAGGACCAACAACCCAATGATTTCTAAAGCACCATCATCATCATGGATGTTTTCACACTTTGACACCATATAAAAAGGCCCTAAATATAATGTAGAAGAAAGTATCAAGTCCAAGGTCAGTGCTAGGAAATGGCACTGAGCATCTACTCAGACAGAAATACATGGGACCGGCATGGTGGCCCACACCTATAATCCCATCACGCTGGGAGACTGAGGTGGGCAGAACACTTGAAGTTAGAAGCTCCAGACCAGCCTAGCCAACATGGTGAAACCCTGTTTCTACTAAAAATACAAAAATTAGCCAGTTATGGTGGCAGGTGCCTGTAATCCATGCTACTCAGGAGGCTGAGGCACGAGAATCGCTTGAACCCAGGAGGCAGAGGTTGCAGTGAGCCGAGACTGTGCCACTGCACTCTACCCTGAGTGAGATTCTGTTTCAAATAATAATAATAATAATATGCAGAAAGAAGTATATGCATGAAGACAGGACAGTGGTGAGTGGCTTCTCTTAGCTTAGCTATTTCACTTCAGTGTAATTTTAATTAACCCAAATGCTGCCTCAATTCTCCTTTCTCAATATGTATTATAGATCAGGGCTTCCTCAAGTGACATTTACAGACATCTGGTGGTCCACAGTGGTTATTCAACGGGCCTGCAAAGAACATGGAAGCTTCAAAAGAAAAAATTAATGAAGTGATTATGTTAACAAACATTTCAGAAACTTATAATATCAAATGATGTGATTTGCATGGAAGCCTTGTTACATGTTTAATAATCATCACCTTCTGAAAAGTTGTTGCAGGCCATTCTTCTTGCCTATTCTTCAGTTAACATAATGTATTTTTGTCTCTGCTGATGAATTTGTCACCATTTGCAACATATTTCTTATAATTGTGAATTTAGTATTTTCTATTTTAAGTATCATGCTGAGCTAATACTCCTAGTTGAAAATTTGGACCAATGGTTCAAAAAGCATTCAATGATGCATGAAAGTAATGAAGACAATAATAATAATTTCAATAAGTCAGAAGGTCATACAAATAAAAAAAGAATGGAACTCCATTGCAAATATAGAATATAAATTTTTATGTATTTGAATATGTGAATCTGCTGGTGTTACGATTTTGCATAAGAAGATGAAAAGTGAAGTGAATATCTGAAAATTGATGTTTGGGGGAACAGCAAATTGATTGTCTCCCAGCCCAATTCTATTTTCTGTAATGACACTTCTTCCAAATAATGACATAAATCCATAGAAGCTTTATTTCTAAAGAAAACAAGGTGACTTCTTATGAAAACAACCAGGCTTTTCAATATAAAATTAATTTTTCCACCTGGATAAGAAGAGACTAAAACTAGAGTGGCATCATTCACAGTGGCCCTTCTCATAAAACTAAATCCTTTATTTGTAATAGTTTAAGTCTCTTGCTCTTATACACTTGTTCATTAAATTCCATGATTTTTCCATTTACATCATCTTGTCATCTACAGATAATGACAGATGACTCTTCATTTCCAACGATTCTTCTTTCTTTTTTCTCATCAAAATTATTATTTGGGGTTAGTCCTCTAGCACAGTATTGAAGATTTGTAGCAATAATTAGCATTTTCTTATTCCTGAATGAGAAAAAGAGAGTAGGAGAGGAAAAGAAGGGGGATGACGAGGAGAGGCAAAGGTGTGGGAAAGGGAGGGAGGAAAAGAATAAGAATCTTAGGACCATTTAGTAATAAATTAAAAGTCCTGTATTCCTATATATATATATATATATATATATATATCCTGAAGCTATCACTTGTTATCACAGCACAGAAAAATAGTTGATGTTTAAAAGAATTATATTAACTAATCAAGAGTGGGATCAATTATGATCAGAAAATAAGAATACTAATGAGAATTCTTATTTAAAATATGGCCAATCAAAATGTGATGTAAACATTTTTAAAAATGTGCTTCCAGAGAATTTCAGATAGTTCTGATTCTCTATCACCTGAAGAAATATTCTTGCCAGTTCTAAAAATATTCAAGAGGAACATTTCCAATTTGCTCTTTCTAGGTTTATACAAGAGGATAACTTAATAAAATTTGTATGAAGACAACACTTGTAGATGCATTAATTAATCATTAGATAAAATGATAGGAATAACTTCTGAAATTTATTTTAAGTAATTTGTTCACACTTTCTTACACTGAATTCAAGAGGCATTTCTTGTAATATTTTAAAAATAATCATAAACTAAGAAAAAATGTAGAAGTACAGCACAAAATCTTTTATTTTCCTAAACCACTTGAGAATAAATTGCTGATATCATGTCCCATTGTCCCTCAATCCCAAATTTTCTGTTTCCAGCAAAAAAAGGACATTATTTTATATAATCATATAACTATCAACATCAGGAAATTAACACTAATAAAATTCTCTAATCTGTAGACAACAGTAAGTTTCTCCAGTTGTCCTAGTAGTGTCCTTATAGCAAAGTGATCTAAGCATTCAGATTCACGTGTTGTGTTTACTTTTATGAATTTCTAGTCCCCTTTAGGCTGCAAGAGGTTTTCACTTTCTCCTTGACTTTGAGGACCTTGATGCTTTGCCAATCATAGGCCAGTTATTTTGTAATGTTCTCCAATCTGGATTTACCTGATCTTATACATTTCTGGTATTAAAATTGGGACATAATTTTAATTTGTCTCATTGATAATGGCATTCACTTTGATCACTAGATTAACATGAGACCTACCACCCATCTTTCTCCACTGTGAAATTCCTTTCTAACTAATATTTTGTGATGATATACTTCTAAACTATTTAAATATCCTGTGATATAATTATCTTGTTAATTATATCACCATGGACTCCTGCTTTCTTGTTTTATCAGTGGGTTATAATCTATTAAAATCATAGTTATTTTAATATGCAAGGATAACATGGTTCAGCCAGTGGAAACACCTCCAAGAAGGTCTGAGTTATTTATTTTGCCACAAGATGACCTAGACCCACCAAACTTCCCCTGCTCCAGACCTGAAAGCAGTGTTTCTCAAAGAACCCTTGGGTCCATTCTTGTGGAGAATAGCTGCTCCAAAGTCTTCTCAGTGGACAGAGCAAGTGGATATATATGTGTATGTACATAACACATACAAAAACACACGTTCAGAGTGTTTATAAATACACAACTATATTTTTTATCTATCTTTATCTATTTATATTAAAAATCATGAGTTCATACCAGTAGTGTTGAACCCAATCTTCATGGTTCATCTACTCTTCTCCTTTGCTATATTTACAACCCTTTTTACAATAGTAAGAAACTAACTCCCATTGTCTTTCATATATTTATTTATCTATTTAACCAATTCCTCTGTATGTAGCCAGATTTCCATCTCTGTCATCACCTATTCCCCATCCAAGGACTCAAAAGCCAGTTTGCATGTCCCCCTTACCCTACTCAGACTCTAACTCTTCATCTTAGCCCCTACCCCACGTGAACATCCTCCTCAACTTGCTCAGACAATGACACCCCACCAAGGTCACATGGGTCTCTCCCTTACTCTGCTCAGGTTCTGCCTCATGCCGGGTCACCCTTATAGGCAGATGTCCTCCTCACCCTGCTAGCCTTCTAACTGCCAGTTCACACCAGACTCACAGTGACATGAACACCTAACATTATCAACCCCATCTGATTTATTTAGGAATAAAAAGAAAGCAGAAAAACGGTGTTGTATGGTATTCTATACTACATTGAGCCTTTATAAGCATTATTAAAAACCCAAGTACACTTTTTGCAAGTATGGTATTTATTTGTTCATATCAATTAATCAACAAGCATTTATTGAACACCTGCTATGTGCTCAGTGATATGAGAGAAGAATGAAAAAGTTCCTGTAATATAGCTACTTGAAATTAGATTGTAAATTGAAGAAAAAGTAGAATAGTAAAAGTCCACTATATTTTCTATAGCAATAGAAACATAAATTGAAAGATACATAACTATTATAGTCTCAAACGGTCATAATAGTTTGCTTTGACATAACCTTTCTACACATGATGTCTATGCCTTTCCTTCCTACTTCACTGAAGCTCACCCAGCATCGAGCTTTCTATTAATGATTCAGAATGGATGATGCTAAGTTTCATTCTGTTAAATTACTGGAGCATACACTATCATAATTTTGATATCACTGTCATCAGGGTTAACACATAGTAGCCTCACAGCATAATGCAAAAAAAAATCATCAGTTAAAAAAATAAAAGAAGAAAGAAATGTACTGCAGAGTAAAATTTAAAAAGAGTTTGCCATAGGTTAGTCTGACTCAGGAATGCAATTTATATTTTAAACATAATTTTCATAGAGGTCTACATTTCACTTTAAATGTGTAAAGCATAAAGCATGCCTTCATGTTCTGGATCAGAGTGTGGATGTTATGACTGTGGAACCATGAGGACCCTACAGGAGTATTAAAAACCAGAACAAGCACCCATGGGGAGAAGAAAAGACCAGGAGCCAGTGTAACCCAAGAAGACAACAGTCCTGTTGGGAAGCCCTATAGGAGTGGTGAAAAAAGGAGGTAGTTGCTGCCATTTGCTACTGTCTCCACAACTGTCATCATTCTTGATGGCTCAAAGGGAACCAATAATCATTTGTATCTAAAAAAGTGTTAGGCGTGGGTTATATTAATGTCATACCTGAAGGGTAAATACTGACTAATGTGCACAGCAAGAAATGTCAACTATTGTTAAAATCAGTAATTGCTGTTTTCAGATACTTCTTTTGTCAAGATAGAAGTGCAGAAATGGTGATGGAAGCAATTATTCATTCCTTTGGTTCAACAAGTGTGTTTGAACTTCATTCTTTTGCCTTCTACAACAGTGATTGAGACTCAGTACTTCCATGTAATGTCATTTGTGATCAAGGCACAGCCTTTATTAAGGTACAAAATATTTATTTATACAACCTAAGAAATAAAAGCTATTTACTGAATGTCCTGGTTGTTCTCTACACTGCAAACGTGGTCCTATATTCCAGGGGCCCCCAACCCTCAGGCCACAGACTGGTACCAGTCCCTGGCCTGTTAGGAACCAGGTCACACAGCAGGAGGTGAGCAGCAGGTGAACAAGCGAAGCTTCATCTGTATCTATAGCTGCTCCCCATTGCTTGCATTACCACCAGAGCTCCACCTCCCATCAGATTAGCCGCAACATTGGATTCTCATAAGGATGTGAACCCTATTGTAAACTGCACATGCAGGGGATCTAGGATGCATGCCCTTTATGAGAATCTAATGCCTGATGATCTGAGGTGGAGCTGAGAAGGTGTTGCTAGCCCTGTGGAGTGACTGAAAATACAGATTAACATTAGTAGAGAGGTTTGACTGCACAGAGACAATAATAAATAAATTGCTTGCAGACTCATATCAAAATCCTAGCAGTGAGCGGCAAGTGACAATTAAGTTGCATCTGGTGGCAGGCTTTATATGGAAAATCAGTTGATATACTTCAGTTGTACAGCTGCATCCAGTGGCAGGCTTTAAGTCAGAATCTGATACATTTTAGTCCATGCATGGCCCACCCATTATTTTATTTACCACTTCCATCCGCGCCTCATTCCCATACTGCACACTTGTCTCAGTCATGGTTTTGGTAAGCCCACAAGCTAACCCTAGCCAAAATGAGTTAAAAATAAACATCACTGGAGAGCTTATTTGAAAAGCGGAAAAGACTCAATGATGAGACAGTAGAAGACTCTAAGACTGCCAATAAAAAGAAAACTGCATTTAAAAGAAAATAACAAAGGTTCCACTTAAATTACAGTTTCATTGCAACAGTTGATTCACATTCTTCAATCCCATTCTGTATAATATGTGGCAACCGGTTATCCAACAAAGCCATGAAACCTTCAAAACTGCTTCACAAAGAGAACAAGAACCCTGCATTAAAAGACAAGCTTTGGCCGGGTGCAGTGGCTCACACCTGTAATCCCAGCACTTTGGAAGGCTGAGGTGGGCGGATCATGAGGTCAAGAGATCGAGACCATCCTGGCCAATAATGTGAAACCCAGTTTCTACTAAAAATACAAAAATTAGCTGAGTGTGGTGGCTTGCACCTGTAGTCCCAGCTACTCGGGAGGCTGAGGCAGGAGAATCACTTGAACCTGGAGGCGGAGGTTGCAGTGAGCCAAGATTGTGCCACTTCACTCCAGCCAGGCAACAGAGCAAGACTCCATCTAAATAAATAAATAAAATAAAATAAAATAAAATAAAATAAAGACAAGCCTTTGGAATTTCTAAAAAAAAAAAAAAACAATGTGAACATGAAGAACAGACACAATTATTGAAGGCAACCACTTCACTAAATGTGCCTGCACAGAGAGTATCATTCTTAGTGGCTAACTGCACTGCTAAAGCTAAGAAGCCCTTTACTATTGGTGAAGAGATGATCCCATTTGCTGCTAAGGACATTTGTCGTGAACTTTTAGGAGATGCTTCAGTCTGCAGTTCAAAATGTGGCACATGTTTCTCTTTCAGCTAGCACCATAACTAGATGAATTGATAAAATAGAGGATACTGAGGCACAATTGTTAGAGAGGATTAATGAGTCACCATGGTGCACAATCCAGGTTGACGAGTATTAGATTAGGCTGACTCAGGAATGCAATTTATATTTTAAACATAATTTAAAATGTTGAAAACAAGGCAACAATGCTTGCTTCTGTACAATATATTTTTCAGATGGATGTGCACAGAGATATGTAATGTGCACTTTTGTTGCCAACCAACACCACAGCTGCAAAACTATTCAAGTATTTGAATGATTACATATCAGGAAAACTGAATTGGTTGTTTTGTGTCAGTACATGCATGGACAGAGCGGCTGCCATGACTGGACAGCTTTCTGTCCAGGTCAAAGACTAGTTGGGTCAAAGAAGTCACTGTGAGTCTATGCACTGTGTCATTCATAAAGAAATGCTGGCTAGTCAAAAACGTCATGTGAAGTTAACAATGTTTTGCAGAATGTGATTAAAATTATCAACCACATTAAGGTACATGCCCTTCACTCGTGTCTGTTCTTGCAGCTCTGTGAGGAGATGGACACAGCATACACGTCTTCTCTCATACACAGAAGTGAGAAGACTTTCTAAAGATAGATCACTGGCCAGAGTTTTTCAGTTATGAGGGCCGATACTTCTTTTGGAGAAACATTCACCACTGGCAGCACATTTCAGTGACACAGATGAATCTCAAAACTTGCTTGTGTGACATATTCAACCTCCTCAGCAAACTCAATTTGTCACTTAAGAGGAGAAGGACAGATGTGTTCAAGTTGGCAGATAAAGTGGCTGCATTCAAAGCCAAACTGAAATTATGGGGTCAAGGAGTGAACATTGGGATTGTTTGACACGTTTCAAACATTAGCAGAGATTTTGAAAGTGATATGGTTTGGCTCTGTGTCCCCACCCAAATCTCACTTGAATTGTACTCCCAGAATGCCCATGTGTTGTGGGAGGGACCCAATGGGAGGTAATTTGAATCATGGGAGTGGTTTCCACCATGCTGTTCTCATGGTAGTGAATAAGACTCATGAGATCTGATGGTTTTATCAGGGGTTTCTGCTTTTGCATCTTCCTCATTTTCTCTTGCCACCACCGTTTAAGAAGTGCCTTTCACCTTCCACCATGATTCTGAGGCCTCCCTGGGCATGTGGAACTGTAAGTTCAATTAAACCTCTTTTTCCCAGCCTCAGGTATGTCTTTATCAGCAGTGTGAAAACTGACTAATACAATAAATTGATATCAGGAGAGTGAGGCGTTGCTGAAAACATACCCGAAAATGTGGAAGTGACTTTGGAACTGGGTAACAGGCAGAGGTTGGAACAATTTGGATTGGAGTGTTCAGAAGAAGACAGGAAAATGTGGGACAGATTGGGACCTCCTAGAGATTTGTTGAATGGCTTTGACAAAATTGTTGATAGTGATATGAACAATAAGGGTCAGGCTGAGATGGTCTCAGCCTGGAGATGAGGAACTTGTTGGGAACTGGAGCAAAGGTGACTCTTGTTATATTTTAGCAATAGACTGGTGGCATTTTGTCCCTTCCCTAGAGATTTATGGAACTTTGAACTTGAGAGAGATGATTTAGGGTATCTGGCAAAAGAAATTCCTAAGTAGCGAGGACACAAGAGGTGACTTTGCTGCTGTTAAAAGCATTCCATTTGTAAAGAGAAACATAGCATAAAAGTAATACAGAAAGAGACTGAGTTGGGGCCTTCTTTCTCCCAGCTGCTGCGTGATCACCTATCTCAGCTTTCAAAAGAGTTTGAGCATTACTTCCTAACCACACAAGACTCCCTAATTGGCAAGGATTGGATCCTTGGCCTATTTATGAATATGCCAGGGAAGTTGACTTTATCTGTGCTAGAAGAGGATCAACTGCTTGGGATCAAAAATGAAAGTGGCCTTAAAAGTGTGTTTGAGACAGTGTGTTTAATACATTCTGGATTAAAGTCAAGGTGGAATATCCTGAGATTGCCAAAAAGCACTGAAAAGCCTGCTCCCATTTCCAACATCCTATCTTTGTGAAGCAGGGTTTTCTGCAGTGACAGCAATCAAAATGAGATTATGAGTAGCCTGGACATAAGCAACACACTTTGGGTGTCACTGTGTCCTGTCAGCCCCAGATGGGACTGTCTAGTTGCAGGAAGACATGCTCAGGATTCCCACTGATCCTACATTAAGGTGAGTTGTATAATTATTTCATTACCTGTTACAAGGTAAAAATAATAGAAATAAAGTGCACAACAAATTAAGTGGGCTTGAATCGTCCTGAAACCATATCCTCCCACCCACCCTAGCCCGATCCATGAAAAAGTTATCTTACACGAAACTAGTCCCTAGTGCCAAAAAGGTTGGGAACCACTGCTATATTCATTAAATGAGACATTTGTGAGTGGCTGTCCAGGTTCTATCCTTTCCCCTAAACCCTCTTCAGCAGTAAACTTCTAAAACTCTCTGTCCCTTTTGCCGCTCTTAGTTCAATTAGGGTGGATACTGACCTAAGCCGGATTAATCAGATCCTCCCTCCTATGAGGTTACAGTTAAGATTCAGTGACTCTACTCACTTATCTTATGACATTTAACTTTTAAGGACATCTAAATTTGAGGACTGCGGAGTCATGCCTCATGGTGATATATCTAGTCCTTGCACAAAGAAGCAGAGAAAAGCGTCTGTCAACTAAATATAAGGTGAAGCAGACAGGCCAAGAGAAGAAGAGGGACCCCTGTCTCTGACCTTTCCACCTGGATCCATCATCTGCCTTTCAGTTCAATGGAACTCCACTGGTTCTTTGTAAACAACCCCCACTTTCATCCTGCTTTTACTTAAGCTAGTTAGGATAGGATAAAGTTGAAGAAACCTTTGCTTGGGGATGGTGTATCTGTCAGCTGCTTGTAAGCTACACCTCTTAGTGACCCTTGGTTCTTACTGGTGGCAGTCTTTGCATGGAAATATTACTGAAATTTTTATACACCTGAAGGTGGCTGCCAATGGATTGCTTAGCTCCCAAGGATCATGAACTTATTGTTTAATGTCTCCTTTCCACTCAAATTTGATGCTATCAGCCCTGCAGCAGGTAATCAGGTAGAAGAGGTCCTAGATTGGAAAGTTGTATCAACAGCTCAGAATATCTCTGCTTGAGATATTTAGTAGAAATCTCAATATTTATTTTCTATACAGATCTTGAAAAATCCAACTTATCCTATTAATGCTTATGAAATATGCTAATCAATCATCTAGTGCCTTAGCAACCTCTAGTTTATCTACGTCAGAGATGCCGTATGCAAAGGTTTTCAATGTTCCCATATAGTAAATGTGCAAAAGATTGCCTTAGCTAAGCTATGCTTTCTAGCTAAATTTTCCCCTGCTCATTTTTTGTTATTCTGGCCTTTTGTTTCATGTTACTTTTCAAGTTAGTTGATTGATGTTGTTTTTAAATTTTCTATTGTATCGGTGCCATTTATAGTGAATATACTCAAATTCCTCTTGAGTAGAATAATCAAAACATAACAGTGAAGTCCACCATGAAAGCAGAAAAATATTTTCAGGCTCATCCACTTCACTGATACATCAGCCAAAAATGTTGAGGCACCATAAGCTGAAACGTCACTAAAACAAGAGGCTTATAGACTCTACCATGTGCTCCATGTACCTGGACCTATTTCAGGGTCTTTTAATCAAGTTTACAATTACTGAGCATTCACTCTTTACATAAGAAATTGAAGTAAAGAAAAAAACGTTCCCTGCACTTGAGTAATTTACAGTCATTGAGAAATACAGGCATAAAGTCAGGTAGCAAGAATATAAGAACAAAATAAGCTCTAGGAACATAAGCACATTTTTAAGATAAAATAAAGGATAAGTAGTGGTGTCTTAGAGAAAAAATAAGGAAATGTTACTTGAATTTGGCCAGGAAGGATGAATAGTTTGAAAATTTCAAAAGGACATCAGGAATCTCCAGCAAAAGGAACAACATGAGCAAAGAGGTGGGTGCAAGTGACCGTTAATAGTGAGTGTCAAGTTGATTGGATGGAATAATACATCCTGGGTGTGTCTGTGAGGGTGTTGCCAAGGGAGATTAACATTTGAGTCAGTGGGCTGGGAAAAGCAGACCCAACCTTCATCTGGGTGTGCACAATCTAATCAGCTGCCAGCGTGGCTAGAATATAAGCAGGCAGAAAAATTTGAAAAGAAAGTCTGGTCTAACCTCCCAGGCTACATCTTTCTCCCATGCTGGATGCTTCCTGCCCTCAAACATCAGACTCCAAGTTCTTCAGTTTTGGAACTTGGACTGGCTCTCCTTGCTCCTAAGCCTGCAGATGGCCTATTGTGGGACCTTGTGCTCATATCAGTTAATACTTAATAAGCTCCCATTTACATATATATATATATATTCCATTTTTGGAATATGTATAATATATATATATATCATATATATATATATATTCCATTAGCTCTGTCCCTCTAGAGAACCCTAATACAGATTTTGGTACCAGAAGTGGTTCTAGGGAAACAGAATATTAAGGATGGAGTTCTTTCATTGATTTGGGGGTTTCTGGAGTTGGCTGCTTAATATGATTAGGCCCAAAAATGCTAAGGACTTTACTCCTAATAATATGGAGAACACTGATAGTCCTTGGCATGAACTGTTTAGAAAGTTATGCAAAATAAATGCATTTAACCACTCCTGATTAATCACTCGTGAGAGGCAAAGAGTTTAGTGACTCTATACCTAATAACTTTGACCATATGTGAAAAAACAAGGAACATAAAGAAGCTGGTTGGTTACTCCTAAGTTCAGTGGACAAAGTGATGAAAGAAAATGATGAACCCAGGGATTCTATCTCCCAGCTTCAGAAGCAGATACTGATCCTCAAATCTGCTAAGATTGCCCTGAATGAGAGTCTTATCTCCTGTATAGAAAGAGCTGCAATTGTGAAAAACAGACACAAGCTCTAATCATGCAAGTGGCTGACCTGCAAGGAAAGGTGCATGCACAGCTTAACCAGGTGTGTACTGTTAAAGTGAGAGCATTGATTGGAAAAGAATGGGACCCTGCAACTTGGAATGGGGATGTGTGGGAGGACCCTGATGAAGCTGGGGAGACTGAATTTGTAAACTCTGATGAACCTTTCTTGCCAGAAGAAACAGTTTCCCCAACCTGAGTAGTGGCAACAGCCCCTCCCCAACCCACGCTGCCATCCACCTTTCCATCTTTGTCTGAGGAGATAAACCCTGTGTTGCCTGAGGCAATAGTGATGGTCTCCCCTGAGGCAGTTGCCGGGCAAGATAATGTTGATTCTCCTTAAGAGCCACCCAAACACCCCTGTTTGCTTCTAGACCTATAACTAAAGTCCTGGCAGGTCCCTAGAGGTGACATTGACAGCATGACCCATGAGGAGGTGCACTACACTCGAAAAGAACTGCTTGAGTTTTCTAATTTATATAAACATAAATCTGGAGAACAGACATGGGATGGATATTAAGGGTGTGGGATAACGGTGGAAGGAACAAAGAGTTGGATCAGGCTGAATTTATTGATTTGGGCCCAATGAGTAGGGACTCTACATTTAATGTTGCAGCTTGGGGAGTTAAAAAAGGTTCTAATAGTTTATTTGTTTGGTAAGCTGAAATATGGATTAAAAGATGGCCCACTGTGAGTGAGCTGGAAATGCCTGATCTCCCTTGGTTTAATGCAGAGGAAGGGATCCAAAGGCTTAGGGAGATTGGATGGTAGAGTGGGTTCATCACTTTAGACATACTCATCCTAGCTGGGAGGGTCCAGAAGATATACCCTTGACCAGTGCCTTACAAAATACATTTGTGAAGGCAGCACCTGCATCTTTGAAGAGCCCTGTAATTGCTCTTCTCTGTATGTCAGATTTAACAGTGGGAACCACAGTCACTCAGCTACAAAATTTAAATACAATGGGAATAATTGAATCCCAAGGTGGCAGGATCCAAGTGGCGGCATTCAACCATGAAAGGCAAGGTGGGCGTAGCTGCCATAATGAACAGCAGAGGCAAAGTGGCAATCAGAATAGTTTGACACATGTAGAGCTCTGGCACTGGCTAATTAATCACTGTGTTCCTAGAAGTGAAATTGATAAGAAGCCTACTGCATTCCTACTTAATTTACACAAGCAGAGAATTTCTAGGTCAAATGAATAAAATACTAATTTGAATTATAAAAACAGAGAATCATGGCCCCTCAATCAATTTCCAGACTTGAGACAGTTTAAAGAACCAGAACCCCTTGAATGAAGGAAAGGCTGGGTCCCCTTGACGAAGGACCCCACCACATTACCATCAATTTATGTAGTGAATCTTTCTCCCATCTTTCCCCAAGGAGACCTCCATCCTTTTACCAGGATAACTGTGCATTGAGGAAAGGAAAATGATCAGACTTTCTGGGGACTACTGGACACTAGCTCTGCGCTGATGTTGACTCCAAGGGACCCAAAACATCACCGTGGTCCTCCAGTTAAAGTAGGAGCTTATGGAAGTTAGGTAATTCAAGGAGTTTTAGCTCATGTCCAACTTACAGTGGGTCCAGTGGGTCCCTGGACTAATCCCGTGGTCATTTCCCCAGTGCCAGAATGCATAATTGGCACAGACATACTTAGCAGCTGACAGAACCTCCACATTGGCCCCCTACCTGGTAGGGTGAGAGCTATTATGGTAGGAAAGGACAAATGGAAGCCATTAGAGCTGCCTCTACCTAGAAAAATAGTACTTCAAAAACAATATCACATCTCTAAAGGGATTGCAGAGATTAGTGCTACCATCAAGGGCTTGAAAGACACAGGGGTGGTGATGCCCACCCCATCCCGATTCAACTCTCCCATATAGCCTGTGAGGAAAACAGATGGATCTTGGGAGAATGACAGTTAATTATTGTGAGCTTAACCAAATGGTGACTCCAATTGCAGCTCCTGTACCAGATGTGGTTTCATTGCTTGAGCAAATTAACACATCTCCTGGTACCTGGCATGCAGCTGTTGCTTGACACATGCCTTTTTCTCCATTCCTATACATAAGGTCCACCAGAAGCAATTTACCTTCAGCTGGCAAAGCCAGCAATAGATCTTTACTGTTCTACCCCAGGGGTATATCAAGTCTCTGGCTTTGTGTCATAATCTTACTTGAAGAGACCTTGATCACTTTTTGCTTCCACAAGGTATCACACTGGTCCATTACATTGATGACATTATGTTGATTGGATCCAGTGAGCAAGAAATAGCAAACACACTGGACTTATTGGTGAGACATTTGCATGCCAGAGGATGGGAAATGAATCCAACTAAAATTCAGGGACCTTCTACCTCAGTAAAATTTCCAGGGGTCCAGTGGTGTGGGACCTGTCGAGATATTCCTTCTAACGTGAAGGACGAGTTGCTGCGTTTGACCCCTCCTACAACCAAGAAAGAGGCACAACGCCTAGTGGGCCTATTTGGATTTTGGAGGCAACACATTCCTCATTTGGGTGTGTCACTCCAGCCCATTTATCTAGTGACTCAAAAGGCTACCAGTTTTGAGTGGGGTCCAGAACTGCTGTGCAAGCTGCTCTGCCACTTGGGCCATATGACCCAACAGATCCAATGGTGCTTGAGGTGTTAGTGGCAGATAGGGATGCTATTTTGAGCCTTTGGTAGGCCCCCACAGGTGAACCACAGCAGAGGCCTCTAGGATTTTGGAGCAAAGCCTTGCCATCTTCAGAAGATAAGTACTTTGCTCCTGAGAAACAGCTCTTGGCCCATTTCTGGGCTTTGGTGGAAACTGAATGTTTGACTATGGGTCATCAAGTCACCATGTGACCTGAACTGCCCATCATGAACTGGGTGCTGTCTGATCCATCTAGTCATAAAGTGGTCCTGCACAGCAGCATTCCATCATCAAATGGAAGTGGTACACACGGGATCAGGCTCAAGCAGATCCTCAGGGCACAAGTAAGTTACATGAGGAAGTGGCTCAAATGCCCATGGTCTCCACTCCTGCCATGGTGCCTTCTCTTCGCACCCATGGCCTCATGGGGAGTTCCCTATGATCAGTTCACAGAGGAAGAGAAGACTAGGGCCTGGTTCACAGATGGCTTTGTACAATATGCAGACACCAACAAAAAGTGGACAGCTGCAGCACTACAGCCCCTTTCTAGGACATCCCTGAAGGACAGCAGTGAAGGTAAATTTTCCCAGTGGGCAGAACTTCAAGCAGTGCACCTGGTTGTACACTTTGCATGGAAGGAGAAATGGCCAGATGTGCGATTATATACTGATTAATAGGCTGTGGCCAATGGTTTGGCTGGATGGTCAGGGACTTGGAAGAAGCATGATTGGAAAACTGGTGACAAAGAAATTTGGGGAAGAGGTATGTGGATGAACCTCTCTGAGTAGTCAAAAACTGTGAAGATATTTGTATCCCATGTGTGTGCTTACCAACACATGACCTCAGCAGAGAAGGATTTTAATAATCAAGCGGATAGGATGACCTGTTCTGTGGACACCATTCAGCCTCTTTCCCCAGCCACCCCTGTCATTGGCCAATGGGCCCATAAACAAAGTGGCTATGGTGGCAGGGATGAATATTACACATGGGCTCAGCAACATGGACTTCCACTCACCAAGGCTGACCTGGCTACGGCCACTGCTGAGTGCCCAATTTGCCAGCAGCAGAGACCAACACTGAGCCCACGATATGGCACAATTCCTCGGGGTGATCAGCCAGCAACCTGGTGGCAGGCTGATTATATCGGACTTCTCGATCATAGAAAGGGCAGGGGTTTGTCCTCACTTGAATAGGCACTCCAGATATGGGTTTGCCTATCCTTCAGACAATACTTCTGCCAAGACTATCATCCACGGACTCACGGAATACTATATCCACCATCAGGGTATTCCACACAGCATTGCCCCTGACCAAAGCACTCACTTTATGGTTAAAGAAGTGTAGCAGTCGGCTCATGCTCATGGAATTCACTGGTCTTACCATGTTCCCCATCATCCTGAAGCAGCTGGATTGACAGAACGGTGGAATGGCCTTTTGAAGTCACAATTACAAGGCCAATTAGGTGACCATACATTGAAGGGCTGGGGCAAAGCTCTCCAGAAGACTGTGTAGGCTCTGAATCAGTGTCCAATATATGGTACTGTTTCTCCCATAGCCAGGATTCATGGGTCCAGGAATCAAGGGATGGAAGTGGAAGTGGCACCACTCACCATCACCCCTAGTGATCCACTAGCAAAAGTTTTGCTTCCTGTTCCTGTGACATTACGTTCTGCTGGCCTAGAGGTCTTAGTTCCAGAGGGAGAAACACTTCCACTGGGAGTGTGTCCAGTAGAACAATGATTCCATTAGACTGGAAGTTAAGATTGTCACCTGGACACTTTAGGTTCCTCCTACCTTTAAGTCAATAGACTTAGAAGGGAGTGACGGTGTTGGCTGGGTTGATTGACCCAGGCTATCAAGAAGAAATAAGTCTACTACTCCACAACAGAGGTAAGGAAGAGTATGCATGGAATCCAGGAGATCCATTAGAGCATCTCTTAGCTTAGTATTACCATGCCCTGTATTTAAGGTCAGTGGGAAAGTGCAACAGCCCAATCCAGGCAGGACCCCAAATGACCAAGACCCTTTAGGAATGAAGGTTTGGGTCACCCAACCAGGAAAAAAAACACGACCTGCTGAGGTGCTTGCTGAAGGCAAAGGGAATACAGAATGGGTAGTAGAAGAAGGTAGTCATCAATACCAGTTACAACCACATGACCAGCTGCAGAAATGAGGACTGTAATTGTCATGAGTATTTTCTTCTTTTGTTAAAAACATGTTTGTGCTTGTATTCACTTGTACTAAGGAAATATCTTCATTTTATTTCATTGCTCCTTTATCATGTGACATAAAATTTATTGACTTCACATCAGTATTTAAGTATTGCTAACTTTATGTAATCGTATTTGAGTTGGGGATTGGTGTGTTTCTGGTTGTACGAAGGATAGTTGTGTTATGTTAGGTGTAATTATGACCTTATTATTGTGTTTATTTGAAGATTATGTATGATCTGAGGAGATGTGTGTGGGATCAAGTTGACAAGGGGTGGACTTGTGATGGTTAATACGGAATGTCAACTTGATTGGGTTGAGGAACACAAAGCATTGATCCTTGGTGTGTCTGTGAGGGAGTTGCTAAAGGAGATTTACATTTGAGTCAGTGGGCTGGGAAAGGCAGACCCACCCTTCATCTGGGTGGGCACAATCTAACCAGCTGCCAGTGTAGCTGGAATATAAGCAGGCAGAAAAATATGAATAGAGAGGCTGGCTTAGCCTCCCAACCTACATCTTTCTCCAATGCTGGATGCTTCCTGCCCTCAAACATTGGACTCCAACTTCTTCAGTTTTGGAACTTGGACTGGCTCTCCTTGCTCCTCAGCCTGCAGATGGCCTACTGTGGGACCTTGTGATCATGTGAGTTAATAATGAATAAACTTTATATATATATATATATGTTTATATATATATGTTTATCTATATTTATGTTTATATATGTATGTTTATATATATATATAAAAGAATATGTATTCCATTATTTCTGTTCCTCTAGAGACCCTTGACTAATACAGTGCATAAAGGTTCATCTTTTGTTTGAAAGACAATCAAAGGTTCATCTTTTGTTGAAAGCCAATTAGGAAAATCTTGACTTGTTAGAATTTGTTAGAAGATTGATCTATTTGGGAAGCCACGTAACGGATTCCTGACTTAAGACATATCAGATAGCTGAAGTAGGAGGATCACTTGAGCCCAGGAGCTTGAGACCAGCCTAGAAGATATAGTGAGCATCAGTCTCAAAAAAAAAAGATATATATATATATCTTTATATATATATATATACACACACACATATATATATAAGATATATATATACACACACATATATATATAAGATATATATATACACACACACACATATACACACACACACAGATATATATACACACCCATATACATATCAGATAATAAACACTTTACTCATAAGGCTAAGCTTTTATTTCAAGTGCTCCTCAAATTTAAAAAAATTCATTTTGAAGAAACTCAAGCTAGGAGTTTTGAGATTAGAGATAAAGAAAATGTACTTACAGGCTTAAAAACTAAAACCTGCTATTGTTGCTATCGTCAAGAGCAAGAGTTGAATAGTTCAACCAAGAGTTGAATAATTTCATGCTCTCTTGGGCTAACCAGCTGAAATTTGTATTTTAAAAATGACCTAGGAAGTGCCAAGTTTCTGGCTTCTGGCCAGAGGCTACACTTCCCAACTTGTCAGAATGGCTACCCTGCAGGCTACAACCCTTTATGAGAAATAAGGCTCTCCTTTCCAAATTTATGACCCTCATTATTCTTCAGTTGATATGATTGGTCTATAAGGACAGGATACCTGGAGAACCCCAGGTTCCACGGCATGATCAAAAGTCAATGCACCGATGTCCACAGCTCAACTGTTTCCTCATCCACACTAGGAGGAAGACAGGACTGACTCTGGAATTGTGAAGAGCTGCTGGATTTTGAAGTGCCAGATAAACAACTCTCACTTTACTGTCAAAGAGCTGCTTTACTTGTGGATGGCAGTTTCAAGGTGAAAGGACAACATCATATTTGAAAGGCTGCTACTCTGATTGTAAAGTACACTTTTGTGAGCAGTTTACCATTTTCTCTACCTGAGTTCTCCAAAATTTGGAAACTATTCATGAGAATTCTTATTTTATGGTAATATAATTATTTGCATCAGTTCAGTAAGAATATTTTTTCTTTTGTAACAGGACACAAGGACACAATTGGAGACACTGGTTATTTTACCAAGGCTTTGACTGGAGTAACATATTTTAAAATTAAGTTCTAGCAAAACCAAACACCGCACGTTCTCACTCACAGGTGGGAACTGAACAATGAGAACACTTCAACACAGGGTAGGGAACACATCACACACTGGGGCCCGTCGTGGGGTGGAGGGAGTGGGGAGGGATAGCATTAGGAGAAATACCTAATGTAAATGACGTGTTAAGGGGTGCAGCACACCAACATGGCACATGTATACGTATGTAACAAACCTACACGTTGTGCACATTTACCCTAGAACTTAAAGTATAATAAAAAAAAATTAAGTTCTAGCAAAGCCAACTTAAAAGGAGCGTATATGGCCAATCTCCTTGCTGCACTTTATGCAAATAATCTGGCCAAATATAATAAGACTAAAACTTATTTTGCACATAGATTGGCCTTACTATAATTTCTCTTTATAAAAGAGAATATAATTTGTATTTATATTGTATAAAAGAGAATATAAAAAGAATATAAAAGAGAATATAATTTATCTTTATATTATATAAAAGGGGGGAATACAGAGTAGAAATTATGTTTCAAAGTAAAATTATAACATATCTATTACTAGAATCCAGACCTGACCTTTCCTTTTGAGTTCCCTAATACAACAGCTTCTTTTTTCTGTTCTGACACACAACTTATCTTTTGATTGTCAAATCATTAATGTTAGTTATCTCTTGTTGCTTTACTTCTTCCAAGAAAATCAGAATCATGGTATTCTGAAAACTACAGATGATTTGAAAAAGCCTGCGAATGTTCCTCATTTGGATCCCATTGAACCCAATCTGCTTTTTGTTGCCAACACTCTGCTAAAACTACACAAGCACCCACTTTCTAGGCTCAGGGACTATCATGAAAGAGGAGGGCATATGAAATTGTAAGGGCTGGTTTTGAGGGATAGAATTAGTTCAGACCCTCCCAATCAAAGATGGATACAGAAATGCTTAAATAGCTGGCAAACTGAGGGTCTTTGTCTTCTGGGCCATTATGTGGCCCCTTTCCATCTGTCCCAATCATGGAAATATTCCAGATTCCTATAGAATTAAAAGAGAAATACTGACTGGACATCAAGATACCCTGTGACAGAGCCTTCTGGGTATAATTGTCCTGTGCTTGCCATCAGATGTGTCCAAGGTAACCTAGCTCTTTGGTGTGCCAGATAATCAGCGTATGTCTGTACCAGCAGCACACTATGGTTCTTAACCTTTCTAGAGTCATAGGCCTTCTGAGAGTACAAGCAAACAGAAACACAAAGAGAAATAATTTCTTTTGGTAAAGCACAGCATGTGCAAACTCTTATTCCATAATTGAGATAGGTTTTAACACATCATTATTTTCACCAATATTTCATATAAATCTGTGCAAAATTAAAATATTTTAATGGATAAAATAATCCATTAATTTTTTCTTTAAAACCCCTAGTTTCTCATAAATTATATATTAAAACATTTTTTACATTATCTAGAAGTGGGTCTTGTCCCGACATGAAACACATTAACTCAAAAATCATTTATAGTTGTCCAAAGAGCTATTAGACTTCTCTCCTTTTCCTGGAGGATTTTTATTTAGCAAACTACATTTCTTCTTGCCAGTGTATGTGTGACAATATGCTATAAGGAGAAACATAACTAAAACTGTCAAAACAAAGCTACTGACAGCACAACTGCACAACAGGGCAAATCATGGTTGACATACTGTGATAACAAAAGCAACCCAGTCAAAGGGCCACAGGGCAGTACTCTAACACCCAAAAGATGGTATCACACAGTAGCACAAGCCAATTCTTACGTGTCAAAATGAACCCACGGTTTTTAAAGGGAGATTATGTGATGGTCTTACATTGCAATTTTTTATGTGTACTTATTTAAAGGATACCTTTAATTGTATAAAATAAGAATTGGAAGAACAGGAGGAGGGGAGGAGAGCAGAATTCTATGTCAAACAACTGGAAAGACTAGGTAAAAAATTCAGGGCAAAGGCATTTGCTCCTCAATCATCTCACACTGTCCTCCAAAACCTTCCCTCCCACTGCAGCCACAGGAAGCAGACAGCCACATCTGCAAGGAAAATCAGTTTATGTGCCAGCAAACTCCTTGCCCAGGAGCTTCATGTTTAGTGATTATCATTTGTTTTGTTTTGGAAACCATGGTGAAACAACAAGTATTAATCTTATCTGCTGGAAATCAGTGTCATTTTCACCCTTTTTAGCACCTTCACTTATGAAGCTGGCTTTGATCTTCATGAAAAAAAAATAATTCTTAAGCAGGAAACTTTAGAGAAATTGATTACTAAACTATTTGAAGGCAGATAAGAAGAACCGCCAGTTTTTACAGAGAATTTGTGTGGTAACTCATTTATGATATACCCTCATGAAGAAGAAACTCCTGTCCAGTCAACCAGAGATTGCAACAAGATGAAAACATAACCTTACAATAAAGTACTGTGAGACCTACTGTTCTCCTGCCAGCTTGGCTGTTACCTTCTCCCCACTGAGGATCCTGGGAGCCAAGGATGTTCCAGGGCCAGTCAAGGGCCTGACTAAACCAGATCAGGGAAGAAAATGCTTTGCCTATTGCCAAACCTGTTATCAGTGTCACTAGGCTATATGGAAATCCCCTACCCATCATTCTTAACCCAAGACTCATTAGGCATAAATACAAGAACATTTCAGCTACAATCTATTATTTACATGTGTGGGTTTCTCCAAGTTTATCAATGGAGGCACCAGATGCTTACTAAACCCTCTTATCTCTGTGCTCTTCCACAGACAATGAAGCGGCTGACCAGCAAGTAACATAAAGTATATAAAAGTATATAATCACCATCTCAAGCCTCTGACAACCAGAATTCCAGCCACTCAGTTATTGGAAAAAACTCTATACCTGTATGAAACAATAAGAGGTTTACAAATGAAGAAAAGGCTCAATTCCTTTCTATATGGGAGAGGCAGTGAAGCTATTATAAATGTTCCTTTGATTAGAAATGACTGATTTAATATTTTGCAGAAAATTAAGGTTATTCATTTAAGATGTTAGATGTTTATTCTAAGCACTCCTATTCTATCCACCCTAACAGAGAAGCACACATTAGAAATGGCCAAGGTTGACTGAAGCAGAACCAATTGAAGTAGGAAAAAATGTTATCTGAGAACTAGAGGCAAGAAGAAAAACACTCAAGCTTAGTAGATAGGAGTGTAGGATCCAGAACCAGACTTCCTGGGTTCAAATCTGGCTTTGCTACTGCTGCTTTATGAATTCAAAAGATATTTAACTTATCTGTACTTCAGTTTATTCAGCTATAAAGTGAGGACTGTAGTGAGATGTGCCTTACTGGGTTGTTGTGAATGACTTTAAGTGAGTTCATACCTGTGAAGTACCTAGAACTACATTAAGCACAGAGAAAGCCCTTAGTAATTATTTTCCATTTGTAAAGGTAGTATTAGGGAATCACAGTGGCTAGCAGTATTTGAGTAAAAGCAAATGATCTTACATATTAGAATAGGCCATGAGAAGATCACTTAGTTATAGTGTGTGACAAATAATAGTTGGTATATATAATAGGGGTCCTGATATCTTTTGTTTAAAAATAAGGTAGCAAGCTGCACATAGTGTTGTGTGTAATCTTTTATAATCTGTTTTCTTAACTTACTGTTTAGTGAACATTTTCCTGTATAACTAAACACATAATTCGTCCTATGGAAATGTCTTTTATTTGTTAAATTTCTTATAATCACACATTTAAGTTCTTTTTTACTTTTTTGCTATTAATAGATGTAGTAAAAAAGAAAAATATCAGTATTTAAAATTTAAAAAATAAGTATAGTTATATTTACATATATTAGTGAAGGTGGTTTTTTATTTAGGAAAATATTTAGAACAGCTTCTTTGGACATGAAAACTAAGAGTTCACGTGTGACTTGAAACAAGAGGAAATTAAAAAGAGAAACGTGAACTTCCCTGCATCGTAAAGTGAAAGGAATTTTGTTTTTCCCTAGGTTGCCAGAGTAGAGTATGTGAAGCCGTGGGAATGGAGAGAAGCGAGAGAAGAGAGGCCCCATAGTTAGAATGGTGTGACATGTGCAGAGGCTCTATGGAGGACATGCCAGTAAGAAATCTGCTAAATAATTTTCTAGCCATAGTAAAGTTTGACATTAATATTAAAACTGTTTCCAACACTATACTATGCTTTCCAGTAATGATTAGACTTAATTATCTCCAAACAAAAAATGTGCATCAATGATAACTTAAGAGAATGGAGGAAGATAGATGTCTAGTTTGAAGAAAAGCAGGTCACCAAAAATGATCAACACAGTAAAGTCAAAGATATTTATAAATACACCACACTAAGGTAGCAAGGATGAAGCAAGTTCCAACCATTGAGGAGACTGTACATCTTTTCTAGCAGTAAGATCTTGAGAAAGTACCAAAACATTCTGAGCCTCAGTTTTCATCTATAAAATGGTGGTAATGTTGTCACTATTTCATATAGTTGCAATGGAGATTAAGTGAGTGAGTGAATCAACGTAAAGTTTAAGTGTTTAGAAGACAGCTGGCAATAGAATGTGCTTCATAAACATTAACTATTCAAGTCTATACACATGAATCTTCTACACATCCATGATTGAATGGAGTCCCAGTGAAAGTTACCAAAAGAATTTCAGATCGGAATAAAATCAGCATTGTATTGTTCTGCAGATAGACGCTGAAATGGAAGGTCAAGAATACAAGCTATACTCACTGTAGGCCTTCGGTAGGACTCAGAGCCATGCTGGCTTCAGGTGTGACCCAGCACATTCCCAGCTGTGGTGGCTATAGGGAGAGACCACTTCTACTTCAGGAAAGGAGAGGGAAGAGTAAAGGGGACTTTGTATTGAAGCCTAGGTACCAGCTCTGCCACAGTAGAGTAGAGTAACAAGTGGGCTCCTGGGGTTCCTGACTCCAGGCCTTGGCTCAAGGACAGCATTCCTGGACCTGCCCTCGGGCAGAGGGAAGCCAACTGCCCTGAAGAGAGAGATTCAGGAGTGGTAGCATTCACCATAAGCTGACTGAAGAGCACTTGGACTTTGACCAAGAGCACTTGAGTGAATATCAGTGGTAGCCAGGAAGTACACACCATGAGCCTAGGGTGGGTGGTAGCCATGGGTAGAGACTCCTCTGCTTAGAATAAAAGGAGGAAAAAGTAGGAAAGACTTTTCTGTGGCTTGGGTACCAGCTCAGTTGCAGTAGAACAGAGTACCAGGTACATTACTAAGGTTTCGGACTCTAGGCTCTGGCTCCTAGACAACATCTCCAGACCTGCCCGAGGCCAAGAAGAACTTGCCTTAAAGTGGAGGACACTCAGCTGATTGTAGAGCCCTTGGGCCTTGAGTGAACATAAGTGGTAGCCAGGCAGTTGTCAAAGTGGGCTTTGGGTGAAACCCATTGCTGTGCTGGCTTCAGTCCTAACCCAGTGCAGTATTAGTCATGGTAGCCACAGGGGTGCTTATATCAATCCTCCTCTAGCTCCAGAGAGTTCAGCACAGAAAGAGAGACTCCATTTGTCTGTGGAAAAGTAAGAGAAGAGAATAAGAGTCTGCCTGGTAATCCAGGGAATTCTCCTGGGTCTTATCCAAGACCACCTAGGAGGTGCTTCAGCCAGTCTGCAAAATCCATAGCCTTACTGGGCTTAGGGTGCCTCCTAAGGCAGCAAGGCTGCAATGACCAAATACTAGATCACAATACCCAAGTTTCTTTGAATATCTGGAAAGCCTTCCCAAGAAGGAGAAGTACAAACAAACCTAGACTGTGAAGTCTGTAATAAATATCTAACTCTTCAATGCTCAGACACCAAGGACATCCACAAGCATCAAGATCTTTCAGGAAAACATGACATCACCAAATGAACTAAATAAGGCAGCAGTGACCAATCCCAAAGACAGAGATATAAATTCAGACAGAGAATTTGAAATAACTTTTTTGAGAAAGCTCAATAAAATCCAAGATAACACAGAGAAGAAATTCAGAATCTTATTAAATAAATTTAACAAAGAGATGAAATAATTGAAAAGGGTCAAGCAGAAATTCTGGAGCTGAAAAATGGAATTGACATACTGAAAATGCATAATTATCTTAAACAGCAGAAATGATCAAGCAGAAGTAACAATTAGTGAGCTCAAAGACAGGCTATTTGAAAATACACAGAGAAAAAAGGAAAAAAGAATAATAAAAAAATTAAGCACACCTACAAGATCTAGAAAATAGCCTCAAAAGGACAAATTTAAGAGTTATTGGCTCGAAAGAGGAGATAGAGAGAAAGAGAGAGACAGAGAGAGAGACAGAGAGATTAGGGTGGAAAGTTTATTGAAAGGGAAATAACAGAGAACTTTCCAAACCTAGAGAAAGATATCAGTATTCAAGTGCAAGAAGATTATAGAAAACCAAGTAGATTTAACCCGGAGAAGACTACCTTAAGACATGTGATAATCCAACTCCCAAAGTTCAAGAATAAAGGATTCTAAAAGCAGCAAAAAAAAAAGAAACAAATAACATTCGATGGAGTTCCAATGCATCTGGCCATAGGTTTCTCAGTGGAAACCTTACAGGCCAGGAGACAGTGGCATGACACAAAGTGCTGAAGGAATAAAGTGCTTAAGTGCTGCTGTATATTCAGCAAAAATATCCTTCAAATGTTAAGGAGAAATAAAGACTTTCCCATACATTAAAAAAAACTGAGGGATTTCATCAACACCAGACCTGTCCTACAAGAAATGCTAAAGGGATTTAATATGAAAGAAAGGATTTTAATGTGCAGGAGGAAATCATCTGAAGGTACAAAACTCACTGGCAAAACAAAGTACACAAAAAATACAGAATATATTACACATATTATTATGGTATGTCAGCTACTCATATTTTGAGTAGAAAGACTAAGAGATGAACCTATGAAAAATAATAACTACAAGTTTTCAAGACATAGTATAATAAGATATGAATACAAACAACAAAAAGTTAAAATGCAGGAGGATGAAGTTAAAGTGTAGAATTTTCATTAGTTTTCTCTTTACTCATCAGTTACTTTGTTTATGTAATCAGTGTTGTCATCAGTTTAATACAATAGGTTATAAGATACTATTCACAGGCCTTATAGCAACCTCAAATTAAGGAACATGCAACCAGGCTAGGCATGGTCGCCCATGCCTGTAATTCCAGCACTTTGGGAAGCCAAGGTGGGCAGATCATGAGGTCAGAAGTTCAAAACCAGCCTAGCCAACATAGTGAAACCCCATCACTACTCAAAATACAAAAATTAGCCAGATGTGGTGGCTCACATCTGTAATCCCAGCTACTCTGGAGGCTGAGGCAGGAGAATCACTTGAACTCGGGAGGCAGAGGTTGCAGTGAGCCAAGACTATGGTGTTGCACTCCAGCCTGGGCAACAGAGCAAGACTCCATCTCAAAAAAAAAAAAAGAAACATGCAAACAATACCCTGCAAATGCAATACAAGAAACATGCAACCAATACGCTGCAAATACAGATACAACCAATACAAAGCAAGAAATTGAAACATACCTCCTGAGAAAATCACCTTCACTAAAAGGAAGTGAGAAAGAAAGGAAAGAAGGAAGAAAAGAACCCAAAGCAACAAGAAAACAAGTAACAAAAAGTCAGGAGTAAATCCTTATTTGTCAAACATAACATTAAATGTAAATGGACTAAACTCTTCAATCAAAAGTCATGAAATGGCTGAATGAATGAAAAAATAAGATTGATAATATGTTGCCTACAAGAAACACACTAAAACCTATGAAGACACACATAGACTGAAAATAAAGAGATGGAAAAAGACATTCCGTGCAAATGGACACCAAAAAAGAGCAAGTGTAGCTATACTTATAGCAGACAAAATAGATTTCAACACAAAAATTATAAAGACACAAAGAAGGTCATTGCACGATGATAAAGTGGTAAATTCTACAAAAGGATACAACAGTGGTAAATATGTATGCACCCAACACTGAAGCATTTGGATATATAAAGCAAATATTGGTTGAGGTAAAGAGAGAGATAAACCCCAATACAATAATAGTTGGAAACTCTGTCACCTTACTTTTAACATTGAACAGATCATCCAGACAGAAAATCCACAAATAATTATCAGACTTAATCTGTACTGTAGACCAAATGAATATTTACTGAATATTTCATCCATGGCTGCAAAATGCACATTCTTCTCCTCAGCACATGGATTATTCTCAAAGATAGACCATATGTTAGGACAAAAAACAAGTCTTACAACATTCGAAAAAACTGAAATAATATCAAGCATCTTCTCTTATCAAAATGGAATAAAACTAGAAATCAATAACAAGGAATTTTGAAGATGATACAAATACATGGAAATTAAATAATATGTTCCTGACTGATCAATGGATCAATTAAGGAATTAAAAAGGAAATTTAAAAAATTCTCACAAAAAAATGAAATGAAAACACAACATACCAAAACATATAGGATATGGTGAAAGCAGTTCTAAGAGGAAAGTTTATAGCAATAAACATCTACCTCAAAAAAGGAAAAAAACTTCAAATAAACAATCTTATGATGCATCTTAAATAACTAGATAAGCAAAGGCAAACCAAACCAAAAATTAGTAGAAGTAAAGAAACAATAAAGATCAGAGTAGAAATTAGAACAAAAAACCCGAAAAATTAATGAGACAAAAAGTTGGTTCATCAAAAGATAAGGAAAATTGACAAACCTTTAACCAGACTAAGAAAAATTGACAAATCTTTAACCAGGCAAACTTAACTGACAAACTTTCAACCAGACTAAGAAAAATTGACAAACCTTTAACCAGACAAACTTAATTGACAAACCTTTAGCCAGACTAAGAAAAAAGAAGATATCACTGAAATAAGTAAAATAAGAGATGAACAAGGAGACATTATAACTGATACTGCAGAAATTCAAAGGATCATTAGTGGCTACTATGAGCAACTATAAGCCAGTAAATTGGAAAACCTAGAAAAAATAGATACATTCCTAGACACATACAGCCTACCAAGATTGAACCATGAAGAAATCCAAAACCTGGGCAGACCAATAATAAGTAATGAGATCAAAGCTGTAATAAAAAGTTTCGCAAAGAAAATCCAGGGCACAATGGCTTGACTGCTGAATTTCACCAAACATTTAAAGAGAAAGTAATACCAATTCTACTCAAACTATTTTGAAAAACAGAAGAGGAGGGAATACTTTCAAACTCATTTTAAGAGGCCAGAATTACACTGATATCAAAACCAGAAAATGACACATCAAAAAAGAAAACTATAGGCCAATATGCCTAATGACCATTGATGCAAAAATTCTCAGCAAGGCTGGGCACGGTGGCTCATGCCTGTAATCCCAGCACTTTGAGAGGCCAAGGTGGGCAGATCACAAGGTCAGGAGATTGAGACCATCCTGGCTAACATGGTGAAACCCCGTCTCTATTAAAAATACAAAAAATTATCCGGGCACAGTGGTGGGCACCTGTAGTCCCAGGTACTCGGGAGGCTGAGGCAGGAGAATGGTGTGAACCCGGGAGGCAGAGTTTGCAGTGAGCCGAGATAGCGCCACTGCACTCTGGTCTGGGTGAAAGAGTGAGACTCCTTCTCAAAAAAAAAAAAATTCTCAGCAAAATGCTAGCAAATTGAATTCAACAATACATTAAAAAATTATTCATCATGCCCAAGTGGAAGTTATCTCAGGAATGCAAGGAAGGTTCAGCATACACAAATCAATCAATGTGATATATCATATCAACAGAATGATCAACACATAATTTCAACTGACATTGAAAAAGCATTTGATAAAATTCAACATTCTTTCATGATTTAAAAAAACCTTCAAAAAAACTGGTTATACAAAGAATATACTTCAACACAATAAAAGTCATGTACAACAGACCCACAGTAGTATCACTGAATGGGGAATATCTGAAAGCCTTTCTTCTAAGAGCTGGAACAAGACAAAGATTCCCACTTTCACTACTGTTTTCCACTGATACTGGATGTTCTAGCTAGAACAACCAGACAAAGAAAGAAATTGTAAAGGAAGAAGTCAAACTATTCTTGTTGGCAGATGGTATAATCTTATATTTGTAAAGACATAAAGACTCCACAATTAAACTATTAGAACTGTTAAATTCATTAAAGATACAGAATACAAAGCCAACATACCAATTTATTAGCATTTCTATATGGCAACAGCAAACAATATGAAAAATATAACATATACAATACCAGAAATACAATAAATAAAATAAAATAAAAATAAAATAAAAACATACCAAGTACAATACCACAAGTAAAATAAAATAGTAAAATATTTAGGAATACACTTTAGCAAAAAAGTGAAAGATCTCCACAATGAAACTATAAAACATTGATGCAAGAGGACACACAGAAAAACTGAATCATATTTCATGTTCAAGAATTGAGAGAATTAATATTGTTAAAATTTCTATACTACACATAAAAATTTATACATTCAATGTAATCTTTATCAAAATACCAATGACATTCTTTCCATAAATAGAAAAAATTATCCTAAAATTTATATGGAACCACAAAGACCCAGAACAAAGTTACCCTAACAACAACAAAAAAAGTGGATGAATCATGTCACCTAACTTCAAATTATACTACAGAGCCATAGTAAGCAAAACAGCATGATACTGGCCTAAAAACATACACATAGCCCAATGGACCAAAGAACCCAGAAGTAAATTCACACATCTACAGTGAACTCATTTTTGACAAAGATGCCAAGAACATACATTAAGGAAAGGACAGTTGCTTAAATAAATGTTCCAGGGAAAACTGTATATCTATATGCAGAAGAATGAAAATAGACCCCTATCTCTCACCATATACAAAGATCAAATCAAAATGGATTAAAAACTTAAATGTAAGTCCCCCAACTGTGAAATTCCTAAAAGAAAACATTGGGAATCTTCAGGACATTCAACTAGGCAAAGATTTCTTGAGTAATATCCCACAAGCACTGGCAAGCAAAGGAAAAAATGGACAAAGGGAATCATACCAAGTTAAAAAGCTCCTGCACAGCAAAGCAACAATCAGCAAAGCAAAGAGACAACCCACCATATGGGAGAAAATATTTGCAAACTACACATCTGAGAAGAGATTAATAGCCAGAATATACAAGGAGATCAAACACTTCAATAGGGATAAAACAAATAATCCAATTTAAAAATTGGTAAAAGATCTAAATAGACATTTCTCAAAAGAAGATATACATATGGAAAACAGGTATATGAAAATGTGCTCAACATCATCAATCATTAGTGAAATGCAAATCAAAACCACAATAAGATATCATCTCACCCTAGTTAAAATGGCTTTTATCCAAAAGACAGGTAATAACAAATGCTGGAGAGGATGAAGAGAAAAGGGAACCCCTATACACTGTTGGTGGGAATGCAAATTAGTACAATCACCATGGACAACAGTTTGGAACAAAAAAACTAAAAATCGAGCTACCATAGGATCCAGCAACCCCACTGCTAGGTTTATACCCAGAAAAAAAGGAAATCAGTATATCAAAGAGATATCTGCCCTTGCATGTTTATTGCAGCACTATTCACAATTGCCAATATTTAGAAGCAACCTAGTTTCAATCAACAGATAAGTAGATGAAGAAACAGTGGTACGTATACACAGTGGAGTACTGTTCAGCCATTAAAAAAGAATAAGATCTTGTCCTCTGCAACAACATGGATGGAACTGGAGGTAATTATGTTAAGTGAAGTAAGCCAAGTTCAGAAAGACAAACTTCGCATATTCTTACTCATTTGTGGGAGCTAAAAAATTTAAAATAATTGAACAAATAGAGACAGAAGAATAGAATGATGGTTACCAAAGGCTGGAAGGGTAGTGGTGGGGTGAGGCAATAGAAACGGGGATGGCGAATAGGTACAAAAATATAGTCAGATAGAATGAATACGATCTAATATTTGGTAGAAGAACAGGATGACTGCCAAATAATTAAATAATTATTGTACACTTTTAATTAACTAAAATAGCATAATTGGTTTGTTTGTAACACAAAGAAAGAATAAATGCTTGAGGTCATGGATACCCCAACTACCCTCTTATGATTATTACACATTGTATGCCTGTATCAAAATATCATATGTACCTTATAACTATATATACTGACTATGTAACCACAAAAATTAAAAAGAAAAAATAAAATTCAATGTTAACACAAACACTGGAAAAGATATTTGATTAAATATAGTATATAATCTTTCCAAATTTCTTTCTTTAAGGAGGTATCCATGGAAGATAAATATTGTGGAAATAGATAGGGAGAGAATCCTACCAAGCACCATTCACATTCTATACATTTCGTGTCTGTGTCTTTTGGTTACATATGTTATTTTTGTAGCCAAGCAAAAATTACTCAGAATAATACCCCTGAAATTGCTAGATATATATCTCCTTTAATTGTTTATAAAATCCTGTTTTTACTTATAAATATTCAGGACAAGGTTAAATTATGTGTAATATATAATTCAGATAAGTAAGGCAACTTTTTAAAGAGAGCTTACTCAAAAAGCAAATATATGCTTTGAAGAATAAGCTTCACTTTTTAAGAAAATGTGATTGCCTAGAATAGACCATACCTTATAAATGCCAGCCAACTTATGTTGTTTATTGCTCTTCTAATATTTCTGCACTTTATTAAACATGAAAAAACTTGTAAAGTTTTTTCAGCCATTTATGCTTTCACCAACTATAAGTATTCATGCATCCATTCATCATGGGGCCAAGAAATATTTATTATATACTACTATGTGCCAGGGACTGGGCACTGAGTGGAATATGTTCTGGTTTCAGAATGTTTTGTTTGACAGAACATGAGATTACATATATATCCTGCCATCTTTTGGTCATACAGGGTGCGTTCCCTTTTGCGTGCCAGCTGTCATGAAGAAGGGCTTGAAAAGATTTCCACAACTTCACACAGAATGGACTGAGGAAAAGGTTTCAGTGAGGAAACTTATAAGCCAAGCCTGGGGTTACAAGAAACAAAAAGCCATAGGGACTCTATTCTTTCATCTTCACACAGGCAGATGTGTCCAGGCCAAGGCACTCTGCTGGACACACCACGCATGATGGTTCCAGAGGAGACTCCCTGCCATTCTGTTGATTAACCTTTTTATAAGGCAAACATGCAAACAACCAGTCAGAGTGTGTGTGTGTGTGTGTGTGTGTGTGGTGTGTCTGTGTGTGGGTGTGGGTGTGTGTGTGTGTGTGAGAGAGAGAGATTGAGAAAGAGAGAGAGGAAGAGAGAGAGTGGTGATAGGGAAAGAAGAAAGAGTTTGGCCAAAGTGAAATTGTGGTGATCATCAGAATACTGGGAATCAGGCAAACCAGGCGAAGTTTTAGAGGTTTCCGCAGTAACCTGGGAAAGCCAATTGTTCAGCTCTTAGAGCTCATGGGTAATTTGATTCAAGCATAGGTCCTCCTGCCAGAGGAAGGAAGCCTCCAGTGTTGTGGAATGCTGAGTTTGGGTGCAGGCATGCCTATGGGGAGAAGTCATCCCTTCTCCAGTCTGACACTTTTTCTAAGTAAACAAGAAATAAATCCCAGGGTAATTTTCAGACAATTTGAGGACTTCTGTGTGCCAGACATTGTGCTAGGTATCAAAGACATCAGAGTAAATAAATTGAATAAAAGCCCCTGCTATCAGCTAACTTACAGTCTAGTGGGAGATTGAGACTAATATAAGTAAGGCCATTGTATTAAATATTATCTGAGCATAATACCACGGCTGTTTATTAATATAATGCACAAAAGATAACTTTACATTTATTTTAATGTGTAATGAAGCAATATAACTTGTGGATTAAATTTTTGCAAGTATTGCTTTTAATAAGGCTAAAGAGCATAAATTTTTTAAAACATGAGGGAAAGAGTGTTGATTGTTAAAATATTATGTAAATAATAATACAAATAAACCCACATATAGGATTTTTAAAAATCCTCATATGGTATGCAAATAACTGTAGTTCAGGAAACACCACTTCCTGCCACTGAATCCCCACAAAATCCTGTGAGGTAAGTAGTAATATATATTACTATCAGAAAGTGGACTGAGAAAAATCTAGACTAGGCCCTCAGGACCTGAAGAACGGACTGCCTGGCTCCACAGCCCATATTCTTTCTATGGTCCCTCACTGACATCAGAAACACCAATGATCATCAAAAATGCTAATCCATTTAGGATTTTCTCGAATGCTAACCTAACATAATCAACTCTATCCCACAGAGCAATCTGGAGCCATCATGCTGTGCATCGTGAAAGAAGTTGCAAATACAAACACAATTCTTTATTTTTCTCTCTAGGTATCAGTAGCTCAGTTTTAGTAGCATTTCCTCTACCTGTATCTTTGCAACCCAGAAACTTGAAGGTAGTTACCTCAAAATTCAGGAAAATGTCTACTGATAATAGGTTGCCCCATGGAGAGGTTTTCCACCAAAGGAAAAATCAAAGAGAATAGGTACTAACTGTGGACTGAGAAAAAACTGCTGAGCTGGTTTCTACCATGAAAGTCATTAACCAAGTTGGATTAGTAAGCCCTTCCAAAGCCACATCTGCCCTATTAAAGCTTTAAGGGCCATATGCCAAAGTGAAAATTAAATAAAGCAACAAAAAGACTGTGCCCAAATGAATTTGGTTTTATTTTTACTACGCAGAGTGAGGTTCTGCACTATAAAGCAACCACAGAGAGACTTTGCCAAGTTGTGGTGGTTTCCCAGAATGCATTAAACACTCAGGAAGTCTCCACCATCTCTACTAATGATGTTTGCTACTGGATCATAAAATGACTTCAATTCTGACTTTTAGGGAAAAGCCCACTTGGTGACAATTTCATCAAGGAATGTAAAATCTACCCATCAATTTCAGTATAGTTTGTTAGGTATGGCTTAACATTGTGCAACAATAAAGGTTTTCAAATGCCTGTTGTAATCAAAAAACCTTATTCCTGTCTTAACTGCCTATTTTCCTCCAAATATTACTAAGTATTTCATCATATACAAAAAAAAGATATCTTAGCATTGAATTTAGTAAAGGACAAAGGAGGATACAGCTGCATGAAAATAGATGATATATTCAAATACTACTATGTTTGCAAAGGACTGTTTCTATTCTGTTCATTGGTAGCGAGAGGCAGCATTGGAAAAAATTTTAGGATAAAATAGATTTTAACAGCTGTCTTAGTCCATTTGTTATTGCTTATAACAGAATACCTGAAACTGGGTAACTTATAAAGAAAAGAAATTTTTTTTTTACAGTTATGAAAACTAAGTCCAAGGTCAGGGGGCCACATCTGGTGAAGGCCTTCTTGCTGATAAGGACTCTGCAGAGTTTGGTGTCAGTGTAGGGCACCACATGACAGAGGGGATTGAACCTGCTAGCTCAGGACTCTCTTCTTACTTTTACAAGGCCAGCAGTCCTGTCATCATGTTAACTCATTAATCCACTGGTCCATTAATTCAGGAATGGATTGATCCATCCATGAAGACAGAGCCCTCATGACCCAATCACCTCTTCAAGGCCCCTCCTCTCAACTGGAGATCAAATGTTAACATGAGTTTTGAAGGGAGTAAATATTCAAACCACTACACTAGCCAAGTTGTTTCAAGTGTTGAAGTTCAAATCATTTTAAAATTATTTTCCTGTCTATGGCAACACCACCCTGAATGCACTCAATCTTCTCTAATCTCAGAAGCTAAGCAATCTGGCCTCATTGTTACTTAGATGAGAGATCACCTTGGGTACCGAGGGCTGTACACTTAATAAATAAAATTATGTTCTTGGTATAACTAAAACTTTGTATAACTTCAGTGATTTGGATGGGTGATAAATCATAATTATGGAATATTTGTTTTACCTTGCTTTGTTTCTTGCATCTTGGCATCTTTCTTTCAAGCATATGAAATAACTGAAATCAGACCAAAAATATTTCTAACAATCTATTCAATAAATATGAAAAATAAAATTATTTTCTAATTTGTATAACAAATATACTTATTTTCAATTGCCTAAAATGGTTTACTGGATTACAAAGACTTTTTTTTTTAACAAATTAGCTTTTCTAATCCTTTTTTTAATAATCCATAGAAAAACCAAACTGGTAGACTATTACATTAAAAACTTCCAACATTTAGAAAAACTAGATAAAATATAACATATTTTGTTTTTGACACATAATTTAACCTGAGAAGAAGGTGGGAAGTGGGAGAAATCTCAGATGTTAAACATCAAGATGATTCTGAAAAACAATCTTATGTGCATATGAAAGAACACTGAAGGTACCCAGAGAGAAAGAATCAGTACTATTAATCTAGAGACTTGGGTTTTAATGTTCATGTAGGGACTGAAAAGTAGCATTGGAACCATACCACTTGAGACCCCAGAAAAATTCCATAATACTTGAATGGCTGTGCCTAAGGAGAGACCTGATTTCAACTCACGCCACACAAGACTAATAGAGAAAGCAAACCTTGCTAAAAGTTAGTTTGCAATAAAAGTTAACAAAATACATGGAAAAAAAAGATGTACCTAAGCAAGATTCAGGAGACATGACAAACAGGAGTACCTGTTGATTCAGGAGATATGACAAACAAGAATTTTATGTAATAGGACAATAACCTAATTATAGGTAAGCTAGAGTAGTTTGTAGCAGACTAATATTCCTTGTGAAGACAATAGGAAAAGCTGAATAAAAACAAGAATTACATGTTTGGAGGTGTTACTGGAGGACAACAGAGGCAATAAAATCCAAGGGGTCTGGAGTTTGGAGACAGTGGAGCCATGAGCTGACATTTTGCAGCTACTTCTTTCTTTCCTTCTTTCTGTCTTTCTTTCAAGACAAATTCTCACTGTGTTGCCCAGGCTGGTTTCAAACTCCCAGCTTCAAGTGATTCCCCTGCCTTACCCTCCTAAAGCGCTGGGAGTATAGGCATGATCCACTGTGCCCAGCATGCACTACTTTCTTCTTAGTCCAATTGCTGATTTAGGAAACAGGGCAAACGGCTAAGAATTGGTATTTTTACACAGAAAGAAAAATCCTTCTAAGAATAGAAAATCCAGCATAAATTTTTGGTGGTCTAAAAAGACGTAAAAATAAAACTGAAGGCATAATGTTTCTGTAGTTGTGTTTCATGACTAACATGTTCATATGCCCACTGAGTCATAACATACCAATACACTGAGACAGCAGGATTTGCAGCAGAGTTTAATGATCACAGGGCACTGAGAGAGGAGATGGGAGGAGACCCCCAAATCTATCTCCTTGAGGAGTTCTGGGCTGGAGTTTTTAAAAGGATCATAAAGGGGCTGGAAAACTGGGGTGATTGATTGGTTGTGGTAAAGGGGATGAAATCAACGGGATGTAGAAACTGCATTATTTGGTGAGTCAGCTTCTCTTGGGGTCCTTCAGACTAGCTGACATCAGTAATTTCACTGGTATATACCACCTAAAAGAATATCTCAAATGAAAAACTAATATTTCACCATGTTCAAGTTATTACCTATAGAGCAGTTAAGGAGTGACATGGCCTATGTGATTCTGGGGCAAGAAGCAGTGTACAACTATGAGAAAGCAGATCAGAGAGCAAGATAAACTAATGATTAATGCCAAACATGCTGTAAGCTTTGTTGATTTTCATTTCTCCCCTTCTCTTCTTCCCTGATTAATTTTATAAATTTTATAGGAATGGTTTCAGCTGGAGACTTGACGGTTTTCTCCTCAAGACATTTGCAAAGTTCTGAAGCTATGCAGGCAAGGATGCTGAAGGTCTGCCAAGTGAGGAAATGAAGGGCTCAGAAAAGCAGAGTAGAATTTTCTGGAAACCACCATGCCAAGAAGACAAGGACTAGCGTTCTGATCACGTTAACATCCTTCACCTCAACTGATTCACATAGGAGTTAATCCTCTCTGGAGGAATATCATATCATCTGACCTCTACAATTTGATATGCATGATGTCCACCATTCAATAAAAAACAATGACTTTTCTAGCTTTTAGAGGCTGCCCTCATTCCTTGGTTTGTGGCCCTTCTTCATGTTTGAAACAAGCAATTGAATCATTCTCACATCTGCTTCTGTCATCACATCTCCTCTGACTCTTCCGCCTCTGTCTTCCATTTTATAAGGACCCGTGATTTTATTGGCTTCACTTAGACGATCCAGAATAATCTTCCTATTTGAAAAGTTTTAATCATATCTGCAAGGTCCCTTTTGCAATATAAGATAACATATTTACAGGTTCCTGGAATTAGAATATGGACAATGTCAGGGAACCATTGGCCTGCCTATCACTGGAGTAAAACAAAATTTAAAATGAAAAAATGCTATTATACAACAAATTAGAAAAAAATGTATATGTCAGTTATCAGCAAGTATTAGTGAAAAAATAGCAGAAAGGAAACTTTTACACACTTCTGGTGAACATGTAGAATTTTAGTTACTTTGGAGACTATCTGACAATACCATTTCTTGGTGTCCACTGTAGAGATAATATCACACATACACAAGGATACAAGTTTGAAGCTGATACTACAACACTTAGGAATAGTGGAAAAGGGAAATATAATCTGTTTCTTAGTTGTTAGAGAAAGATAAATAACCATAGTTTATTTACATAATGAAATCCCATACCTTAGTATTAATGAGTGAACTAGATGCATATATTATAGATAAATCTCAGGAAAAAAATAGGAGAAATATTATTGCTAATTTATAGGTAAATTTATGGACAATTGTTGTGGTGAGGAAGATGGAAGTAGGATCCAACTCTAGATTTATATTTGCAAGGAGGCATGCATATATTCAAGTATACATAATAATATAACATATTGTATATTGACACATATTATAGGAAGTAAATACCCCAAAATGTCAGGTTAGTGTTCTCAGGAGAGGGAGTAGGCTGAAGGAATATAGAAATGGCATTGGATATATATGTCATATTTTAAAAATCTGGAACAATTAATGAAATATTAATTTACTTAATCTTAAATGAAATTTGAGTGTTTTATTATTTTTCTAATGTTCTTTATATTTACATTTTTAAATAATTAAAGGTATGTCTTAATAATAACTCTCATTCTGTTCCATATTCTAATTATCGCAACTCTAAAATAAAAGGAATCATATTAAAGTAAGGATCAGCAGAAGAAGCTGAATTGTATGTATATTCATGAATAGGCCATATAATATAACAGCACAAGTGATAAGAAAATAGTCCTAAGAAAAGGAGTTATCTAATCTGACTGTGTCTCATAATGCTAGATGTTTTTATCTGAAGTATTGCTGAAAGTTTATGGCACTTCTGCAGAAAACCTATCTAAGAATGGAGGTGCAAAAGTTTCATGAATCTTTATATCCACAATAAGTTAACAATTTCTCTAGAATATAGTAAAATAGTTTTTTTTTTTTGGCTGTCAGAGAGCCACCAGCTGACTTGCTCTCACTTATGAACCTCTCATGGCCCTTGTTCCTGAGACTTTATTTGCACAGTTTATTTTGTTTATGGCAAAACATATGAAGGAAAATTTATTGACAAATTAATTATAGAATGTCAGTGCTAACTAAATTGCTTGTTGCAATCAAATTGGCTCTCACAATACTGTCCTGAATCACATACAAGATTGACACACTCTTTGAGCCTGCCTCTACTGTCAAACTGCCCCCATTCTAAGATGTGCTTCTAAAGTTGGTTGATTTTTCTTCAAGCTCAAATGTACCACTGCAAGTCCCGATCTGGTGCCAGCTTCTTTTTCCTCAATACAGGATTTTCTAGAAATTTACCCAAAAAGAAACAATAGATGTAGTAGCCTGTTTGTGCTGCTCTAACATAATACCACGGCCTGAATAATTTATAAAGAACATACAAGTATTTTCTCACAGTTCTTGAGGCTGAGAATTCTGAGACCAAGGCACCAGAACATTTGGTACCTGGGGAGAGCTGCTTTCTGCTTCCAAGATACCCTGTTGTATCCTCCAAAGGGGACATATGCTGTATCCTCACATGTCAGGAAAGAGCAGAAGAGAACAAATCCATGTCCTGAAGTGAGTTTTATACAGACCCTAATCCCATTTGTGAAGCCTCCACTGTGATGACTTCATTACCTCCCAAAAGCTCCACTTCTTATTACTATGACATTGGCAATTAAGTTTCAACACACAACTTTTCAGGGACATTCAGTACATAGCAATAGTAAATTAAGTTATACTCTTGTTGAAGGAAAGAGTCAAACTCTGTAAAATATTTCAAGAGATTTATTCTGAGACAAATATGAGCGACCATGGCCCATGACACAGCCCTCAGGAGGTCCTGAGAACATGTGTCCACGGTGGTCAGGGTTCAGCATGGTTTTATATATTTTAGGGAGGCATGAGACATCAATCAAATACATTTAAGAAATACATTGATTTGGTTCAGAAACGTGGGACAACTCAAAGCGGGGGCTTCCAGGCTATAGGTAAATTTAAACATTTTTTGGTTGACAATTGGTTGAGTTTATCTGAAGACCTGGGATTAATGGAAATGAATGTTCGGGTTAAGAAAAAGGATTTAGAGGACCAAGTTTTATTGTGCAGAGAAATCTCTCAGATAGGAGACTTCAGAGAGAGAGCAGGTTCTAAAATATTTCTTATCAGACCTAAAAGGGTGCCTGGCTCTTAGTTGATTATCTCCTGGATCTGGAAAGAAAGGACGGAAAACAAAGGGAGAAGCGGATTCTCTATAGAATGTGGATTTTTACCACAAGAGACTTTGCAGGGCAATTTCGATGTATGGCAAGGAAATATATTTTGGGGTTAAATATTTTTTCCTTGTCTCATAATGTTATTCTAGAGTTAGACTGAAAAGTAAGTCACAATATATAAGGCCAAATAAAACCCATCTGATGAGAATTTATGGTTTCTAGGGCATGGCTCTCTAGACATCTTAGGCAGGAATTTGGGCAAGATAAAAAATCAGAGCTTAGTCCTCACTCTCAATTGTAATATACGTTACTTTCAAAATCCAAGTTACAGTAACTTTCCCTTTACCTTTACAGAGATTTTTCTTGGAAGCTGCTTACTGCTGGAACTCAAATTTCAATAAGGGAGTAAGCCTTTCTGTTTCCATGAAATTGATCTCCTGTCTTTTGACATGTATTTTGTCTTACTGATATAACTTGGTAAAAAATTTGCTTTTGGTTTTCAGTTAGTGAAAGGGGAAACTAGAGAGACTTCTACATGTTTCTGTTATTGCTGTTTTTGTATCATAATATCTCTCACTCAAAAGCTTAGGAAGAAACTCACGGTAAAAATTCTACCATTTGCTAAGTATATTAACTAAATAGACAGAAGGAACTTGGAATATAGCCAGATAAAATGGTTTCACAGTGCCACTGACCTACCCATGAAGTCAAATTGGGTAAAAATCCCTTTCATTGCACTACGTAAGCACTTGATTAATGAACAAAGGTTATGTTCTAGGACTAAGGATTTATGTCTGTTCAAAGCAATTTTCAACATTTTTTTTTCACTAGTTCTCTTTCCCTAGCACCTAGTTACTCTGGCAAATGGCCACATAACATTTTGGGAGAGACTTAAGTGGTTTTCTGTACATGTTTGTGAGATTTTTCACCTGATCTTTCCTCAAAAAAGCCTTCTCTCTTTTTAGTAACTCTAGATGTGGAAATAGATGAAGGTTTGAGATTTAAATAGAAAGCTAAGACTCTCAAGTCAGACTTCAGTTCACCAGATTTTGTTTTTTAAATTAGAAAAGTCAAATAGGATCCTGGTGGATTTCTCATCTTTTTACAGCCTAAGAAGCAATGACCAATTACCCATAACCATAAATACCTGTGGGTTAAACCATTATAATGACCACACCTACCCTTTTACCAATTGCCACACTTAGGTCATGCCTTTGCATTTTTTTTTTTTTTTTTTTTGAGATGGAGTCTCGCTCGGTCACCCAGGCTGGAGTGCAGTGGCATGATCTCGGCTCACCGCAGGCTCCAACTCCCAGGTTCACACCATTCTCCTGCCTCAGCCTCCCAAGTAGCTGGATCTACAGGCGCCCGCCACCGCACCCGGCTAATTTTTTGTATTTTTAGTAGAGACGGGGTTTCAGCGTGTTAGCCAGGATGGTCTCGATCTCCTGACCTCATGATCCGCCCGCCTCAGCCTCCCAAAGTGCTGGGATTACAGGTGTAAGCTACCGTGCCAGGCCATGCCTTTGCATTTAAGGGCTGCTCTGGGGAACTGACCACTCCAGTACCTGGTCCTTGCATTTAAAAATGAAACATCCCATTTCAACAGCAGCGTCTCCTGCCAGCATCCCAAATGAACAGAGAACAGTTGTAGAGCACTTTTCAAAGATGATGGGGCTGCTATCATCTAAGCATTATTGAAGAGAGTCTTTTTTGAGGGCCCTTTTGGGAAACACAGGGGGTAAATGAACACGCTATATGTGAGCAATCCATTTCAAGTTTATATGTCCCTAAATCTAGATTTCTTTCCAAAGTCCTAACTTTCACATAAGAGACCTGACAAGGCAGTGAATTTAACTGAGAAATAGTGGCAGCTTCAGGATCAAAATTTGAATTTGATTTTTATGTATTTCAGCTGTACGACACAATTGAGCTAACTTTTTTTTAATACAGAGCAATTCTATGGTTTTCTTTCTATATATTGAACCCAGAACCTCAGAGTTTGAGTATGTGAATCTTTTTAAGTTCCTAAATCTCTTTAGAAGTAAGCACTCACTCTATAGTCTGAATTTCTTATGTCCCTACATAGGGCTCTGGCTGTGGTGCTGTTTCCCTGAAAGACTTGCCTTGTGTATTCATTGCAGGTGACCACAGATGAGAATTAGAAGACTGTTTCACATTGCTTGCCAAGAGGCTTTATACTGGTTGAATTTCAGAGCCTTCAGCCTGAATCAGATCAGATAACCAATTTCAGATACCTCCTATTTGCCTGAGCTTCTGTTTTCTAAAATGATTTTGGGAATCAGTGTCGATATCAATCAGACAGCAACAAAAGAAGCTAAGTTTGATGATTTGAGCAGAAAATGAGTTTATTATAAAGATATGGAGAGCTGGAAAAATTTTGAGAGGGATGGAGGAACAGGCTAAAGGTTAAGATTCCAGAATTAATGCCCACAGGCACATCGTAGTACTGGCCCAGTGAGGGAATAGCCATTGCTACCAATACTGAGCACTTTGGAGTAGAATTTACAGGACTGCCAGTGATAAGACTTCATTTGCATCTAATACTGATAATAATTCTGTGCCAGGAATTCAGTCTTGGAGGCAATCCACCCCTGACAGCAAACTGCTTAAGTACTATACTGGTTAGCATGGTTAATAAAATGGATTCTTCATGGAACCTCCTTTCTAATACTGTTCACTTCTGGGCCACAGTCTGGCACCAATGAGTTTAATCAATTTTGCCTAGTCACGTGTTTTTGCCTTACTGCAAGAGACACTGACAAAAGGAGTATTTTAGTTTCTACTTTGAGGAGGCCAAACATGTAAGTAGAAAATTCTCCAAGCATAGAAAAGTTTTCAAAAATAGATAACAAGAAAATATAACAGATATTCACTATTCCTGATGTGTACTCCTTTATTTTTAATATTTCCCTGTGAATCACTTCGTCTTAGGTGTGTTGGATGCAAATAGCATAGTTTTCTTTTGTTGATGTTGCTGTTGTTCTTACTTGGGTTTGGGTTTTTTTCTTTTTTCTTTTGCTTTCTTGCTTTATTTCTCTTCTCTAATATTGCTATATGACTCAAGTTGTCTCAACATTTTTTTCTCAAGTGATCCACCTGCCTTGGACTCCCAAAGTGCTGAGATGAGAGGTGTGAGACACCCTGCCCAGCCCTCATTCCCTTTTAGAATTGCGTAACACTCTACATTGTGGATGTACCCACAGTTATTTTCAATGTTTACCTTTAAGTTAAATTAACTTTTTTAAATTGAGCTTTTATTTCTCTATTAAAATAAAAAATGGAAAAGAAACTCGTGAATTTCCCATCAGCAGGATAAGAAAGTTAGCTTATGTGTATTTGTTTCTTTTATTCCACACTCGACTCATGGTTTTTGTGTTCTAATTGTGTTCTCTCTTTAAAATTAACATTTACCACATATTTCATAATTATTTTCTGCTACTCAATTTTCTTATATAATGTAGATATTTATCTGGCTTCATTTATTAAGTAGCTAGAGAAGATTTGTCAGCAATTTTTTCAGGAAAGCTATTTGGTTTGTCTACTTTCCAAATTATTGCCTGTCTAAAATTTATTTATAAAGCTTTAATAAATATAATTACATAGATTATAGAATGCTTTGGTGGCAATAATCTCCTTAAAACTTTGAAAAAAAACTATTCCAATATGTCTTGCATTTAATGTTACTGAGAATCTTTAGTAGTCGTGTGTGTGTGTGTGTGTGTGTGTGTGTGTGTGTGTGTGTGTTTCCTAACTCCCTGGTAGGTAACCTATTTTAGATTGATAAGTCCAAGAGGGAGAAAGTTTCCCACCTGCAAAAAATGTGTGCAGATTTTCTTTCTGTCCTAAAAACCCAAATTTTGCTAAGATATATTCTAGATGTGTCATGGTTGTTAGTTTTGCCTGCTATTAAAATCTGAACTTTGACAAGATTATCTATCAATGAGGCCAATGGGAAACCAGGCTCTCTCATACATTGTTCATATGAATACATAATATATAACTTCTATGGCAGGTAATTTGTTCCTATCTAGTGAAATTATTTATACATTACCTTTTAACCAGCAATTCACTTCTAAGAATTTTCCCAAAGATATGCTGGCAAAAATATGAGGTCATTTACACAAAGCTATTTATTGCTAGATTATGACCTGGTAGAAACCCAAATGTCCTTCATTTGAGCTAATTATATTAACTATGGGTACACCCACAAAGTAGAGTGTTAGGCAAGTCTAAAATGGGATGAGGGCCAAGTGCAGTGTTTCACGCCTGTAATGCCAGCACTTTGGGAGGCCGGATCACTTGAGGTCAGGAGTTCGAGACTAGCCTGGCCAACATGGTGAAACCCTGTCTCTACTAATAATACAAAAAGTGGCTGGGCATGGTGGTGCATGCCTGTAGTCCCAGGTACTCGGGAGGCTGAGGTAGGAGGATCACTTGAACCCGGTAGGTGGAGGTTGCAGTGAACCGAGATCGTGCCACTGCACTCCAGCCTGGGGGACAGAGCAAGATTCCATCTCAACATAAATAAATAAATAAAATAAAATGAGAAATATTTCTGCTTACTAATACGGAATGATGTCCAAGATAAATTGTTAAGTTAAAAAAGCAAAAACAGAAAAAGCAAGGTGAAGAAAATTGCACATGGAATGCTATCAATTAGCACAGAATGGAAAGATATGAAGACAAATACCTATTTTTTGTCTTAAAAAGCAAACAATAGAAAAATAACCATAATAAACAGAGTAATTTCCTTTAAAAGGAGAAAAAGAATATAAAGAAACAGGAAGGAATAGAATCTAAATTTCTTTGGATATATCTTGTTTATTTAAATTTTACATGAATCTAAATAAAATGATTTTAAAGCAATCCTTAAAAAATGAAAATAAAAGCTTTAAAGTAAACTTACTGTACATTTAGTTGATGGCACAATGTTGTTCCAAGTAATTTTAAGGAACAGTAATTTGATTGTAGCTCCCTAGAAGGATATACCCAAAAGTTAAAATAAATTTTAAAAACATTTTTAGTAATTATAAGTGAATTGTTGGTATTATTAGTCTGAATCTGTTGTGGGTATATTTTTGGGCAAAAATTATGAATACTATGTGATATTCTAATTCTATAATTCCCTTATGTTTTTGAGAATGAGAATTCTCAGAATAAGTAAAAGGAGATGCAATTGTAACAATGAAATGGTTAAGTAAAATCCCTCGTAATCTTTCATTTGAATTGAAAGCGATAGTGGCAGGAGACAGACAAATTCCTAGGCAGACAGAGGTGAGTCCCCAGTGAAACCCAACCTTCAAACCAAAAAAAAATTAAAGCCTGAAAATCAAGCTGCAGTTCCGGATAGAGTCCGTGATTGGAGTGAGAACTTTTTTCCCACTCCTTCCTCATTGGTTCTTTTTGAATAATGTTTTTTAACCAATCAAATGTTGCCTCTTCCAAAGCTACCTACAACCTGCGCCTCCTCATTTCAAACCTATAAAAACTCTTGACTCAGCCACACAGACGAGCTACCTGCTTTCAGGCCCCTTCTCACACAGGGGGCTACCCACTTAAGGTCCCCTCTCACTGTCAAGGGCTTTTGTATTGCTCAGTAAAATTCTTCTCTGCCTTTCTCACTCTCCAGTGTCTGCATACCTCATTGTTCTTGGTCATGGGACAAGAATCCAGAACCCATCCAACAGTGGAAGCAAAAAGGGGCTGTAACATGCTCCTGGCCAGCTCACGGAGCTGCCTGCGGTGTGAATGCAAAGAGCTGTAACCTGCTCCCATTTGCCACACATGGGAGTGAAGAGCTGCAACCCTTCTGGGGGCTCAGACCTCAGGACTCCTCAAGCCAGAGCTGTAACACGCCCCTGTTTGCCAAGCCATGGGAGGAGAGAATGGACAAGCTATAACATGCCCCTGTTCACCAAGTTGCAAGCGGCGGGAATAAGAGACAGAACTGTTTCATTCCCTAGCTGGGACTCCCTGAGCAGAAGCTGTAACACCTCTTTGGGCCTCCGTGGTTGCTGATGTCTCCGAGTTTTTGGGTGCCACTGCGTTCCCCTTGTCCAAAAGCTGGCGCCGAAGGTGGAAGCTAGTCACGGACGCTCGGACCAGCCTCCAGCCAAGCACGGTGCCATAGCGGGTGCGGGATCCAGGTTGCTAGGATGAGCCAAGCACAGACTGATGGACCAAGTAGGTGGAGAGAGCCCAGCAGGCTTCAGTGAAGACCGGGCAGAGGCAAGGCCGGCCATGGAGATTTCCGGCCGGCAAAGCTTCACTGAAAGAATCCTGTGTCAAAAAGTACCAGCGCAAATTTATGATGAATTTTCCTTTAAAAAATAAAAGTATTTCCTAACTCTGAATAAAAAGAAAAAAAGCCAGGAAGAAAACGACCAACCCATTCATAGTGTACACTCTTTTTTTTTTTTTTTTTTTGGTTCCTACTTTTTTTTTTTTTTTAAATGTATACTTTAAGCTCTAGGGCTCTTAGCATCCAGCTGGTGGTCACCACATGCTATTATCCACTGAAAGGAATCAGAGGCCCTGGAGAAATGGCTGGCTTCAGGTCCGGAGAAGAAATTATATAAGGTAATCCAGTGTACTTTGCCATACCATGTGGCAAGGAAACTCTCTAATACTACTAGGGTTCAAAAGAACTTAGGGGTCAACCCAAAGAGGCGATGTACATCAATGATAAAAATTTTGAGCATTAATAAGATAAATAAGATAAATGCTTAGATCTATAAGTCTGTATGACGTAAAAATAAGTATATGGAATATTAGTGAACCAACTCATAATTTTGAAAACTAGTAAATAGGGAAAAGACTCATGCATCTACTCTGCATTTCCTATATAACTGTACCACCAGGTAACCAGATAACAATGAAGGAAATTTTCTTTTAGAGAAGGATTCTAGATAATAACGAATGAGTGATAGAATCAGAATACCACCATTTTTCAAACCATAATGAATCTAGGCATTGATGATCAATTGTATTTTATATCACAAAAAGACAAAAACCCAGACATTGTATGCTTTCTAATAGGAGCATTTATGAAGCAGCATTGGCAAAACAAACAAACAAAAATGCATCAATCTTTTTCTGGTCAAGCCTTCAGGTCCATATTAACCTTTAAGAAATACAAAGATTATAAGATCTTTTTATTCAACACGTCAGGGAGGCAATTGACAGACTTCATAATGAAAAACTCCAGAATTAAAAAGCACAGTTTCTCCAACAAATAATTGTAAAAACAAAGAAACAGAGAGGAAACCTATAAAAGGCACTTAAGACACTTATCAACCAATTTCTATGCAAGGGCCATATTTGGATCTTGGTTCAAACATATTGAAAAAAATATATAACATTGATGAGACCATTAGAAATTCAAGCAATAGACTTAATATTTGACGATAAGAAGGAATATTATCAATTCATTTTTTGCAAATCATAATGGTTATGCTTTTTTAAAGTTTTTATTTGTCTTAGAAATAAATACTAAAATATATACAGAGGAAATAACAGGGTACCTGGAATTTAATTCAAAACAATTTGGGAGAAGAAAATTGGTTAAGATGTAGATCAGATTGGTTAAAGGCTAATAATTATAGCTGGATGATGGGGGTACATAGTACATGAGGACTCATTAACCTATTCTGTCTTCCTTTATTTAGGTTTACTTTTTTATAATAAAAAGTTGAAAAAAGTATCTGCAACTTAATGAGTCCTATAATTCTGAAGATTCAAATTTGTATTTGAAGTCGACTAATCTGTTACACGTTTATTTTTTCCTATTCTGTCATCTTAGTTCTTGCCTTTTGGAATTCCTGTTTCATGGATATGGGACCTACTGGATCTGTCTTTGTAATCTTTTCGACATGGAATCCACCTTTCTTCAACTCCCACTGATTCCTCAGACAGCTAATCTATCTTGCACCACTTAAACTCCATACAATTGCTTTTCTTGAGGTCACCAATATCCTGTGTATTGCCAAATCCAAAAATTACATTTATTTCTTCATAATTCTGAAAATTTTAGCAGTATTTAACATAACTGATCACTTATTTGTTCCAGAAACACTCTGTTCTTTTGCCCCATGACTTCATACTTTGCGTTTTTTCCCCCTACCTCTCTAGCCATTTAATCTTACTCTCTTTTGCAATTTCTTCTCTTCCATCTAATCTATAAATACATGAATTTCCCATGACTCACACATGAGATTATTTCTAATTTTTGTAAAGCATTTTCTCATTAGTTTATTTCATGCTTTTCAATGGCCTTAGACAGCTTCCAGATGCTGAAAACTCCCAAATTTATGTCTGAGCCTAAACTCCTCTTTTGAACACCATGTTCTTATCTGACATACCTACTTGACTACATTCATAGGCAAATTCTTCATTTCTACTGTTGGCTCCTTATTAATTCTAACAGCCATTCCTTGCAGATGCAAAGTAAAGGAACTCTCCCAGTGACCCTATTCCACATCACTTTCATTTACTGTATTACCAACATTAAAAAAATTCTGAAGTAACCTTAATTTTTTACATTTACTTGCATTTTGTTTATTTTCTATGTGACCACTAGCATGAGCTTTATGAGAGTAGAAATTTTGTTTTGTTTACTGTTTTATTTTTATTACCTAAAATATTTCCAGACACAGAGTAATAATTTAATAAATGTTTATTGGATTAAAGAATAAATGCTGTCTTTCTTTGATTGGTTTTCTGAAAAACAAGCTGAAATATACTCAAAGGTCCATTAATTATTAATAGTAATTGCTCACTTACTTATGCTGCTTTACATTTTGTAAATATTTTCATTTAAAAAATCTCATTTAATGATCATAGCAACACTGGAGATAGGGATTATTTTTCTTATTGTAAAAGTGAAGAACATTGTGACTGAGAGGGCTTATTGTAAATAAATAAATATTGTAAAGCTGAGCTTTGACTCCAGGTTTTCTAATTTCCACACTGATATTTCTATTGTACTGTTATATCCATCATTTTTGCCTTAATAAGCCAATTGGCGACGGCAATTAAAAATGCATTCTTTAGAAGAAAAGAAGTTCCATTGTAATCAATCTGCTACCAGATAGCTGGATGGTCACAGAAGTATAAAACTGTATGAATGCTCTAGGTTAGTAGCTGCTCTCTGGTAAATGGGAGTCTCAATAGTAGAAATAGGGACAGCATTGGCGAGAAGTGTGTGTTCTTGAGCCTACGATGAAGTATATCCCACAAATATAACCACTTTCTTTAAGAACTCCTTTAAAAAGCACTAGGATAGCCTTGGTAAATGACTACAAAATCAGAGTAAACATCCTACCCACTTGATTATTAAGAATAGTCTTTACAATGACTGAGGTGAGCACTGGGGGGCTAATTTTGAGAGATTCATCTAGATTTTTATTCTAGATCTTCTTGCCACTATCCCCCATTGATACTCCTTTCAATTTTCCAAACACGTGGTGAAACCATTAGCTAATGCTTAATATTTATATAAATCCCTACATTATGCCATCATTCCTTCCAAGCAAAGTAGAGCACTGTGATGCTGGTTGCATAAAGAATAACTGTTCAATGGTAAGCTGGTTATTTCTGGGAAGAGATGATTGTCAGGCAGCCACAAGAGCCAAAGGGTTGTGGTAAGTATTTGCTGAGCTTTTTTTCCTTTCTGTATTTAACTCCCTTTCTAGTATCACCCCAAAAATCTCCTTGAGGAGCTAGTTCCAATTGAATTATTTGAAATAAACTTTTTAAAATTAAATTTTAAAGCAAAAGAGCAAGAAAGATATGGTAGTAGCCTTGCAATTTTCTATTTCCCATCTAGCTTGTTTTGGTAAGAGAGTGCATGTTAATTTGATGGAGAAGCTCAAATCAGAAATGAAGAGTGTGTATTTGACTACAGCATCTCCTGTATTTTACTAAGAAATTCAAGAATAGCAATTGGCAGTTGTACCACACCTACTTTACAAAAATAACCTTAAATTAGACAAAATCAGGAGAATGGAACTCTAAAATCTGAGAATTTGCTAACAACCAGATTACAAAAATAACTGCCTTTTCTACAGTATGATGTTGATTCTTAACTACCTTTGTCCACTATTTTGCATATTTTTATGCTTTATCACTTTAATTATTTTCTTGAAGATGGGAATAAAAAGTCTTGAATTCCAGCATGGGTGACAGAGTGAGACCTCGTCTCAACAAAAAAATGTCTTGAAAATTTCACAGTTCTCATAGTTTTCTTATATTTCCAGAAATTTATGCATAAATTTCTATTCTTCTTTGACATTCAAGTAAATTATGTTTCTAGTTGTTCTAAGAGCACTACCATGTTTCTGTGAATTTTAGTAAGAGCATTAGTGAACTTTTAGTTTCTAGTTCCAACAGTGCACTTGAGAGAAAAAGTTTCTTTGGGAAGATAAGTGATTGAACCTTTATAAAATATGCACTGCATTATAAATCATGATTACCAATGAGAGTGTATTATTAATCCTGCATAAAAGATGCAGCAGTTATTATGGCTACTGTGCATTCAGTCCTTTCTGTAAGAACGTAGTTGAAATTTCCAAATCACACATATAATCTTTCAGTCTAATGAACAGATTTTTGTATCTGTCATTTTTATATTTATCCTCATCTTTTATAATTATGTAATATTAACTTTCTTCTGGCATTAAACCATCTACCTTAAAGTTAGTTTTACATTCTAAAAATCTTGCAATGACTGTCTTTATTATATATTGCTGGAACTGCTAAAAAGAAATTATATTTTCACTCCTTTTCCTTTTAAGATTTGACCCGTTTCTAGAAAGGTGAACCATTTTCAAATTCTCAGTGATTTAGATTTATTCCTTCATTCTGAAATAGCTGTGGGTAATAAAAATGGAGAAATTTTAAACCTGCAAAATGGTAGCACTTAACCCTGAAAAAATTTTAGCATGCATGAACATCTGATTTTGTACATGAACGCTGACAATTTAAAATTTTCAGATAGGCTCAAATTAGTAAATGGCCAACCTTTAGATCTCCCTTTTTAAATTAAGATTTAATTTACACTTTAATGAGAGTCATAGAAGTTCTCAGGTTAAGAAACAAAGAATATACCAGATTTATAATGAAAAAAAAGTTGTCTTCTCCCTTATTTCTTCCCTCTCCCAATTCTGCCAACAACTGATTCTCACTTCTAAGAAGCAACCACTGGGCCAGGCACGGTGGCTCAAGCCTGTAATCCCCAGGACTTTGAGTGGCAGAGGCAGGTGGATCACCTGAGGTCAGGAGTTTGAGACCAGCCTGGCCAACATGGTGAAACCCCGTCTCTACTAAAAATACAAAAAAATTAACGGGTGTGGTGGCAGGTGACTGTAATCCCAGCTACTTGGGAGGCTGAAGCAGGAGAATCACTTGAACCGGGGAGGTGGAGGTTGCAGTGAGCCAAGATAGTGCCATTGCACTCCAGCCTGGGCATCAAGAGCAAAACTCCATTTCAAAAAAAAAAAAAAAAGAAAGAAAAAAAGAGAAGCAATCACTGCTTCTTATTAGTGTTAGTCCATTTTGCATCGCTATGAAGGAATACCTGAGGCTGGGTGATTTATAAAGAAAAGATATTTACTTGGCTGGCAGTTCTGCAGGCTGCACAGAAAACTTGGTGCTGGCATCTGCTCAGCTTCTAGTGAGGCCTCAGGAAACTTTTACTGATGGTGGAAGGCAAAGGGAGCCAGCATGCCACGTGGAGAGAAAAGGAGCAAGAGAAGAGAGGAGGAGGTGCCAGGCTCCTTTTAATAATCAGCTGTCATGTCAAGTCATTACCATGGGGAAGGCACTAAGCCATTCATGAGGGATCTGCTCCCATGACACAAATACCTCCCACTAAGCCCACCTCCAACACTGGGGATTCAACATGAGATATGGAATAAACAAATATCCAAACTATATCAACACCGTCATCTCTTTTAGTTTTTTCTTAGGGTGTTTACATCTATATGTCATAATAACATAATTAAATTGCTAGTAACTAATTCTCACACAGAAGAGGAAGATTAGCTTCTGTATGTGCTGTTCCCCATACACAAACACACACATAGCTGTACATACTTCCTCATCCCCATCTTCCAAATATGGTTATACCATCTTTTGGGAGGCCAGGTAATATTGTTTCCAGTTAAACCACTAAGTATGCTCTCATATTTTCTCTCTTATATAAACCTTTGCTTCTCTGATGGTATACTTGCCTTCTATTTTGTATTTGATTTAAAATGTGTGTGTACCTACCACTAAGTCATCTCAAGGGCTTCAACTCTAAATGTATTTTTCAACTATTCTAGCAATATTATTTATCCATCAGAATATCCCTACTAAACCTTCCATCTGCTAGTCTCAAATTATATTGTTTGCTCTACAGATTTCATCTTGAAATTTGTTTTAATCAATTTCCCTGCAAATCCTCTCCATCTCTTTTAGTAGCTTTATGAGAAACAATGTTCAAGAGGTAAGTGTTCAAAATTTTACATGTCTGAAAAGGCCATTATTTTACATTCATAATTAATTTTTAGTGTGGGTGGTAACAAATTATCAGTTGTAAACCGTATTTTCTCATAATTTTGAAAGCATCACTCAGTTATCTTCTTATTTAGGAAATGGCAATTTTTTTCTATAAAGAGGAAGATATCAAACTTTTAGGATTTGTGGGCCATCTGCTCATTGTTGAAACGACTCAATTCTGCTGTTTTGGCTCCAAAGCAACCATAGACAACTTGTAAACAAATAAGCATGGCTGTCCTCCAGTAAAACTTTATTGGCAAATACAGCTTCCCAATCCCTGCTCTAGGTTCTCACATTACTGTAATGACATTATGATTTATAATCCATTTATATGTGACCTTTTTTTCATTTTAGAATCTTTTTTAATGTTATTCACTTTGACCATGACATTCTGAAATATCCAGATGACATACATTAGTAGGAACTTAATGTTTCTTGACAGAATATTGGTGGGCTCTTCAAACTGGGAAATGTTCTTATAATTTGATAATTTCTTCTCCTTTCCTTTCTCTGTTCTCTCCTTCTGGAACTAATATTCCAGAAGGAGATTTCCAGTTGAAAGTTGGGCCTTCTGAGTTTATGATTTTTTAACTTCTACTTTTTGGAAGGTCTTTTACAATTTATCTTCCAGCCTTCTATTTTAATTTATGTTACCATTTTCTTTTTTAATGTCTAAGAGCTCTTGTTATCTGACTGCTCTTTATTTTATGTTCCCTCATTTTTATTTTATGTATTCAATCTCTATGAGAACTTTAATTACCATATGTGTGGGAGGGATGTCTGTGTGTGCAGGTGTCTATGTGTCTGTGTATGTGGTTTTGCCTGCTAGCTAATTGCCTGTTTCATCTGACTTTTTTATCCTGCTCTCTCTTCCTCCCTCTTTTCCCTCTCTTCCACTTTTCTGCCTTTCTTTCTTATGGAAGTTTCTCTGAAATGTGATTTTTAACTATTCTTTAACTTTTGAGAACAAGGCACTGAAGTGATGACTAGAAGCTCTATATACAGTACATGGTTGAGTTTGACAACTGGTGAGCTTTACTATAACATGATCAAATTAAAACCTAGGGGTGGGTGTGGTGGCTCACACCTGCAATCCCAGCACTTTGGGAGGCCGAGGCAGGCGGATCACAAGGTCAGTAGTTCAAGACCAGCCTGGCCAACATAGTGAAACCCTGTCTCTACTAAAAATACAAAAATTAGCCAGGCATGGTGGCGCATGCCTGTAGTCCCAGCTACTCAGGAGGCTGATGCAGGAGAATCACTTGAACCTGGGAGGTGGAGGTTGCAGTGAGCCAAGATCGTGCCACTGCACTCCAGCCTGGGTGACAGAGCGAGACTCTGTCTCAAAAAAAAAAAAAAAAAAAAAAAAACTAGGCATTTCATTGGGGATCGCAAAATTAGTGTGTAGAAATTTTCTATTAGGCTAGTTAGTTTTCCCCCAAAAAAGCAATTTTCCATCTCCTTCCTAGAGACATCATGCAGCTGAGATCATTCTAGGAACCAAACAGGGAAAAGATGGTATAAGGATCTCACAATATAGTATGTACCTTTCACTTAAATTCTGTGGTTTCAATATAGCTCATCACAGCCACCCCCCCAAATCAGAGGTGTGTTCAGTATTCTCAAGATCAGAACTTGTCTGATTCAGCACCTGCAGAGAGAAAACTTTACTTCGGTCTTCTTAATGGGTTAGAGAAAGAAAATCACTTGGAGTCAGGGAGGGGGATCTGGTGTTCTGATACTTTCAAGACTTTTAGCTGATCTTCCTGCTTTCTGTCCAAGCCTATGTTCTTCATCCTGAGGTACCTGGTATCACCAACTCCTCAGCCTTTTTAGGTATCTATAGGACAAACTGGCTTGGTTCTTTGCTCTCATATCAGCAGGCTTAGATGTAAGAGTTACATAATCTGATAAGTCAATTATGACTTATCCACTACCTTTCCGGCACTTAAAAAAATTGGTTTATATTTTTAGTCTGCTGTAATCTTCTCATTTTTCTTTCTTTTCTGTGGGTTTCTAACTTTCTAAAATTCCTTTGGTGTAATTTTAGTAGGGTTTCAGGAAAGACCAGAAATAAATGAACATATTTAATCTAACACATTTCATCTAGTTGTATCCCCAATTTTAGAAAACTCATACCTACACCAGCTAGTTAGAATTCCAAGTGATTTACATAGCAAGAAGAACCGAAGCTTCTTCTGATAGGCAAGGCTATAAACTCCTTATTGTTGAGACTATTAATAATTAATCTCTTTGTCTGCAACATATAGCCTTCTACTTGGTTCATTGTGGATTCACGTTTAATATTTGTTTAATAATTAAGTGATATTAATGAATAGGTTTTAAGAAATAGCTTCTACTTAAAATTTAACCCCAAAATTGACATGAAATTTTTTTTTTTGAGACAGAGTTTCGCTCTTGTTGCCCAGGCTGGAGTGCAATGGCATGATCTCAGCTCACTGCAACTTCCACCTCCTGGGTTCAAGAGATTCTCCTGCCTCAGCCTCGCGAGTAGCTGGGATTACAGGTGTCTGCCACCATGCCTGGCTATTTTTGTTTGTTTGTTTTTTGTATTTTTAGTAGAGACAGGGTTTCACCATGTTGGCCAGGCTGGTCTTGAACTCCTGACCTTAGTTGATCCACTTGACTCGGCCTCCCAAAGTGCTGGAATTACAGGCATGAGCCACCGCTCCCGGCCAATATGATCTTTTTAAGCAGCTAAAAACAAAATATTTTTCAGAAAAATAAGTTCATCATGTGGTAATGAAAAGAAGACTGTAACAAAATAGAAAAAAATTGATCCATGTAATACATATTGAAATGGAAAGTTCACAAAAATGTCACCATGATAACAACTAGAAGTCATGCCATGCTGTCCCAAATCCCACCACCATGTCGGTTTACTCCTTGGCAAAGATTATTAGATTGGCATATTTAAGGAAATAATCTATTTCCATAAATGTCATTGGGATTTTTTTTTAGAGACCCCTCACTCTGTTGCCCAGGCTAAAGTGCTGTGGTGTGATTCTAGTGCACTGCAACTGTGAATGGTTAGGTTCAAGCTATTCTCCTGCCATAGCCTCCTGAGTAGCTAGGACTATAGGTGTCCCACCATGCCAAGCTAATTTTTAAAAATGTTCAGTTGCACAGGCTGGTCTTGAACTTCTGGCCTCAAGCAATCCTCCTGCCTCAGCATCCCAAAGTGCTTGGGTTACAGGTGTGAGACACCATGCCCAGCCTCATAAGGATAATTTTAAGTAAATAAGTGGATTATATTTTCATCCTCAGTAACAGGTAGGAATGGAAAGAGTTGAGACTAAAGAGCCTTAAAAAACAGTGATATTTAGAATACAGGAGTAGATTTTGCTAAGCTATCACTTCACAGGAAAATTACACTGCGAAAAAATCTTGTCTCTGTTTTCAACTCTCTGTCACTTATCGGCCAGTTCATTACCTCTGGTTGGCGAAGCATCAACAGTCCCTCTGGGCATATCTAGCTCATTTACATAGGCCAGTTGTCCCAGGCTCAATGGTCTCATGTTAAACCAGCAAATAGCTAGAAGAAAATTAAGCCCTTACAACACAAATAGTTCAGAGCCATATTTTTTTCTCATGTTGATGAGAATGAGAGAGCAATGCTTCCCAATTTTGTACTAGATGCCTAACATTATGCAGCATCAGTCAGATCACATTATATTGAGTTACAGAGCAGGTCAGCACAAATGGCCGTGTTCAAAGAAGTCTCTGACTCTTTGCCAAGTCGTTTGGCACCAATCAAGTTGTCATCAATTTGAGTTACTTGTAGATCATTTCAGGAAGTATTAAGATAATTATTGGCTGTTTTCATAATAGTAGGAAGCCAGGAAAGCACTCACTGAACCTCTGTATCCATCTATAAATTAAGAAACAGACACTCTATATCTAAAAACAATATAATTCATGTCATGTTAATGTATGCACCATTTCAGTTTATATTCTATTATCCTACTCGTAGATTATATATTTGAGTAATTTATCCACATGATATTAGAATACACTCAACCTTGTTGTATCGAAGATGTTTTCTCTCAGCGATTTGCTGAATTTTTTCATGGAATAATTTATTAGATAATATATTGCACCTGATAATGTTACATTAAATAACAAATTAGGCTGTAAAATTTGCCTTTAAAAAATATATATATATATAATAACTGATATTACTAAAATATCATTTATATTTATAGTGAATTGCATTCCAAAGTTCATTCATAGGCTGCTTGCCTAAAATGATATTTCACATAGAAACAATATAATTGTGGACCCACAATCTGGTGATCGTTTAATACTGTATTGATAATAATGTCTTATTTACAATGTTGGTGCTATGAAGAAAGTCATTCTATCCTGGAGAAAGCTCCAAGACCTCATCCCCTGGCATGATGTTCTAACATGAAAAATATTCTATTTCTACACCTTCATTGACTTCTGGAGGTGCCAGCAGTAGTATAGAGAGTAAAGAATCTCAGTTATCCCCAGAAACTCAAGCTAAATAGAAATAAGATGGAGGCTATCTACTGGTAAAGGTAATTCATATCAAATATCAGTGATCATTACAGGAAAAATGGAAACGGCATGTAACTACTTAATTTATCTCTTAACTTTAACACTTATTTCAGTTTCCCACTCAATCCCCTTGATATGGTTTGGCTTTGTGTCCCCATCCAAATCTCATCTCAAAATGCAATCCCACATGTTTAGGGAGGGACCTGGTGGGAGGTGACTGGATCATGGGGGTGGTTTTTCTCTTGCTGTTCTCATGATAGTGAGTGAGTTCTCATGAGAGTTGATGGTTTTGAAGTGTGGCACTTCCCCTATCTCTTTCCTCTCTCTCCTCTCTCACCTCCTGCCATGTGAAGAAGTTTCTTGCTTCCCCTTTGCCTTCTGCCATGGTTGTAAATTTCCTGAGGCCTCCCCAGCCATGCAGAACTGTGAGTCAATTAAACATTCTTCTTCATAAATTACCCAGTTTCAGGTAGTTCTTTATAGTAGGGTAAAAATGAGCAAATACACCCCTTGAGCCGCATCCTCCAGTCTTTGCTGAGTGCTCATTTTAGTTTATCAAGGAGAGGCTGTACTGAGGTTAAAAGCACAGAGACTAAAGTCAAACCATCTGAGCTCAAATTATGACTCCATGTTGGAAAACTTTTTCCATGGATAGCTCATATTTCTGCACAACCTGCCAGCAGAAGCACATATAGCCTTTATTTTGGAATATCCTGCCAAAGATATTTCTATAGTGAATAATCCTGGACAACAGAGATATTCCAAGAGAGCATGTTGATTTGCTGTCTAGTATAATTAAGATGATGCCTCCATCCAAGACAAATGTTGAATAAGTTTGTACATAGCTCATTAAAAGTTTGAAATTTCCTAAGCTTGGGGTTTCTCTTAGTCCATTTGTGCTACTATAAGAGAATACCATAGACTGGATCATTTGTAAAGAACGGAAATGTATTTCTCAAAGTTCTGGAGACTGCAAAGTCCAAGATCAAAGCACCAGAACCTGAGGATCTTCTTGCTGCATCCTCCACAGTGAGAGGTAGAGGACAAAAGGAAGCAATTGCTCTTCATCAAGCCCCTTTATAAGGGTACCTGATCCCATTCGTGAGGAAGGAGTACACATGGCCTAATCACTTCTTAAAGACTTCCATTTTCAATACTATCATAGTGACAACACCTGAAGTTTGGAGCGGACACATTCATACTATAGCTTAGCAATTTCCTAAGCTTGGGGTTGCTCAGCTATGATGCAAACCCCATTGCATGCACAGCATCCATCTGGATCTACCTCTAATTTACCTCTTTGACACTTTGGGGGCAGGAGTAACAATAGGAACATGAAACTCGTGCTGCCTGTTGTCTTTTGACACCTTTGGGACCAGGAGTCTCATATATTTTGCCAGCATTCATAAAACTGGGAGAAGCTAACATGTTAGCTTATGAGTAGGGTAAAATCTCAGACTGGACACCTTGCCACTTAATAGGTATGTGACCTTGGAAATAAATAAATCTCAGTATAACTTTAGTGTTCACATCTAAAAACTGAGGTTGACAATCATCTTTACCTCACAAAATTGTGACGTTTAAACAAGAGAATGCACAAGAAATGTGGCATAGTTTCTGACTGTAAACACTCAAAATCAAGTGAACTGTTGAGTTTTTGTTGGTGTTGGTTTAACATTTCTGACCTTTAAAAAATTTTTTCCTCTTATCTGCACAATTTGTCTTTTTGGAAATACTTACTCATCTTTTTCTTTTGTTTTAATCATGTGAGCACATGTATGGAAGTGGAAAGTAATAATATCCAATAAAATACAATGAAACCCGTGAACTGTATATCTGAGCACCATCCAGACATTTGCAGAGGCAAGAAAGGAGTTTACTGCATTTGCTCTGGGGGATCAAAGCTGTGGTTTTAGCTGTAGATATGAATTAAGGGGAAACTGCTATCTAATAGTGAAAAATTCCAGACCAGCAAAATCAGAGGACCTTAGGATGGGGGCTCTGAGCACTGACAGTGTCTTCAAAGTCCCCCAGGTGACAATAACATTCAGCTGGGTGAAACTACTGTTCTGACCAAAAAGATTTGTCTTTTTTATTCTGAGGTAGATGTTGAATCTTGATTGAAAGCACTTGGAGAGCTTTAAAACAATACCGAGGCCCGTGCCCCATTCCCAGAAGTTGTAATTTATTTGTTCTAAGTGAAGACTGGGTATCAGGGAAGTAAAAACTACCCAAATGAATTCAATCTGCACTCAATGTTCTAAGAGAACAGCAAAGAGCTAAAAGCTTCTCCTTTTAAATATTCCAGGGAGATAGGGCAAAGGATTTAATAAAATCACAGAAAATTAAGAGGATAAATCAACATTTTCTCATCCTTCAATGTTTTTTATGTCCAAAATCAAGTTGAAGTCTTTCAAAATCATGAATCTAAATCAACTGGCTTTGCTTTTAATGAGGTCAGAGTGGTCCTGCAATTCCTTCCCAAACACAACAATTAGATTGTAGCACATTGTGAAGTCAGCTTATATATGCGTATGTTGATGATTCAAACAATTTTTGTGGCCAAATATGCTACAGACATTAGTCAGGCAGGTTGTGTAGACAAGTCTGCAGTTGATCCTCATGATTCTTGGGAAGGCTATGTTTGTTTTGGATGAAAGCACCTCTGTTGTTTACATAAGCATGTTTCACTCATATGTTTGTAAAACCTGATACTATTCAGGGTATGAAAGTCCAAACAGGATTGTTACTGAATTATCTGCAAAATAAACAGTTTCATTTAAAACAGTCAGCTTTAGGCCACACATGAAAAATAACTTTACATGGAACCTTCAAGCTAAACATGAATGTTTAAACTATAAAAGTATAATTTAAAACCAAATGCTATTTAAAAACTAGCAACCTGTGGGAACAATTTAGAAGAAATATTGTCTAAAAATTTGATTGGTGAACAAATTCTCAATCTTCTCTTCCAAAATCAAAATGTAGTGATCAAGATGAATACTTCACTTTATTGCTTAAATAAACACTATTTAAGTGATATCGAAGGAAAGGATATTAACATCTGAACAGTTTCTTCTACATATGTGAGACAGTTTACTGTCATCGTTTTATTTTCATGCACACAGCAGCCACCTCAGACATATGCTATTATAATTGAGGCTCATGGAGGTTAAATTGCCCAGTAGCTCAGCCCCTACATGGTGAAGGTGGGAGTAGATCTTGTCAGTCTGGTGTAGAAATCTTACTCCTTCCCATTACATCACTCAGCATTAACAGTGGAATTACCAAACAAATGAGCCCTAATTAAAAGAAGTGGCTCTGTAATTCATTTCTAATCTAGCCTATATATGTCTGGAATCATGAATTGCTGTATAGTGAAAAAAATCTCTGGACTGGGAGTTGGAAGATCTAATACTTTCTGCTCAGCATAACAGCAATTGTGGGCATGCCAAAAGTTCTTTGAGCCCCAGTTTCCTCATATGTAAAATAGAGATTCTACTATCTTCTTGATCTACTCCTCTAAGTTATAGTGGAGAGAGAAGTACAGATGTTTTATAACTGTAAAGGACTAAACAAGTGTAGGGAAATATCACCAGCAATACTCTCTATATATGACAGGTACCTAGAAAATACCAATTTCTTTTAAACAGGCAAGAAAAATATTTATGGTATCAAGACATTGGGTAGAAATAAAATCTACTCAGAATAGATTTCTGAAATAGATTTCTACTCAGAATAGATTTCAAATGGCCTGTCCTAGCATATAAAATTAAATTTCACTGTCAAGTGATGACTCCCTAGATAGACTCAGCAGACTTCCCAGGGTTTCCTGATTGAGCGACTGTAGGTGTACAAAGTTAAAATCCTTCATTATATATCACCAGATTTTACATTCCCTTATTAGTCTTCCACCCAAGGGAATTCTCCTCTGTGGCATACTTTAGTGTTTTGTTTCTTTTTTCTAAGTGCCTGAGAATCAAAAGATCTTCATTCTTATTCTAGGCCAACCACATTCTAACTGTGGATACAGGCATGTTTAACCTCTGCAGATACTAGCCTCTTCACCTACAAAGTAGTTAGGCAATGTTTAGGGTTGCCAGATCAAATACAGGAAGCCCAGTGAAATCTGAATTTCAGATGAACAAAATTTTTATAGTATAAATATTTTCTGTATTTCTATCTGAGAAATTTGGCAATGCTAGCTGAATGAATTCTCAGGCCCCTCAATCTCAGCATGGTCTTACTTCAGAAGATACAACTAACAATAACAATCACAATAGTTGAATTATTTAAGATTTACTCTGAGCCAGGCACTATTATCAGTGCCCCAACATATATTATCTAAGTTAATCTTCTACAACTCCTACAAGATAGCATGAATTTAGAACACAGTTAATGTGATTTAGCTCTGTGTCCCCACCCAAATCTCACCTTGAATTGTAATACCCATAAACCCCACCTGTAAAGGGCAGGACCAGGTGGAGGTATTTGAATCTCATTATCACAAGAACAGCATGGGAGAAACCACCCCATGATTCAAATCTGATGGTTTTATAAGCGTGTGGCATTTCCCCTGCTTGTGCTCACTCTGTCCTGCCACTCTGTGAAGAAGGTCTGTGCTTCTCCTTTGCCTTCTACCATGATTGTAAGTTTCCTGAGGCCTCCCCAGCCATGTGGAACTGTGGGTCAATTAAACCTCTTTCCTTTGTAAATTACCCAATCTCGGGTAATTCTTCATAGCAGTGTGAGAATAGACTAATACAACAGTTCACAAGACTGCTCTCATCTCTGACATCAGTTGAATTCACCAGTCCTCAAGATTACCCTTAGGATCACTAATTCACTAGAAGGACCCACGGAACTCACTGAAACTTTTTATACTTACAGTTACAGTTTATTATAGCTAAAGAATAGAGATTAAAAGCAGCCAAGGGGAGAGGCACAGTGTTGTGGACAGTGTAAATCCTGGCAATCATATGTGACAATACACAGAGAGCATTGCTGGATGGGGAAGCTCACCTGAGCTCTGGTGTCCAGAGTCTTTTTTTTGGGCTCCATTGTCAACTACCTATGCAACCAATCTCAATTTCCAGCCCCTTTATAGGTCAAGCTAATACCAAATGACTCAAAGCCTCACCATAAATCACATTGTTAGACTTTCTGGCATAGTCAATGCCCCCAGGTAAACAAAGACACTCTTAACAGGCAGGACATTCCAAGGGCCTAGAGATAATCTCCAGTAGCTAAGATCAAAGTCCAGACTTCCCTTTGGGCAAGGTTAAATAATTTATTGCACAGATAGGTAACAGTAGTTGTTCTCATTTTAAAGTTGAAAATAACCCTGAGGTACAAAGTCAAATGACTTCTCCATGGTTGTATAACTAGTCAGTAGCAGAGCTGAGATTCAAATTCAGAGCCTGTGCTTTTAATCACTAAACTGCGCCAGATTTGATTTACAGAGAGATCTAGGACTGAGTCCCAAAATTGATTGATTCTCCAGCTACTGTTATTCTCAAACCAAGTCATCAGTTCCTTTCAAACAAAGCCTTATTCAACTCAGGTTATTACAATATAATCCTTGGTTTCAATTTTCTAATTCCCTGATTAGGGAAACAGCCAAAGATGACTTTTTTCAGCTGAAATGACACAGCACCCCAGGTTTGTCAATTACCACTACAAATGTTGGACATCCACCATGCACCAGGCACATGCAGAAGAGGTTACATTGCACACTGTACCAATGTCATTACTGGATCCAGGTAGAGGTCAGTAATGAAAGACTTTAAGATTGTTCCTTCCCACTATCATTTCTGAATGGTCAATGGTACCAGTGTTGTCAGATTCTTAGTCTCTCTCCTCTCAGTCCCCCTCCCTCCTTTCCTCCTTCTCTCTCTCCTGCTGTCTCACTGAGGCAGATGGCCCAGCTGCTGAGTGTTTGTTGGATTTCTCTTTTACTCCTTATCCTCAGCTCTGTTGGGTAAGAGAAGCAGGGCAATGCTTAGTGGAAAAAATAGGCAAAGCCAGTTCTGTTTTAAAATTCCTTTGACCTATTTCATGTTAAAACAAAACAAAAAACAAAAATGAGAAAAAAAAAGAGTCTTTCTCAGGAGTCAACCAAATTCTCATAAGAACTGTCTAAATTTGGCGACCAAAGCCATTGCTAATTTTATCTATGTTTGCCATTTTATTCTTGGTTTACCTTCTGTTTGTTTCAAATGTAGAGCTATTAAGGAGAGAAAATGGTTTAGATTTAAGAATTCCTATACCTTCAGTCAAAATAACATCATTATTAAAACACAATAGTGATCATTTACACACACCATACTGCCAAAAGAAAACTGAGGACCAGGCAAGCTACGTGGGGAGGCCAGAGTCACACAGAAAGTTAACGGCCAAGTTAGAACTGGAACCAAGGTCTCCTAATTTAGAACTCAGCAAAGACTATGTCACCTCTTCCATGGACAATCAGAGAAAGAGAGCAGGCGCGGTGGCTCACGCCTGTAATCCCAGCACTTTGGGAGGCCCAGGCGGGCAGATCACGAGGTCAGGAGATTGAGACCATCCTGGCTAACAAGGTGAAACCCCGTCTCTACTAAAAATACAAAAAATTAGCCGGGCATGGTGGCGGGCCCCTGTAGTCCCAGCTACTTGGGAGGCTGAGGCAGGAGAATGGCGTGAACCCGGGAGGCAGAGCTTGCAGTGAGCCGAGATCGCGCCACTGCACTCCAGCCTGGGCGACAGAGCAAGACTCCGTCTCAAAAAAAAAAAAAAATCGGAGAAAGAGAAAGTGTGAGGAGGAAAGAAGGGAGGGAGGAAGAACAGAGGGAAGGAAGAAAGGTAGGAAAACAATGGAAGGGAAGAAAGAAAGTCTGCTCTACAAACAGTTCAACCAATAGATTACATGCAAAGGAAGACACTGCCCTGACAGCCAAATATATGCAGTACCTAAAAGTTCAACAGCTTAGGGAAGATTTTCTGAAAACAACAGTAGATATTTAGTGTTTTGCTATTCTTGTTTGTTTGTTACATTTTACAGTTGTCTTTAGACAAATATCAATACATTGGTCTCCAAAGGAAGTATTTTGTGGTTTGGATTTGATTTTCTGGTTTTGTTTGTTTTTGGTTTTGGCTTATTTATTTATTTATTTGTTTTTTGAAGATATATCTAAAAAGTAAGAGGAGCAGAATTTGAAGCAGTAGAAGTTAGAAAATGAAGAGGCTACTCAGTTCACTTTTTTTCCTAGCATTGAAATAGTCTCATGACATACAACTACCTAAGGATAATATTAACAAATGTTTAATTACTAATACACCAAGGACACCAAATAGGCACAGACATCAACCAGTCAGTCCAGATGCTAGTCACAGGTCACAGGTTTTTATAAATGAGATACTGGTACACACTGCCTGTCAGTATTTTATGACTCATAAGTCCCAATATTTAAGGAGCACTTATTTTGAATTGGTCACTATTTTATAAGCATATTATTATACTTAGTCCTTCTAACATCTCATTTTACAGATGAGAAAACTGAGGCCTAAGAAGTTTAAATAGCTTCACAATATTTCGCAACTAGTAATTGGCAAAGTTAGAACTTTAACCCAGGTCTGAAACCTCAGAACCAATAATATTAAGCATAAAACATTGTCTCATATTTAGTGACAAAATAAGATGTATTGGCCATTAGTAAGAATGTCATTATTTGGATGGTTTGGTTTGCTTTGTGTGAGTTTGATTGGATTTAGTTTTGTTTTAAGCCAACAGTCCTCCCCGCAAATTTTCATAATCATGATGTTGACTTAAATCAACTTTGTTTTACATCAAAGCAAAGATGTTTCAGCATATTTAACTTGTCAACAGCAATTTTATTGATAAAATTTCACATAAAGAAATATCAAGGTTCATTCCAGAGACATCTATCTATTGGCCATTTTCAGTATTTCTACAACATTCTGAGGGAATCTAGAATATTTCCTTTACATCACAATGAAATCAAACCAAATATTATGAAACAAGCTAGTATATAGCTATTTCAAGCAAATGGGTCACCTATAATTTCTTTGAAAAATATTCTAAGTCAGAACCCAGTCCAGTAATTAGTACAAAATTGGCCCAGATAAGTATGATTGTAGTGAGGGTTCATCAAATAAATAGCAGTGGTTAAAATTCTATGCCAACTTGCGACTTATATTTGCATATAAGAAATAAACAGATTTAGAGATTTAGGGTTGAGGATAAGTGAGCCTCTTCATTTAGGAGGCAGAAATCACACCAATTAAGTTGCCCAAAGATCAATTCCAGGCTGTTACAGCAACCTTAAACCAACCAGAAAGTTTAATCCTATCGGGATTCCAAGATTGTAGCCAATGCATACAAGTAAATATCACCATGGGACAGAGACCCCTAGAGTCTGAATAATTCATTTTGGAAATGGCAGATTGGTTTTGAAAAGAGAACTGCTTTTATCATTTGTTCACTTCATATCAAGATGTTTAAGCAGATTTTTTTTTTACTCTTAAATGTGTCAACTGCTGTATATTTTATAGATTGTGTGCATGTTGCTGTATTTTGAAGTACTAGTTTTGAGGTTTTTAAAAATTTTTATTTATTTTAAGTTCAGGGGTACACGTGCAGGTTTGTTATATAGGTAAACTTGTGTCATGGGGTTTTTGTAAAGATTATTTCATCACACAAGTATTATGCCTAGTACCCACTAGTTATTTTTCCTGATCCTCTCCCTCTTCCTACCCTCCACCCTCCAATAGGCCCCAGTGTGTGTTGTTCCCCTTTATGTGTCCATGTTTTCTCATCATTAAGCTCTCAAGTGAAAACAAGTGGTATTTGGTTTTCTCTTCCTCCACTAGTTTGCTAAGGATAATGGCCTCCAGCTCCATCCATGTTTCTGTGAAGGACATGGTTTCATTCTTGTTTATGGCTGCATAGTATTCCATGGTGTATATGTATCACATTTTCTTTATCCAGTCTATCACTGATGACAATTTAGTTTGATTCCATGTCTTTGCTATTGTAAATAGTGCTGCAGTGAACATAGGTGTGCATGTATCTTTATAATAGAATGATTTGTATCCCTTTGGGTATATACCCAGTAATGACATTGCTGGGTCAAATGAGATTTCTGCTTTTAGGTCTTTGAGGATTGCCATACTGTCTTTCCAATGGTTAAACTAATTTACACTCCCACCAATGTGTAAAAGCTTTCCTTTTTCTCTGCAACCTCACCAGCATGTTATTGTTTTGACTTTTTAATAATAGTCAATCTGACTAGTGTGAGATAATATCTCATTGTAATTTTTATTTGCATTTCTCTAATGATCAGTGATGCTGAGCTTTTTTTCATATGATTGTTGGCTACATGTATGTCTTCCTTTGAAACTATCTGTTCACGTCCTTTGCACACTTTTTAATGGGTTATTGTTTTTTTCTTGTAAATCTGTTTTAACTTCCTTACGGTAGATATTAGACCTTTGTCAGATGTATAGCTTGCAAAAATTTTCTCTCATCCTATAGGTTGTCTGTTTAGTCTGCTGATAGTTTCCTTTGGTACGCAGAAACTCTTGAGTTTAATTAGATCCCATTTGTCAATTTTTGCTTTTGTTGCAATTGTTTTTGGCATCTCTGTCATGAAATCTTTGCCTGTTCCTATGTCCTGAATGGCATTGCCTAGGTTTTCTTCCAGGGTATTTATAGTTTTGGGTTTTATGTTTAAGTCTAAAGTATTGCTTTAAACTACATGTGTGGTATGAGTCCTAATTAATCAGGAATGGCTTAAAGGCTGCCGTAGTAGCTGATATTAAAGCTGTCATTTAGTTAAATAGCACTAACCTACAGGGAGAGATTGTGGCATTGGAGAAGGCCACAGAATTCCTAGCAGCTGTGTTATTGAGAGTAGAGGCAGGTCAGTCAGGGCAGTGAAAGAAGGGCAGGGTATAGTCATCCAAAAGGCTTATGTTAAAAATTAGCCCATGTTAATATTATTGAAATTCCTTAAATTTTGAGAGTTTACATATATATAATAATCCATAATTTAATTTTAATTTGTAAGGTGATATAAAATTTGTTTACCAAAGGTAAATAATATTACATCCTGAAATTTAAAATTAAATGCGAATTTCTGCTAAATTTCAGTACTAAATATCTGGAGGGATTTTACTTTGATATTTCTTTTGCTGTAATATTTTTGTTTCCTTTTCCTTTTACTCAGCTCACCCTTCCCCATTCCTATCCTAATCATTAGGTAATTAATATTAACAGACTGAAGTTAATTCCTTTACATTTCCCACTATACATTGTTTATAAAATATAAAACAATATACAGAAATACAAGAAAAAATATTGAAAAAAGACAAATTGTTAAAATGATTTACTTTTTTACTTGACTTTTACTGGCGTCAGGCCTGCATCTTAGTCTGAAGGTTCTTGCCAAACTCCTGTTTCTCTTCTTTATCTTTTACACACATTTTGACTATTAAATTTCTTAAATGTATAATCCCATCTTCCCATCCTCTTCCTTTGGTGTCCAAACCAATATAATTATTTCAAAATTTTCACTATTTAAACAATATTGTGATGAAAATATTTATGCGGGCTAGATGTGATGGCTCATGCCTGTAATCCCAGCTCTTTGGGAGGCCAAGGTAGGATGACTGATGGAGCCCAAGAATTCAAGACCATCCTGTTCATAACATAATGAGACCCCATCTCTACAAAAAAAAAAAAAAAAAAAAAAAAAAAAAACAGAAAAATATAAAATTAACCAGGCAAGGTGTTGCCCACCTTCAGTCCCAGCTACTCAGGAATCTGAGAGAGGAGGATTGCTTGAGCCCAGGAGTTCTAAGTTGCAGTGAGCCATGATTGTGCCACTGCACTCCAGCCTGAGTAACAGAGTGAGACAGACAGACAGAAAGAAAGAAAGAAAGAAAGAAAGAAAGAAAGAAAGAAAGAAAGAAAGAAAGAAAGAAAAAGAAAAGAAAGGAAGGATATTTAGAAAGAAAAATATTTATATATATTTTTCTGGACTTTCAATAAAATTCTTAAAAGAGATTCTTCACTAGGCAATATGAGCATTTTTAGAACTCTTGGCATGTATTGCCAAATGGTGTTTCAAATTGTTACAATTTACTCTAACACCAATAACAAATTAAAGTACTTATATTGCCAAATTCTCCACAGAATATTATAATTTAAAAAGTAAAAGCTTTTTGCTAAGTAAAAGGGTAAACTGATAATTTATAGCTGTTTTATTATGCACTTTTTTGAACCTCGTGAACTTGAACTTAAGTCTAGATATTTGTATATTAATTGTATTCCTTCTTTGTGAGAATTCTATTGGTATCTTTTGTCCATTTATATCTTGTAGGTCCTACCTTTTCTTTCCATTTGCGCCATGCATTTTATTCATTAAAGTATCTAGTCCTTCTTTAATTTCCTTTAGAAAAAAAATTAAAACTAATTTTAAACAGAAATAGTTTCATTTTAAGTACATCAAAGTTACCTGTGACTAATGATACAGTATGAGCTTTTTTAAAATAGCACACTTCCAATGTGTTATGAGCTCTTCTTTTACCGGAATGTCAACATTTATTCTTTGGAAAATTTTAAATGTTAGCAATTAAGTATGTGTAGAATTACCTATCATGGAAAAAACAAAAAACTGCTAAAATTACTTTAGAAAATGCCATATTTCTGATTAAATAAATTTTTTATTCTTTTTTACAAATAAAACACTGTTGATTGTATTTTAACCATCTTCCACATCTCCATAGAGTAAATTAAGCTGCAATTGTTCAACTAAGAAACAAGTGATAAGGGGGAAGAAAAGGCCCAAATTTTCATACAGAATCTCTACTGGATTACTGCATTAACTCACACACACACAAATATACCCCTTTAAGTCTTAATGTTGACATACAAAAATATAGAAAATAATATTCTGAACACCTTTGTACTCACCACCAAGTTTAAGAAATAAACATAACAGATCATTTAAAGCATTATGTAATCTCTCCAGTTACTTTCCTCTCTCCCGTACCCAAAGTTAGCCACTATTATAAACTTCATGTTTCTCATTCTTGTGCTTGTTTTCATACTTTCATTTCACTGTACTTTATTTCACTATGCTTTTATTTCATTCTAGTTTCAGGAAACAATATGCAACATTTTTTGAATCATTTAAATGTTATGTGAATAGTATTATAATCTACATATCATTCTGCAATTTGTTTCTTTACCACACCATTATATTTTTGAGATGTATTCATCTTGGCAAATGTAGCTCTGGTCCATGTTAACTGTTGGATAATACTTTTCTACTGGAGGTGGTGCCTGTGGCTCAGCAGCATCAGGGGCCCTGGGAGTCGGCTAGAAATGCAGGATCTCAGAACTGACCCTAGACCAACAGCATCAAAATCTACATTTTAACAAGGTCCCTGTATGATTTAGATGCACACTAATGTTTGAGAAATATTGGCATCGAATTTCATTGCATTACAATTTCACACTTTATTTCCACTAATGAATATTTAGACTGTTTCTAAATTTTTAATATGCTAATTTGATGCTTTGTTTTGCTTTTGTTTTTAAGAAAATTTGCCATACACTAAACAAAAAAATATCATTTCATGAACAGCCTCATTTAGTCATGTAAATGACTTACTGAGGGAGTGGTTCTTTATTCCAGGATGAGGCAGGCTAGTAACATGCATTACGTTGGTGCAAAAGTAATTGCGGGTTTTTTGGCCAGTGGAAGTAATGGCAGGAACTGCAATTACTTTTGCACCAATTTAATAGAAATTGCTCAACAGCACTTAATTTTAAAGACATGCTACATTTTCTTACTTTTACTATATTAACTAAAATCCTGCATCTGCTGACCATGGTCAACAAGGTGTCCAATTTTATAAATTTACTTGGTTCCCCCGCCTCTATATCCATTACACTAGGACCTTAGCCCACAAAGATAAGAATGAGGCATTTAATTCTCAGTCCGCCATGTTGACGATGAGGATGTTCACAGACTAGACCTATGAAACGCCTTCAAAGGCCTGTAATTCCACTGCATCTCCATCAAGCTTCATGAGAGGCAACTTCACTGAGTCTGGTGACCAGCCCCCTGCACTCACAGGCAGGCAGGCATTCCCTTCAAGGCCCCCAGGGTGCTGTTTGGCAGACCCTTGTTGGGTAACCTAACATCCCTCCTGCTTTCCTACTGGATGTTTGTGAAACCAACCTGCTGGTTAGAGTTGCCACATTGGAAACACAAAGCACCATCAGAATTGTCTCCTGCTCTTTAAGTAATTTCTGCTATGACTAAAACTTTTTAGTTTTCTTTGTTTTCAAAAAAGTCTGCTAATTCTCCATTGACAAGGAGAGCTCAGACCTTGGAAAGAAGCCCAACTAAGTCCTCTCGTTTCTTTAGCAAGAACATACAATAGAGAAAAATAATACAAGGTGCTAATTAATTTCTCATTACTTATTCTATTATAAGCTTAACATTTGCTAAAGCTGGAGGGTCTAACTCAGAGTAAAGTAGCTAAGTTATCTTCAGGACTGATTGATCTTAGCACTGAGTTACTATTGTTTTTAACTCATCTCCTCCAACATAACATCTTCTATTTTATAAATTAGGAAATTGTCCAAAAAGAGTATAAATGGCCAAACCTAGTCCCAAAGTTGTTCTAGATATAACGAAGCCAGAGTTCCTCTGAAAAACATCACTTAGGAAATGGCCTCACTGGTTTGATCTAGCATAAGTCCAATGAGATCTTGCCTTTTTGGGACCATCATAGGGATTCCTTCAAAATTCTTTCTCAGGAATGAAGTTGCTGTCACACCAGTAACCACTATTAGCAAATAATTAAAAACCAAATGAAAAAAAAACAGAACATTTGGTCGCTTAGGCAAGGTAGAAATTGATCTAAGAAATCTGTAGGATTGATAAGTTGTTTCAAGGCAAAATCTAGTAAGACAACAATTATTAAAGACTTGCTTAAGTGGACACAGCTAGCTGATGGTAGAGTGCAAAATTCTATGAGACCTGCTGCCCCTAAAATTCAATTCAGTCAACATGCTCACTGCCCAGTATGTGCCAGGTACTTCACACTTTATCTCATTTGATCTTTAAGATCATTCTCATTCTTTAGGGTAATATATGATCACCATCTAACCATATAAGAAAGCTAAACTTCGGAGGCGGGGAAAGGTATTTATATACCTGGTAAGTAACAGAACTGAGAGAACTAAGTTTACTTCAAGTGAGGCTTCTGGTTGCAGATCCAGCTTTCTTTCCTTTATACTTCATTAAATAGACAGTAAAAACACCAGCTGGTTATATACCTCCAAACTAACTGACCAGCCTCAAAGAAGCTGTATTAACACTCATTATCCAAATCTCTCCATCCCTTGGCCCTTTACTGCTCATATTGGACACCAGCCACTGGAAAAGAAAAAAAAAATATTTCTTGGAGACATGCTCTGGAAAATTTCTACTCCTACCTGGACACAAATTGTAATGTGTTCTTTCCTGCCAGGATTTTACTCCATACCGTCAAGTCCCTTTTCTCATACCCAGATTCTTCCACCACTGAGGCTCCCATGGAGAAGAACCTTCTGAGCATCCCACCCAACCAGTGTTTATCAGATGTGTCTCAGTCTCATCTGAAGACAGTCCCAAGATAGCACCACAGGACAATAAAGAGAGCTGATTGTTTATTGAGCTCCTGCTATGGGCAAGCTCTGTGTCAATTGTTGTGTTTATATTAATTAGTCTTATGAGCCTGCGGACAGGTATTATTATCTTCATTTTCATATAAGGAAGCTAAGTCTTAGAACCTTTAAACTATCTAAGACTATATGGATGATAACTAAATTATTAATTTGCCACAGATTTTCGGTCTCTGAACTCTACTCTTCCCTTTAGATCAATGTGTGTGTGTATGTGTGTTGTGGGGGGCAGGGGGGTGTCTGTGTGTGTGAAGTGGTTTCTAGGCCATTTTATTCTCCCCACAAATATTGATTTATACATATGTCCCCTATGCTGTGTTTGGAAATATAATGAGAAAAAAACAGACATAGTCCTCACCCTCATGTAGCTAACAGTCCTATGGGAAAGGTAAACAGAAATCAAATAATCATATACATATAGAATCCTACGATTATTCATGTCAGGCTCCCTGGCCCCCACATCCATTGAGAATGTCTATAGAAGTCCAAAAGTAAATCACAAACACAGATCAGGACTTTATTTCCCTATTTATTTATCACTCCCTAGGTTAATTAATGAATACCTATGGATATTCATTAAAGAAGAGCAGAGTTCACCCAAACCCACCCGCTTGTGTTCATCCAGGTCTCAGGGTAAATCTGAACCCTGTGAAGTAGCAATTAGTTTCAAAATGAAAATGACTCTGGGAGAGGTAATGCATGTCTGTACAGTCACCAAAAGATATAAAATCCCAAAGCAAACATCAAGGGAGATAGAAATTTTGAAAACGGTATGAGTAAATATTTCCTACGATATCATTTTGCTTCACACCAATCTTGGAAGAGAACTGTGACTTCAGAAATTCAGTATGAATGTTAAGACTACTAAGATAATTTTATTTCCATTTTATAAACCTTGTAAATATTACAGGCAGTTTCAACTGCCCTGGGAAAAAATATTATAAATGAAAGTTTGGAACATTTCCTTTGAAGGAAAACTCTCTTGTTATTAGGCTGTCTGGGGAAAGGTTACTTATGGCCAAATGATTAGGAGGATTTTAGGATAATTGCTGCTCGATGCTCCAGTTTAGAATTTGAGGTTGAGGTTTGAAACGGCAGAGTTGGCAGAAACTTTATGACATCTTAAAAAAATTATAAGAGAGCACTTTCACCATATTTAAAAGAGCGTTGTTTCTCAGAACCAGTGAAAGTCTCTCTTGAGCACACTTTATGCCTTCAACAGCCATAGTGTGAAACAGGTAACCTCATTCCTGAGATACTTGCAAAGAAGGGAAGTGGCTTCTGGTTTGGGTCCCTAAGATCTCTAATGAAGAAGAGTAGAGATTTTGATTGGGTAGGTCATAGAGGCTTGACTGAGACCAGGTCACATATAATGAGTGGCCTGTGGTTTGGATGAGGTGATCTTTCTTTTCCATGAGCTGTGATTCTGTTTCCAAAGGAAGATTGGGGATAAAGTTGGAAAGAATGTGGCTCAATGCTCTGAAGCTGTCTTCTGTGGGTTGGAATAGCCAAACACCCAGAGATCTGAAGGAGAAGAAAGTGGTTTCCTTATAATTGAGGAGGAAATGATGGCATGCTAGATACAGTGCTTACTTCACAGTGATTCACCTTGCGCTAAACAGTTCCTGAGTGCATAGAACCAGGTTATATATTTGCATCAGTAACAGGCTGCAGAAGGAAGAATACTACCACAGAGCAGGGGACTCATAAAATAGTACAACCTGCAAGTCGAATCATGCCACACCCCCATTCAAAATCCTTCCATGGTCTCCTGATGCCCATAGAATAAAACCCAAACTCCTCAGCATAGCACACTTTTATCTAAGTGGCCTTCTATTTATCATTCCCTCTTTCCATATTTGGTGCTTCAGGATACCACCATGTTCCAGTACCACCTCCACCCGCCAACATTTAAGTACCGGTTTGTCCTTCAAATCTTGAATCAAATGTGAAATGATCTTCCCTGCCAGAAGGCGTTCTTGCTCTGCCAGGGAGAGTGACTTGCCACCACCCTCCATTCTCCATCATTGCAGCACTTTTCATCAGTTTGCATGGTCATAGTTTGCCTTGTCACAGACTGCAAGGTCTCTGATAACATGGCACACATTGTAGTCTTCTAACTTACTAGTGTGTGAATTTGGGCAAATGATTTCATCACTTTGTACCTCAGTTTCCCCACAGGAAGGCTGCTACTTAAGGCATACTTCCTTCTGCTTTGGAAAATAAAGGGCTGGAGATAATGTTCAGCGTGATGATGTTGAGTGCAAACAGACTGCACGTGAAATTTACAGCAGAAAAGGGACAGTTCAGAAGTGGGGACTCAAAACTAAAGTGATTCAAGAAAAACTAAGCTCCGAGATCTCTGGAGATGTTGAGAAAAGCAACAGGCTTGGAGTTCAAAACAATCTCATTAAAATCTTGAAGAATAAGTTTGTCTCAAGAGACTTAAAGGTTTAAGGTGTGCAGGGCACAGTGGATCATGCCTGTAATGCTAGCACTCTGGAGGCAAAGGAAGGTAGATCACTTGAGCTCAGAAATTTGAGACCAGCCTGGGCAACATGGCAAAACCCCAACTCTACTAAAAATACAAAAAATTGCCCAGTGTGGTGGCGCACGCCTGTAGTTGCAGCTACTTTGGGGGCTGAGGCAGGAGGATCACTTGAACCTGGGAAGTCGAGGCTGCAGTGAGCCAAGATTTTGCCACTGAACTCCAGCCTGGGTGACAGAGTGAGACCCTGTCTCAAACAAAACAAACAAATAAAGATTTAAGGTCATCCATTTAATTACTGGTTATGTGCTGATGGTTCCCATTTTCAAGCCATGTCCCAGGAATTAACTAATGTCTTTCATGCCCTCAGCAAGATTATGTCAGTAGCTGTAAGACAGATAGATAAATAGAAAGAGAGGAAGAGAGAGAATCAAAGCTAGACACTGGTCAGGCTTTCATAAAGCCCCCCTGAGTAAATGCAAGTGACTCGGTATTCATTTATTCAGACAACAATCTCTGTAGAGTATGCCCCAAGCATTGGGCCTGCCTTAGTACTTCGGGTACACAGAGAAATGAAAGGGCCTCCCCCAGGCTTCAGACTGTAGCCTAGAAACCTTCAAGGACTAGGAACAGTGAATCCCAGTCTCCTTCAGCTCCTGTAACACCTCTATACCTTGATCTGGCAAGATCTTTACATGGTTAAGTACATATTCTATTCTGAGGTGGTAAAATTGGTATTTCCACGTCCATGAAGTTCATTCTACTTCAACAACTGCAGTGTTCTAAGAAGGATTATTCTCACTTTTATTTTGTAGTTTCTGAAACATCCTTAGGAGGTTAGTCTTACAGTCAAAATATCAACCCTTGAAACCTGTGAATGAAAGGGATACTGACAATGCTATTGTTCAGCCAGTCTCACAAAAGAACATCACAATTGAGGAAGAGATCACTATCACCTTTATAGTAGCCCTCTATGACCTTAGCTATAATGGCACAACCTCCTTTCAATGTGTAAAGAGCAGATATAAATACAGTAACACCATAATACATCCTTAGCAATATGAAATACCTTTTTCTAGGACAGAATGGAGACAGCTAACTAAAGTCTTACAATGTTAACCCATCAATCACTCAGCAAGCCTTTAATGAAAGACATAGCACAGGTCCTCTCAACACTGGCTTTTGGCTTCCTTAAATAAAGTCCACATGTTTCTTAAGTTCCATAAAAAATGCAAACCATTTAGAGATGGCATCTAAGAAAAAAGAAAATATTTTTTTCCTGAAATAGACTTCTAAAATCAATAATAATTCTTCACTATTTTCTTGATCAACTTGGAAATTTGGTGTTTGCTCTAGATTTGAAGGTCAGTATCTTTTCCATACCATGAGGCATTGCTTCCACAACCAGCAGGATGCAGAAAATGCTTTCCAAGAGTTCGTCAAATCCCAAAGCATGAATTTTTTATTCTACTGGAATAAACAAACTTATTTCTCATTGGTAAAAATGTGTCGATTGTCATTTTTGATTAATAAGGATGTGTTTGAGCCTAGTTATACTGATTTAAAATTCATGGTGCAAAACCATAACTACTTTTGCACCAACATAATACTTATTTCACCCGGAATAAAATATAGATTCTGTTAGTAAAGCAGAAGTAGAGAAGGGAGATTATTCGGTAAGCAGTATTTTTTCCACAGATGAAAGCATGTATGAATCAGAATGTCAAGTTATTAATTTACAGCAAGAAATATTGTGGTCTTATATTGAGGGGTAGGAAGAATTGAGATGGAAAATCAAATTAACCCCTTAAGTAAAACCTATCTGCAGGTATGCAGATGGAAGTTGCCAAGAATATTATGAACCTAATCAAAACAGGTAACCACAGTTAGAGAAGCAAAACAAAGCACAAGTCAAAAGCCAATAAATAAAGGAGGACAAATAAGAAAAGAGACATCAGTATAACAGTATAGCAAGGAAGCCAGAGCAAGCAAGCAAACCAGACCAAAACTCAAAGGATGTATGAAGGGAATACTTGCAGAGCTAAAAATAATTCTGCATAACAAAGTTTCTCAACTTCAGCACTATTGACATTTTAGACTAAATAATTATTTGTTGTGGAGGGCTGTCCTACATTGTGGGATGTTAGCTATGTCTCTACTATTCACCAATTTTCAGTTATATGTTCCCCAGTTATGACAACCAAATGTTTCCAGATATTGCCTAATGTCCCTTAACCTCAAGCAAAATTACCCACAGTTGAGGACCACTGTTGTCAAGCTTTGTTGACATTCTAGCAGGTTTTACAGTTCCAACTCTGAGAATGCCTTAAAAGCATTGACCAGCTTCTATGGAAAATGACAAGAATAGAAACCAATAGCCCAGATGGGCATGGTGGCTCAAACTTGTAATCTCAGCACTTAAGGAGGCTGAGGCAGGTAAATTGCTTTGAGCTCAGGAGTTCAAGACCAGCCTGGGAAATATGGCAAAACCCCATCTCTACAAAAAATACAAAAATTAGCTAGGCATTTTTTGACTCACGCTTGTAGTCCCAGCTACTCAGGACCTGAGGCTGGAGAACTGCTTGAGCCCAGAAGTGGAGGTTGCAGTGAGCCAAGATCATGCCACTGCACTCCAGCCTGGGTGACTAAGTGAGACCCTTTCTCAAAAAAAATAAAAATGAAATAAAAAATAAAAAGAAAGAAATCAATAGCCCAGAGGGGCTTGAAACTTTCGTACTGACAATTTTTGCTTATATTTCCCATGTCTTGTCTCAGGTAATGTGACTATCAAAAGTATTGATGGGGACATCGGGGAGTTGGAGGCAACCTTAAAGCTCAATAGGGAAGGGGTCAGTAAAGTAGTGTTGTTGCATGCCATGGAATCCAAGGCAACAGTTAGAAATGAAGAGCTAGATGGATGTACAGCAACATGAGTATAACTAGATCTACAGAGTTATGTTTAAAGAAATTTAAAATACAGATACATGCAAAACAACCCTACACATTTTACAAGAATTTAGACCTATTGAAGGATATTTATCAAACACATTAAAGTAAATTTTATATAAGGGAGAAGAATGGGATTGGGGATAACAGAGGGAAAATAAAATTAAATTAAGATTGAAGCCTTATATGGTACAATATATATATATATAGTATGTCATTAAGAGTATAATTAAATTAACTCTCAGCACTTACTGTTCAATAATTCAAAAAAGAAAGATAAAATGGAATTGGATATATTAAATTCACATTTTCACTGGACAGTTGATGTATTATCATGTTGGAGGTTTTCTCAGCACTGAGCAACCTCATCATTTGTACATAAGTTGTGCAGCATTTTTCTGACTTTCTAATTCTGATACAACTCCTAAGCTTTAAGTTATGAATAATCAAGAACTTATGACAGGTGGTAAGCTGAACCTCTACAACAGTAACCAAGCTCAATTTAGATCATTTTAAATAACTAAGCTATTTTGTCACCATTTTTCATGTAGAATCTACATTCTTCCTCCCTGAATGTAAACATAGAGCACTGGCGTATCACATGTTAGTCTGATGAACAATTATTACCACTGAATCTACTCTTAGATAATGGGGCATATGCACAACTAAACTGTTTACCGGCTTTTGCCTCTTTCAGGTTAGTGCATAATAGTGGAGATGACGTTTTAAACACAGACGACTCTGGTATTGAAGCTCCTCCTTCTTTATTCTAAGGTGATGCCATCTAGCTCCTTGAGCTAGTCATTAAAAGCAGCCAAAGTGATTGAGTCAAGGGGCCTTGTTAAATGGCTTTATCATGAACTTGATATGCAAGAGAAACAAATGGGGGAAAATCTCCAAGAATTTCAGTGTTAACACAAAGGTACAATTTTACAATAGTGAAATAACACCCACAAGATGCATCCTTGATGATCATGGAGGTTACATTCCAGTTATGGAATTGCTTGTGTTTGAAAGAAAAGAAAATAAATTACTACCTTGTTTCAGTCACAGTTAGCAGGGGGGCTTCTGCCACTTCCAGCTTAATCTAAACCTAATCAATCCAGGGTCATGATCCCAAAAAGATTAAAAACCATGATGCTTTCTTAAATTGATCTAATTTGTAAACCTCTTGAGGTCAGAACTATCTCTCATTCACACTGTAAAACACTACCATGCATCTAGTTAGAATTCAATATACATTTTTTTATTAAACTCATCCACAGCTGATCAATATATATTTTGATCTTAAAATATTTATGGTAAATGTTGAGCCCCACGTGTTGTTTGCAGCTGCACTTTTCTGCTCAAGTATTTCCATTTAATTTGTTTCCAAATTGAATGAAAGCCTCTCAGGCTATAAATCCCAGGAGGTGAGCTTTTGTCATCAAACTGTTGAAACATCCCAAGATATCTATTTTAACATCAGAATCTGATCAGGCTCCAGTATTATTTCAGGGTTGATTTAAACTGTATACAATTATCCAGCCTTTAAAAATGGAATTGCCTTTTTATAACAGAAAAGATGCTCCCTTTTTTGAATCTCAGTGAAACAACTAGGCAGATGACAAGCAGTCTGTCCCAAGATGGGGCTTTGGCTGGGAAATTACTACACATTAATGAAGTACCCCTTTGTCTACTCCAACCAAATCACAGCACCTAGGAGTTCAAGGGCTAAAATAAGAGAATTGAAAGCTGGTGTATCATGACAATCACAAGAAGGAACATTTCAAAGTTTGTTTTGTTTTGTTTTGTTTAAGTTTTGCTCTCCACCCACAAGTTATTCTCAATCTATTTCACTATCCCACTAAATACCATTCTAGGTTACATCTGAGAAATAAAATATCCCTGGTTTTCTGCTGTTGAATCCTCCTATGTCATTAAGATAAAACAAGCACAGCTTGAACCAAAAGTATCTGCCTAGTTTTGTACGTTACAGGGAAAATCTGAAATTTGAGTACAGCAGTCATTTCAGCAAAGGCTTTGGAAATGAGTAGTTTTCCTTTTATGGCAACTCGTTCCAGTCACTTCTCTGTTCTCTGGCAAGTCTAAACAACAACTTAAACACTTCTGTACTTTGTTCAAATCTTGGATCAGGAAAGTTATTCAAGGACATAGATCTAATGCGTGAAGTTCCATCACTTTCCCCAGCATAAATTACAACCTCTGCAAGGTGCAGAGAGAAAGTTACAACCCCTGATGTCTTGCTGAGAGGGAATCTTAACTCCCTTCCATTCCACCCTGGCCCCCACAGAAGCCTCTTGAGGCAAGCAAGCTGTGTCAGCAAAGCCACGCAAGCCTCTATCTCTATGACTCTGCCTGGTGATTCTGCTAAGGCAAGAGTCCGAGGCCCTCCTCAGTTGTGTCATGTTTGATTGTGGTGGGTCCTGTGCTGACACAGACTTGAAGATGTGTCAGCTGTGCCAGTGCTGGCTTCTTGGAGTGCCACAGGGTAATTGTGACCAGGCTGCAGAAATCACCAATGGAAGCACTGCACCTCAGCAATGATAGAGAGACAGAGACAGAGAGAGACAGAGAGACAGAGAGAGAGAGGCAGGGATGAGGGGGGAGCTAGTGAAGGAAAGAGAAGAGGAAGGAAAGGAGGGAGAGGGAGCAAGAGAGAGAAGAAGAGAGAGACAGACAGACACAGAGAGAGAGAGAGACAGAGAAGTGGGGGTGATGGGGGAGCTAGGTAAGGAAAAAGAAGAGGGACGAAAGGAGGGAGAGAGAGCAAGAGAGAGAGAGGAAGAGAGAGACAGACAGACACATACACACAGAGAGAGACAGACGGAGAGAGAGAGAGACATTACCCAGAACTCCTTACATAGTCTGCACCTTTGGAGAAGCAGTGGGAACCAGGCTGACTGGGTTTGAATCCCAGCTCTGCCATTGTGTTGCTGTGTGATCTGCAGTAAGTTACTTGTCTCTTCATGATTTACTTCCCTATCTACAAACTGAGGATGAGGCAACATAATTCTTAGGCTTATCATGAAAACTAACAGAGTAAAAATTTGTAAAGTACTTGGAACAATTCCTGGCACATGGTAAAATCTACATAAATGTTTGTTAAGTACATTTTTTGCTTAGGTTTTACCCAACAGAGGATTCACCCAAGTCCTAGTTTCTTACATAAAAATGAGCTTCTAAATTCAAGTATAGCTTCTCCCAAGAATTTAGTACTATTTCTATTTTCTAATACCATAGTTCTCGCTTTCCCACAGCTTCACTTTTCATGGTTTCAGTTACCTGAAGTCAACTGTGGTCTGAAAATATTACATGGAAAATTCCAGAAATAAACAATTCATGGTTTTAAATTGCTTGCTGTTCTGAGTTGCAAGATGAAATCTCACACCATCCTACCCCATCCTGCCAGGGACATAAATCTTTCCTTTGTCTAGTGTATTCACACGATGTATGCTTAGTAGCCATCTGGGTTATCAGACCAAATATCATGGTATCTCAGGGCTTGTATTCAAGTAACACTATTTTACTTAATTGTTCTTATTTTATTGTTAGTTATTGTTAATATCTTACTGTTCCTAATTTATAAATTAAACTTTATCAAAGGCATGTATGTGTTTCAATTACGGAGTTTTGAGGTATGGAGTTTATTAAATAGAAGTATTTTTTAACAATAAAGGAGAATTATTTGCATCTTGCCTAAGCAATACAGCTCTCTATGTTATATACCTCAATTGCCCTGGTTCCAGCTCACACCAACTTAAGCAAGACCTCTAGCCCACTGCAAACTGTCTGTGTCAGGGGGTCCAGAAGGAATCTCACATGTGCTCAACCACAAGCCTACTCACCACTGTCTAAGCTGCTCCCCAAGCATTACTGTTAATCTGCTCTGCTTTGCTCCTCAGAACCTCTGCAGTCATCATGTGGATACAGAAATATCCTTGTTAGTTGGAACCAGCACTCTTCAAGGCATAATGCTCACTCCATTGCTAATACCAGTTCCACCAAGCACTTAAGGCTACTTTGTGTTGCTCCTACCTGGAGGGTCCCCCTCCCTTAGAGCACTCTCAGGCTCCACAGTCCCGCAGAGATATACTCTTGGGTCTGCAAGGGGTCAGGCTGTGTCATCATTAGAGCACAATGGGAGGAAATCAGCTCTCCTAGGTGTGTTAAAAATCACTGGAATGAGGCCAGACATGGTGGCTCACGCCTGTAATCCCAGCACTCTGAGAGGCCCAGGTGGGTGGATCACCTGAGGTCAGGAGTTTAAGACTAGTCTGGCCAACATGGTGAAACCCTGTCTCTACTAAAAATACAAAAAATTAGCCAGGCGTGGTGGTGCACACCAGTAGACCCATCTACTCAGAAGGCTAAGGTGGGAGGATCACTTGGACCTGGGAGGCAAAGGTGGCAGTGAGCCAAGATTGCACCACTGCATTCCAGCTTGAGCGACAGAGCAAGACTCCATCTCAAAAAAAAAAAAAAAAAATTCACTGGAATGGTCCTCAAAAGCAGCATTGTTGGTCCGAATATATTACTAAGTTTGGTAATAGTCTTTTGAGTGTTAGTTACATATTATATTTCCTCCCAAGGACCCAAATGTGCTATCAGTGGTTAAGCGACACCACCCTGTACCAGCTGCACTCCTCCCTTCCAGTGTGAAAGGCCTCATCCTCAGGCTCTGCTGACCTCAGCAGGCTTCCTTCCTTAGGATGAGGACTCCCCAGCAGAGCTCCTCTCCCTGCCTGCAGTCCTTTGTCAGGACATTTACCAGTTTCCATATGTGCCCAGAGGCTTCTTAAATTCAGCAGTGAACACAGCAGAAGACACACAGATGTCCTCGCCTAGACATCTCCTCCATCCTCGAGGAAACAGGGTTGGAATAATATCGCTCAAGCATTAAGGGAAACTCTACGATATAAGCCAAATCTTTAGGTTAACATCTAGAGAAGTGGCTAGCCAAAAATAGCTGGGGGAGGGGGGTATGTAAAATAATTGTGACAGACTGCTAGTTTTTCCTCCAAAATCCATTCCCGCTAACCTTTTTCCGAAATATGAGAGTTTCACTAGGCATTTAGTTGCCCTGGTAGGACAACATTGCCCAGCCTCTCTTTTACTCAGGAGTCACCTTGTAGCTGAGTCCTCATGAATAGAATATGAGTGAAAGTGTTCTGAGCAACTCTTGTTCCATTTACTTAAAATGAAATCTATGCTTCCCCTTTCCTCACTTCCCACTGAGACTACCCAAGCTTCACATAGAAGACACCAAAGGGATAAATGAAGCTAAACTGTAGAAAAAACCTGAAGCCTTGAGTGACCACATAGGACAATGGCACTCCTACATGCTGGCCATTTCCTTCAACACACAAGAAGAAACAGACTTCTCTTTCATTTAAGCCATATGATTTAGGACCTCCTTGCTACAGTAACAAAACTGTACCCTAACTCATACTGGAGATGCTCACTCTTGGGTCTTCTCCCTAATATAAGGGCCATTACCTCATGGAGTCATGTTACAGCAGAAAGAGGAGAACAAAAGTGTTTCAAAGGAAAAGGGTGTTAGAAAGAACTCATGGATACCATGTTTAGAATAGTATTTGTTCAGTAAGAAAAGACTCTTTCTTCCCTATCTGTCCACAAGATTAGAAAGGGATTCTAATTCAAAGATGCGATGAGAAAGAAAAGTCACAGAGAAGGCGTTAATGGTGTAGGTGCTATGTGAGCTGTGAGAATGGTGCCCTCTTCCTGAGCACCCACCCTAACCCCTCTCCTATGCTAAGAAAGAGGGAGAGTGCATAGAATACTCAAATAGGTTTGTACAACCCCAGAGTAGCAGGAATTCTTCCAGGTAGAGCCCTGGGGAGGTGATAACTACCCAGAGAAAAAATGGCGGCACTACGTACCTAGGTATGAGAATGTCTGACAACAGTCTCCATGCCCCATCATGACTTAAGAACAGCAGGACTTTGCTGGATCCCAGAGTGCCACAGAGGAAGACAGAAGGAGCCAATGGAGCAAACGGAGATTTCTGAAAAGGAATTAAGATGGAAAGAGCAGCAGCCTGCATACACTGACATCTGAGGAGGGACTTGTGGACATCTTAGCCAATACCAACCAGCAGGAAAAGATGACAGTGGAAAACTGCAGCACTCCAACACAAACACTAGCTCCAGGTAAGCCCCTAGAACCTATATGCAAAGGCACGAAGGTAGAGATGATCTTTAGCAAGCTGATTAAGTTTCTAACTTACTAGAGCGCTTTAACCTGGTGTCTAGAACTTAGAAGGAGGACAAACAATATCTTCATTTCCACTAACTTCTGAATAATATTTGGTATCTTTTTCGATTACAAAATGAGTCTGCAGAGCAAGTAGTTAGGCAAAATCTGTCACCAATGAAGTCACACTTTTATGTGACTGTTGCGGGAAGTCAGGGACCCCGAATGGAGGGACTGGCTGAAGCTATGGTGGAAGAACATAAATTTTGAAGATTTCATGGACATTTATTAGATCCCCAAATTAATACTTTTATAATTTCTTATGCCTGTCTTTACTGTAATCTCTGAACATAAATTGTGAAGATTTCATGGACACTTATCACTTCCCCAGTCAATACCCTTGTGATTTCCTATGCCTGTCTTTACTTTAATCTCTTAATCCTGTCATCTCATAAACTGAGGAGGATGTATGTCGCCTCAGGACCCTGTGATGATTGTGTTAACTGCACAAATTGAAGAACATATGTGTTTGAACAATATGAAATCTGGGCACCTTGAAAAAAGAATAGGATAACAGCAATGTTCAGGGAACAAGAGAGATAACCTTAAACTCTGACTGCCAGTGAGCTGGGCAGAACAGAGCCATATTTCTCCTCTTTCAAAAGCAAACGGGAGAAATATTGCTGAATTCTTTTTCTCATCAAGGAACATCCCTGAGAAAAAGAATGCGCCCCTGAGGGTGGGCCTCTAAAATGGCCCCCTTGGGTGTGGCTGTCTTCTATGGTTGAAACTGTAGGGATGAAATAAGACCCAGTCTCCCATAGCGCTCCCAGGCTTATTAGGGCGAGGAAATTCCCACCTAACAAATTTTGGTCAGACCGGTTGCTCTCAAACCCTGTCTCCTGATAAGATGTTATCAATGACAATGGTGCCTGAAACTTCATTAGCAATTTTAATTTCGCCCAGGTCCTGTGGTCCTGTGATCTCACCCTGCCTCCATTTGCCTTGTGACATTCTATTACCTTGTGAAGCACATGATCTCTGTGACCCACACCCTACTCGTACACTCCCTTCCCTTTTGAAAATCACTAATAAAAACTTGCTGGTTTTACGGCTCAGGGGGCATCATGGAACCTACCATCATGTGATGTATCCCCTGGATGCTCAGCTTTAAAATATCTCTCTTTTGTACTCTGTCCCTTTATTTCTCAAACCAGCCAATGCTTAGGGAAAATACAAAAGAACCTACATGAAATATCAGGGGTGAATTTTGCCCTATATCTGGCTGAATTTTCCCCAATACATGACATCAGAGTTGTTGCTGATATCTCAGAATATTATTTATGCTCATCACTACAAAATTGTGGCAATTTTTAGAATACCCATGGGTCTTATTTTTAATAATTTTTAAAAAATATATCCATTTCTCGAATACAACTGGAGTTCTTACTATTGGAAGTAGATTTTAAAATTTTCAGTCAATATCTAAGATTTAATTAATGCATTTTCTTTGTACTTCTATGTATTGTATTTTGTGCATTTAAAAAAAGTATTCCAAAAAGAGGCCCTGGACTTTGCCAGACTGCCAGAGGGTTCCATAGCACAAAAAAATTAAAACCTAATTTTCTAAAGCTATGAGAGCTCACAATAAACACTGAGTTGAGTTGGACAGAAAGGCAGCACGGGAGGGAAGGAAGAGAGAAAGGGAGGGAAGGAAGTGGAGAGAGATTTGATTTGTTATGCATCATTTTGTGGACTGAGATGAATACCTATTACAATTGCTTGTTAAGAGACAAAAGTGTAGTCACAGCAAGCTAGGTCACTACAAATGTAAGTGATGTAAATTTATTCTCTTGAGAGAAGAAAACCTTTTATCCCTGAAAGCCAAATATCTATGCTAGGGGTTGTCAAACTTCAGTGTGAGTGTGAATTACTTGGTGAGGCTGCTAATAATATAGATTCAAAGCTCCATCCCTTGAGATTCTGACTTCAGGCAGTCTTTGGTGGAGGTCCTAGGACCACATTTTTAAAATGTGCTCGCAGCAGCCACAGCTGTACCATCAAACACCCAAATATGTTTGCAATGGCTGGATGAATCCATAGAAAAGTGGAATCAGAAGACAGTAGGAATCTATAAAAAGCCTCAGGAAATAATAGGCTTATTTATTATCTTCCAGCCAAAGATAATGCTCATCTCTGGATGCTCATCTGAGAAAATAACATTTTCTATATTTCCTAGTAAAATTACTTTCTACATGGTATGAATTATTATTTCAATCCTTCTGTTATTTGCTTGCTTATAAGTTCTTATAATATTTACTACAAAGAAACTCCATTGATAATCTCTCCAAATTATTCTACGTTGCCAATTATAGAAATCTAAATTAATAAGATTCCCTCTGTTTCCCTATCTCAATTACTTTATCATTCATGGAAAATAAAACTGTTGGTGTTTAGAAACCTTTTCACTTCAGTCTTTCTTAGAATCAGAGGCTTTGTGCCTTTAGTCCCAGCTACTTGGGTGACTGATAAATGGGAGGATTTCTTGAGCCCAGGAGGTCAAGGCTGCAGTGATTCCTGATCGCACCACTGCATTCCAGCATGGGTGACAGGGTGAGTCGGTCTCAAAAAAAAAAAAAAAAAAAAACAAATCAGAGGCTTTGCAAATTATGAACTTCTCATCTGACCACTTATTTGATACAAACTATTTATAACTTGTTAATAAGATGGTCTGCCAATTCAATACTTGCACTAACTTCTAAAGTTTATGGAAGAGTAGATTTAAATGGTCACCTACCCAGGGCAAAGTCCTGCAAGTTACCTGGACCAGTGGTTCTCAAAGTGTGTCTCCCAGACCAGCAATGTCAGCATCAGCATGCCCTAGGAGTTTCTTGGAAATGCAAACAAGTTCCCAGCCAAGGACTACTAGGAGCCTTTCAGGTGGTTCTGTTGCTTGCTAGAGTTTGAGAGCCACTACTCTAGGCTTCTCTCTCTCTTCTGCATTTTCTAAGCAACAAGCACATCCTAGTATCATAAGTCCTATTTCTCCTACCAGTTCCCTCCTTTCTCATATCCCAGTCAAATCCTTTATCATATTTTATCCATGCTATGAAAGAAGCCTCTGTATGGCTCCCATCTCTCTAATCTTGCTCATTCCACATCCACCCTCCTCAGAGAGCCCAGAGTTATCCTTCTGTATGCTAATTTACCCTTGATTTTTCCAATTAAAATCCTTCAAATGCCTGCAAGATGAAATCCAAAGACCCTAAATTCTTGTCATAAAAGCTTTTCATTATCTGGCCTTCCTTTAAGGCTTTATGTATTGATAAGCAATACACCTTCCCTTATTCTGTTGTCTCTTGGCCTTTGCATATGCTGATCCTTCTGCCTGAAATGAATTATTTAAACCAGAAACTTTGACATACACATATATATATATATATAAAATCATTCTCATCTATTGCCTAAAGCAGAGCTACTTTTCCTTAATCTTCCCCTCTCTGACCACTGCCCTCCATTTCACGCACACTCTATAAAGCAAAAGCAAAATCCTCCCCCTATTCTTTTTGGTATAAACTCAGTAAAGTCTCACTTCTCTGGGCAGCCTCCCATAATCACTCCTTGAAGATAAGTTGCCTTGTCCTTTGTGCTCCAATGCACTCTGCAAGAGAGCTATTTTCAGGCCTTTCATGTACTACTACAATTTATAAATATGATATTCTTTCTATTAAGGACAGGACTGTGTCTTGTTCCATTCTGGAGTCTTAATAACCCCAACCCTAGCACAGTACCTGGTCCAAAGATGCCAAATGATGTTGATTGCTAAAACCTATGGTTAAATGAAAGAGTAAATGCATGCCAGATAACATGTTTTAAAGAAAAAAGCTTGGACTAAGAAGTCATTTGCAAAATGGGCTTCTATTTTCTGCTGCATTACTTTCCAGGTTACAAACCAGTGGCCAGGAATCAAGTACTCTCCATGTACATGTCTTATTTTGTTAGCACGGTGTTTTACATTTTTAATGATATGTTTACAGGGGGCATGTACCCTCTCTCCAGTTGCCAGTCCCTTCCATCCTTTTTTGTCTTCCTTCCACCAGATTCACAAATTCATGTTACCATTTTGACTCATGAAGGCGTGTGAGTTCACCACTAACTTTATCAGCTCTTCTGGACTCGATCTTTGGCTCCTGTTTCTAAGCCAGCTCTTGTCCTCTGTCACAGTTGCTTCCCAAGTCCTCCCCTCTGCACCCCCCGCCCCACATTCATAGATACATACATGCACATTACAGAGCTCTCAGTATCTCTCAGTGGCACTCACCTTGGGCCTCTCTGGCTGCAGGTGAAATCTGCTGCTTCTCTGGCTTGGTGCTTTCTCATGTTCCCTATTCAGGGTTTTCCTAACCCCCATGGCTTAGAAGGTAATCATTAGGGCACAATCACCAGCTCTGACACATTCAAACTGTTTGACCTTGGAACATTTTCTGTTTCTAAGCCTCAGTTTCCTCATCTGTAAATGGAGCATTATATCTTCCCTATAGATTTATTGGAAGATTTAAATGAGAAGTAAATAAGTTAAAACATATCATGTAGTGTTGTTAAACCAGTAGAATGTTATTAAATTCTATCTTTCTGAAGTTGGTTAAGGCAACACGGCTCCATTAATGTAACCAAAAAGAGCTACAAGTTGAGTATCTCTAATCTGAAAAGCTGAAATCTGAAATACTCTAAAATCGGAAACTTTTTGAGCACTGACATGACATTGAAATGAAATGCTCATTGGAACATTTCAGATTTCAGCTTTTTAGACTAGGGATGCTCAATCAGTATAATGCAAACATCCCAAAACCTGAAAAAAAAAAAAACACACACACACACACACAACAATCCAAAGTATTTATGATCAAACTGTGTTTATCAGTGAACTTCTACTGTATTAGTCTACTCAAATACATTATTCAACAAATCCTTACACAATGATAGCTACAAACTGTGAATTAAGTACTGTCATTTCTATTGTACAGAAAAGGGAATTGAAGCTCAGAAAAGTCAAAATGTTTGCAAATGATAGTAAAGGTCATACATCAGAAAGAAATGCTTATGGCTACAAGCAAAGAAAGTATTTTTTAAATAATCTAATAAGGAATCAGAAAGCTGGTAACCCCATGGTTGGGCCAGTGATTCAACAAGGTAGGGGCACTAGGTCAGGGTCACTGGTATCATCTTGCCCTCACCCTCTTGGTCCTAAGATGACTGCGGCCATTTTATCCATGTGCAGATCCAACACAAAAGGGAGTAAGGGTGATGGCAAAAAGAGAATTACTTTCTCCTCATGTTTTTCTCTCTTTTTAATGAAAAGATTTCCTAGAAATGTCCTGGCAGCATCCCCTTACAGTTTATTGGACAGTACTGAGTCACACAATCTCATTGGAAGGGAGGCTAGGGAAGTTGGAATCTTAATTTCTCAACTTCTCATGAACAAAGAAAAGGAGGCTGGGAATGGGTGTTAGATTAGCCAAACAACTATCCTCCACAGGTAGACTTGGGAGAACAGGAATTCTTATACAAATTGTTTGATTATAAAGGCCACATCCTTTTTATTACTCTATACTTCCTCTTTTGTTGTAGGAATGTAAATTATTTTATAGAAATTTAACATATTAGTAAAAAATCTAAACTAAGGTTTTCATTACCATTCTGAACTCTTTCAAATAAAATCTGATTTCTGTCTCCAGTGACCTATGATAGAAATGGCATGTTATAAATAAACTATTGTGTTTATCAAATAGGGATATTAACTCTCTTGGAAAGATGTTTTGCCTTCAATATAAAGAATATGAGTGGCATTATAAAGCAGGAGTCATCAAATTGGCAACAGATTTCAGATATATTTAAATTGCAGGGGGGTGGATTATATGCTTTAAAAGATCCATTTTATATTTTTGATCATAAATTCATGTAACCTAGGTAACATGTTTCCACTACATCTTTCAACCAAACATTTCTTCAACATTTTCAAATTTCAAGCCAGAATCCTGTTCCAAAGGCTTTTTGTGTTTGCTTAAAGACTAGAGTTGAATTTCAATTTATTTTAGCAATCCACAGACAGTTATCAAGATGTAAATACATAAAATGTTAAAATATTTCAATTTAATTTTTTAAAGATTTTAAGTATCTACTTATTAATTCAACTTATTAAAATGCAATTCAGATCCAAGTTTTATTCCAAAGTTAAAATTGCCAGTCATTCAGTATTCAGGGTTTGTTTATTTAAATAGAGATGGGATCTTGCCATCTTGCCCAGGCTGGTCTCGAACTCCTGGGCTTAAGCAATCTTCTCACGTTGGCCTCCCAAAGTGCTGGGATTTCAGGCAATATAAATAGGATATTTGTCCCCACCCAAATCTTATGTTGAAATGTAGTCCCCCACCAGGTGGGGCCTAGTGGGAGGTGTTTGAATCATGGGGGCAGATTCCTCACGAATGGCTTAGGCCATACTCTTGGAGATAAGTGAGCTCTTCTCTGAGTTCACAGGAGATCTGGTCATTTGAAAGTGTGTGGCACTGGCCGGGCATGGCGCCTCACACCTGAAATCCCAGCACTTTGGGAGGCCGAGGTGGGTGGATTACAAGGTCAGGAGATCGAGACCATCCTGGCTAACACGGTGAAACCCTATCTCTACTGAAAAAAAAAAAAAAAGCCCAGTTAGCTGGGTTTGGTGGTGGGTGCCTGTAGTGCCAGCTACTCGGGAGGCTGAGGCAGGAGAATGGCCTATACCTGGGAGGCGGAGCTTGCAGTGAGCCCAGATAGCGCCACTGCACTCTAGCCTGGGCAACAGAGCGAGACTCCGTCTCAAAAAAAGAAAAAAAAGGAAAGTGTGTGGCACCTTATCTCCCCAACTCTCTCTTTCTCTCTCTTGTTCCTGTTCTTGCCATGTGACATGTGTGCTCCCCCTTTTGCCTTCCACCATCATTGTAATCTTCCTGTGGCCTGTCTAGAAGACAAGCCAATGCCAGCACTATGCTTCCTATTAAGCCTGCAGAACCATGAGCCAGTTAAACCACTTTTTGAAATAAATTACCCAGTTTTAGGTATTTCTTTATAGCAGTGGAAAAACAGCCTAATACAACAGGCATGAGCCACCGTGCCTAGCCAGTTTTGTAAGCAATAATTGTATTTGCCTTATTAAAGGCAAAAAGAAATGAGTGTCTCCTTATCTAAAAATTAGCAAGGTTTTTTAGGGCATAAGAGAACAAACCTCTCTTTTAGTCTGAAAAATCACCACAATTAACTATACTAGTTGTCAATAATGGAGTAGTTTCCCCAATTTAATACTTCATTTTTGATTTCTGAATCACCTTTTATTTTCAATATAAAAGGAAAAGGTAAATTATAAATATGGTGCTCAGATTTGCCATCTGAAGACAAGAAATTTATAAAAGAACATTAAAGGAATATTATCCGCAGGGATGCAAAATATTCCCCAATTAAAAGAAATTAAAAACCTTCAAGTATCTAACAGAGACAGCATTTTTAACAACAGATGGTTACAAAATAGTAATTGTAAGCTAAGCATAGTTACTGATCTCAGAACTGTCTGAACAGCGCTAGTTTAAGGCTGCCTTCATTAGAACAGCATTCAGTTGTTTGCAACTGTAAACAACTAAGAGTAGATTCACTGTATAAGAGTTTATTGTTTTGCACAGCAAGAAGCTGAGAAAAGGCAGTCCAGGGGAGGGATGGCACCTAAATGATGCCATTGGGGCCAATTCCACAATCTGAATTGGGCCAGCCTTTATCCTCACACTAGTTGCCTTAAAGTCACAAGATAGCTGCTGCACTGCCAGCAATCAGTCTCGTTCCATGTGGGAGAAAGAAGGAAGGGAGGTGTGAATACTAGCCATTTGCTCTACGTAACTGTGACATTTTATGACACAATTTAAAAGCATTGATTCTAGTCCTTAATTTTTGACTAAAAGAAAACTAAAACATTTTGAGGTCAAATGGCTTGCCCCACGTGGCTCAGCTAGTTACAGTTTGCTCAAGTCCTCTTAGTCCTTGGGCTGATGTCATTTCCATTAAGCTCACCACTTTCAGGCAGCTGGGTGGGCTTCCTTTGGAGTGTCAATAATGATAGCACTGGGACTCCTCCGTATTCCAAAGAAGAGCCTGGGAAAAGGTTGGGTCTCTGCCTCATAAGAACCTTTATAGCATGAATACCTAGCAAGTAGGGCATACTTCTCTATCATCCATAGTCTCAAGGCTCCTTGGCAATAAAAAGCCAGAGCATAAAGAAATCTTGGTGGAGAGAACAGTGGTCACAGTCATGATGACTGTGGCAGTGAAGGTGGGGGTGCTTTTTGGGGAAGACAGTGGGAGGTGAGGGGTTGGCGTGAAAGGAAGAGAATTCAATTCATTTAGAATGTGGAGGTTCTCGGTATCTATTTTTCTCAAATTTGCAGACCACATCAAAGCATAGAGACAAACGTAAAGGTCTGATTTGACATCCTATTACTACATAAATAGAAAAGAAAGCTCATAATTATCATGGAAATTATATAGATGGCCTACTGCTTGAACCACCACCAAAAAGATTAAGTAGTTCTGGTTTGACCAAGATGAGTACTAAATTCCTGTTATCAAAATAACTGGGTCATGCAGCTCAATAGGATAACCATCGACTAAGAGTGGCATCATGTAGTTAATCAGGATTCTACTTGGGAAAGCTGAAACACATCCTGCTATGTGTAATGGCAGATGGCCCCAGCATGCCTTCATGCTTGGTCAGATGTTATTAATCTATGACCAAAGGAGCAGGTGGCAAGCAGAGACCGCACGATTTCCTTCAAAAGTCACCAGATCTACAGAAAAGTGTGAATTGTCCCAACATTTTAGAATCTCCATAGTGATTATTTTTAATAGTTGTACTTTTTAAGCAAATGGAAATGAGGAACTCACATTTTATCTCCATTTTCCTAGTGTCTACGAACAACTCCATAGAATTTTTGAGTAATCACTCACTTAAACACTCACTGGACAAAAGTAATTTGAAAATAGAATATTAACTCCACATTTAAAGAAAAATTCATTAAACCTGAGTAGTTCATTTACCATGAAATGCATTTGATTAAATTTTATAGCAGGAATAAGAGTTTCCCCAGTATAAAGCATTCAACCAAATTTGTTACAGATTAAGATGCATTTGAAATATAAATTATTCTAAGCCAAAAACTATTTCCTTTCTGGTTCCCTTCTGTGTGGCCCTAGGACATTACCCTAGGACCAGATAGATCAATACCTCTGTGAGCCTCCTGGAGGAAGGGTCCTGACAAGCATCATTAGTCCACATTGGTATACTTCAGTAAAGCAATTAAAATACTAGCATAGGTAATTAAAACCTTAAATTTATTACCTACAGTTATTAAAATGCCATGGCCAGATGCTATTCAACATTACCCAAATAGCTTTCTTTTCACGTTATTATTTGTATTAGTGAAAGCCATTTAAAAAAATGAAATCCCATTTTAATATATCTTTGTATTTAGATTGCTGTTCTTGCCTAAGAAGAAGAAAAATAACTAATCCCTTTACAAATGAAAATTACTTTCTTGTGTTCTGAACTAATTTAATCTAAATTGTTAACTCTGTGGAGGGTGAGTTCAGAAGGGAGAAATCTCATCCCAAGGGCTAGAAGGAGAACAGGTTTATCTTACTTATGCATCTGGTACCCTAATTCATAAGGGCTTAAACTCTGGACTTACTACTCGTAGCTCACAGCCAGCAGCCAGCCCTTTTATGCAATAAATTCTGCAGTGGCAAAGCAATAAGTTAATAAGCTCAACCCAGGGGGAACGTCCAAGATAAATGGAGAGCTACAGCATAAACCTTTAGGAATTGGAAAGGAACAGCTGTTGAATTCTCATGGGAAAGCCTGTAGGTGATGTTTGGGAGATAGGAGGAAGGGGACACAGAAAGACAACACCCTCACTTCACCCAGCATAGAAAGCGAAAATGCAACCCTCCAAAGCAAACACCTCTGACTCACAAGTGTGAAGTCTGTTTCTTCCTATGCAAATGATCGCCAAAATCTGCTTGTGTTTTAGACTCACCTCTGCAAAAATAAACATGTAGCTGTTAAAGGTTTACATTTGGGGCAAAATACTGAATGCTCTTAGAAAAGCCTGCCTGAGATCTGTTTATTCATGTTTTGTGTCAACAGAAAGCCCCCTGCATCTCTTGGTTACTTCTACTCCACTCTACGTGTAAAGCAGCATTATGTTTGGGATTCAGAAACCAGGCCCTGACAGGCGTTTTAAATAGCATCAACACATCTTTTGTCTGTAGGGAATTAGTTTCTTGCCACTCTTCCTTTTTAGGCTTAGCCCATGACACAGACAATTAGAAAACCCCATTTAACCAGATGGTGCTAAAAAGATTTCATCGTAATGTGCTTTCTAATTTCAATTGGATTGAAGGGGGACACATGAAGGTCATTGTTAATATTTCCCCAAGACTAGACCTTGAATGAAGTGTCTTAGGCAAGTTTGTTCCTGCCTGAATGTTTCATTACCCTTGCAAAACTTCTGTCAAAGCAAAGCTGTTGGACAGGTTCATGTTTAAGAGCCTTAGGAAGCTCCATCTTAGCAGCAATTACAGCACCTACTAAAAATAATTTACAGAGACACACAGAAAGTGTGCATGAAGGTGAACAGTTTGAATGTTTCTGCCTCCTATAGGCAAGATAAACAGCTTATCATTGTGGTTGATTAATTCAACAAAACGACTGAACACTTGATTAACTCTGAAGCGGTTTGGATATGAAATAAGGATATGTGATGTGCTGTAGTCACTACGGCTTCTTTGCATTTTATTTAAAAAAGTTTACATGTCTAAATTCACTCATGAATTCAGTACAGTCAGGGCTACAGGACATTGTCTAGAAGCGTGCCTTCACTCTGGCCTGTCATGGCAAGTTTATATTAAAGGTGACTTCAGCAGAAAACAAGGAGCTTGAGCAGATCCCATCCAGATCCAATACACTCTGGAAAGCAGAGTATGTTCACCTGGTAACATAAGATCAGTGAGGTGGCGATATAATGTGACTTGGCTGCTGAAAAACTGTGATTGTTAAAGCATCTGCCACTTGCTAGTTCTGTTATCTTGGACAAGTTTTTAAGCTCTCTGTTACAGTTTTCTTATCTGTGAAATGTGGACAATATCTCATGAAATTGTTGCCAGGAGTGAATAAGCTAACAGACAAAATATGCAACGCAGTGTCTGGTTCATAGAGGGAGTTTTACAAACCTTACCTCCCTTTTCTAACAAGATAACTCTCCCTGCCTGTGGCAGGCTGAAGAATGAACCCTTCAAAATACATCCACATCCTAATCCCTGGAACCTGAAAAGGTTAATGTATTTGCTAAAAGTGTTCTTAAAAATATGATTAAGTTAGGGACTTCGAGATGAGATTATCCTGAGTTATTTGGTAGATCCTAAGTCTAATCGCAAATATTCTTACAAGACAGAATGTTAAGGACTGAATTTTGTGATCCTCTGAATGTATATATTGAAATCCTAATCCCCAAGGTGATGGTATTAGGAGGTGGGGCCTTTGGAAGGTAATTACATCATGGTGTGGAGCCCTCACCAACAGAATTAGTGTCCTCAGAAGAAGAAACACAAGAGAGATTATTTTTCTGTAAGCCACGTGAGGATATATTGAGAGGACAGCCATCTCCATACAAGGAAGAGAGCTCTTACCAGATACCAGGTCGGCTAGCACCTTGATCTTAGACTTCTCAACACTATCATAGATAACTGTTGTTTAAGTCATCTAGTGTGTGGCTTAAATTTGTTATAGCTGTGTCAACTTAGTCCCAACTAACCATGACAGAGGCAGAAGGAGAATACACACACAATATGGGAGGTTACAATGACCATAGAGGCAGAGACTAGAGTAATGCAGCCACAAGCCAAGGGATGCTGACAACCACCAAAAGCTGAAAGAGTCAAGGAGTGGATTCTCCCCTAGAGCCTCTGAAGGGAGCACAGCCCAGTGGATACCTAGATTTTGGCCCAGTGAAATCTGGGTATCCACATTGGACTCCAGGGCTGTGAGAAAACAAATATCTGTTATATTAAGCCAATAAATTTGTGGCAATTTTTTATAGAACCCACAGGAAATTAATACAGTCTCTAACTTTCTCAGTGCCACACATTGCAGTACCAGATATTGACTAACCTCCTTTCAAAGTCAATCAGCAATTTTTTTCAGTGTCCACAAAGACAACCATCTTATATGTGTCAAGAAATGTACTGTGGTTGGAGCACCCAAATGAGAAGTGTCTGTTTTCCCCTTTAATTGCATGTTTTCTATCTCAAAATAAAGAGAAAATGCTGGGGAGTTTGTGATATACTACACTATGGATCACATTGGTTGGGAGGCAGTAGGGTCCACTACATGACTGGATTCCAATTGAAGGCCCCCCCATTTTTTTGCTCCCAAGCTCTCCCATCACTTCAGTAGTTCCAGCAAAGTTCCAGAGCCCCTGACTGGGTGAGGAAAACTGCTGTCTTAGGGAAAAAATATGTAGTTTCTCCTAAATCAATATTTCCATTCTCACAAAAATTTACCCAGACAATTTTAAGTAATACACATTGGCAGCTTCATCCACGTCCCTACAAAGGACATGAACTCATGCTTTTTTATGGCTGCATAGTATTCCATGGTGTATATGTGCCACATTTTCTTAATCCAGTCTATCATTGATGGACATTTGGGTTGGTTCCAAGTCTTTGCTATTGTGAATAGTGCCACAATAAACATACGTGTGCAGGTCCCTTTATAGTAGCATGATTTATACCATCATTCTGAGCAAATTATCACAAGGACAGAAAACCAAACACCACATGTTCTCAGTCATAGGTGGGAATTGAACAATGAGAACACTTGGACGCAGGGTGAGGAACATCACACACCGGGGCCTGTCATGGGGTGGGGGGCCTGGGGGAGGGATAGCATTAGGAGATATACCTAATGTAAATGACAACTTAATGGGTGCAACAAACCAACATAGCACATGTATACATATGTAACAAACCTGCACATTGCGCACATGTACCCTAGAACTTAAAGTATAATAAAAAAATAAATAAAAAGCAATATGCATTGCCTTTACAATTGTCTTTCAAACATATTTACATCAAGGAAAAAGTCTAAATTGGTACTAAATAGTCCTTTAACACTTTTTAGACACTTGCTGATCTCCCTTCACAAAAACAAAAGGCCAGGCTACAAGTTCAGAGCCTTTTGCAGGCAGGAAATAGCAGTTAAATAGATTTTTATACTACTATTTTGCTTTGGTTTCTGTATTTATATTGATTATGACCTCCTATTTATGGCAAAGATTTCTTTTTCTTAATCATTGATGATAATCATACACATCTGCATACTTTAACAAATGTATTTATGTTGACATAGTGAATCCATTTTTTAAATATATATTAAATAAATAATACCACAGGTAGTCATAATGAAGATAGTCCTGAAATGCTTAAGGTTTGGGACGTTCTACCCTAAGAAGACAGAAACCTCTAGGAAGTCTATGAAAGATTTTATCCAACCCCCATATTTCCCAGAACATAAGCCACATAACATCAAAACTTTGATTCTAGGCTTGTTTAGGTCCCAAACTGCCCTCAAGTAGTTCAGGTAGATTCTGCTTGAGAATCCCGGTGTGTGATTGAGGACCTCTGTCAACCCGAGAAGCACCCCAGGCATTCACACTATCCCGCTGAGACAGGCTTGGGAACGTCTGAACTGCACTGTCCACCCACTCCCTGGACCTTCTCCATACCGAACAGTCAAGAAAGTCCTTGTCAAGGGCAAACAGATATAATTCTTAAATTAAGCAATTTTCCCATATGACATGACTATTCCCTACCCTTCTGGAAATAAAAAGGTAATTGGCTCCTCTATTAACCACCAGAATAAATTGTGTGGGGCTGAAGGGACTTGTGTTCTAATTGTTACTTTACCAAAAAAAAAAAAAAAATGCAGTTCAGTAATCTTAAATAATTCAGGAGTCATGGAATAATAGTTTCTTTGTAGAAATTGTTTTTACCTAGAAAACAAAACAAAAAATACTTACATACTTTTGGTTGAGTTATACTTCACTCTGGTTTGTGGACAATAATAATAATACATCAAAGGTTAATTTCATCTCCCTATGGATGATGACAAAACTGTACTCTAGTACTTTAGTGTGCACAGAAAAAGAAAATAACTTCCAGTCTTTTGGATACTGTTGCTGGAACATCCAGATATCCAGAGAAAATGTTGCTCCCTTAACTTGTCTGTAAGAGATTCAGGTTTCTTCCTGAGCCCCACCCACAGGGTGGCAGAGACACAAAACTACAATTTAGCCAACAGAAAATTCTCACTCCAAACCCATCATTTGAACCATTAATTGGGTCATGCAGTCTTATTGTGATAAAAGCTGCCATGGAGGTCTTCAACATCTCCTTCTCTCCCTTACTTCTCAAGTTGGCAGTGGGTATAGATGGAGACTAACATGCTCTTGGAGCAGCGGGTGAAGAGGGTAGCTTATATGGATTTGTGTTCTATCATTTGCTATTAAATAATATAGTTCATCACTTCTCTACCTCTTCATTCAGTCAAGATTTCACAGTCCTCTCTAGCTAACCTTTGCCGCTGCTATAGGCATCCTAGATCTGGCCCAGGCAGTTTGCCCTGCAGCCCTGGTTTATAGGTCACTTCCCTCTTAACAATGGCCATCTCTCAGATTCTGACATCAAACTGCCTGTTTTTACATCACCACTTACTAACAGTGACCTTGGATGAGACAATAAAATCTCTGTGACTGGGTTTCCTCGTCTATAAAATCAGGAGGGGGTAATAATAACAGTATCTACCTCTCAGAGTTGCTACGAGGATTAATTAATCAACATAAAATACTTGAAGCGGTATCTGTCACATGTAAGCACTATATAAGTATTGATCACTATTGTTATTGTTGCAATAGGAAGGTGAGCAGCCAGAGAGCCAGCTAACCTCCACACCTCCCACAGGACCTTGTAAGAGTGTCTGGATTCTATTCAGATCACACACCAGCCAAATGAAGCTCAGAAGCTCAGAGATCCAAACTTAGATCTTCCTCTCAGGCTATGCCATGGAGTTTCCCAGTTGTGACTTGTTCCAGGTTAACAGGAGGGCAGGCTGCAAGATAGTCTTCTCATAGCATCCAAAAAAAAAAAAAAAAATCAAAGGAGAACTCTGTCCACAGCATTCCCTTCGGTTTGCATAATTACCATGCACAGGCCAAGCCAGAGAAAGGAAATGGGGCTTCCTCTGTCCACTCTTGTCTCTCTTACCTCTCACTCTTCCTCCTTCCCCAATCCTACTGAAGCTGCTATAAGGAGCTTTTCTTTACTTTTTCTTCCTGTCTTCCTTCCCTTGTATGAAATCCTTATCAGACTTAGCTTTGATGGTTGTGCCACAAATGGTGGACAAGGTAGAAGAGAATTTACCAAAAAAGAAGACCTAAATTAGAAAGCTTTCAAAAATATCATACTCAATGCACTAGTTTATACCCCAAAACAGCAAGAACCATCCTCAAGTACTCAGTGATGGAAGGCAAAAAGTCAAAACAACTATACTGGGTTGGAAGGCTGGAATTAAGGGAAGTAGCAGGATTCCAGTATATTTCAGCTCAAGGCAGTGATTTCCTGAGGAGAAATGATCCAGACCCTCTCCCAGTGAGACTGTGGAAGGCAGTAACATTTTAACTAGAAATAAATTGCTGATTCTAGGTTATTATAAACTAAACTTTTCTGGGAAAATTGGCTATAATATGAATCTTTCAAAACTATAATGAACAAAACAGGAAGCACAGCACCTTAACGAGAAACAGCCTGGAGTCAGGGTTCCTTACAGACTTTCTCTGCAGGAAATGTCAGTTTCTAGAGTTTGTGATCAATAAGTATTTTTCATTAAATAATGCAAAAAAAGGGCAAAAAAGAAAATCACTTAGCTCCTTGGAGAGGTTTCCTGTAATTTATCAAGGTAGGCCATACACACATACAAGTTCAAGATCTTCCTATTCAACACTGCCAATACCATGAAGCGAAACCTATTGTTCTGATACAAGGGAAATGCTTTGGGACTTTCTCAGGCTATTCTCCCTAAAATATTAATATAAAAATAGAGACTATTCCATAGACTACATAAATTTAGAAATCAGATATCTGTAAACTCAATAGCTATACCCCACCATAAGAACCACCTGTCAACAAACTGAAGTGTCTCTTAACAACCAGACGTCACTGCTGATGGCTTCAGGTGTAAACTGCAGTATCTCTTGTATTAACAGTATAGCCACAAGAACATTATTTTATATTTCTGAGGTGCTGTGTGTGTGTCCATGCATATGATGAAAATGTTAAATAGGCTCAGAGTTGGGAAGAAAACTTTGGTAGTCCTAATTGTGTTGCACATTTCTGTCTGCAAGGTCATTCATTAGCTGTTATTCCATGAAAGTGGCAGGCCTAACTCATTAAAGCCATTGGTGTTTTTTAAATGGAAATGGTTTACAACAATTTAACAGAAAAAGCCCTGGGGGTATGCAGAAGTTTCTTCATTAAAAGAAAATTAACCCTGAATTTGTAGCACAGTAACTTAATAAGCAATGGTAATGCTTGCCCAAAACATACAAGATCAAAAACATTTCCATAAAAAGGCTTGATTATATTCAGCAATTAGGACAGAATGGGAAAGTAATGGAATCATAGAAGTTTAGATCTGAAAAGCTTGCAACAGATACTCCATCCAATCTGGTTTCTTCCTCCCAACCATCTCTATCCCCCTCCTAATATATATTTTACAAGTGAGGCAACTAAGTCCAAGAAAAATTAAATTATTTTCTCTATGTTACATATTTAATATTATAATTGAAAGTCATTTCTCACTTCAAAGCATCAAAAATGACAAAAGAAATTCCAGTGTAAACAACAAAATATAACACAAATTTGCATTATATAAGATGAAGGAACTAATATCTTTAACATATAGAGAATGTCATACTAATCAATAAAAAAATTCAAGCGTGCCAAAGAGAAAATAGGGAAAAAACAGTTATTTACAATTTTAAAAAGAATTCATGGAAGTCTACATAAATGTTCAATCTTAATAGAAAGCAAATAAATGTAAATTGAGACAAAATTTCCATGTTCACTCATTCATTGCTCAAGACTTGTTAAAAGGTTAATATTCAGTATTGCTGAGGATTAGGGAAAGGAGTGCTTTTATATGCAGCTCGGCCGGGCGCGGTGGCTCATGCCTGTAATCCCAGCACTTTGGGAGGCTGAGGAAGATGGATCACTTGAGGTCAGGAGTTCGAGACCAGCCTGACCAACATGGTGAAACCCTGTCTCTACTAAAAATATAAAAGTTAGCCGGGTGTAGTGGTGGGCGCCTGTAATCCCAGCTACTCAGGAGTCTGAGGCAGGAGAATCAGTTGAACCTGGGGGGCGGAGGTTGCAGTGAGCCGAGATCGCACCACTGCACTCCAGCCTAGGTGACAAAGTGAGACTCCATCTCAAAAAATATATAAACAAATAAAAAATATAAATATGCAGCTGGTATTCATATAAACTGGTACATCTTTCTGAACAGCAATTTAGCAATGTGCCAAAAGCCTTAAAAATATTTATTTCCTTTGACTCAATATCTAACTACTTACCCTAAAGAATTAGAGTTGTACACCAATATTTATATAAAAAGATGTTTACTACAATGTTATAGAAGTGAAGAATTGGAGTCAATCTAAATATCCAATAGTAGGAATTGAGTAAATATGTTTTTATGCATGTATTTAATTAAACACTACCCAGTAATAAGTCATGTGACAAAATAAATTTAATGTCAAAAAATGTTTATAAAAATATTAGATTATGAAAGGAAGGTATACTAATTTAATAAGTTGATCTATCAATAAAACAATAAAATATATGGAAGATAGATATTAAAATGTAAGGCAGTAGTAGCATTATGAAAAATTTCTTTATTATTTTCTGTATTTTTAAAACTCTACCAAAGAATATATATTACCTAAAGACAGAACCTAAACAATGTAAAAGACAACTGAACATTGATTAAAATAAATCTGACTTGAAAGCTAAACAATGTAAAAGACTACTTAACATTGATTAAAATAAATCTGACTTGCTTATCAATGTGGAGGTGGGATTTTATAATCTCTAGGAACCTTCCCAAGGATATCACTCTGTAGTTCAAATCCAAGACTTCAGATAGCCACACTCTCTCTCTGTTGAATTCTGCTTCTATAAAGACAAGACACATAACTAAAAAGCAAAATAAAACAAAACAAACCTAATAGAATTATTTTAATATTGTGTTTAATTTTTTTTGAGGGGGTTGGAAATGGACCCAGTGTTCCTTTAAATCTTAAGCATCACTTTGTAACTTCGATCTCTGAAACAGGGTCACTGGTTTAAATGCCTTTAGCACTTGATTAATTAGTAATCAGGACAGAGTTGATGGTTTTTTTCTGCCTCAGAGCTGGTAATTATCATTCCTGACACAGAATTCAACTTTCAGTAGGCAGCAGGCACCCTGCTGTCACTATTATACTCTGCTCCACACTCCAAATTTATTTTAAGATTTTGTTTGGAAAGAATCCTGGTGAAGATTTTACCCATAGCTGCCTCTTCCTGGAGTCACTTTTTTCTATCATTGCCTCCCTGTATTCACAGATAATATAATTGACTATTTGATGAAAGCAAAGAACTTGTAGAACAATAGTATGTAGCTCAGGGAGATATTAAACATTTTAAAAACTCAGTCATGATTATAAAACAGGGCGGGGGAAGAACTTGAAAAGACTATTGTGTTGTAAGAAAGAACCCCAAAGCAGCATGAAAAAAATTAGAAAAGTTGGTTTTCCTCTTTTCACCTTTGAGCATTGTGCCTGCAATCAAGCATGTGTACAAAACTGTCTAAAGCCATGGTTTACCTAGGGCCTATTAGTTAAGGATGCTATTGAAAAAACACCTGTAATACATCAATTGACGTTCACATTTGGAGATTAGGTAACCAAATTACAAACTATAAATTCATGTTTCCACTCTCAATGTTGAAGACTGCCAAAAAAAAAAAAAAAAAAAAAAAATATATATATATATATATATATACACACACACACACACATGACAATGACACCAAAAAAGCCCCCTTACAATTCCTGTTAATGAAAGGGTGGTCACAGATGATACAGCACAACTTGTGAATTTAAAAGAAAGAAAGAAACCAGATGGACCCAGTGTACTGTGGGAGTGTTGTATGTTATAGATGGCCCTTCGCCTCCTGGGGTAAAGTCCTATTCTAATTATTGCATCATACCTTTTGTGCTCCACAGCATTTGCTGCCTTCTAGTTATTAATAGAATACTAAGATTTGGGGAGCCAGGTTCAAAAGACATTTTTAAAAGTAATATAAGCAATCTTATGATTCTGTGATCCAAAAGCTTTTTTACCAGGGTCCAAATTTAGACCCAGGAAATAACTGCTTCCTATTTGTATTAGACCATTTTCATACGCTGATAAAGACATATCTGAGACTGGGATGAAAAAGAGGTTTAATTAAACTTACAGTTCTACATGGCTGGGGAGGCCTTAGAATCATGGCAGGAGGTGAGAGGCACTTCTTACATGGTGGCAGCAAGAGAAAATGAGGAAGATGCAAAAGCGGAAACCCCTGATAAAACCATCAGATCTTGTGGGACTTATTCACTACCATGAGAACAGTATGGGGGAATCTGCCCTCGTGATTCAAATTATCTCCCACCACAACAAGCGGGAATTATGGGAGTACAGTTCAAGATGGGATTTGGGTTGAGACACAGTCAAGCTATATCACCATTCCTTTGGATGCTGATGCCCTTGAGAGAGCAAAGGAAGTGAGTGTAATGCAGAAGTGATGGTTTGATTCTCAGAACAGAAAAACAAGTCCCAGGTCAGAACTGCAGGACAGTGTGGCAGTGACACCACAGGAGTCAGACAACAATCAGAACATGGTAATGCTACAGCACTATGACCTCATGCCTTTGAATAGGAGCATTAGACAGAGTTAGGATAAGATATACAGGCTGTCTTGAATCCTAGCATGATACTAATAAGGATTACTCCTGAAAATACTAAGAAGTTATTAGAAAGAACTGTTGGAAGTCAAGTTATCAAGAAAATGAAGATATCAGGGTCATATTGATGTAGTCAGCATAGCTTGCCAAGTATATCCAGTTTTCCATCTTCTCGGAAACTTAAAGCATCCCCATGGCTGCAGCCATGTAACTGTTCCTGTTCAATGAGCTGCAAGCTCAAATGAAGTGTTTCTGGAGCATTTAATGACCAGAAGGAGACATTCAAGATTTCTTTATTCTTTCTGACATGGTGGCTGACCACATTCAAGATGGATAGTTACTCTGTCAACCTGGACTCCTAAAGTGTTATGATGAGCCCCACCCCTAGTAGACCCACAATACATATTACTAAATTCAAAATGAAACTGTTATTTGAGGCCACAGATATTTGGAGTTGTTTGCTACCTCAACATAATCCAATATTCTAACTGATACATATAGTGACTTCCAAATGAATACAGCCTAATGATAAAGCTTTTGTGACCATTCAGGAAACCATTTACAAATTACAAAAGTCAAAAAAAGGCAAAAATTATTTTAAGAATCCTAGAATAGTTAAAAGTGAACAATGTAAAAAGAAAAGAAAAGCATCCTTAAACTTGTGAATTTCAGGGTAAAAAAATCTGCTGGAAGAGGAAAGGAGTGAATCAAGAGCTATAAGCATAAATCCAATAAATAAATAAATAAACTTCCTTATGTTTTCTAGAGTTCTTTAAGCAAGGTAAAAATAGTTCATAGAATAATTTATCTTTATAAGCACATTGGTATAAGTTCCTCATTTTTGACACATTGTTCTATACATAAAATGTATGATTCTACTTTTCTGACACTACTGTCATTATTCCCTTTGAATTACCAATTGAAAACTATGGGATCATAGTTTTATTATACAGACAAAAAAATACTTTCAGTTCATTAAGCTTTCATCCTAAACCAATCCACTTCACAAAAAAAAATGAGATTAAAAAGTAAAGTAAGAATGAGGGGGTGGGTAGTGAATATAAATCTCCATGAAACATTTAATCCAGTTTTTCCTTATTAGTTAATAATAAAAATTCTCTACAGATTTTGAGAGGAAACTTGGTGCTACTTTAACATCATGTATTTAGCATAAAAGTATATTAGAACTATGGTACTCCCATTTCATAAGTGAGGAAAGGGATGCTTCTGGGCAGAAGCATCATGAAACCAACTAACATGCATTTTAGATTTACTCTGTATTTTAGATTTACTCAGTTTCTAAAATTGACATTCATTCATTCATTCAACAACTATTTAATAAGCCCTACTATGTAGCAGACACTGGGCTAAGTCAACAAGACATACTGTAATGGAGAAGGTAATATTCAATGAGTAATTAAAAATCAGAATTGTAAGCTCTAGGCTTGACATTTAGGGAGGGAGCTATGAGGGCACACAAAGGACCACATAGCCCAGCTCTAAGGGGCCAAGAGAAGGATTCCCAGGAAGGATGTCTTAAAGGAGACCAGACTAAAGAGCACCGAGGACAAGAGCTCTCCAATAAGAGCAAAAAAGAGAGACTTTTAAAAGGGCCTATCACCTCATATATTTATCATTTCTTTGTGGTGAGAACATTTAAAATCCTGCCTCTAGGTAGCTTGAGCAAGGCTGGTAGATTAGAGTCCACAAGGCAAACTAAGCATGTCCAGAGATGAAACCAAAGAGTTAAATTTGACAGGATTCACATCTTGAAGTTCCTCTGAGATGATATAAAGGGACTTCTATTTTCAGCTGAAAATCAGGCAGGCATTGAAATATTTTAAGCAGAGAGATTGATGTGATCAGATTTGAGCTTCAAGGAGGTCACCCTGACCATGGTCTAGAAATGGACTGGATGGGGAAAGCCTGGAAGCAGAGTGGCTGATTGGGAAGCATTTTAAGTAATCCTGGTGAAAGATAAGTGTCCTCCTAACTAGGATAGTGACAGCAAGGTAGAGAAAATTGGATAGATTTGAGAGAAGAAAAATGGAGTAAAAAGGATGTTTATTGGTCAGAGAATGGGAAAAATGGTCAATAGCATCCCACATCCAGCAGCTCTCAGGTCACTGCCTTAGTCTATGTGCGCTGATACAACAGAATACAACACACAGGGTAACTTATAATGAGAGAAATTTATTTCTCCCAATTCTGGAGGTGGAGAAGTCTAAGATCAAGGCACTGGTATCTGATGTCCACCGAGGACCTTCTTGCTGCATCCACACATGGTAAAAGGCACAAAGGCAAACAGGAATAGACACTGTAGCCTCGTGTTGCAGAAGAGCGAAAGGGAGAAAGCCCACTCCCACAAGCCCTGTCTGTAGTGCCATTAATCCATTCATAAGGGCAGAGCCCTCATGAGCTAAATATCTCCCAAAAGACCCCACCTCCTAACACTGTTGCATTGGAGAGTAAATTTCCAACACAAGAATTCTAAAAGACACATTCAAAGCATAGCAGTCACTTATGGCTTGGGATCCTGGCTCCAGCACCTAATGGGTGACCTTGAGGAACTTTCTCAATCTCTTTTGCTTTAGTTTTCTCGTGTAACAGATAAGGATAAAATTAGTACTTACTTTATAGGTTGTTTTGAGGTTAGCATTTTGATTGAGGCCTGACATATAAGCCCTCAATAAATATTAGCTTTAGGTTGCAAAGAAAATTAGATACAATTAAGTAGGATTATGATTATAAACTGTCCATTAATTTAGTGACTTTGTGAAAAATAACTCTGTCATTGGAAGGTGACAATTAAAGTCATATCACAGTAATCTAAGGAGTTAAAAAGATAAAGGAGAGATGGCAGGTGTGCATATGTGGTTAAGGAAGGAGGTAAAGAGGCAAGATCATTCTCAGAGGAAAATATTGGACCAAAGAACTTGTTTTTTCTTTATTTAAAGGATGAGATGTTACTTGTGCTTCAAGAAAAGAGAAACAGGGATCCAGAGCACAGCTGCAGGAGTGAGCCAAGAGGAAAGACAAGGTCAGCTCTCAGATTCTGGAAATGCCTTTTCTATACCCTTTTTCAGGCAAATTGTTTGTGCATTTTCAATCAATGGAATATTTTGCTCAACCTTATCACAGAAAAGAGGACACTAAGACACATGATGCATATGACTTAACTAAAAAAAACACATACATGTGAGCACAGTGAATGATCTACGTTTGTAATTTATTTTCTGCCCCACATTATAACCCTGTATCCTGCTCCTCTGGATGTCACTGGCATAGTCACTTTCGGCCACTGTTCAAAGAATTCTGTGTGGTCAGGAAGCAGGGATTACAGGGAGGGGGCAATGATAGATTATGTTTAGCAACCAGGATGACTCAGCAGAAATTTAGCATATGGTACCAGACCAAGAAATATACAGATCTCTAGAAATTAAACTCAGAGAGCAAGGATTTACACTATAAAGAGAACAATGCATTTAGATACAATGAAAGAATAGGACAAGGTCCAAGGTGGATTCTTATAAAAATATTTACCTATATGAAATAAACTATATTTTCTCAAAAAATATTTTTCCAGGCTCTGCTACAAAGCTAAAGCTCTTAGTACGCCTAGGCTCATAATGCCTTCCCCTCTAGGATCAACATCTATCAGAGAAGATATTAATTGAATCTCAGGTGTGGCCATTTATAAGGCTGTGGGCAATGTAGCAATGTAAGAGTCAGTGGTATACAACTGATTTTCAAGACAACAGTAGACATATGTCAAACCTTATGCATGATTATTTCTAACTTCTCCATCAGGCAATGTATTAAAAAGCAACATGAATAAGCTAGATTTATCATTTTCAAAAATTTTCTAAAGGACTATGTTCTGGATATAAGGGAAAGTGAAAAACATCCTTTAAAATTATAATAACAGCATAAAAACATTAACGGTGCTGAAATTTTAAAAGATCAATAAGATATGTCATTAGAATAACAGAGATATCATAGGTAATTTTTTCAATATATTACATATTTATAATGTTAAACAAATTTGGAAATCAAGTAATCATATGCATGCTGAAGTATTTAGTAATGAAGTATACTAACATCTGCAAACTATTTTGAAATACGTACAAAAAGAAGATGCCTTGATGACAGATGAAAAGATGGATAAATGAAAAAAAGCAAGAATATGAAATGTAGCAAAGTGTTAATGGTAGGATTTAGATGGCATATACACGATTGCTACCTTCACAATTCTTCAACTTTTCTGCATATATTAAACATTCCATAATAAAATGTAAAAAAAATACTTATGAGTAGTCATTCCACTAAAGTTCTTGTTTTCATCATCTACCATCCTCAAAAGAGCCTTGTTTTATCAATTATCCACCTTTATTTGTGTATTATACCACTTTCTCAGTACTGGTTCTTTTCTCCTTTTAGCAGTTTAATAGAATGTGTGTGTGTGTGTGTGCGTGTGTGTGTGTGTGTGTGTGTGTGTGTGCGCTTTGTAAAAACAAAAATGTATTCCAATGAGGTTTAGAGAAGGGTTTGTACTACTCACAATTTGCAAGTTAAAGAAGCCTAACTCAATTTGACTCAAGTGAGATAGAGAATCTATTCACTTAACTCAAAAGTCTGGCTGCACAGTGGAAAATCTAGAAACTTCAAGCATGATTAGATTTGGAAGCTAAAATGACTATCAATAATCTACTTTTTTCCATCTCTCTGCCGTTTTTCTAATATGTTGGTGTCCTTTAATCCATGGTAAGATTATTTGAGAAGCGACTGTGTGAGGGGGAGGATTGTAGTGCTGTCTGTCATGTCCATTATAGAATCCTCTCCTATTCTGGAAAAATTCTACTCTTGGATTTGTCTGCCATTCTGGCTATCATCATATCACTTGCCAAATGTTTTAGAAGCTGTGTCTACACCCATTTTTCTTCTTCCTCACCGTCAAAACCATTCATAGTTTCCTGCAATCTGAGCAATCTGGATTCTCCTCCCACAGCTTCATTGAAACTGCTTGTATAAAAATAACCCATGGCTTCCATAGTGAGGAAGCCAGGGGAGACTCTCAGTTGTTACCTGACTGGCCTTCTGGGCAGTGTTTGGCTCTACTGACTGCTCACTTCTTTTCTTACTGTAGATTCTCCCACTAGCAGACCCTGCAACAAGGACCTGGGTTCAAGTAGTTGACTTGAAAGATAATCTCAAGAAACTGAAGTGGAGAAGTAGAAAAAAGTGGGAAAAGAAAGAGAAAAATACTAATAGAAGGCATAATTTCAAAAATGCCCTTACCAGCTTTTTTCTCGATTGTAACAATTCCCTAACAGGTCATCTTGCCTGGGTTTTATCTCACTAAATCCCTTCCTCAACATGGATTGAGAAAAATATACACAAATATGATACCCTTCTCATCAAAGTCTTTTCAGGCTCCCAAACCCTGCCAAATAAAATCCAGCCTTCTTAGCATTTAACACAAAGCCTCCCACCACTTAAGCCTCCTTTGCCTTTCTTTCACTTCTTGCCCTCATTTCCACCTGCAGTTTTAGGTTCTAATATTCAACTACTGCAGTGTTCCCAACAAGCCATTCTCTTGCACAACCTCTTCTCTTTGCCATAATTACCTGCCCCCACCTGGAGCGCTCTTCTCATCCTCTCTGCCTAAAATGTCTTACACATCCTTCACAACTGGGTCAGGTAGCCTTTCTCCATGTTTCATTGCACCTTGAGCAAACCTTTACATTGGCACCACTTAATGCTATTATGTCAACACAATCTGTTCCCTTTTCCCGTCTTCCATACTGAACCATGAGGATCTCAAAAACAAAGATCTTTTATTATTCGGTTAGCACTTAATAAACACCAAACTGAACTGTAAAAACACTAATAATACCATTACTGACATCTCCCAACTCAAGCATACAAAATTGGTTATAATTTCTTCTGGACAGAAGTTATAAGAGCTATTTATTATGGGAGGGAAAAAAGGAGGGACAAAGAAGCAAAGAGGTCTGTTTTACTCTGCATACCAGTATGTTAAAGCTAGCCAAATGCCTGCGGCATACGTTGCTGGAGCTGGTGAAGAGGAGGAGACAATACTCCCACTCTGTGCTCCTTGGCACTCTCTCTGGCAAATTTGCTAGGGCTTCCAAGATCTGGAATTGGCTCCAACCCCTAAGCTGAAGATTTGCTTTTATAAAAAGGTACTGAGAATTTAAGCTGCTATTTATCTTACCTATCTTAACTAGATGTAAATTTCCACCATAAAAACAGGTGATTTGGTCTCACATGTTGAGATTCTCAGAATAGTCTGTTAGCAGAGACTATTTAGTCAATATTTATTGTTCATCCATTCAACTAATACTTTGTTTTGTTTAAAACAATTTTTGAATAATAAAACATGTACGTAGGATAAATAGTCAACAGTAAAAAAGCATGTAGATCAGTGCTGTCTAAAACATTATTCTGCAATGAAGGAAATGTTCTATAGCTGTGCTTTTCAATGTGGTAGCCCTATCCACATATGTGCTTATTATGCCTTGAAAGGTAGCTAATGATATTGAAAAATGAAATTTTTTATTTAATTTAATTTGAATTAGTTTAATTTAAATAGCCACACATGGCTAGTAGCAAACATAATAGTGCAGCATAAACAGTAAAACTTCTCTTGCCCTTGTTTCTCTCAGCCACCAAGTTTCTCTCCTCAGACGTAACCATTATTATCAGACTCTTGAACATATTTCTAGTGATCTTCTATGCATTTGCAAACATATTTATATGTGAATGTGCACAATGAGTAGCATCCAAATTACACAGAACACTTTGAACCCTGTTTAATTCCTTTATAAAGATATGTGTTTAATATTATCATATCAGTGTGTAGGCTTGCCTCATATAGGAATATAATATAGTATTCCTTTTAATGTATGTGTCATAATTTGTCCTCTGTAGGTGAACATTTTGCTTGTCTTAAGTTTTGGAGGGGAAAAAATTACAATGACAATGAATGTTTCCAGGCTCTCCAAGACTGTTCACAAATTCCATGATTCACTAGAAGGACTCACAGCCTCAGAATATAGTTGTACTAACTGCTAAGGTTTATTACAGCAATGGATACGTAGCAGGAGCAACAAGGGGAAAAGATCCAAGAGGAATCTGGAGAAATTCATGCATAGGCTTCCTATGTTGTCTTTGTCCCATGGGATGACACACTGAGTGTGTTCCTTACTTCAGCAGGAAAAAAAAAAGTGCAGTAACATGCAAAGTTTGTCCAAGAAAACACATTAGAGGCTCAAAACCAACGTTTTCACTGGGGACTGGTCATATAGACACACCCTGCCTACCAACTACAAGCACTCCACATTTCCAGAAGAAACGCGGATGTTCAGTCCTCAAGTGAGTAAAACAGCTTTATCACTTAGGGAAAGTTTCATGTCAGTGCAGGGAACTATTTACCAGCCAAATCCCAGATGCCAGCCAAGAACCAACCTTCAGGCTTGCCATGTTAACTCTTTTCTGAATAAGAAATATTATTGTATATACCTAATTTTTCACATGTGCAAGTATATCTGCAGGATACCTAGATGTAGAAATGCTGCATCAAAGGGCATGAACGTTTCTATTATTAATAGACATTGCCAAAGTGTACACCAGCAAGGTATGAGAGTGTTCTGCTAAATTCCCACAGAGTGAGACAAATACTTTTAAATGTTTACTTTGTATAAGGCAATGCTGTAGGCACTGCAGATACAGCATTAAACAAGAAAGAGATCCCTACTTACACTCTATGAAAAGGAAGGCAGCAATAAAATAATAAGCAAGCGAACAAAATAATTTCAAATAATGGCTAATCATATAAAGAAAGTAGAATTCGATCACATAATATGTAGGGGCAAAGGGGGCTACTTTGGATTCAGTAGTTGAGGAAGTTCTCTCTGATGAAATATCTTTGAAATAGGATCACAATTACAAGAAGAAGACAACTATCCAAGTCTGGGGGCACAGACCTACCAGAAAAGTTTGAGGGAATCATACAGAGGCCTTAATGCAGGAACAGAGGCAAGGCCTCTATTACGAGAGCACTGTACTGGACCAATATGGAGAATAATTCAAGTTGAAGTCAGAGAGAACAGGAGGGGCCAGACTATGCAGAGACTTTCTACGTCAATGTGAGAAGTTTCGGTTTCATTCTGCACACTGTTGGGAAAGGCAGTCTCAGGCTAGAAATGCTTCAATCCCCTCTTGGCTGCATAAGAATGGGCCTTGAACCATAATTATGGTTATTGTGTCACACACTCTGTCCAATCCCAACATGTTTCTTGCCTTGTAAGAACCACCATAAAATCACTCAGTCCAGTCTCTAAAGCCCTGTAAATATCCTCCCTGACTTCTCCTTCTGAAATACTGCTAAGGATTAAGGTGATTTTTTTCCTTTACCCACAGAAGGTCTAAAAAACTTAGCCTTGCTTGATCAACGGATTTTCTTTGTTGTCTTTTGCAGAGTTGATCATGTTGAAGAGTGTGTAGGAAGAGATCAAGAGAGAAGCAAAGAGTCTTCTGGAAATTACTACCCTACCTCTGTCATCCTAAAGATTTCAGAATCTTAGTATGAGATCCTGGTAGAATGAACTCTGGATTAAAATTCAAAAACTTGATCTCTGGCAAACCCATTGACTTAAACTTCTCGGTGCCTCAAGCTCTACTAAATAATGTAAAAAAGAAAAATTAAACTCTGGTCCACATTCAAAAAAATATGAAGTAATATATGTAAAACATCGAGTACCTTAAGGGAAAAATTGAACTTTATGAAGTAAAGGAACTGCATTATTTTCTGATTGGAGTGGAACTTTTTTTTTTTTTTTTTTTTTTTTGTTTGAGACGGAGTCTCGCTCTGTCTCCCAGGCTGGAGTGCAGTGGCGTGATCTCGACTCACTGCAAGCTCCGCCTAATTTTTTGTATTTTTAGTACAGACAGGGTTTCACCGTGTTAGCCAGGATGGTCTCGATCTCCTGACCTCGTGATCCACCCGCCTTGGCCTCCCAAAGTGCTGGGATTACAGGCATGAGCCACCGCGCCCGGCCCAGGAGTTGAAATTTTAACTCACAGACATTCAACCATCTCTCCTTTGAAGTACAAGATGAAGAGATTTTTCTGATTCCTCAGGAAGTGCCTTGAAACCAACCTAATTATGTTTTTGTTGTTATTGTTGTTGTTATTGTCTTTTGTTTTTTGTTTTTTTTTTTTTGAGACAGAGTTTCACTCTTGTTGCCCAGGCTGGAGTGCAATAGTGTGATCTCGGCTCACCGCAACCTCCGCCTCACAGTTTAAAGTGAGTCTCCTGCTTCAGCCTCCCAAGTAGCTAGGATTACAGGCATGTGCCAACACGCACAGCTAATTTTGTATTTTTAGTAGAGACAGGGTTTCTCCATGTTTGTCAGGCTGGTCTCGAACTCCCAACCTCAGGTGATCCGCCCACCTCAGCCTCCCAAAGTTCTGGGATTACAGGCGTGAGACACCACGCCCGGCCCCTTAATTATGTTTTACATGAATTTAGACTCTCTCAAAATAGGTGACAGAACTAGAATCTGGGTGTTTGTTAATTTATCTTTAAATAGTAGGAAATAAATAATAATCCCAGAGCCAGCAGGGCCTTCAAAATAGACAAAATCCTAAATTACACAAAACAATGATATAAAAAGCAAGGAGTACAAACATTGGCACATAAACATATAAGGTTTGTTCAGGTTATGCAAAATTGATTTCAAAATAGCACTTTTCTCAAAATAATCCATGGTTATTATCATAAATATATTAAAGTTTTGCTGACTTACAAAATGTATAGAAATCTTTGTTCAAAAAGAGAAAAAAACAGCTATACTCCTCTCTGGGTTGAAATTGTTTTCATTGGGTATTTCTCACTATTTGAGATTTTCTTATATATTGCATGGACCAGATGGTGCAACTAATCAGTATAAATCTTTTCAATGAAACACTTATAGTTTCTCAGAAAATGAGTATCTATAAACAGTGTGTTGTGGCATGCCATCTTGCAAAATCTAAATATAGTTCTGGGTCAACTCCTTTAGGTCATTAAATAGAACTGCTGGCAAATCCAGACAATAACTTTTTGTATTTTTCTCCTGAATATTTTCACCACCTGTCTTCATGCCTGACCTCTCCAGTTTCAAGCAGATCACAAAGGGAGGAAGAAAAAACCCTGGCAAGCCCATATGCCAAACTAGATCATATCCAGGAGACCAAATGCCTTCCAAATCCAAGAAATGGTTATTTATATACCTGTAATTAGTGATTAAAACCCCAGGAGTATTTGTTTTCCTTTTAACTTTAAACTCCTCTCAGCATCTACGCATTCTCATACTTAACATGATGCTGTACAACTCTGCTATTTATAAGGAAACGACCCAGTAATTATTGTGGGAAATGTGCTCCTCACTGTACGTTTATCTTTGCTTTGTGTGTTTAGTGGTCAATTATTATGTAAAATAAGATCACAGTCTAATTTTTCCTGGTCAATCATCAGAAAACTCAGAAAATTTTCACCATGTAGAAGTTAGGAGATATATTCAAAATGAAAAATAATTTAATTAGTAGTTATATTTCTGGTATATTGAAGCTGAAATAGTGATATTTAAGGAACAGGTGATCAAGTAAAAGAAACAGAACCAGGCTTACTACATTACCATCAATTTAATAACTGAGAAGTAAGTATTTTAACATTAGGTTAAAAATATGCCTATCAACTATCACGGCTCTGAATATCTAACAAGGAATACATATTTGCTTAATTAAAATTTGCCCAGTATAAACAAGCACTTCATTTCTAGCATGTAAAAATAGATATAAGAAAACAAAAAATTGACTAAAGACCCCATGCAATAAATTTTAAATAACTTATATAGACACTTTACCCTCAAAAAGGGGAACACAACTACTTAAGTATGGGCTACACATTGTGACTTCCTTCCGAAGAGTACAATGTGGAAAAGGGGAAAAGAGGTTAATTTTACACTGAAGAAATCACACATATAACATCTTAGCCAGATAATCAAGGTCAAGTCATAAATCATGTTGACAGTATGGACCCTTGGCATGGTGTGATAAGAATGGCACTTCATCCCTGGACATTCTTATCTAAAACCCATAACCACAGCCTAATCATGAGAAAAACACCAAATTCCAACAGAAGGGCGTCCTACAAAAATGCCTGACCAGTAGTCCTCAAAACTATTAAGTTCATCAAAACAATGAAATTCTGAGAAACTGTCATAGCCAATAGAACCCTAAAGACAAATGACGACTACATGTAATGTGGTATTCTGGATGGAATCCTAGAACAGAGAAAGAACATTAAGTAAAAACCAAGGAAACCAGAGTAAAGTATGGACTTTAGTCAATAATATATTAATATTAATACATTTCATTAATTGTAATGAATCTACCATACTAATATAATATGCTACTACTAGGGGAAATTATGGGGTACATGGGTTCTCTCTAGACTAGTTTTTCAATTTTGCTGTAAATCTATAACATTTATAAAGAATAAAGTATATAAATAATATTAATAATAACAATGATACATGTGAGTACACCTAGAACCTGGATTTTGGTTTCTAACACCAAAGATTCCTGGAAGAAATTGCTGATTCTTGGACTAGGTCAGGAAATGAAACCTGGAGAATCCTGTAGTGTCAGAAAGTAAGAATGTGCTCAAAAAAAAAAAAAAAAGGAAAAAGAAAAGTCCATAATGTTGGGTATATGGTATATGTCAAAGGGATACAGGAACCAACTAAAAGAGGTCTCAATTTCCAAAGTTGAAAAAAAGTATTTAGCTTTGCCACTGATACAACTGGAAAATAAAGGAAGGGGCAAAGCAACTAATATTGACTGCAGGCTGTTTATGGACCAGGCTCTGTGTTATGTGCCAGGCATTCATGCCAGATTTCATCTGTGAAACCACTCTGTGAGGTAGAGGTGATTATTTCAGCTTTACAAATGAGGAAGGTAAAGACCATCAAGTTTAGTTACCTTGCCCAAGGTCACACAGGTCTCAAGCCAGATTAGAAGCCTGGGACTGTCTACGTCCTGAGTCCTTACATTTACCCAATGCTGCTTCTAATTAAAGTTCATTCCTACTCTGCTCGTAAATCCTAGTCCTAAATTTCCTGAATTTTTCTAGCAAATACCCATTAAATAATTTAAAAATTGGATGGAGAAGGGAGCCTTATATTCGAGTTTATTATTATTCTTTTAGTGGTCATAATGGAAACATCACAAACAAAAACAGCTGCAAAGCTGAGGAAATGATAAAGACATTGATTCCAATCAAGGTACCTATAGCTGAACTATTTCTAGAACTTTAATTGGCATCCCAGCGACAATATCTCACATTTAATCTGCCCCCTAAAAAGGACTGTTGCTGCTTCTTTATGTTCACTTAGCTTCCAGGGAAACCAGTTTCTATTCCAAGTTAATGAGTAAACTGCTGATAGAACTTTGGTGTGACCTCATCAAAGCAAAGAACTGGAACATAGCTCATAAGGCTGTTCCGAACAAGCTGCCACTCTGGAAAGACCAAAAGGCATCTAGTTAAACAGAGCATCACAGTGTGCACCAGGAAATGGCTTGATGTGCAATAAAAACATAAGCCAGCATAGCACATACACTGCCCATACGAGGGCTACATTACCTTCCACACAACCCCACTCCCACCTCCCCAGCCTGTTCCCAATAGACACATCATGTGGTTCTAGGTTACCTTGTCACCCAAAAACCTAAGTATCCAGACATTGACTCAGTGACTGGTCACCTTTGTCTTTAAACATTTCTCCTCCATATTGCTTTTGTTGAAGTTTATATCTTCTTCTTGGATAAATAACTCACGCTGGTTTTTTTGAACTGTAGGAATCTTATTTAAATATATTTTTTTCTTTTAGCCTCTTTACCTGGTCTTCTGTTATAATCATGCTTTCAAGTCCTGATCTGAGCATTGTATTGGGAATCATATAGCCTACAACATTTAATTGTGTATTCTGGAAAGTTTAATGATCAGATCTATGATGTACCTCATGCTATTTTTTTCACTGTGAGATTGCATTCTTTCAAATCCCTTTTTTCCCCCCAAATAATTCGTTTTGTCATTATTTGATTAGTCACTTTTATGTGTAGATATTTTTCATTATTTCCTTGTAAACAAGCACTACATAGTATATAAATCAACTTTTTAAGTCTTCTTATCATGTAATTTTCTTATTTTATTTCCATATACAAACCCCAACTCATTGAAAAACAGAGTAAGATCTTGGTTGAAAAATATCTGGCACAAATATAGGTAGAAATAGCCTGAGTACACTGAGAGGGCATGCCAGGCCCTGCCAATTGGGCTCCCAGATTCTGGGAAAGTCTTCTGCGGCCACAGTTCATGGCCAAAGTTTACTGATGTGCAGTGTACCAACTCAAGTGTACACAACAAAGAAGAAGGTCTGCTATTTGGGATGACTTGTTGTGGGAAGGATTAATTTATAAAGGTTGCTAATCTTTCTGCAAATAAACTATGAAACAATTTTAAGCATTTTTTTCTTTATTGAAAAACTGTGCAGCTGACTTCTAAATAAAATGTATATTTTGCTGGCCTTAAGGAAGTTAACAACAATATGAATGACAGAATTTTAAAGCAGCATTTGAAAAATATTATTTCTAATTCTTTCCCACAGTAACAGTCTGGATAACATTTTTTCTTGTATTAGATAACCAAGAAACTAACCCTGTATAACATCCTGGCAATTTGCCTCTCTGGACAAGGGTGAGAAAAGCCAAGTATTCAAACTCTGGGAAAAGCCATCTCCAAGGAAACCCCCATGTTTACCCTTCTTTGGGGAAAATGTGTGAATACAAGACTCGCTCCGTGTCTGGGCAGGTGGCAAGCAGAAAGAGCTTTGAGAGAGTCTCCAAAGCCCCTCCTGAGTGAATGCCTCAGGCAGTCATTATTAGCTTATTAGACGTCTCTGGTAATTGGATGTCTGTGTAACTGCCCAAAGCCACCTGCTACCATGAGAAATAAAATGCCTGGGAATTCAGCCCCTGGATTTACTTGTTGACAGAGAAAAATGGCAAAAAGAAAAAGGGGTTTGAGGAAAGGGTAGAATGAGTTGCAGACAGAATGAGACAGAGCTTCTCTCATAAAAAGGAAAAATAAATTGAATTTTAGCATCCAACATTTCTAATTAAATTTGGATTATTTAAAAGCCATTCCCTTTCCTGTCACAAACTGTTTTTAAAAAGATTAAACAGGAAGCTAAGAAAGAGATTCACAGCTCATTCAACAAATAGCACCCTTTTTATATAATAGATCAAATATGAGCCTGGCTCCCAGTATGGAAAAATCTGGGAAATGTACATACTGGGTCTAACCATAGTCAATATCAGATTTTATACAAATAAGGGCAGAAGACAGAGCCAACAGTACCATAACTATAATTGTATACTTGAATCCCACTTAAGAAATCTGCTGCATGCTCTTATAGAACCAATTTGAAAGGATCAAAGAAAAAAATTAAAATTCAGTCAATTGTCATTAAGGAACATGTTGTTTGGTAGGGTAATACAGAGAGCACATTCCATGACCACAGCAGTAATGGGGGCTCAGGGAAGGATGGAGCATGTGTGATTGGGAGTGGGTTGGAGAAAGCTTTATAAATGAAGTACATTTGAAATAAGCTACGGAGGAAAAAGAGTATTGAGCTTTGATAGATAAGGATGCTAAGGAATGGTATCCAGGAAAAGCAATAATGACTAACAAAAATAATAATGATAATAAGAGGTGAGTTGTAGGTACAGGGAGTTGGTGATTTGTCCAAGGCAGTGGTTATCAAAGTGTTGGCCCTGGACCAGCAGTGTCAGCATCATCTGGAAACTTACTAGAAATGTGAACTCTCAGGCCCCACCCCACACCTGCTGAACTAGAAACTCTAGGGGTAGGCCCAGTAACCTAGGTTTTAAAAACCTCTCCAGGTAAATTGGATACTCAGTCAACTAAAGAACAACTGGCTGATGGCTTGGGGAGAGTGTTGAGAAGGAAGAGGACCCCTACTCTAGCAAATGGGAGAATGTGGAGGACCACTTGGACATATGGCAGTTTTCTGCTGGCTTCTATAGCAGAGACAGAGTCAAAATTTTCCTAAACCCACTCCCATATTAAAGCAAAGTCTGTTCTCTCAGAAATCCCCCCTAAGGGCTTGAGCTGTAAATGTCTGCACTATATGTAGAATAAACAGAGAGCATTAAGCTGTCCACTGAACTTTCAAAAAGCAGGTTAGCTTTTACTCACCACTATACAATTCCCACCACCATGACTCTCACCTTCATTTAATAAAAGAATACATCCTTAAAATAGGTATATTATGAGATATCAGGATTAAATGTTAACAATAGCATCTAAAGTAATATCCAACATGATTCTGCTATCGAATAGCACAAGCAAAGAACTCAGCATTTAGAGAGAAATTTACAAGATAAAGCAAAGAAATCAGCACTATGTTTTAAAGCAGCATTTTAAAAGAAATAATGCCCCTTATTTGAATAGTTCTTATGCATTACAAAGCACTGTCCCATGCTTACCTCATCTGATCTATTTTTATCTTACAGATATTAACATCTGGAAGCTGAAGCTCGTAGAAGGGAAATAATGAAAATATTTAACACTGAGTTGAGTGTTTATACTATGCCAAGCACTGATCTTGGTTGTTAGTTATGTGAACTCATTCAGTACTCACAGCAACACTAGAAGGAAGGTAAAGATATTACCCAGTGAGGACATGGAGCAATGAGAGGTCTCATAGCCTAGTCAAGATCTCACAAGAACAGGAGAAGCAGTAGAAAAGTGGGGATGCAAACCCAGCAAGACCAGAGACAGAGCACATGGGCTTGTCCTCTGTGATCATCTGCCTCCCTGTATATGTGGCAGAAGCAGAACTGAAAAGCCGTTCTGTAGATCCCAGGACTTCCCTACCATCCTGTTAGTCCGTATTATTCCTGCTATAAGTGATGATGTTGAAGGGGTGGGAGTAATTGAGTTTTAATAAAAGTAGATAATTTACATCCTTGTCTTTCTGGACTTTTATATTTTAAAACTAAGTATGAACACACATACACACACATTTTACTTGTATGAAGTTATGACAGAGTTTTATTTTTGATTACTGAAATAAAACGTGTAATAATTACTCTGATGATTCACTGTATTAGTTCATTTTCATACTGCTATAAAGAACTGCTGGAGACTGGGTAATTTATAAAGGAAAGAGGTTTAATTGATTCACAGTTTCACATGGCAGAAGGCACCTCTTCACAGAGTGGCTGGAGAGAGAAGAAATGAGGAGCGAAGGGGGAAGAGCCCCTTATAAAAACCATCAGATCTCATGAGAACTCACTCACTATCACAAAAACAGTATGGGGGAAACCACACTCATGATCCAATCACCTCCCACCAGGTTTCTCCCTAGACATGTGGGGATTATGGGGGTCATAATTCAAGATGAGATCTAGCGGGGGACACAGCCAAATAATTTCGAAGACGGTACTGTTTGTCTTCCCAACTTCCTTTAAAACAGGCTTCCTGAAGGAGATGAAGAACATGACGCCTGAATAGAGTGGCTGTGCAGGTGTAGAGTGAAAGGGTGGGATGCTTAATAAAGTAAAGACATCAAGACATGCTCACTTCATTTCTGTTATAATGTGTCTAACTCTAGTCGCTATAAGAAAAAAAGGTATTTTTTTCAAAGTTTGTACTGTCAAGAAAACAAGCCTTATATATATAATGTATAAAATAATTAGAGAATACTACTAACACAGTGTTCAAGTGTGTACTATAGACAAGTAGCTCCCATCCCACTTGGTATGAGGATCCAGGGCTAAGTACAGTTTACTGTGCACAAGCTATGTAGTTATATACAGAAGCCCTGTAGTATCATTTTTAAATAGTACATATAAATATGTTTTAAAGGTTTAAAATATTATAGATATATAGATATATACTATATATACCCACATATGTACATGTCTATGATATTTAAAACAGATATACATATATATACACACACATACACACACAGCACAGGAGAAGGTATCTTACTATAATTATACTTTTAATCTCTATGATTGAGATTATACATATATGTATAGATGGATTGAAAAACACCTTGGAATCAGAATGCAACTCTTTGTGGGTGTAGAATCTGCATGCTTTAAGGAAAAACACCAAAATGAGTCAGGAAAAAATGGGAGATTATGGGACTTTGGATAGGCAAAAATACTAGGAGAATGTAGATTGAAAGAGGAGGATGAGACCCTTCCTAGCACAGGGCACATGGAGTTAAGACTCAGATGCAGGCATGAATTTTGAATTTGGGGTTTCCATCAGGAGTAATGCCTGTTGAAACTCTACTGTTTTCATGCCTTTCTATTTTCATAATCTAACACAGTCATGCAAATACCTGCTTAGAATGGAATTGTTCCTCATAATTTCTTGGCCAAAGGTATCATGAAAGTTATTTTAAATTGCTATTTTTCCAACACAATGTTTCTAGGTCCTTAGGTAATTCACAGTAGATATGTATGGATTAGGCGAGGTCATCTGTAACACATTCTTTTATTCTTACTAGTAGAGAAATTCTAAAGTGAAAACTATAAAATGCCACACATTGATTTTAATAACTACTCAAAACCACACATACACACACACATACACACACACACACACACACACACACACATACACACACACACACACACACACACACAAAGATTCTTTGTAGCAGAATCCGGTTAAATGGATCCTGCCATGTCTGGAGTGGTTAGCCCTCTGGAGAGGCACAAAGGTAGCACTCCACGGAACCACAATGAGCCACTATATTAATCTGTCTATTTATTGTATCATACATCCTGAGAAGTACCAGTGATTATTTCTGCTTTTCCAAAGAACATGAAACAATGGTAAAAGTGTCACAGGATCCTTGGGGTGACGCTTTGCCAGCCAGAATCCTCTGTGGCTGGTGGCGCCTTCTGCCTGAGAATTGCTTGCACCCACTGAGCTCATTCTGCCCACTCAACCTGGCAGGTTGTGCTCGGGTTGTGCTACCAGCCCAGATCCCACAACTGCAAGGGCAAGCCAGACACGGAGTGACAAAGGGTGTGTGGGTGAACAAGCACAGGGTCTGTCCATTCTGCACAACCAGGCATGCCAGCTGCTGTGGTGGGGCAGGCAGCTCCAGGCATCAGCACAGGTGCCAACTCCATGCAAAGCTGTGGCTGGACCAGATGTACCACACATGGCTTCCACTGTGGGCACCTGCGTCTAGATGAGGGGAACACAGTGGTGCCCAGAAGTTTGGAGATGCCAGAAACCACAGAACCCCAAAGAGGGTATCACAGCCCTGGCTTGGGGAGCTCCTAGATCTGGGCTTCCCGTAAGGCCACAGCCTTCTCTCCTCTCATCATCTGCAATGTGGTGAGCAAGGGGGCGTTTTTCAGCCCTATTTGTGTTACAGCTCTTTCAGTCCTGCCATTTGGCGAGTCCCAAGTTCTTGTCCCATGCCCAGGAAGAATGAGGTATGTGGACAACTGGAGGGTAAGCACAGCAGAGAGGAGCTTCATTCAGCAACAGAACAGTTCTCAGAGGACCCAAAGTGGGTCGCTCCTTTCTGCAGCCAGGTCATCCTCAGCAGACTGGAGACTGGCAATGGGTAGCTCCTTCCTGCAGCTGGTAGTCCTAACATCTGTCTGAGTCTGGCTGAGTCAGGAGTTTTTAATGGGCTTAGAAGGGAAGAAGTGAGTACTGATTGGTCCACGGGTGGCCATGGGTGGGCCCAGAAAAAGCACCATGAGTTCTCACTCTGGGCTGTCGACCTTACCCAGAACTGGCAGCCCAGTCGAAGGCTTCAGACTGTCCCTGGCTTGAAAGTGGGGCTTCACTGGGGACCCGCCCCTTCCTGCCTAGGAAATTGTCTGCCTCCCACTGCCATCAACATGTAATTCATGGCACCCAGGCTGTTCGCACCGAGGGGTGCCTGCAGGCCTGCCCTGAGCCACCCTCAGCCCTACTTGGCCTCCCTCCCTGAGCTCATCAGTGCCAAAGTTTTGGAGGGGGTCTGGCATGTCAATGCTGCCCCAAACACGCATATACCTGGTCAGGTCAAGACAGTACCCAGGCTTGGCTTCAACTTTGCTCCAAAATTAAAGTGGGCACTGGGAACAGGGTGAAGCCAGGGAGCAAGAGCAGGCACTCCTGAGTCTGCAGGGACAGGAGGGCTTCTCAGGCCCCTAGGAGCACCAGGATGCCCAGGTCGAGAGCCGTGGTTCCGCGGCTGCAGCTGCTCCCAGGAGCACTGGGCTCCTGCCTCACCAGCCCAGTAGGAGGGTGGGGCTCCTGCCTATTCCTGGCCCCTGCCAGCTCCATAGAGCCAGCAGCCCTGGATGAGCCTCCCCTGCTGCAGCCGACGTCCCACGGTGGCTGCCCCAGACAGGCCAACTCCACCATCAAAAGGAATGATTACATTCTTCCCAGAGCACAAGGCAACATTTTTAGCTTTATAACTTGACATCTGAGATCACACACAGACAACATTCAGTTTCCTATATCCTCAGGCTCACAATATTTTACATCCTAAAATACATTGTGTTGTTTCCCAGCTGCAACTTCAAGACAGAAGTCCTAGAGAGAAAGAGATATTAGACTCCTTTTTGTGACCCAAGTGATCCAGTGAAATGGAGGCAGAGCCAAAGGTGAAGAAATTGTGTTGCTTCTCATAAGAAAGTAGAACTAAGAGAGAAGGATGGTATATTCGCCAGCTGTTGTTGCAATTATGCTGCATAACAAAGTATCTGAAAACTCAGGGAAGTGCAATATAAGTAAAATTTTTTCTTTAGCTTCCTTCATTCAGGCTGTAGGTTGGCTCCAAAATGCAAGTTGGAACCAGATTCTCCCCAGATGTCATTCAAATTCCTTGAACAGAAAGCTTCCTTGAGCAAAGTTCTTCCTGACATTCAGCAACCTGGGTCATTACAACTAACCAAGAATCAAATGTGAGAAAAAATCTGGAGCATCTTAAGATGCTCTTGAAACCCAAGAAAAAGAAAAAATAGACGTATATAATTTGTGACCTGGGAAACATGGTTCTCTACATACAGAATTCCTGACCTCACATCGTTGCTTCTCTTTTCCATGTACACTTTTGGAAGGTAATCTAAATTTTTTCTATTCATTTAAAGTCTACTGATGCATTGTTAAATAAAGAACTCCAAAAATGCTGGATAGTAAAGGTGAAAAAGAAACAAACAAAGAGGCCTCACTTTGAAAGCAAACAGCAGATCCCACTTTGTAAATTACTCATTCTTTGTGAACCTCATTCTCTACTGCAAAATGGGAATTTTTGATTATAGACTAGAAGCTGTAAAACGCAGTTCCACAGCATCATGAGTGCTTTGCTCAGATAAATGCTGGAATTACACAAATTTAGCAAAATCTTCTCCTCAAATAACAATCACCACCAAGAAATTTCTAAAGGCCAAAGCTGAACCCAAAATAAATAGGTCAATAGATGCTTATGTGGGACAATTGCCTTGAGAAAGAGGATTCACACTGCAGCTAAATTTCTTTTCTGGGAAGAAGGTCAGGGTAGCGAGAGCTATCAGGAACAGAAAAGAGTAAGGTTAGAAATAATTTATAGGATGCCGGTTTTTTTTCTTGAAATAGGCAGAGGCACCATTAGAAACTCCATTTCTCACCCCTTCCTACCTCTTGATCTCTGTCTTCCCCACACTCAGTAGGGGTGGGCCCTATGAAATGAGTAGACAGAAGATCAGCAGGAGTGAACCAGCAAAATCCACTCAGGCCTGCTGGGAACACTGGGCTCCACTGGGGTTGTGGCCAGTGGCCAGGTGCTGCATTCAGCCCTCTATAGAACAACCTCCTTTGTAAAACAAACAAGCTGCTGTGAGCTTCCTCTGCCAACTACTTTACCACAGATAATGAACAGCAGAGTATGTCAGTAGAGACCCCAGTCCCCACCCCCCCGACAGTTCTGCTTTGATTTTTTGGAGGCATTTTTATATCATGGCCTTCAGGCTCAGGACAAGTGTCTATACGTGCAGGGACAGAACATTCTGTTAATCACCAGAAAATCTTGCCAACTGCTGGAGGAAGAGGAACTTCATGGACTGGAAAAATCAACTTCCTAAAAGGCACCTATAAGGTGAGCAGAAATATGTCCTATTCCTTTGTTAACGCCCTGCAGGATGGAGAAGGGGGCCAGGCTCACAAGCCCAGGGGAAAGCAAGCAAAGGGTGGATCATAAAACTGCCAGCTGGATGGTTTCTGTGTTTTGTGTTTTTTCTTAGTTTGCTTTTCTCATGTTCTCCCTCAGTATTGACTAAATTATATTTTTTGTTTTGCATGCCAGCCTAACCCAGGGTGAAACTTTCCAGAGAAAAGAGGACTCCCCCAACCAAAAGCAGCCTGTGGTGGCAGCCATCACTCCCAAGGAGAGAGAGACTCAGGGTGGATGTAGTCACAGCTGCTTAGTTAGGTGTTTTCCACCAGGAAGCCAGTAAATCTTAATTTTAGGAGGTGAATTTTCCTCTCAAAAGGGATAACAAGTTGTTTTTTGGATAGGGAAGAAGTTTTGGTGGCCAAGGATGTGGTCTCTAGATTTAAACCTAGGATTGAATTTGCAGCACCTAAGAATAAGCCTCTTACTCATCTAAACCAGTTTTCTCATCTATAAAATGGAGATAACAATTTTAATTTATAAGGTTTTGTAAGGGTTAAATAAAGTTAGGCATGTAAAGTTCTTGGCAAAGAATCATTAAGGGTTTAATACATATTTATCATTATCACTATTATGATCATTATTATTACTCCTCATGCTTTCCAGAAATGTGGAGAAAAATGGTGATACTCTTAGTCAAAAAAAAAAAATGTAGGATGGAAGGAATTACTAATTCCCCTTTCTCCTACTTCTCTCTCCTGTCATAAGTGGATTGCTGACTCCAAATATATAGACAGGCCAAACATTCCAGGGTGGAAGTGAACCATTACTGGAAGTTAGTGAAGCTTTTTGTTAAGGCAAATTGGCTTCTGAGATGAGCAGGAAGAAACCAAACGCTTCTCACCAGCGTAATATTGACTTGTGCCTCATAGGGCAGAACTAAGGCCTCGATAATGACCAAATTTTCAGAAAAAAAATGAAAAACAAATGACCATTCACCAACATTAAAGCTTACTTTTAGAGAACAAGGTTCTTTTATTAGGTATGTAAATTAAGAGTCTCATAATGAGGAACTATCAAAAGGAAAACTTAAACTAGGAAAGCTACATCTCCATTCATGGGATGGAAACCTCTCCTCTCCCTTACTCAAGACAGCAAGATTCACCAAATGAGAGAAGAGAGAAATGATCCAGGGGCCCAGACCTCTTCCTTTGAGACAGAGTGTTTTCAGATGAGGAGAAAAGGACAGGGATGTCTGGGGATGGGAATGGAGAATGTGAGAGCAGGGAGATTCAAAGTCGAAGCCCAAGACTAACTCTGGCTCACTCTCTGTTAGGTCATATGAAAAGGCAAGTCTCACCAGGAACCTTCCCTGAAATATGTTGTAAAGTCCCTCAGACTTTACCAGGATTTCCCTGAGACCCAGTGGAGAGTCCAAAATAGCTAGACTAGCCTTCCAGTAAAGAAAATTACTTATACCAGCCCATCTTGGAGTGCCAATCTTGGTGAGACTAATGATACAGGGTGAAAGGGGAAGAAAGGGGGCCTGTTTGGTCCTCTCCCTTTCCAGGCACAGTGAAGAGGCAGCTCCAAACATGCAACATGCATCATGTCTCAGTTGCACTGCATCTTGAGTTATAGTCAGAGATCAGTACTTCAGGTTAGTGGGGTCAGCAAATCCAGAAGTGCCAGGACAGATAGACTAGGGGTAAGGGGTCAGGGAGGGGAGCTAGACACAGTGAGGAAAGCTGAGATCAAACAATAACCATTAAAAAAATTGAATCAGGCTGGGCGCTGTGGCTCATGCCTGTAATCCCAGCACTTTGGGAGGCCCAGGCGGGCAGATCACGAGGTCAGGAGATCGAGACCATCCTGGCTAACACGATGAAACCCCATCTCCACTAAAAAATACAAAAAATTAGCCGGTCGTGGTAGCAGGCACCTGTAGTCCCAGATACTCAGGAGGCTGAGGCAGGAGAATGGTGTGAACCCAGGCGGCGGAGGTTGCAGTGAGCAGAGTACACGTCCCTGCACTCCAGCCTGGGGGACACAGTGAGACTCTGTCTCAAAAAAAAATTGAATCAGTGAGAGAAAATTTCCCCAACAAAAAGACACTAGACTAAGACAATTTTACCAAACGTAGGCAGTTCTACCAAAACTTCAAGTAACTATTAATTTTACAGAAATCATTTCAGTTACCTGAAAAAGTGAGAAAGCTACTTAACTCATTTTGGAATGTCAATATAACCTAGATACCACAAGTGCATAATAAGAGTACCATAAAAGAAAATTTATATCTGTGTTGCTTATGAACATAAATTCAAAAATACTAAATAATAATAGTACATAAAATTCAATAGCATACTTTTAGAAATGAATGAGAAGGCTCATCTCGGCCTTAACGTTTTGGGTTATTGGCAAAAGGAAACAACTATAAATTCTTTGAAAATCAGAACACTGAGTTTTTGCAAAACTACCTCGAAGCTCCATTCCATGAAGCTAAGATCCAGAAAATGTATACAGTGCATTTAAAGAGGACCTTAAAACCATTTGCCTAATGCTTCAGTTACCATGTTCTTATTCCAGCCAATAAGAAGGAAGAATGGAGGAAGAAGAGCATCACCCCCCGTTTAGGGACACTTCCTCACAGTATCACAGAACACATTCACTTCCATACCATGACCTGTTGTTTGGAACATAGAGAAATGTCTCCTTCTTGTTTCAAGTTCAACTAGGAAGTGTGGTTGTTGTTCCAGAAAACCATGTTCCCAATTAAAATTAGCAGGTCTCATACTAAATAAATAAATAAATAGAGAATGGATAGCCACTCGATTTTAATTTAAAAAGCGTTATAATAACAATATTACATGATATATAGGAACAAATTTAAAAAACAGCAACCAAAAGCCAAAGAATATGTGACAAAAGATGGAGAAAATTATTAAAGATGACTAAAAAAATTGTAATAGATTATCTTAATAATATAATAGTAGATCTGAATCTTAATAAGGGATATAGCATGCTCATGGATAAAAAGACTCAATAGTATAAAGACTTTATTTTCATCAAATTAAGCAGTGGATTCAAAGCAATTTCAATAAAAATCTCAGCTGGATTTTTAATGAAATTGTCAAGCTAATCATAAAATTCACAAGAGGTCAACAAGTAATTTTGAAGAAGAATCAAATGGCAAGACTTACCCTACCAGATATTAAATAATAATGATGTAGGAAAGGTATTGGCATAGGAGTAGAAAAACAGACAAATCAAACAAAATAGAGGCATAAAAATACTCAAGCATACACAGAAACTTGATATCTGACAATGAGGAAAATATGTAGTGTATGAGTCCAGTTTCATGCTGCTGATAAAGACATACCCAAAACTGGGCAATTTACAAAAGAAAGAGATTTATTGGACTTACAGTTCCATGTGGCTGGGGAGGCCTCACAATCACAGTGGAAGGTGAAAGGCCATCTCACATGGTGGCAGACAAGAGAAGAGAGCTTGTGCAGGGAAACTCCTGTTTTTAAAACCATCAGATCTCATGAGACTCATTCGCTATCATGAGAACAGCGCAGGAAAAACCTGCCCCCATAATGCAATCACCTCCCATCAGGTTCCTCCCATGACGTGGGAATTGTGGGAGTTACAATTCAAGATGAGATTTGGATGGGGACACAGCTAAACCATATCATGTAGCATACAAATCAATGAGTGTATTAGAGATTTATCTATCTATCTATCATTTATCTATCTATCTGTATATATAGAATTTGCTTACACAGACGTAAAGGCTGGCAAGGTCAAAATCTTCAGGATAATCAGTGGGCCTGAGACCCAGGGAAGAGTTAAAGTTGCAGTGTAAGTCTGATGGAATTCTGTTGGCAGAATTGCCCCTTCTTCAGGGGAGGTCAATCTTTCTATTCAGGCCTTCAGCTAACTGGATGAGGCCCACCCACATTATGGAAAGTAATCTGCTTTAATTATATTCTAATGACTTAAATGTTAATCACATCCAAAAAAACAAATACCTTCATGGAAACCTCTAGAATACTGTGACTAAATATCTGAGTGCCATGGCTTGGTCAAGTTGACACATAAAGTTAACCACTGCAGTGTAGCAAGATAGAGCTTTATTAAATGTGATGCTGGGACAAATATTTATCCATGTACAAAAAAGTAATAGATTCCCAGTCCCTTCACTTCAAAAATTAATCCTAGATGAATTAAAGCCTAGATGAATTAAAGCCTAGATGAATTAAAGCCTTCAATGTGAAATGTAACTTTCAAACATTTAGAAAAGAGTGCAGGCTATTTTTGTTGTCCCAGAGTAAAAAATGAATTTATTAAACACAACAAAAACACAAACTATAAAGGAAAATTGATAAATTCAGTTACCTAAAGGTAGAAACTGTTCCTTCAAAAAGAAACTGTAAACAAAGTCCCTAGACAATGACAAACTAGAAAAATATTTGTTATGGTAGAAATAACAAAGTCATAGTATCTATATTTTTTAAATGTCTTCAAATTGGTAACGAAAAGACAAATAAGCAAATGAAAAAGTAGGCAAAGGACATCAGAAGGCAATTCACAGAAGAGGAAACTTGAGTGGCCAATAAAAATGTAAAACTTGTTCAACCTCTTTGGTAATCAGGAAAAGAAAGTAAGAAAATGTTTTGCTATTTCACATCCGTTATATTAGAAAGAGAAAGTCTAATAATTCCATTTTGTGGTAACAAAAATGTGAAAACAGGTAACTCATGCCCTGCATAATGAAATTACTTTAAAGAAAAATTTGGTATTATTTAGTGAAATTAAATACGCACACTCATTTCAAATCAGCGGTTGATTCTTCATATATCTCCTTGAGAAACCCTCCTATCTATGAACAAGAAACAAGAAGGAATGAACATGGTGGCATCATTTGTAATAGTTAAAATTTTTTTTAAATTGCTCTGAATATGACAGAGCACTGTTGTGGGTATCAGATGTTCCTTATATTATTCAATGTACTTGCCTGTCATGGTTTAATGTTTCAAATAAAAATTCAAATAATATTTCAAAATAAAAAATACTAAGAGTTGACTAGTAATCAACCCTTTTTTAAACTGCCTTTGTCACAAAACTTTTTAAAACTGCCTTGGTCACAAAAAGGCTAATATCTGTTCCAAAGACATAATTTTTAACAGATTATTAAAAATGTAAAGTGATTTCCTGACGTGGTTCCATTCAACATACTCTACAGAACATTCTTTTTTTAAACCTTTTATTTTAAGTTCAGCAGTAAAAGTACAGTGTTGTTACATAAGTAAACTTGTGTCCCAGGGGTTTGTTGTACAGATTATTTCATCACCCAGGTATTAAGCCTGGTAGTCATTAGTCATTTTTCCCGATCCTCTCTCTTCTCCCACCCTCTACCCTCTGAAAGGCCCCAGTGTGTGTTGTTCCCCTCTATACACAACATCCTTAATTTCCTTAAATTCCATTAAGTACAATCTACAACACGTTTGTACATTCTTAGTAAATTTTTCCACTGATATTAAGGACCCACTGGTGAGCAGAAACATAGTAAATTGTTAAAGGAAAACATAAATATTTAAAGTGTTAATCCAAACAGAAGAAAAAGATATAACTAGTTCTTTTAACAACAATTTGTAATATGCATTCATTATATTTGTGTACACATTACTCTACTTGGCATGATATGTAATAAAACCTTGCTAATATTCTTCAGTTAAATCCTATGTACTAGAAATTAAAGATTGCTGCCTTCAACTTTAGAATATTTGAAGTTATACAGTAATAAAGAAAGGTGCAACAAAACTTCACTCTCCTCTTTTCCTTTCTTGCATGGACCTTAAGTTGTATCCAGTGTATATAATTAGTTTTGTGAAAACCATGTGGCATCTCAGCCAATGGAAAAACCACAGGCTAAGGAGTAAGAGAGATTTGGTTCCATCACAAGTTTTGCCACTTTCTAAACATGTGACTTGACTTGAGAGTTTTCCCCATATTGAGCTTCAGCTTTTTTCCTATAAAATCTAGATAACATTACCCACCTTTCAGGGTGAAAGCTCAATGAATACACTCATACATAAAGTGTAAACAGCAGTCATACAATACATGCCAGCAAGTTGGAGCTATTATTACCAGCCTTTAGGTAAGAGAGTGTACATTTCAGCTCATATTTCAATTTAGGAATAGCTTCAATCAAATTCCATAATGGTGCAGTCTGAATGAAGAAAATTATTCAGTCATTCAAAGTCAATGATTTGCAATCAAACTTTAAAGGCACTTGAAAATCTTGGGGAAAATGTATCACTGCCTATGGTAATTTTTGGATTTTGAGCAATACTTGCTATGGTTTGAATGTTTGTGCCCCTTTAAAATTCATGTTGAAACTTAAACGCCAACTTGATGGTAATAAGAGGTGGGGCCATTAAGTCATGAAGGCTCTACGCCCATGAATGCCATCAGTGCTCTTCTAGAAGAGGGTTTAAAGACCTGCCTGGCCCTTCCATCTCTTCTGCCATGCAAAGACATAACCTTTGTCCCGTTCTGCTCTCCCACCTTTCCCACCATGTCAGGATACTGGGAGAAAACGCCATCCATAGAACAGGCTCTCACCAGACACCAAATCTGCTGACACCATGATCATGGGCTTTCCAGCCTCCAGAATAGTGAGGAATAAATTTCTGCTGCTTATAATACCCAGTCTGTGGTATTTTGTTATAGCAGCAGGAATGGTCTAAGGCAATATTTATTCATGGAAAGACATGCTCATCTATAAATGGGCCATAGCATGTACATTGATAGAAGCACAGAAAAAAAAACTGCTTTAAATGTATACACTCATTTTATTAAACACAGTTCTACTCTTTACAAGTTCATATGTTGTATCATGCTTGCTGTGGCAGCCATGAGTGGAGCTGCTTGGCTTTTCCTTCAAGAAAGAACTTGCTGCAAGAAGTACAGGTAGCTGACAGCACCCTAATGCAGTACCTTTTTGACCTACTACAGTCTTCAAGCCACAGCTGCTCTCACCGGGAAGTTTCCAGCCAATGAATAAGTGTGGTGGCGGTGCTAGGGCCCAGCCATTTCTGCAAAATATATACCTTCTCTACGGGACATCTTTGCACCAGAGCTTCTCATTAGTTTGAGAGCAAGACGTGCAGCTGTATCATAGCATAAGGCTCTTCACACTCAATCCCTGCTCCTACCCACTCTCAAGTCATAGTACTTGCTATAGAAGTAGTACATCCTGATCTGAAGGCTTTCCTGCCAACTCTTGTGCCTGCTACACTTCATCTTCCACAAGTGTAACCTCTCAGTAAATCTCCAGCACTTGCTTCTGTTCTTAGCTTCTGTTTCCTGGAGTCCCTGAATTGACACAGGGAAAATAAATATTCTTGCCCAAAAGAAACTTAGAATCTAGAATTGAATATAAATTGTAATATAATCTATAATAGAAATTAATTATATTACTATGACAGTAGGTACATTTTAAGCACATTATGATCAGTCCATTGAAAGCAAAATAATTGTAAACCTACCTTCCACCCTAAAAGCTAATAAGACGCAGTGACTTTATAGATATGTAGGTATATGTTCTGCTATAATCTCCCAGGAACAAATAGGACAGATGTAGGGCAGTGGTTATGAAAAAAATTTCAACTTTAACGATCAGATTTCACTATGGCTAACAAGAATGGTAGCTGTAGTTACTCCAACTAACATTACCCAACACTATTGAAACCTTTTTCTTTTTGAGGAATTATGAAGTATGATTGACTCCTTGCTTCTGAACTCTGAGGAACCATTCTTGAGATTTATTGACTAGTTGAATTGACACATAGACATACAAGCAGAAAAGTAGTATTCGAGGAGATGAATGACAATGTATCCAACATATTTATTTATTTTACAAATATTTGCTATGCCTTGTGGGCAAATCTCACTGGAAGTGCCTAGCACTACTGGAAAGTTATAACATTAAAAGAAATATGAATAGTCTCTCAAGGAACTTAGAGTCTAGTCAAGGAATTCAAGATTATTTGGATATTTCCATTTTAAAGTCATACTTGCAAATTAGAAATATTTAAAAATCAGAAGAAAGTAGCCAGAAGAGAAGCAGATTAAAACAATAAAGATAAATGCAAGGCATCAATGTGTTAAAGAGGCTAAAACAAAATGCTATGGCAGTCCGGAATAAGGAGCAATACCTCTCCTGGGTTGAGAGCAGAAAAAGGGGATATTACAGAAGATTTCATAAAGGAGGTGGAATTGGAGATAGGAGGGATGGGATTTGGACTTAAGCACAGGCTCAAAGCTGTGCCCCGCCCGGAAAGAAAGTAACAAGGAGAGGAGAGCACAATGGCAAGGATAGGTGAGGTCTTGAGAGGAGGAGGGGCATTACCTCAGGTGTGCTGGCATAAAGAATGAATCAAGAGATATATGAGAAATACGGTTGGAGAGTTAAGTTGAGCTGGATTTGGAGGGCTTTGAGTGCTACACAGAGAGGTCTTACTTTATATACCCCATATGAAAACCAATCAATGTACTATACCACATTACAGAATGAAGGCAAAAAATCATCATCTCAATTGATGCAGAAAAAAAAGCATTTGACAAAATTCAACACCTTTTTATGATAGAAAAACAATAAACAAACTGGGAATAGAAGAATATCATGTAAACAAAAAACCCATATATGAAACACCCACAGTGAACATACTCAATGATAAAATGCTGAAAGCATTTTCTTTAAGATCAGGGAAAAGGCAAGAATATTTGCTTTGCTACTTCCATTCAACACTGGACTGAAAATGTAAGCTACAACAATTAGGCAAAATAAGTAAATAAAATGCATTCAAACTAGAAAGAAATAAGTAAAATTATCTCTGTTTGTGGATGATATAATCTCACATATAGAAAACCCTAAAGATACACACACACACACACACACACACGCACACCTGTTAGAAATTAATAAATGAATTCAAGGAGGTTCAGAAAAGAAGAAGGGAATGATGAAAAATGCACAGGCATGCTCTTTTACTGTAAGTGAGCACAAATTAAAACATCAGGACCATCTTTGACTTCAATGTCACAAATACCTCTGATAAACAAGCAAAACTTTTCTATACATTTGAAAAATAATTACAATAAAGAACAAGTGACTTAGTCAACCTGAAGAGAGATCATGGAAAAGTACTTTGCATTTTCTTTAACTTTTTAAATATGTATTTCTACATTTGATACTGCTTTTATACTGCTTCAACACATTTCACCATCAAAATAAGTATCTGATATTTACGTGCAAAGACCATGGCATATTAAAAACTTCACTTGGCATGGAATGGGAGATTTAAGTTCTGGGTTGTGTCAGAAAGCTTTAAGCTCCAAGTGATAGAAAACATCAACTCAACTAGCCAAAATAATGAGGAATTATCATCTCACATAACTAGACATCCAGGCCAGGAAGTTTCCAAAATTGGTTAATTCAGCAGCTCAGTAACATTAACAAGAACTCCAGCGATTTCCACCTTTCTGCTCTGCCACTCTTATCATCCTGGTTTCCCTTCAGTCTAGTGCTCCTCATGGTGACAAGGTGGCTGCCTCAGTTTAAGGCATCAAATCCCAAAGGAATGTGCAGACCAAAAAAAGGAGGGTGTCTGTCCTGTGTCTCTGTTTTCATGAGCCAGAGATCCTTTAGAAGAACCCCTTCAGCAGACTTTGCCTCCCATTTCATTAGTCAGTTACTACATCAATTCACATACCCCTTCTTAAACTGATCACTGGCAAAGGGATTGGGGTTGCATGATTGGCTGAAGCCAGTCTAGATTAGCTCTGAGTCAGTGAGGTAGAGGGGGACACCCAAAAATTTAAGTGGAATGGCCTTGTGTTGGTGACTAACAATGCCTGCTGCATAATATCTCACCACTTTGTATGACTGTGTATGACACTTAATATCTTTGAGCCATAATGTCCTCATATGTTAAATAAGAAATTTCATAAACTCCATGTCATTTTTAACTTATTCTTTATGAAAATTTATCATTCTCTTCAATATGTAGAAGAATTTACAATGAAAAAAAATCTTTCTTCCAACTCTGACCCCAGTTTTCAAGTTTCCTTTCCGACTAGGAATCAATATAATTAGTTTTTAAGGCATCCTTCATGAGATATTTTATGCAAATACGGGCAAATGTTAGTATATATATTTTTGCTTTTCTTGAGAAAATAGTATCATATTATGTGCGTTCGTTTAGACTGTGCATTTTTGAGATATTTTTACATCAGTACATATAGGAGCAGCTCAGTCTTTCTTTTTTCGCTTTTCCTCAGATTTATATTATTTCATAATGTCCTCATCTGTTAAATAAGAAATTTCATAAACTCCATGTCATTTTTAACTTACTCTTTATGAAAATGTATCATTCTCTTCAATATGTAGAAGAATTTACAGTGAAAAAAAATCTTTCAAAAAATTATTTCAAATTTTTCTTCCCTTTAGTTGAATTTCTCATTTTTAGATTGACTGAAATTTAGGAAGGTGGTGGCTTAAAATTGCACTGTTTCAGATGAAATAAACAGAAATAAAACTAGAAAAAAATTGCAATTCATACACAGAAAAAGGATTTATTTCATATACACACACTCATATACACAAAAAAGAGAAGAAAAAGGACATCTACAATTAGGAAAAAATTCAATTAAAAATGGGCAGTTTATGAAGAGACAGGTCCTGAAGGAAAAAATACAAATGATTCTTAAATACATAAGAATGACTCAACCTCAGTCAAAAGAAGAGCAATGTGCATTAAAGCTAGGCTGCGATACCAGTTTTTACACGTAACACTGGCAAACATCCAAATGTTTGGTAATGTCCTCTAGGGACAAAACTTCAAGAAAGCAGGAACTACATATGTTGCTTATAGGACTGGAAATAGGGGAGGCCACAATGGAGGGTAAACTGCCTATGGCTTTCTGTATCACAAATGTACCTGCCGTCTGACCCAAGAAAGCAACTTTTAAGAAATTATCCTGCAGATGTACCTCTGGTAACAAGATAATTTACTGCAAATTTATTTTTTAAAACAAAAGACTATAGATGTCTAAGTGTTCATCAACAAAATATTGGTTAAAAAATAGTGTACTGAATTCATATAGATAAATAATATAAATCTGAGGAAAAGCAAAGAAAAAGGAAAGACTGAGCTGCTCATATATGTAGTGACGTAAAAATATCTCAAAAAAGCACAGTCTAAACAAACGCACATAATATGATACTATTTGCTCAAGAAAAGCAAAAATATATATACTAACATTTCCCATATTTGCATAAAATATCTCATGAAGGATGCCTTAAAAACTAATTATATTGATTCCTAGTCGGAAAGGAAACTTGAAAACTGGGGTCAGAGTTGGAAGAAAGATTTTTTTTTCACTGTAAATTCTTCTACATTTTAAGTATTTAACTATATGAATGTATTGCTCATTCAAAGTTAAAGGCAAATTTACATTGTTATAATAGATGACATAAAATAAACAGGTTGCTTCAATATCTATCTCATAAAATGTAACATTAATCATCAGTTGAAAAAATCTACATATATATTTCTATCCAGGAAAAAAACACCTTAAACAATTTTTAAGAATGTACAAGTAGATTTTTGACAGTTTTTGCTCACTAATTATTGACTATCCCTAATTATGATGCATAGGGGGTGATGATATTGGCTCACAACAGTGTGCATCTGGAAACTGATTATGTATAGAAATAAAATTTTAGTGCCCTATATTTGGCTGAGGCAGCCATGTCGTCCACTCACAAGAAGCACCTTCAGGTCAGGAAAGGAGCCAATACATTTCCCAATTTCCTGGTTCATCTGGCACAAACCAGCAAAATATGATTAGACCCACGATAAAGATCAGCTCAAAGCTTCATATCATTATGGAGTTTGTTTTTTTTCTTAAAGATGGAAATCAATATCACAATTTAGGCAAGTACACATAATATTTATTTTGAATACCAGACAACAAGAAAACTTCTCTGATTTTAGTTACAGCAAGCTATTTTGGGAAAACAATAACAGTTTAGGTTATAATCTGGGGACAACAAGAGGGTTGTCCAGAACAGTTTAATTAACCATTGCCAGAAATGGAACTCCTCTCTGTACATCTTGATTGTATCTCAACCCAACAATACAATTTTTGACTTCATATTCTAATATATATGCATATTTATTCATTTGTAGTTATCTACCTACATGTAGTTGTTTAGTAATAACTTATATGCACTATACATTTTGCATAAGAAATATCAACTTTTAAAATATAAAGAGAAAAATAAATATAAGTAAAAATTCTAATATTTACTTCTCACCTCCAATGTTATGCCTTCTCTGTGGTGTGCACACCCTAACATGGAATATCAAAAATTAGTTAACTTAGTAATTTTGTCATAATTTTCATACAATTAGACTTTTTTATTTGTGATAATATTTATAATTAGTACCTTTATCTAAACAGATAAAATGACTTAGATAAGATAATTTCATTGATCTAAAAGATATTTCACAATCCTGAACTACACATAAGGCTGTGTTTTGCTTGCTTTGAATGAAAAAAGGATTAAGAACTAGCTATCACTGCCCTTAGGGAGCCTAGAACTTAGTAGGGATGTTGAAATCTATACTTTTATGGAAAAGATATATTATTATGACGCGATAACTACAGTACACTCCAGTGCTTTGGAGTTTAGAGGATAGAACATATGTCATCTCGACAGGAAGCTTCAAGAAAAGCTTGATTGAAATAGCTAGGGTACATCTTGGTTTTGCCTCATGAGAAGCCTTTCAACCAACAGAGGTGGCCATGGGCAGGGGATGGTGAGGCCAAGATGCCATTCCAGGCAGGTAGAGTGGCAGGAGCCATACAGGTAGAATTAAGTCCTTGTTCAAAGGACAATGAGAGGTCAGCTGGAAGTGTAAACTGGGAGTCAGGCTATGGAAGGATTTGAATTGCTAGCTAAAGCTTTGGGTGTTTACTTGGCACACACCAAGAAAGCTCTGGAGAAGATATAATGGAATTGAAAGAACTCTAGGAGTTAGGACACCTGGGTTCTAGTGCTACTTATACTTACTTGATTTGGGGAAAATTACTCAGTCTCCCTAAGCCTCATTTTCTTTCTCAGATGAAAGCTTTCTTCACTGCTGATATTCTATAGCTCCTCACGGACTTTTCAGCTCGCCTTGGTTTAAGTTGGAGTCTGTTTAAAAGAATATCTTCATAATCCCAAGGAGGATTATGGTTGCCTAAACTAGGGAGGTGACAATGGAAGGTGGAAGTGGTGTCCACAGTAACAGAATAAGTACTTTTCTGATACAGGCTCTATCTTATAGGTTTGTTCAAAGGCAATTGTGTAGAAAGATGAAATGATTGCATTGGCAAGATCATACCACTGGGGCATAATGAGCAATTGGAAACAGGGTAAAGGCGTGAGAAAAATGCAAGATAATTCTAAAATTGTTAAACTACATTACCCAAAGAATTTCAGTACCATTAACAGGGAGATTGGGATAGTAAAATAAAAATATTCCAGAAGGAGGTGAGAACAGTTTGGGACCTATTAAATTAAAGTGGGTGGAAGAAGATTGTCAAGGTCGAAATGTCCAGCAAGGAGTTGATAACTTAAAACTAAGTTTGAGCATCATCCTTTATGAAGGGAAAATTAAAGATTAATAAATGTTTTCAAAATGTATATAAAGACATAGGAAAGTACTCTGGAAATGTTTTCAGGCAGAAACACAATAAGGGGTGTGTGTGTGTGTGTGTGTGTGTGTGTGTGTGTGTGTGTGTGTACATTATATACATAGATATATGTCAGAAAGTATGCATGCATCTATATGTCCATAGAAAAAAAGTAAGAACAAAATAATCAAAATTTCACTTATTCAGTCTACATTTTGACTATATATGAACAAATGAATCTTTATACTGTTTATACTCTTTCATTTTTCTATGAGCATACATAACTTTTTTTAACAGAGAATATAACACATGAATTTAGTTATTTATTTTTTAGCATATTAATTTTATTTTACCTTTTAAGTTCAGAGGTACATGTACACGATGTGCACATTTGTTATGTAGGTAAACTTATGCCACAATGGCTTGCTGCACAGATCATCCCATCACCTATGTATTAAGAACAGCGTCCATTAGTTATTCCTCCTGATGCTCTCCCTCTCCTCACACCGGCCTTCAACAGGCCCTAGTGTGTGTGGTTCCCCTCCCTGTGTCCATGTGTTCTCATCATTCAGCTCCCAGTTATAAGTGAAAACATGTGGTGTTTGGTTTTCTGTTCCGACATTAGTTTGCTAAGGATAATGGCTTCCAACTCCATCCATGTCCCCTGCAAAGGACATGATCTCATTCCTTTACGTGGCTGCACAGTATTCTATGGTGTATATGTACCACATTTTCTTTACCCAGTTTATCATTGATGGACATTTGGATTGATTCCATGTCTTCGCTATTGTGAATAGTGCTGGAATGAACATAGGCATGCATGTATCTTTATAATACAGTGATTTATATTCATTTGGGTATATACCCAGTAACGAGATTGCTGGGTCAAACAGTATTTCTGCTTTTAGGTCTTTGAGGAATTGCCACACTGTCTTCCACAATGGTTAAACTAATTTACACCCCCAATAACAATGTAGAAGTGTTCCTTTTTCTCTGCAACCTCACTAGCATCTGTTTTTTTTTTTTTTTTTGACATTTTAGTAATAGCCATTGATTGGCATGAGATGGTACCTCATTGTGGTTTTGATTTGCATTTTTCTAATAATCAGTGATATTGATCTTTTAAAAATATGTTTGTTGGCCACATGTATGTCTTCTTTTGAGAAGTGTCTGTTCATGTCCTTTGCCTACTTTTTAATGGGGTTGTTTGGTTTTTTCTTATAAATTTGTTTAAGTTTTCTTGTAGATTGGATATTAGACCTTTGTCAGATGGGTAGATTTCAAAAATTTTCTCCAATTCTGTAGGTTGTCTTTTCATTCTGATGATAGTTTCTCTTGCTGTGCAGAAGCTTTTTAGTTTAATTTGATCCCATTTGTCAATTTTTGCATTAGTTGTAATTGCTTTTGGTGTCTTTGTCATGAAATCTTTGTCCATGCTTATGTCTTGAATCATATTGCCTAGATTTTCTTTTAGGTTTTTTTATAGTTTTAGGTTTTACATTTAAGTCTTTAATCCATCTTGTGTTAATTTTTGTATATGGTGTAAGGAAGGGGCATTGTCTCAGCCCAAAAGCTTCTGAAACTGATAAGCAACTTCAGCAAAGTCTCAGGATACAAAATTCATTTGCAAAATCTGCTAGTATTCCTTTACACCAACAACAGGCAAGCAAAGAGCCAAATCGTGAATGAACTCCCATTCACAACTGCTAAAAAAAGAATAAAATACTTAGGAATACATCTAACAATGAACATGGAAGACCTCTTCAAGGACAACTACAAACCAGTTCTCAAAGAAATCAGAGAAGATACAAACAAATGGAAAAATATTCCATGCTCATGGATAAGAAGAATCAATATTGTGAAAATAGCCATACTGCCCAAAGTAATTTATAGATTCAATGCTATTCCCACTAAACCACCATTGATATTCTTCCAAGAATTAGAAAGAAACTATTTTAAAATTCATATGGAACCAAAAAAAGAGCCCAAATATCTAAGACAATCCTAAGCAAAAAGAATAAAGCTAGAGACATCATGCTACCCAACTTCAAACAATACTAGAAGGCTGCAGTAACCAAAACAGCATGATACTGGCACAGGAACAGACATATAGATCAATGAAACAGAATAGAGAACTCAGAAATAAGACTGCACACCTACAACCATCTGATCTTCAACAAACCTGACAAAAAAAAAAGCAAGGGAGAAAGGATTCCCTATTTAATAAGTAATGGGAGAACTGGCTAGCCATATGCAGAAAATTGAGTCTAGGTAACTTTTATAAGTAGAAATAAAAACAGTTAAAAGGAAATACAAAAATAAATTGGTAATAAAAAAGTTGCTATTAAACCTTAATAAGGCTTTTTAAACATAAATATCTCTAAAAACCAGGTCTGTTTCAGAAGTTCTCATACTAAAAAAATCACAACTCACAAAGCTTCATGAGGCACAATGCAAGAATTAACTATTTCAAGTCTACATAGTTCCAGATAAAAACATTTAGACATTTATTCTCACATTCCTGGTTGAATCAAGCACATTCTACCTGTCTCCTTCCATAAAAGGTTTCTGTATACTTAAAGAAGATAGGGAAATACATTTGGACATGGAGAAAATCTTTGAGGAGAAAACGTAAGTGTCAAGATAGAAAACATGAGCTTCAACAATACAGGATTACCCTATTAACTAACTCTATCACTAAGCATTAGAACTGAGACTTCAGTATTAATATAATGTTTTAATACATGTTGGCAGTATCTTATCCCTTAACCCCTGAAAACAAAAGCTATATCAAATATAAGAGAAGTCTAACAGGGGAAATGATACACTTTTTTATTCAATCTAGAATTAAGCAAACTAATTTTTTAAGTCAAATGTCACCAAAATATAAAGAAAAGGTAAGTAAATTGGTTGTGTCTATGAGACTCTTATTTATGCTGACATTAACTATAATTAGGCTGGAGTAAAATATAGTGGATAATCCATCAAATACGAGATCCCAGGATTCCACTGTAATTGGTTAGTATTTTTCTTTCCCAGCTGCTTGAAAAGAAGCTGTTTGAGTTACACCAAGTGACCTGAGACATTCATTCCTAATGAGAACCCTCTCAGAGCCACCTGAATATAATAAAACCATAAGTAACCCATGTTATGATACAGAGAATACATAGTGATAGGGACGAAGGAGAGATCTATCTTGTATAACATTTGTATGGGAAGTAGCTCAGGCATCTATACATTTTTTTAACCCAATTATAACAATCACTGTATCAGCTTAGACTACTGGCCCCACATCTGCAGCACCAACAAGTGATATCCAGCTTGATAGTAAAACTAGTTTAGAACAATTCTTCAAAAGGAACCATTGCACCATAGTTGACTTTCTAATCTCCTCTCTGTAATTTCTCATGCATTCGGGAAGGCACGTAGCATTTTGGACAGAACACAGGTTTTGGAACTAGACAGGGCAGGATTTAAACCCTAGTGCCACCCTGTGTTATCACCCTACAACCTTAGACTAGGCATTTAATTACTTAGAATCTGAGTTTTTGCATCTGTTAAAGAGGGGAAAAAATGTCACAGGAGAAAAATAACACAGGGGATAATTGTGAAAATTAAGTGATATAACAACATACAAATATTGTAACTATATCAAATCAATGTTATTTTAGCAAATTGCTATGTAACAAAAAAGTACTGTATTAGTTTCTCCAGAGAAACAGAACCAACAGGGTGTGTGGGTGTGGGTGTGTGTGTGTGTGTGTGTGTGTGTAGAGAGAGAAACAGAGACAGAGATTTAATAATAAAGGATTAGCTTACACAATTATAAAGACTGAAAAGTACCAGAATTTGCAGTCAACAAGCTGAAAACCCAGGAGATACATAATGATCTAAGTTCTTGTTCAAGACCTGGTTGGCTTGAGACCTCAAAAGAGCCCACGTTTCACTTCAAGTCCAAAGGCCTAAAAACACTAGTGTCTCAGTTCAAGCACTTAGGTGGGTGGGGTTGGGGGTTCCTATCTTACTCATAGGAGGGTCAGCCTTTTTGTTCTATTCAAGCCTTCAACTGATTGGGTGGGGGTCACCCACATTAGGGAGGAAAATCTGCTTTACTCAGACTCCTGAATCAAATGTTAATCTCATTCAAAAGCACCCTCACAGACACACCCAGAATGTTTGACCAACTATCGGGGCACCCTGTGGCCAAGTCAACCTGACACATAAAATTAACCACCACAACTGCAAAACCTCAGTGCTTTGCAAGGAGCATTCATCCTCCTCAGACCACTGGCTAGCTGAGGCACGATCTCACACAAATTGCAGAAACACAAGAGAACATGCCCAACTGCACAAGCCCATTTCAAGCACCTGCTCACATCATGTCTGCTAACATCTAGTTAGCTAAAGCAAGCGACATGGCACTCTGAATATTAAAAAAGCATGGAAATATATCCTCCTATAGTAGGAGAAACCAAAAAGTCATAGAACAAAGGGCTTGGATACAGAAAATGGCAAAAATTAGGACCAGTAATGCAATTCACTATGGTAATCAGTGGCTGACACAGTTTAGATATTCAAAAAATTTTATTTGTGTGCTTTCCCACTCCCCTACCCCAGTTCCACTTGCCATTTTCCAAGGATTTTTCCATTTTTCTTTACTATATTCCACACAGAATATAAATATAATATTTTTTAAGATTTAAGATAGTGCTTTAAATAAGAAAATGCTCTTTCACTCTGTCAAAGGTTTTATGTACCAGGCAAGCTGCTATTTTAATTGATCCACCATATCTGTTATTTCACTTGCCTAAGAGTTTTACAATCAATTAGACACATACAGTGTGTTTAAGAAATGTACATCATGTTCTTCCACGTGCCCTACTTCACACCTGCCTACGTCAAATTTCACCTGCTATTATTTTTCTCAACTGGCTAGGTTTGTTCCACACTTATCTAACCAATTTATTATGTTCCGGGAGTCTTTAAAGAGCCTTTCTCATCTTTGCCCTGACTAAATAATTTATCATCAAATATGTTAACTGACATGCCATTCAGCCCTGCTTGTCAGAGAGCTCTTTAAAAATATGAACATTTCAAATCCCAATGGAGAAGGTGAAGATGTTGTACAATCAATTTATTTTCATGCTGTGACTTACCTTCTCTTCCTTGCTTTACCAATCTTTCAACTCATTCTTAAATCTATAATAGAATTTTACATCTTACCACAATGGCGGCATTGACTTTGGGTACTTCTTTATGGAACAAATATATGAAGATTTTATCATGATGGCAACAGTGACAGTTAATATCTTGAGGCAATGTGAAAGTCAGTCATAGAGAACTGAAAGGTTCCTATGGAATTTTAATCCTTAGAAGCCATTGTTTAACATCAGGATATGGTTTTAACTCTTAAGATGTCTTATTTCAAGAGAAGAACACTAATAATTTGCCCTTTCTAGGCAACACCACTACTTTATAGATAAAAAAAGCTGAGGTTAAATGAATTTAAAGAACTTGACCAGCATTACCAGGAACCAAAAAATAGAGCAAAGATATGAATCTTCTAATGGTTGATTACAAAATGCATCCCATAGCAATATTCAGATTTAAGTATCACATTCCAAAAATGAATTAAAGCAAGCAGACAAAATACCACTTTTTTCAAACTATACTCTCTTTTCTCAAATTAAAAAAAAGACATAGTCTAAGCTGAGAGTTTTTTCCTCTCATTTTGAGAATCAATCCTTTATAACATTAAAATCAGTTGAAGAAAAATAGTTTCTCCATACAGATGTTCAAAATCAATAGGCTAATCTATTTCTCTCACTATATAGTCATCGAATGTTTTTGATTATACATCCCCATTAGTAAAAATTTTTGCATTTGCATCTCTAATGTAAGTACATTGATTTGTAAATCATTTACATAAACTACTTTGATCTGTGTACTAAATTTCTCATAAAGCTAATGTTCTTTTCACTTATTAGGAAACAAACAAAATCAGAAGTTTTCATATCTTTTCCTCCACCTCAATGTGGGGAGAAAGGTAGTTAGTGCTAAATTATGAGCTCCTTGAAGTCCTCAACAATGTCTTATTTGACTCTTGAAGACCTAGCACAGACCTGGAACTGCTAGAAATGTAAATGAGGCTTATTAGATAGATTATGAATGAATAATGGAACTGACTTTTTTAGAAAAAATCAGAGTCAAGCTTTTGTTGTATTTCTTTAACTCCAGAATAATATCTTTTTCCAAGGACACAAGATAATTTACATTCCAGACTCAAATAACGTGAATTTTCCCATTAAAAGAAGCTACTTTCATGCCACAATACTCAAACCGTAGCTCTAAGATGGAATGGTTCATAGGGAAGAGCACTGAAGTCAGACCTCCTGATTTGAATTTCAGCACTGTCACTGGCTAACTTCATGCCCTTGTGCAAGTTACTGCAGCTCTTTCAGCACCTTTCTTATCATCTATTAGAAAAGGTTTGGATAGATCATTATGAATATCCCTCAAACTATCCCAATCTAAATAAGAGAATGCTTGTGATTTTTTATTCAAACATTTATATTTTATATATTTTAAGACTTATGTAAACATCCTGAAAAAAATAATTACTGAGTCAGTCCAATATCATACTGAGGAAAAAAATTATAAACTATTCTTTCTACTTCATGTACCTAAGTAAATAATCAAATGATGTCCAGAGGTGAGTAAGGATTCAGCTTGGTTTGATGTTCTACTGGATCCAAGCATAGTAATCTTTGTAAGGTACGCCATCCTTTAGTTCCTCCCACATAAACCCAAGCCTATAAATTCCAAACTCTGTGCCCCTATGAGGCCTACACTTTTGGTGGAACCTAAGGAGAGATAAAGGCAAGTAAATTAAGGCCAATATGTGATGCAATAAGGACTACAGTCATACAGTTACTTGCACTAGTCTGTTACTTTCTGTTCAGGAAATGGATGCAACTTGATTAAGTTTGTAGAAATACCATTATAGGAAAAGACCAAGAAAGAGGGTGATGGTCGGGGTAGAGAGATTTTCTTAGAATAGCTGAAAATTTTCATTTTAGAAAAATTAGCATTTGTTTATATAATTATATATACCATATAAATCATTCTGCCAGTCATACATTGTATCTAAAAATTATCTCTTGGGATATTATTAAATTTTGATATTTCAAAGACTACACTAATGTGAATGATTGAAATAAGTTATGCTATATCAATGAAAAATTCAGCCACCAAATGGCAATTTTCCATCAGAGATCCGCCTTTTATCTCTTGAGTTAGATTTATTTGTCTTTCTGGAAATAAGCATTCTTATCAGCTATTGAAGCAGTCACAATACAAAAGAGAAAGCTTAAATACTCTAAAGTTTCATAAAGCAAGATTCTGATCTCCCTATATTTCTTGCTTTGAGGAAAGTAAAGTCACGTACAGAATACAGACAAAATCAAAGAGGGCAAATTTTAATGTGCATTCAGCAGGACTAAAATAGAACCCTTAATTTTTTTCTCCTCCTTGAAATGGTTTCCTTAAGGAAATTCCACAATCAAATGTTCTGTGTGAGAAGTGCTACTGTCTGGACAACCTCCTGAGGAATAAAGTGGATTAGGAGAAGTTTCTCCTGGTTTAAATGTTGCATCATTAACAGAAACAGTTCTTTTGCTTTTTTTTTTTTTTTTTTTTTTTCTAATTCTAGTCAAGTACTTCCCCTCACAGACATGGGACCTAGAGCAAGGAGTCCCCAAATCCAAGATTTGAACAAATGCTGTCAGTATGTCACTTGAGTTTGGATAGAATAGTGTCTTAGTCTGTTTTCCGTTGTTTATAACAGAATATCTGAAACTGGATAATTTATAAAGAAAAATATACATTTCTTACAGTTCTAGAAGCTGGAAAGTCCAAGGTCAAGGGGCCACATGTGGTGAGGACCTGCTTGCTGTGAGGACTCTGCAGAGTCCTGAGGTGGCACAGGGCATCACATGGCAAGGGGGCTGAATGTGCTAGCTCAAGTCTCTCTTCCTTTTCTTATAAAGCCACCAGTCCCATTCCAATGATAATGCATTAATCCATTAACCCATGAATGTATATTAATCAATTCCAATCCAGAGCCCTCATGACCCAACCACCTCTTAAAGATCCTACCTCTCAATACTGCTACATGGGGATTAAGTTTCCACATGAGGTTTGGAGAGGGAAAACATTCAAACCATAGCAGATAATTATTATCCTTTTTTAAAAAGCTGAGGAAATTGAGGCCCAGAAAATTTAAATGACTTGCAAAACCAGACAGCTGGCAAATGGCAGAGTTTCGTTTACACCAAAGCTGACTATACCACATTAATACGTGAAGAAACTGCTGATGTTCCAGTTTGATTTTCACCTCAGCAATGGTGGAATAAGATATAAATTCTTCCAGGTACTCTTGTTATCTTACACAAGAGTAACCCCTACTATTAACTTGACTTTATATCATGAGCATTTTTTAATATTTAAAATTGAACACAACGTTTTTTCTCTAAAAACAAATCCACAGTTCCTTCACTAATCAGGTATATTCATAAAGTTTAAAACCAGGAAAAGTGAGGTACTCAGATTTATAAAGAAACCTACTATAGTAATAGGATTCTCCTTACAATTTTATGTTTTCATATCTTTGATTTCATTCTTTACAACATCTTTCTATAAAATCTAATTGCCACACCTCATGATTAGTCATAGGCTCCAAAGATTGTCATTTCTAAGCTAGTTCATCCAAAGAAGCTACAACAGGAGGAAAGATTAATGTCATTGTCTTAGCTACAGCAATGGCTTTTCCTAAATAAAAACAAAACTGAAGTGAGGACAAAAAGTGTATGTTCTAGTAAGAATAATTCTAACCTGTACCTACAATCTAGTGACCTTTCACTAAGAAATGGCTCTTTCCATTCTGATATTAATGCCTGCTCACCCCTTTTTCCTCACTTTCCTCAAAGAAAATTGGGACAGATTTTAGAATCATAATCAAGTGAATTTCTCCATCATCCCCACGGCATATAATGCATACACATGTATGTGTACACACATGTCCATTTATTTATTTACTTATTTATTTATTAGAAAAGCTACAATAATATGTCTTTCCTTACTAAAGCAAGATGATTATGCAAGCCCAGGCATGAAGAATTTGAGTAATTTTCTCTGGAACTTTACAAGCTTTGAATTTCTCACAATTTTCTTTCCTTAAAAACTAGTGAGTAAAGCGACACTTTAGAATTATGCAGAAAAAATACAGGACTTTAAACATAAATAGACTGGTAATTAGACTCCAAATTTGATAATGAAAGTAGCCTCAGGAGGTTTCACATACACTCATCTCACTCAACATGTCCTTACCCAGCTCAAGCATAAATTTTCATGGCATTTGGAGAATGATGCCACATTTTATGAAGTAAGCTATTGATTTTAATCATCACCAAATTTTAAGAAGAGGCTGGTGCAAACACAGGAGAACCAAAGATCATAAGGAATCAGTTTCTCTCCTCAAAAACTAACCAATCTAAGAAAGAAACTGGGCACAAACACAAGACATATAGCAGTACAATGTGCTTGTGACAAATTCTAAGATAAAATTTTGTAAGTCAAATTACATTCTTTCATTTCCTTTTTAATTATGTATTTACCAGTGCAAACAAATTGGATTTGTTTGAGCAACCACAGCAGCAAATTTCAGCCATGACTTAATAAGGGTGAGTAGAGGCCGAGTGCAAACATAAAATCCACCTGGAAATTGCTTTTGGGTATTATAGGCCAGTATCAGAGCTCAGTGTACAATAATATATTAACAGGACTTTTATGCCTGGTTTCCTTGCTCAGAATGCTAATTGCTATATTTGTGCTAGTATGTAATGCAACTACCAGCTGTCACATAAGTTGTTTTATTTGGTTTTCACAACCCAGAGAGATGTATTGAAAATTTTGAAATGAGGATGCTGAAGCCCAGGGTACCTTAGCTAACCTGCCAAGGTCACACCACAACTTGGCAGTAAACATAGGACATGATCTTGAGTTCTTTCTCCTTATCCACACTGATCTGCTTGTCATAAAGTCAAGGTAAGCAATGCAATCCTTGAGTGAATAAGTTTGCTTTGTGCAGTTTTTCAGTCAATCTGCACCTGAGCCAGGAAGCAGTCTCATAAATGTGTTTTGTGGGCCACAAGTCTATCAGTGAAAGATTGTGGGTGAATCAGTAAAAACAACTCAAAATGAATGTTCTACCAATTCTGGTCCAGGAGCTATCTACCTATCTTCTTCCATGAAAAATATGCTTATAAATTATATTACAGACAGCCAACTTAAAAACTGGCGTTCTTTGGAGCTATCTCTATCCCCAAAGCCCTGATACAAAGTTTACAAATCTGTTGCCATGGTTCCATGCATTCCCACAATAAGTTCCAATTTGCATAGGTCTGTTCCTTATAGATTGTAAAGAGCAGGCACAGAACCAGGACAGTTGTTGCAGAAGAGGGAGATAAATGCAGTAGAACAGTGTTTAGAGTTGAGCTTTCATGCTGGTGACTCTCAAAGCAGAGTGGTCACGGTTCTAGGGTGTTGCGGGGAGTCAGGGACTCCAAACAAAGAGACCGGCTGGAGCCATGGCAGAGGAACATAAATTGTGAAGATTTCATGGACATTTATCAGTTCCCAAAATTAATACTATTATAATTTCTTACACTTGTCTTTACTGCAATCTCTGAAGGTAAATTGTGAAGATTTCATGGACATTTATCAGTTCCCAAATAATACTCTTATAATCTCTTATGCCTGTCTTTAATCTCTTAATCCTATTATCTTCCTAAGCTGAGAATGTACGTCACCTCAGGACCACTATTGTACAAATTGATTGTAAAACGTGTGTTTGAACAATATGAAATCAGTGCACCTTGAAAAAGCACAGAATAACAGTGATTTTAGGGAACAAGGGAAGACAAGCAAAGGTCTGACTGTCTGTGGGGTCAGGCAGAATAGAGTCATATTTTTCTTCTTGCAGAGTCTATAAACAGACATGCAAGTAGGAGAGATATCACTGAATTCTTTTCCCAGCAAGGAATATTAATAATTAATACCCTGGGGAAGGAATGCATTCCTGGGGGGAGGTCTATAAACATCTGCTCTGGGAGTGTCTGTCTTATGCAGTTGAGATAAGGACTAAAATACTCCCTGGTCTCCTGCAGTACCCTCAGGCTTATTAGGGTAGGGAAAAGATCCCACCCTGGTAAATTTGAGGTCAGACAGGTTCTCTGCTCTTGAACCCTGTTTTCTGTTGTTTAAGACGTTTATCAAGACAATACATGCAGAGCCGAACATAGACCCTCATCAGTAATTCTAATTTTGCCCTTTGCCTTGTGATCTTTGCTTTGCCCTTTGCCTTGTGATCTTTATTGCCCTCTAAAGCATGTGATCTTTGTGACCTACTTCCTGTTTGTACAACCCCCTCCCCTTTTAAAGTCCTTAATAAAAACCTGCTAGTTTTGCAGCTCAGGCAGACATCACAGACCGACTTATATGTGATGTCATCCCCAGAGGCCCAGCTGTAAAAGTCCTCTCTTTGTACTCTTTCTCTTTATTTCTCAGACCAGCCGAAACTCAGGGAAAATAGAAAGGACCTACATTGAAATACTGGGGGCTGGTTCCCCTGATATCTAGGGAGACATCAGAACCATGTGGTGTGGTAGATTATGTCCCAAAATGGCAGCAACAAACCCTGGCATTCCCATGTCCTTTCAGAAATGTGACTGTACCCTCCTTTCATCAAGAGGTTGTACATACTTCCACTCTATTAGAAGCTGAGTTAGCTCTGTGCCTTACTTTAATTTTGGTGCTATTTGAGTTTTGGACCTAGATCTTAAGAGTTTTAAAGCTTCTGTTTGTATCACCTTGGAAGCCAGAGATCATGTAGAGAATCTGGGGCTAGACTACTGAATGATGAATGACCATCATTCTGGGACTGAGAATGCTCCCAGCCTTCAGACATAGCCATCAAGGACCCAACATGTGGCCATAGGTGGGGCTATCTTGAACCTTCCTCCTCAGCCCAGCTGCTAGATGACTGCAACTTCCTGAGTTAGCCAGGGAAGACCAGCAAAAGAACCCCTGTGCCAACCCAAAGAATCATGAGAAAATAAATGGTCGTTGTTTTAAACCACTGTTTGGGTAGTTCATTACACAGAGAAAGATACCTAAAATACCAGAGAGCTTTTCTGAAATACCCATACACCTCTAATTTCTTCCCTTGGACTCTGACACCCTGCCTGTCTTCCCAAGGACCTCAGATTTATCAGGTATGAACCCATAAGATGACTTTTTCCTGCCCTCCAGTTATTCAAGTGAAGACAATTAATCATAGTACCAGCCAGCTTGTGTTAAGTACCATAATGAAGGAGCATGAAAATGTTGTACTTTATCAGAAAAGCACCCCACCCTTGGTGTCAGAAAAAATGAAAATTATTTATTTAAAGAACTGTTAAAAGTAATTTTCATTCAAAAACAACAACAAAAAAATTTAAAAAATGGACAAATGACTACAATAGAAATATCTCCAAAATTCTGGAGAAATTTTTATTGGCCAGTAAGCACATGAAACAATATTTAACATCACAGATCACTAACGAAATTACAAATCAAAACCATAATGAAATACTACCTGACATCCATTGAAATGATTACCATAAAAAATAGATAATACTAAGTAGTATTGGCAAGGATGTTAAAAAAATTTTAACCCTTGTGCAATGTTGGTGGGAATGTAAAATGGGGCAGCCTCTGTAGAAGGGTACAGTGGTGTCTCAAAAATTACACATAAAATAGCGATGTGATGCACCAATTTCACCTCTGGGCATAAACCCAAAGTAACTGAAATCAGGGACTTTAAAAAGTGTTTGTACACCAGTGTCCATAGCAGAATTATTCACAATAGCCAAAAGGTAAAAACAACGCAAATATTCGTCAATAGGTGACCAGATAAAATATGGAACATACATACAGTGCAATATTATTTAGCCTTAAAAATAAAAGGAAATGCTGACACATGCTACCATATAGATGAACCTTGAAGATATTTTCCTAAGTGAAACAAGCCAGACACAAAAGAACAAATATTGTATCATTCCACTTCTGCAAGGTTCCTACAATAGTCAAATTTATAGAGCCAGAAAGTAGAGTGGTGGTTACAAAGGGGCTTGGTGGAAGGGGGAATGGGATGTTATTGTTTAATAGGTGCAGAGTTTTAGTTTGGGAAGGTGAAAGTGTTCTGGAGATGGATAGCAGTAATGATTACACAACAATATGAATTGAGTGTACTTAATGCCAATGAACTATACTTTTTACAATGGTTAAAATTGTAAATATGTTAGGTATATTTTACTACAATAGAAAATCAACTTTAAAAATGATTCTCAACCTGGTTGCACATTCCAATAATCTGAGGGAAGCTTTAAAAATCCCAGTGTCCACCCACAGCATATGATCACTGTGTGGGCATTCATGAGAGTTGAATCAGTCTGCCCACCCCAAACCAAGTATATCAAAATTCTTAGGAATGGGGCACAGCCATCAGCATTTTCTAAAATTTTTCCAGGTAATTAAAATGTGCAGCCAGTGTTAAGAGTCACTACTTTAAAATACTGGAATCACTCCATCTACTTTATGCGTTCAGATTAGCACACACCCAATGCTGAAATGTATGCCATCATTTAAGATGTGGAGAGGATCACTATAACTACAAAATCATACTTACATTCTTAAACACTTTTTTTTTTGAGAAAGAATCTCCCTATTTTGCCCAAGCTGGGGTGCAGTGGCGCAATCTCGGCTCACTGCAACCTCTGCCTCCTGGGTTCAAGAGATGCTCGTGCCTAAGCCTCCTTAGTAGCTGGGATTATAGGCGCATGCCACTACGCCTGGCTAATTTTTGTATTTTTAGCAGAGATGGGGTTTTGCCATGTTGCCCAGGCTGGTCTCGAGCTCCTGACCTCAGGTTGATCTGCCCACTTCGGCCTCCCAAAGTGCTAGGATTACAGGACTGAGCCACTGCGCCCGTCCCTTAAAAATGTTTTTAGGTAAGTAATGTAATAATTTGATTGGGGCTATATGCAAATGCTGCTGATAACTAAAGCTCATCCAATCATTTGTTCATTCAACTGGGGTTGGTATAAAAATAAAAATAAAATACAGATCCTCTTGGCTCTGCACAAGGATTTCTCACTGGTCACCCATCTCCGCAGGCTCCAGCTGTCTGTCGCGTTGCCCTGTCCCCTCTCTTTCTTTTCTCTCCCCTTCCACTCCTTGTTTCTTAGGCTGAGCAGTTTACATTTAATTATTATCCCTGTTAACTTTAACAGTGCCTGACACAGAGAAAGAGGTTAAGAAATATTTTTGAAGAAAGGGAGGTAGAGAGGAAGGAAAAAAGGAAGTAAGGAAAAAAGAAAGAGGGACGTCCTCCTCTAGCCTTTGCCCTCAGGACTAGTATATAATTCCAAGTGTTTTATAAAAGTTTTTTGTTGCTGTTTTTTGGCCTCCAAACTAATTTATCTTCCAAAGAAGAACACTTGTGCTACTACTAAAATAACAACCTCTATACACACACACACACACACACACACACACACACACACCCAACATATTTATTTTGTTTGTTTGTTTTTGTTTTGTGAGGGTTTTTTTGTTTGTTTCTGAGACACAGTCTCCCTGTGTCACCCAGACTGCAGTTCAGTGGCGCAATCTTGGCTCACTGAAACCTCCGCCTCCCAAGTGCAAGTGATTCTCCTGCCTCAGCCTCCTGAATAGCTAGGATTACAGCCGTTTTCCACTACACCCGACTAATTTTTGTACTTTTAGTAGACAGGGTTTCACCATGTTGGCCAGGCTGGTCTCAAACTCCTGACCTCAAGTGATCCACTTGTCTCAGCCTCCCAAAGTACTGGGATTACAGGCATGGGCCACTGCACCCGGCCCACCCCAAATATTTGTGTGTCTATCTTAAATGGGCGTGCTTATGCATATGATTTCATTGTATTATTTACTTGTTAAAGAGCCTGTAAGAAGAACCAGAAGTGACAAGTTTTGACCCTCTGTAGTTAGAAAGACAGGACCTTGAAAGGCAACTAGAACAACAAACAAATAGCTTATCAATATTTGCACATCTAAGAAGAAGACACCATTTTTTTCTAGAGGCACTAACAATGTAAATTATAGAATAAGAGAATGTGAGAAGAGAATAAGAGAAGTAATTCTGGTAAACTGCCTCAATTTCCCCAATGCAAATGAGATCACATTAGAAGAGTAGTTCTGACAACACTCAGAAAGACATAGAAGATCTTAATTTTGTATAGTATGCATTTCTACATAGCTCATCAAGCACTGTGACCAGGAAGGTTCCTGCCAAAAATGAAAATGACATGTCTACACCCACACAGATAAAATAAAAGATGAACTTCACATGGCTTGATATCAGTCTATTCTCAATCACATTGGAGAAATGAAATCAAGGTAGAAGTGAAGAATGAATAAATAGCCTTAAGGCTCTCAAAGTTCATAAAAGAATTATGCACCAACAAGTGATGACTGCCTGATATAATGGGAGGTAACAGTGACATGCAGGGAGTGCCATGAGAAGACAAGCAAGGGAGCTGACCCAGAGCATCATTGAAGACCTAAAAGGAGAAATGATATCTGGGTTTTATTTATTTTGTTTTTATTATTTATTCATTTATTTATTAGAGAGAGGATCTCACTCTGTTGCCCAGGATAGAATGCAATGGCATGACTGTACTCCTGGCTCAGCCTCTGACTCTTGGGCTTAGACAGTCCTCCCTCCTCAGCCTCCCCAGTAACTGAGATTACAGGCACGCACCACCACACCTGGTGTGGGTTTTCCTGAAGGTAACTGAGAACCATGAAACGTTGTTAAGCAAGAGAATGAATCATGTTTTAGAAAGAGTTCTCTGGCACTGTGTAGTAAATTGTTGAGGTAGTGACTAGAGGCAGAGAGACCAGTTAGAGGGTGGCTGTAACAGTATGCATAAGAACTGCTGAGAACCTGACACACTGTAGATGGGAGACAAGAAGGAAAGTAATTGAAATCTAGTTAGAAAAAAAGTCAAAAAGACTGAAAAGTCACTTACGATGGCAAATTGTCCATGTTGAGAGAATGGATAGATGCCAGTTTTAACCTTTGTGGTAAAAACCAGTAAAAAGCAAATTTGTGGTGTAGTTGTTCATAAAACTGTGCCACTGAGATCTCCTGCTGCAGACAGCATAATTGACTGAAGCCTCCAAATGTTGTGAACCCACAACTGTCTTAATTGAGGCTTAATACTGAGGCTATGCTTCCCTTAGGCTGCTCTCAGCCAATGACTAATGGGACGGAGCACTAAGGCAAGTTGGCAAGTCCTTCCTGCAAGGCATGGGACTTCTCTGGAAGGAGACTTTGGCTCAGGGACTTCTTGCTGAAACTTTCTCAGAGCCACACTGCAGTTCGAGGCTCAGTCAAGCCAATCCTCTTTCCTTACTTCTCCCCTTCACAGAGGTCAGATCCTAATCTCACAGCTTTTCCAGCCTCTCGCAACTTCCTCCCATTTTTCCCTTACAAGTGTTCCCTCAAATAGATTTCTTTCAGTCTTCTCCCATGTTGATATCTGCTTCTCAGAGGACCCAAAATAATAAATGGGGAAAAAGAGGAAAAAATTATGCTTTTTTCTCATTAGCATATTTTATTATTTTACATTGAAATTCAACATTCGTTGAGCAAATATTTTTGAGCACCTATACATATAATGATCCATAGACCAATTGAAATTGAATACTTCTTGGCTACAGTTGTTTTCCAAGTTTCTATGGTTTTGTATAACCTATTAATGGCTTGGCCTTGGTTCCGTACACTTTTCATATTGTAGAGGAATACTGACTATTAATATAAAAAGAAACTTTGTATAATATTAAGAGGAAGAAAAGGAAAATCAGAATTTTAAGGCTGTCTCAAATATTTTTAACTACATTTATATATAAAAAGAGAAAAAAAACTAAAGAGATAATAACAGAGAAATGAATGTTGAACTTTTAGTAATAGAACTGCAGGTTATTTTCTGTTTACTCCATTATATTTTTCTAAATTTTCCAGAATTTCTGCAATAAACATTTTAATAATGAGTGAGAATTTTATTTTTTAAAGTTATCTATAGAAAGAGCTAAACTCTTTGAAGTAAATTTTTTTTAAAACGATTATTTTCTAGTTTCAAAGACTTTCTATAGAGTCTTTTAGTGTGTTGCTATGGGAATGAAAATAAAAATAAAATTGTTATAATTTAAAAAAAACCTAGAAAGATTCATATATAGTGTTAATTTCCTAGATTATTCAAATCATCCCTCTGCAGTTCAATGTAAATGTTTTTATAAGTCCTGTTATTAAAACCAGGTTTGAGATCTCACCCCTGCAAACTGTACTAAACTATAAGAAACTACCCTTTTAAAAACAAGAATACATGCACACCCAACACTCATTAACACTGAAAGGATATTTAAATAAAATGTAAATTCTCAAAAGAGAAAATTTAAGGACAGTATGATATCTGTGCCTGAGATTTCAGTTCGCTCCCACCTACTCCCACTTATTTTGGAGTTGTGAGGGTTTTTTAATTTTATTTTTGGTCTTTTTTTTAATAAAACCCCATCCCCTCACCCTCGTCCCTTTTCACCCATGGCAAAAAAGTCAGATGTGGCATTTGCCTGTACCTAACAGATAAAACGTAAAGAACATTACAGTTTTATCCTTTGGAGATTTCATTTTGCTTGCTTCATTATGTCTACAGCAAGCTAGTCTTTCAACATTTGTGCCATTTGATTTCTCAACCAGAAGCCAGTCAAGAATAAAATACAATTATTTATAACTCTTGCCAACACCCAGAACAATCGTTCAAATAGAACTCCAGATTAAAATACCCACCAGCTATTAAAAAAATGAAGATTACTATTCAAGAAGTTTGACGTAAAAAGGCATTACAGTGTAAGAAATAATAGCATGATTAGAAATATGGAATCATTTTCCTTCCTCTGAGAAGACTAATTTCATTTTTTAGAAGACTATATTCTAATTTTAAGTACAGAGCTCACAGCCAAAGCCTCCAGCTTTAACCTCTAACTATAATAAACTTTGAGCCAAGATTGGTGAGTCCAGGTAGCTCTCAGTAAATGTTGAAAGACATTTGATTTTTACATAATTTATTTTGCTGAGAAACAAAATAAATTTGGAAAATATGGAGTCTATTTTGGAGTAATCAGAGTAATCTTGTATGCATTGCTATGAATTTGATTAGTGTTCCCAATCTAAAGTTAGTATATATTTTTTAAAAAGTAAATGCTTCCATACACAAAACCAACAGAACTTGAAATATAAGCAATCTCATTTCACAATACAGAGCAACAACAACAAAAACAAAGCAGGTCATTATTACAAAGTTCTATCTTAATGACTCCCATTTACTAAAACGATATTGTACTGAGAATTTTAAAAGGCCAGATTCTAATGTCAGACTCACCCTCTACAAGCTGTGCTAATTGGAGCAAGCAAAATGAACTCTCTTGTCTGTTTCTTTATTTACAAAATGGGTTTAATAATACCTGCTCTACCAACCTCAAGAAATTATATGAGGTTTGAATTAAAAAGTGCCATAAAAGTGTTTTGAATATCATGAAGCATTACTCAAAATAAAGATGATGTTTTCTTCCAACTCCAGTCAATTATGAATGTACAGCATGTGAAAAAGGTGGCAATGTGGATTCCTATCACATCAGCAATGGCTGATAGTACATAATAGGGGTCCTAGGTCAGAAAGAGCAAGCCACAATATAATGCTGCCCCCCACCACACACACACACATACACACAAACACACACTCCACCCGTGGTCAAAGACAGCTATGTGTAACAACTTGGATGATAAAAGGAAGAGTAATACTTAAGAACAAATTAAAGATATTCTTAAACTCATTAAAGAAAAACATTTAAGCATTTTGTGTTATTTGTATTTAATATTAATTCAAGAAATAAAATATTCCCTTATTCTCAAATATATATGAGAAAACTTATTAACCTATCTCATACCATTGACCAAAATAAAATTTACATGATAAAAAGAGTGAAGAAAATATATATATACCTATACTTAAATATATATATTTTTAAATTTAAACCAGGTAGAAAGAAATAGATGAGTAAACTTATATGAAGATGAAAACTTTGTATGCATAAAAGTAAAGGTAAAAATATAAAATAAACTATTGATGGAATGTAATAAATATTAAAACTTTATGTATATCAGAGTGCTATTATTAGCAAAATTTAAAGGTAGATGACAAAATGGGGAAATATCTATAACTATAACCTGTTAAAGAAAAAATTATTCTTGATACTTGTTAAAGAACAGTAAGGCACACTCTAAGCATAGCCCTCCCTACTGCAATGGGGCTTTGTGGCAGGAGAGAGAGATCAAAGTCAACTCCAAATATAACAAGGACAAGTGGAGATTTATAGGCAAGGAGAAGGGTAGAGGTCAGTAGATGGAAATTACTAAGAGGAAACATCGAGGGTAGGAAGGAGTCTGGCTAAACCAACCGAACAGAGTTATTGCTAAAGGCAGACCAGGGGATAAGATATTGAGGGTGGAGGGATAAGAAATTTCATAAGATATCAAGGATGGAGGATATTTGCTAAACTGACTCAGCAGAATTTTTGCTTAAACTGGACTAAGTGGACAAAGCAGCTAGACTGTGGACAGACCCTAAGGTTGGGGCAAAGTCAGAAAGAGGACTCAGAAGATCCTGACTCAAGTTAGTCAAAGGAGAGAGTCTTCATTACATATTAACAAAAGATTAATACTCTTAACATATGAATAACTCAAAATTAATATAAGGTAAACATTCCAATCAAAAATTTGATATAACAGTTCACAAAAGAATAAAACAGTCAATAAGCATATCTTTAAAAGGTAAATTTTCAACATAATTTAAATGGCAAATTGTAATAAAACAAAACCAGTTTTCTCCTACCAACTTGGTGAAGGTTGCAGGAAGACCGGCATAACTTTAAATTGGCAAATGGGAGTTTAAGTTATTACACCATTGCTGAAGGGTCATTTGGCAGTATCAATTATTTCACTTATTTAAGATAAATTTGGTGAGTATCAATAAAAACCGGATACTCTGCTACAGACTGGGGAGACAGCAAGATATACAATATCCCACACATCAAAAAGCTTACAATCTGCTATGAAAAATAAGCATTAAATTGTTTTACAAATAGCTATACAATCACTTGTGGTTTTAAGCACTATAGTGAAAATGTGTAGGTTGCTATGAGAAAAAAATAATGAGAAGCTCTAACCTAATAATGGGGTAGTGAAGATGGGTTCAGAGAAATGCCATCTAAACTGACTACTGAAGGATGAGGACAAGTAGCCAGATAAAGTGGGGGAGAAGGGGCAAGAGAGAGACTCCAGAGAGAAAGAAAAATGGATGAGGATATCTGGAAGAATGGGAAGTGTAAAGTTTGGCAATTCAAGGTATACAATAAAGGATTGTAGCAAAAAAATAGTAAGGTTATGGTAGAGCATGTTAAGAAATCTATGTCTTGGAATAAAGAAGTCATTGAGTTTTAAACAGGAGAATAACTTGGTCCTGTTTAAAATGATCCCTTTGACATTGCATGGAAAATTAATTATTTGGGGCAAAGGAAGTTTCAGGAAGATCAACTAGAAGGCTATTGATAATATTGAGATTGGCCTCGGCCTTGTGCTCCAGGACAATGGTGACAAAATCTCCTCAAACTTTTGTGTTCCAGGAACTGGTTTACTACGAAGAACTACCTTTCCCCATCTGAGTTAGACATAAATCCCTACTACTTTTGTTCACGACTCTCATAAGATTAGTAGATGACTCCCTCCCATATTTGTGACAAGGTCATCCACAGACACTTCCCCTTTAGCCCCTCCAATTTCCCATTCTTTTTCTCATAAGTTACTAGCTGAGATTAGGATGATTTATTTTATTTCAATGGCCTGATTAAAATCAATCTCCTCCTTTGTTCAATTTCTGCCTTTGACATAATTAAAATAGTAATGGTATAAGATAATGAACTGGAAGTAGGAGATAAACTTGAAATCTGTTTTGGATATAGAAGCACTAGAACTTGATGTGAGGTATTTGCTATCAAGAACAGCTTCCTAGCATGAGCAGCTGACCACCTGGGCAACTGGATAGATGGTGGTATCATCCATTGATGGGGACAAACCTCAGAGGAGGAACAGGCTGGAAGGGAACAAGGAAGAAGATTGGATCTGAAGACATTGGGTGTGATATGCCTGTAAGACATCCAAACTGAAGATGTCAGAAAACAGGTCAGAAAAGAAATCTGTGTGGGAAACAGAAATTAGTGAACGTCAATCAAGTTTATATTTTAAGCCATGGTCATATATAAGATAGGCTGGTAACAGAGAATAGAGGGGAAAAAAGGATGTTGCTGTTGAAATTGCCGAATTGTGGATTTAAAAACATTGTTGAAGTCTAACGCATCTAAGAAGTCGGAGAATATAAGAATGAAAATGTCCTTGGAATTTTCCAAGCTGGAAGTCATTGGTATGTGAGTAAAAACAGTTTTAGTCACTCAACTTCTAGAAATTTATTCCAAGAAAATAATGAGAAAGGCACAGAAAACATTAAGGAAAAAGGATGGCACAGAATTATTTGTAATAGGAAAACAATGGAAACAATCTAAATGATTCAAAACTGGGTGGCTAATTTGTGTTTCTTCTTAAGTAAAATGCTATTCAGCCAATCAAAATGTTTTTTGAGAATGTATAAGTAGACAGGAAATGTTTCATGAAAAAAAGTTTAATTTTTAAAAAGCAGGATATAAAAACATAGTGACTTCAAATTTTGAAAAAAATACAAATATAGCACACACAATATACTTGAGGAAACTATATTTATTCCTGTGTAAACTTATGAATAATTTCTATTTACTTAAGTTTTTTTAAACTTTTCTCAATATTTCTACTATGACTGTGTATTATTGCCCTAATAAAGAAGAAACTATACATTAAATACGTCTCGTCCCGTCCCGTCCCGTCCCGTCCCGTCTCGTCTCGTCTCTAGACAGGATCTTGCCCTGTCGCCCAGGCTGGAGAGCATCTGTGCGATCATAGCTCACTGCAGCCTGGAATGCCTGTGCTCAAGCAATCCTCTCACCTCAGCCTCCTGATGTATATTTTAATAATAGGCTACCCATGCACCTCTGAGTTCCCTAGAGTTTTTACTGACACTAAAATCCATGTTCACAATTCAAATATAAGTTTCAAATTATGTATTTGATGAGTCCAAGATATTTTTAATAAAAAATATGGAAAATATTAATCCAAAAGCTTTTACATAAAATAAACTTAAGTTATGAGGAAGAGATAGGGGAGAATGACTAACCCATGTGACAATTTGGGAGGAATACTGGAAAATAAATGATCACCAAGGCTTCTTACAAGTACTGAATTCTAGGCTCAGGAAAGCCTGCCTCTCTCCATTGTTTCTGAATCCCTTAGCAAGAATTACAGGGTTAAAGGGTGATTGGACAGCCTCTCTTCTTCTAAAGTCAAGACACCTGCATCTCCATTTCTTTAGCTAATTTGCTGCTGAAACAGCTAGCTGGATGAAAAAAAAAAAACCAGCAAAACTCACTCTCAAAAGTTAAATTTCTGTGTTTCTTTCTTTCTAAAGTGGTCTAAATGAAACTAATAAACAACCTCAGAAAGAAAAGAACAAAAATTGACCTAGACTCCTGGATTCAAAACCCAATGTTCAAATCCATTGTCTATCAAAAATAACACTTCAAGAAGAAGGCTTATAGACCCAGCTAATAGCTTCCAGCTAAAAAACAAAAGAGCAATAGAGTAGATTTCGAATGGGTCATTGAGTTTCTAGCCTAGGACAAGCCACTCCGCCTTAAACAAACAAACAAACAAAAAATACAAAAGTGCTCTAACAGTGTTGCTATGCTTCAGAACCATGATTGGGAAGTTTATCATGAAATACAATGTCTACTTGCCAAAAAAAAAGCACAGAATAATAAAACAGTTATAGAAAATACAAATCTTCAATGAACTACCACCATTCCCCAACACCGCCCCTATCACTACCCCCAGTACACACACAGACACTCCTCAAAAAATGCCTGCCTGGATTGAAGAAACATTGAAACCCTGGTGCCAAAAGTTATTGCAGGCATACGAAGATGTGTTAAAATGAGAAATCAATATTTTGTTTCTGGGATTAAGAATTATAATTATCAGTGAAGATTAACAAACGCCACACATTCTGAGCATATTCAAAAGCAGTTTTCTCTTCTACATCCAGTCATATACCCTCAAACTTTCTCTAGCACTAGTTATCACAATACTTTTTTTTAATCTGCTTTAGTTGCTTCAAAAGCAATTCCACAACAAAACAAGAACTTGAAGCAATTCACAGTTGTAAGTTTGTTTGTTTTGTAATCACCTTAATCATCAAGGCTAAGAAGGAAACTCATCTTTATGAAATGACACACAAGTATATTTACACCTCTAATGGAAAGCATAAATTAGCACAGCTAAGTTTGTAACATGTTACAATATCTTGCTTACTAATCCTACTGATTCCATTAATTTTTTCAAAGCCTATCATTTTTTAGTTATATGTGACTTTCTGCCTCATTTTCAAGAGAAAGTGAATATATGCATTTCATTTTGACAGATTTTAATATGGCTAAATGCCACTTCCAACTTCTAGATTTCCAGAAGTTTTTATTAGAGTGGATTGTTAGCAGAAGCTTTTTAAAGATAATTTACTCAGCATCTTCTTTTATTACGATGGATTTAGTTTCCAATAGGCCTCTAAAATATATCTACAAAGTAATGATAATTCTCAGCAGACAACTCACTTAGTTTCTGTATCATGGTTAATTTTAGCCATTGTAATGCAAGGACTTATGTGTGACTTTCAAAAACTTTGCCAACTTATGAAATCCAAGAGACTTTTTTAAAATTATTATTGAAGAGCTGATAGATATTTAAAATTGTCATTTGACATCAAAAAAGGCAAAAATATTTAATTTGCACTTTGGTTTTTCTTGCTCCCCAAATCTGGGCAAAGCCCAAACGCAGAGTGACTAGACCAGAATTTCCAAATGCAAATACCCACCAGTGTCAGGAAAGTTAAGAATATGAGAAAAACACCACTGCACTACACAGTACGAGGACATGACCCATCCGAAAAAGGTAGCTGCCACATAGCACCAGTCAACTCATTCTGCGAGAGAATGTGGACCAAGTGAAATCAGAGCTTCTAACTCATCAAGAGAAACCGAAAATTTGGATTTTAAGGGGTAATTTTCAGATTTACATATTAGCACCTAATGGTTTAAATAAACAGAGTTAAAACAAACAAAAACTGCTTGCGGCCCCTATCCAGCCACAGTTTTGCTAATTCTGAAATAAGAAATCCCTACATATAAAGTAACTTGCTGAAGGCCTCTATGTGTGCCTGAAATTCCCACCATAGATGCTCCTAAAACGATGCTATTTAAACTTAATTATGCTATGGGGAAGAAAAAAACAATAATAGCAGTTATCATAGTATCTTAGTTTATAAAATCAGAAAATAATTAATCTGAAACTAACAAATGAAACACAAACACTAGGTTATTAGAAGGAGATGGAGAGAGCCAGATTGAGAAAACTACAGTGGATTATAGCATGAGAAAGTCTAGATGTAAAGGAAGCAATAATCAGGGATTTTTCATGCTAATACCTGAACTCGGGAGGCTTTGAGGACTCAGAGGCTTCTTAAGCATCCCAAGTAATAGGGATGAGGCTGCAAAGTTTGTTTATTTCTTAAAGTTGCCAGAGGCCACTCCAGCTCTCAAACACCTACTTCTATTGGTAATTTAGTTTAATAGGGCTCAATCAATTAATCAACTAAGTACTGTACAGGGGGAGAGTTGTTAACTTTTATTTTCATCAATCATGTTAAAATTGAACAGTATGCACCACATTTAAACATTTAAGAATCATATCACTAAACCACCACCAAGTGTTGGCAACCAAGACACAACAAGGATTCAAAGCTAAAGAGGAATTTTAATAGTAGAGCTGGTGTTTTTTGCAAGCTAAATTGTTTATAGGCATTGGGTAGCAAACCAGAGAGTTCTTGTAGGCCTCAAAAGAGGGCCAAATACTGACAGGTGCATTGCCAGTTTCCAAATTACATATCTCAAGTACCACAAGGCCAAAACAGCCCCCACCTCCACTCCTCAACTACCTCTATTCTCCTTGTCCATTTTCACTCTTTTGTTTCCTTTGATAAAGAGCAAAATTTTCTTGGGAGGTTCAGGATGTTAAAAATAAAAAAGCATGCTTCTTCATTATGGTACTTACCACAGGCTGGCTTGTACTATGGTTAATTGTCTTCACTTGAATAACTGGAGAGCAGGACAAGGTCATATTATTATCACTAACATCTAGCAGGGAACCTGATAGAAAATATCAGCTCCCAGCCCGGCGCAGTGGCTCACGCCTGTAATCCCGGCATTTTGGGAGGCCGAGGTGGGTGGATCACGAGGTCAGGAGTTCAACACCAGCCTGGCCAACATGATGAAACCCCATCTCTACTAAATACATAAAAATTAGCCAGGGATGGTGGCGCATGCCTGTAGTCCCAGCTACTCGGGAAGCTGAGGCAGGAGAATTACTTGAACCTGGGAGGCAGAGGCTGCAGTGAGCCAAGATTGCGCCACTGTACTCCAGCCAGGGTAACAGAGAGAGACTCTGTCTCAAAAAAAAAAAAAAAAAAAAAAAAAGAAAAGAAAAAGAAAATATCAGCTCCAAAACTCTGACATGAATCTGACTGATGCAGGCATTTTCTTAATGCTTATTGGCTACTCTCTCTTCTTCATCTATTCGCAATAAACATCTGCTTTGTCTTCTTATCTGGCTCTCCTGCAGCCCTATCAAGAATAGTCTGACTTCTCTCATCAGAATCTGTCATCCCAAAACTGTTTACAAAGTTTACTTTTCATATTGCACTTAAGCTGGCTCTAATTCTGTGTCTTGGTATTGAAAATGATCTTTTAAAACTAGTTTCTCCTTCATATTTAAAAAATTATTCCTGATACAAAATTCTCCTAATCTCATCTAAAACCTAAAAACGATCAAAATTGTCCTAGTGTAGTCAATAACCTTCGTAAGGCTTTATAATGATAAAGACTTCAGCTGTGAATTCTACCTCTAAATTTCCTAGTATTGCAAATTCCTGCCTCTCCATAACCATTATTTAACTCTCACACAGGACATGATTTGGTTCCTAACAAGTATGCTTCTTTTTAGCAGTTCAAAGACACCCTTATCCATAGCAATAGACAAGATTTAATTTCCTTTCTCTCTGCTAAAATAGTTGCTAAGAGAAATGAAGTTGCTGAAAAGTGAATCCGATTTTCCATTTGGGCCATGAATCTGCGTGTTCAAGAGGGCATCCTGAGCATCTATCAGTGACCTTGAGAGATCAGAGAACCTTATTTTGCTTGAACAGGCCCTTGGCAAAAGAAGCACACAAGACCGGTGCTTCTCAACTTTAGAGTGCATATGAATTACATGGGGATACTGTGAAATGCCCATTCTGATTCAGCGGGTCCGAGTCTTACATTTCTAACATGCTCCCAGGTACTACTGATATTGCTGGCCCAGAAAGACCACTCTTTAAATATTTAGGATCCAGATCATGTGCATTTTAAACTCTTCCCCTTGAAACTTTTTCAGTTTTCCTTTTCTCCAAAGCACCCACCCAATTACTACTCCTATTCTACCCACTGCAGTAACCTGCTCAAACCTCCTTCTCATGTACAGTCTACCTTAGTACCTCATTATCTATTTATCTTTTGGATGTATATAGGAACCTACACATATAGGATGCCATGTAGGCTGCAACACTGCAGAAGAAAGCTAGTCCACTGATTCACATGAAGCATTAATAACTGCTTTTTGAGCCATGCTTTATTTTATGAATCTCTAACTGATTTAAAGGCAGTGAGAGAACAATTCTGAAACAAGGGTGGGGGCTTTCTCTGGGCTCTTTAAATCCTTACACATTAAAGCTCCCTAATTTACTTGTGTCTGCTGATTCACTTTTGCTCTTGAATGTTATTATACTAGAAATTTCCATTATTTGGCACCTCTCAAGTTTACCTCCCTTCAGTGACTATGATTCTCCTCATTTTCTCCTAACCCCCAAGTTGAGATGCTGTGACAGCTTACTCAGAAACCGGGACTGTTAAAAATGTTGAAGTGCTTCTGAAATTCTATCAGACTTGACAATATTACAGGTATGAATCAGACACAAAGGAATGTCCAACTTTCAGCTGAAATGAGAATGTCTTTATCTAAATTCCACTAAACCTGGCATCTTTCAGAGAGTTCTCTGACAGAAACAAAAGTTAAACACAGTGTCTGCAAGCCTGCCAAGCTCCCCTTATCAGAATAACCTTCAATTTAGGGCTGGCCTATATCATTGACTTTAGAAAATTACCTGTCATTCCATTTTTGCTTCTTGTGTCATTTAGGTTTTGTTATTGTCAAGTTCAAGTATCATGTACAACTAACATTAGGATTCTCTTTATGGTCATTATTTTAACCTCCATTAACATACATGTCCATGGATGAGAATGAGAAGAGATTCTGAAGTTGACATTTTCAGAGATTGCCTGATCAACTGTTGCTGTACCAACCTGGATGAACCGCCAGCCCCCAAATATGGATGCATTTGTTCCAGGGAAATGTGAGGAAGCACAGCTGAAGGTTTCATGCTTGATAAGCTGAATAAGGGTACCTAATCTCTTTCAGAGGTTGAACTTCAGTAGAAACAGAAAGAACAGGTTTGGTTTAAAAAAAAAAAAAGTGATCCATATCATTAGGCAATGAAAAATAAGATAGTTACCAGAATGGGAATCAGAGAAAAGGAGAATATTTGTCTAGAATTTTCTTCTTAACCCACTAGCAGGATTCTGATTATAGCTCCAAACTTTTCTTCTTTAAACAAAGATTACCTTAATTATCTTAATGATTTTTTTAACTTAGTTTACTTAGAAAAGCATTGATTGCCTTATTTTCCCAATTAGGCAAAACAAAAATAGGCTCTGATTTTGCAACACTAACTGAATGAACTCAGCCACATCCCAGGGTTAGCAGAGCAATGTATTGACAACCACAGACCCAGTGTCTCCACTCCTGAACATCTAAAGGCACATGAAGTGCTTCCTAGCATTTCATGTTTTAGAACTCATCATTTCCTTTTCCATCAGTACAAGAAAAAATAGAGATTAAAAATCTCAGGCTTAAATTTTTGAATTTGAAACCTCCATATTAAACAGCACATAATGGGCAAGATAGAGCAAAGTGAAGGTGCTCCTGTAACTGAGTTGTGAGTCAAAAGCTGACCAGTCCTTTTTTTTTTTTTTTTTTTTTCTGACAGAGTCTCACTCTGTTGCCCAGGCTAGAGTGCACTGGTGTGATCTCAGCTCACTGCAACCTCCGCCTCCTGGGTTCAAGAGATTCTCGTGCCTCAGCCTCCTTAGTAGCTGGAATTACAGGCACCTGCCACCATGCCCAACTAATTTTTGTGTTTTTATTAGAGACAGGATTTCACCATGTTGGCCAGGCTGGTCTCGAACTCCTGATCTCAAGTGATCTGCCTGCCTCGGCCTCCCAAAGTGCTGGAATTACAGGCATGAGCCACCGCACCGGCCTAAAACTGACCAGTCTTAAAAGCTGGCATATTCAGTCTCACAAAACCCTAGTCACCTATGAAACTTTGAGTTATCAAGATGATCCCCAGACAACTCCAAGCCTCTGACTTGAAAGGATCAGGCTGGAAATGATTAGTTATGGAACATCACACAGCAAGCATGTGCTGCAAGTTATATATACCCAACTAACTCCCTAAATCACAGATTTAGAGCTGGAATCCCAGGATGGCGTCATGGTCTCCCACCAGCATCCTCTGTGAGGTGTGAAAAAAGGAAGAATAGAGAAGCTAATGCAAGTTCGAATTCTATTGGTGACCTTGGAAGCTGGAGAGACAGCTCTGGGTGGAGAGCCCTGGAAGCCTGCACTCAGAGATTGATCAGCAGCTAGGAAACATAATCCTGGAGTCATGGAGCCACCTCTCCTGAGCATGAGTTGCCTTGCAGGTGTCCTCCATCATCCTCAATAAGTGTGTGTTAGGTTTTTGTCATGTTCAGGGTTATGGTCAGACAGAAAGATGAGTATGGCAAGATCATTTCCTTATTATCCTTTTGTTTACTTTATCTATAAATGCCACTGAACCCTTTGGCCCCAAAGAAACTCTTGGTGAGCATCTGTTGAGAAGGCACACAGCCCAGAACAGAGAATGGGAGCATTTCAATAGATTAAAGGACAAGAGCCAACAGAATCACTTATGAATGTTTAAAAAATTAGAAGAAAGAATTGTAGACAGAGGTTGGCTTAGTGAGTTTGGAAACTAATCAAGCTCCCGTCAGTATTAGCTGGATTTTAAAGACGTGGCATTTTCAAAAATTTCCTTCCTTAAATAACATAATGCCCAAGGTTTTCCCTTCTGAAAATGGCCAACTCAAGAAAATAATGTTTTTATGCAATATTTGAAAACTTACATTTCTCTTCTATTTTTGCACTAACACGAAATCTGGTCTTTTCTGTTCCAAAAGACACTTACCAATATGCAGCTTTAAAAATATTACCAAATATTTATTACCTTACATCACTTCACCAGAAAGTGGGCTGAGAATAAAATGATAGAAGCATTCTTTACTCCTCACTCAGCAAGAGCCATTATAATGCCCAAGGCAAGCAATTAGTTGCCAGACTGAACTATTAAAATATCTTATGACTCAGAACCAGTTGTCAACATTATAATACAAATATTTTAGAAAGCTTATTTACATTAGAGTAGCTGATGAATGAAAAGTTCAGTTTATTTATTTAATAAATATAAATATGTTGATCAGTAAAATATTAAAGGTAGGTTAAGTTTTTAAAACTATTTCTGTTACAAAAAACAAAAATAGCTATTATTATTATTATAGGGTATTTTTCTGCTTAATGTGTTCTCTTACTTATTTTTTTTTTTTTTTAGGCAGAGTCTTGCTCTGTCACCAGGCTGGAGTACAGTGGCGTGATCTTGGCTCACTGCAACCTCCACCTTCCGGGTTCAAGCACTTCTCCTGCCTCAGCCTCCCGAGTAGCTGGGACTACAGGCACGCACCACCATGCCCAGCTAATTTTTGTATTTTTAGTAGAGACGGGGTTTTGCCATGTTGACCAGGCTGGTCTTGAACTCCTGGCCTCAAGTGACCCACCTGCCTCGGCCTCCCAAAGTGCTGGGATTACAGGCGTGAGCCACCACTCTCGGCCAATGTTTTCTATTTGTTAGTAAAGTAGAATATTACCCCATTATACAAAAAGCCATACCCTTTTACAGGTAAAGCCAAAGTCAACACACTTTTTTCTGTTAGAAGGCAGATAGTAAATATTTTAGGCCTTGTGGGCCATATGGCTTCTACTAAACTGGCCATAACTACTCAATGGCCATAACTGTTCAACTCTGCATTTGTAGCAGAAAAGCAACCACAGACAATACATTTAAAAAATGAACATGGCTGTGAGCTAATAAAACTTTATTAACTAAAACAGATGACAGGCCAGATTTGACTCACAGGCCACAGTTTCTTAAGCCCTGAGTAAAGCCAAACCTCAGTATAGAAATCAGGTCCAACAATGATGTCAAGATTTACTTTAAAACTTCAATATTTGAGGTTTATTCCTATTCCATTTTGTAATTACACTAAACTAATATTTTCATAAATATACAGGGAATGAAAAAATTCTTATATAATCAGGTTAACAGTTTTTTCAATTAATAAGCATTCATTAAACTAGAAATTGCAATATAATACTGTGTTATTAGATTATACAGAAAATTCTATTAAGAGCAAATAATATTCTGCTAAAACATCATAAGCAAAGTACATTTCAGGATCTTAAAGTTGTGCTGAAATACAAGTATAAACAACTTTCATTATATACTATTGTTAAAATATAATTTTCCAAAAGCCAAATTATGGCTCTCAAGCAAATATAGAATGAATGCATGTTAAAGATTTTATTAACTCATGATTTAATGAGAAAAGTGGTAAATGCCAAAACTGGCCCAAAGAGCATTTGAAAAGGTAGGCAATTTAACAAAGAAATGTTAGAATAAGATTACTGGGTTAGATTTAAACTGGCTAAGGCCCAACAGGGGCATAAACTAAGGTTATCTGTTCCACTGGGCAGACATTATTTGCGTCTCTACTTGACAAAAATCTGCAAGTTTACTTTTGTCCTATTGTACATGTCCCAGTCAGTAGAAGCCCAGCACGGCACTGAAAGAACACCCTGCAATTTCTTTGACCTATTTCCCAGTTTCAAATAATTTTTCTGACAATATTGGAAATTAGCCTATGTCTGTCCTGCATCTCTGAGACATCTTGAAAGATACTAAGTTAAATATCACCTTGCTGTCTTGTATTTTTTCCCATAAAAGTAGAGAATATGATTAGGAAATAATGACCTTCCCTGCATCATAGCACAATAGAGACTCAAAAAAAGCAATGATAACAAACAACCTTCTCCCAAGTTCTTCTGCACTAAGCCTTTGGTTGTGAAGACTGCACACCTGTGTCCTTGGGCTTTAGTGTTCTGAGATTCTGTATTAATATGGTCAACAATGGACAGCTGAATGTGTGGTAGTACATTAGCAAGCAGCATGGAATATCTGCAGCTGTTGCCATTGTGTTGTAGAAACATATTTATTGGCATGAAAATAGTTTTACAATATATTCATAGGTGAAAAAAAGTAAGTTACTAAATGGTATATACAGGCATTTTTTTTCTGTGTGCACATTTTCCTGGTTTTCTGCATTACTTTTACAGTTTTTAAAGTTTAAGAATTCCTCCCCATTTCTTAAATGTGTAGGCTGCGTATAATGATTTTATTCCAAAGAGTACAGTATGGAAAATTGGCGGGAAAAAGTAGAGAAACCTGAAAAACACTACTACCTCAGCCAGGTGATCAAGGTCAACATCAACAGTGATGACATGTTAATAGCATGTGTCCTTGATATGCTGTAATGAAAAAGGCAATTTATCTCTGTACTCTTCCTTTCAAAAACACATAACCCCAAATCTAGTCGTGAGAAAAACATCAAACAAATTCCAATTAAGGAGCGCTCTACAAAAAATCTGACCTGTATTCCTCAAAATTATCAAGGTCATCCATAGCAAGGAAAATCATGAGACAGTCACATCCAAGAGAAGCAAGCCTAGAGAAACATGACAACTAAATGTAATGTGGTTTCCTGGAACAGAAAAAGGACACTCGGCTAAAACCAATTCTGAATCAAGTATGGACTTTTATTACAATAACATATTAAAATTGGTTTATTATCATAAAAATATATCATGATAGTATAAGATAATAATGGGCTAAACTGAGTGTGGGTATATTAGAACTCTTCTAACTTTGTAATTTTTCTGTAAATCTAAAATTGTTTTAAAATAACATTAAACAAAATTTTCTTAGGTTTAAGATTCTCTACTTTTGCATCATTATTTTTTCACTTCAATTTCTTTAAAAGTTTTCATTATTTATGTTTCACCTTCATAAAGTGTTTTAAGTGAGGAAGGCAGATTCTGTGAATTTATGCTTGTATATTTTCAAAACTGCATTCTTAAGTCTCAAATTCTCCTTTCTCAAGAAAAATAATATGCATCAAGCCACTATTTTCTTCAATCTGTCCTTAGCAGTCTCCTTTAAGAGAGTTCTCTGCACAAATATGAAAAATTGTAACTTTGATATAATGAGATTTAAAATTCTTTGTAGGGCTCACATGATTGATTTCCTATCACAGAAACTATATTCCGTAATAATATTTTACTTTATGAATACCACCCTGATGCCTAAGTTAAATCAATGCAGCTTTTCCAATCAATCTTGGTAAAGAGAAAAAATGATAAAAATATTATACAGGCCCTGTATAATATTTTATAATACTAGAATGTTATAAAGAGTCTGGTGTGACAGAGGAATGTCTCAAGTAATCCCGGGATCAGAATTTATTTTGAGCCTAAACTTCACTCAATATGTACTAAGAGGTTAAATTATTTGTGTGGTAATTTACTTTAAATATAAACAGTATGATATGTAAATGTAAATTCATTTAAATTTTTATTTCAGTGGTGGCTTATTAGTGGTTGAAAGACCCAATCAGAAATCTACACTTCAGAGATACCTAATAAGCACTTCAAATGCCATTCTTGACATCTGCACCAGAATATTTGCTAATCAACATAGGAGAGGTTTAGAAAATAACTTTCATTGGTGAAAAAATGTTGCTCAATGATGGTTGACCTGGACTAAAATTATTTTACAGACTCCGCCACCCTTGAATGAACTAGGTAGTAAAAATTCAGCAAGCCAAACACTCTAAGCCTACTGCTCCACTGGACTCTGAGTCCTCCCCACTTCCCAGACAACCCTGTCCTCTGACCGCACTAGAGTGTAGGCTGGTTCACCAGGGTGCAGAACACCGTTTGTGTCCACATCAGAGGGAACCTTTAAATAGTCATTTACTGATCTTTATTGTGTGTCAGGCACTGTGCTAAGTAAGCTTCATACACATAGAAGCTAATGCAGTCTCTCTCGATTCTATTAGAAACTCAGAACTATATATTACACGTGAAAAAATCGAGTCTTAGAGAGGTCACTCAATTTGCTGATAATGAAAGAAGCTCTCCTTAACCCACAGAACTTAATTATGTCCTGTATTCTAACAGTTAAACATTCCAACAACAAAAATAACCGTCAGGTGTTTACTGCCTTGAATAAACTTCATGAAATGACTCCTTCAATGTCATACTCTCCTTTGTTCTTCTAAAGGAATATTTGACGTCCTTATATTTCAAATGTTTGCTGTGATGCCCTTGTTTTTCAAATGTTTATTTAAGTCTCCTTTCAAATGCGTATTTGACTTTTTCACTGTGGTCTCCTAAATTTGTGAAATGAACATTTCCATTAATTTCAAGGTTGTGTGTTAAAAACAATTTTGTCATAGTCACTGGACTCTGGCTGGTGGTGGTCAGTCCCATCACTTCCTCCCCCAAAGTGACAAATGCCATGCTTCATCTTTGCCCACCACACATTGGTGTAGTCTTGGCATAACCTGAAACAGAGCTGGTCCTGAAAAACAAGAGGTAGGCTACAAGACATAGACCATCTACAGGTGGAAAAACGCATAATGTCTTACCTTCCAGAAAGTCTCCCCTGAACAGTTTTCAGTTCACATGCTTTCATCATTTTAGGTAGAATCATACCAAGGCCAACCTCTGTGTTTGCTTGTTCTTCTGACTTGCTTCTTCTCTGTTATCTGTCTCCACCACTTGTCATAATTTCTGTGAAGTTTCATAAATAATTTTTTTCTAAGCAGCCTATTTTTATCCTTACTCAAGATTCACCTTTTACAGATGTTCCCATGTCCAACAATCAAGAAGATAGAGTGTTCTTGCCGTGTGCAGTTACTTTCAATCAAATGGACCCCATTCGGCATTAATTTGGTGTACCAGGGATGAGCCAAGGTATTCTCTTGATGGCTTTTAGAAACATCACAACCTGAATCAGCTAAGAGAAGTTTTTTTTCTTAATAGAAAAATTCCATTATGGCCAAATGGAACCTGGTATCTATGGGAAAATGTATACAAAAGAAAGCTAACTCGTAATTGACTCCCACTCAAATGACAGGGAGAGGCTGCAAGCCTCACTAAGTATAGAGTGAGACAGAGAAACAGAGACAGAAATAGATAGACAAAGAAAAAGAGAGAATTTAGAGACAAACTTGCAAAGGTATCTAAAAAGCCCCCAGGGGCAAAAGTCCTAATCCTCGTATCTTGGAGGAGACTCAGGTCCCTTCACCAGACTATGTTAGGGAACATGGACTCCTGTGAAACCTGGCATTAATAAATCACTGCCCAGCTACCTCAGTAACCTTTGTGCTTTGTTTCTAGACTTATAACCACACTTGCGGTGAGTCCCTACAAGCTTCCAGATTTCCCTCCTCAGGGATGCCAAGAAAGGTTCTGTGAAATCACTTCAATATAAGATTAAATATTCAAATATTCAAAACATAATTATTGAAGTTTCTAAACCCTAAGGGGGTCACTCCCTTAGAAATAATAGCCAAGACTGGCAACCTCACTTATAGTAAATGGAACAAAGACTGATCCCCAGGAAAAGTCTGTTTTTCAGAAATTAAAATGATCTGCTGTCCATTCCTTCACTTTTAAATAATTGGAAGTAAATCAAAATAAACTCTCTCCTCAAGTAAGCCTAAATTACAAAGGACAGTGGAATAGAAAAAATGATTAGTATAGTAGAAAACAGTGAGCAAATGCTTAAATAAATCCAAACAGGTATAGTTGTGAGCGGCACTGCTTTCAGTTGTAAGGTAACATCTCTTTTATATTGAAGAAAGACTGTATTATCCTAAAAAATAAAATAAAGAACCTACTTGAACAATTATAAACATATTATAAACCTGTTGAATTACAGATGATGTTGAGAATTTCTTAAGACTTTTATGAATTGTCTGGAAAGTGGCACTCCAAATTCATTACCTTACAAAATTTCTATTTTAAAAATGTATATAGTTAAAAAGTATTAAATGTGTTGAATCTTATAGAATATTTTGTTTAACAGTTGATTTTTTTAACCACAAAGACACTGAAAGTCTGTGTATGAAACTAAAACATATATAAAATAATTCTCATTTGTTTCCTAGCAGAGTCTTAAGCTCAAAAAAATAAATAAATAAATTTAAAAAAACAGTTACTATCTTTGGTCTGATAAAGCCCAGCTACAGTTAAGGGATGGATTATAGATTAGAGCCTGAAGTCAGGCTCTGAAATTGAGTAAAAAGGAGGAGGGAGGAAGAAATAGTGTCAGTTTAACATCTACAAACAGCAAAAACTTCAGTTCTAGAAAACTGGGAAAGGAGGCAACCTAATTACCTCTTTCTTCTTTAATAAAATATTCAATTTTATCTTATTTTATTTCCAAAACATTCATTGCAATTAGGAGGGGGTTTGTGTCTTGTTTTAGTTAAACGCCTTTGTTAGAAAAAAATTTATCAAGCCGGGCATGATGGCTCACGCCCGTAATCCCAACACTTTGGGAGGCCGAGGTAGGTGGATCACCTGAGGTCAGGAGTTCAAGACCAGCCTAGCCAACATGGTGAAACCTCATCTCTACTAAAAATACAAAAATTAGCCGGGTGTGGTGTTGGGTGCCTGTAATCCCAGCTACTCGAGAGGCTGAGGCAGGAGAATCACTTGAACCCGGGAGACGGAGGTTGCAGTGAGCCGAGATCACGCCAATGCACTCCAGCCTGGGCGACAGAGTGAGACTCTGTCAACAAAAAAAAAGAAAAGAAAAATTATCCAATACATAGAAATAGAAATAAAGAAAAAGGATGGCTGTGTGTTCTTTCGTTGTCATACTGGAACACAGTCTAAAAAGTCATCGGGTCTGGCACAGTGGCTCACACCTGTTATACCAGCACTTTGAGAGGCCGAGGTGGGTGGATCATTTGAGTCCAGGAGTTCAAGGCCAGTGTGAGCAACATGGCAAAATTTCATCTCTAGAAAAAAAAATTAAATTAGCTGGGCATCGTGGTACATGCCTGTAGTACCAGCTACTCTGGACCCTGAGGTGGGAGGATCACTTCAGCCCGGGAGGTCAAGGCTGTGGTGAGCCGTAATCAGCCACTGTACTCTAGCGTGGGCAACAGAGTGAGACCTTGTCTCAAAAAATTAATTCAATTAAATTAAAATGAAATAAAAATTAAAAAGTCAGCTGATTTGAGGAATGTACCTTTGTTGACTATTTACTATTGATTGAAGTCCAGACTTTGTAAAGCTAGTTATTAACTTGTAGACAATTGATAAGTTGCAAATGATTTTTGTTTGGTAGGGATGTAAATAATTTCTGCTCTGCAGAAAATATAAACCTAAAGGTTAAGACTTTGTTTTCCTGTTTTTCACCTAATTTCGTGCTCTTATTTCAGCATTCTTTTCTGAAACTTCCTTTGACCCCAGCTTTGTCATCCTGGTGGCTCCCTCACTGATGAGTTAAATAAATCTTTGACTCACTACATATTTATGCAAGAATTATGTTAACAATTTGAGTATTATATTTTGACATTAAATTTCAAACAATGATTTAAAAATATTGTATAGTAAGAATAAAATTTCTATTGGTTTACATTAATTTTAAAGAATATAATTTTACATTATACTCTATAGTTACAAATGTAATTAGTACAGGATATGAAATTGGAAATCTCAGGCACAGCATATTTGTTTCCAGACAAGAATTTGAAGTTCTGTACCAAAACTAAAGAGCCAATTAATGCTTTGTGTCAATATCATGTAAAAGATGATATTTCCTTTCCTTTGAAATTAATTGCAATTGAAATGTGTTATAATTGTAAACGTGGGTGTCCTTTACAAATATCATTCTAACAGGTCCCAGATATTCTAAAAATTACATTAATCCATAGAAATGTTTCCACCTGAATTTCTCGAGTATAAAATCTTCCACATTTTCTAGTTATTTTTAAACCAATTGCATTCTATTTTGATATGCCTTTGATATGTTTTATAATATTCTTAGATTTTAGAATGTGAATTCATTAGTCCTAAGGTAATAAGGTATCTACTTGTGTTTATCAAAAAGCTTCTGAAAAAATGGCATTGTACATTAGACCTTTCATTAAACTAAAGATATCAATTATATATATGCAGTAGGTTTGTTTTTGACCCATAATTCTAGGCAAATCTAAGTACCTATATATCCATCTTTTGTTCTTTGATAATTACATGAATTGTAATATATGAGGTATTGCCTTGAGATCCCAGGTGCAAAATTAAAGATTGACTTGTACTGAATTAATATGATCTTAATTGTGAGATCTGGATTTCTATACTGTAAACTTGGTATATCAATTTAAGTCATGAGTTGTTGAGCTCTTGAGGGGATATACATTAGAAAATTTTCTTTTAATTTAGCTCAGAAAAGGAAAGAAAATAAATTTAAAAGCTTGGAAGATACAGATATTATTTGGCAGAGTTTAAAATCTATTTAATTGAATGTATAAAATACACAGATACTGATATTACTAAAAAGTCAGTAATACTTATATATTAAGATATAATGTATATGCAGTCATGATTATGTTTTTATTAAAGATACTGGTATTACTATAATGTACAAAATTTTGAAGACCAAACTATTTGCATTTTATTTTATCATATGGCAGAGCAATTTCTTCTCTCTCCTAGTAGTTGACGATAGCCACCAAGAAAAGACTAGTAGCTAACAGCTTCTACTCTTAGAATTTATATAATTAGCTGTAAGAATGCCAAAGCCCTCAAATTGAAAGCTAATGAAAATAACTAAACCAAACTATCCATCACTAAGTAATTATGTAGCCACACAAAGACTATATACCTTCTAGAACAAAGTAATCTGGTTGCAAGTCCTTACAGTAATGCAGTTTATAAACAAAAGGAAATACTTAGAAATGTTTGGACTTCATTCTAGTAGTTTTATTGTTTTTATTAATGTCGTATTTTTATCTTGGCACTATGGTGTTACTAGCAAATATTAATAATTATTATTACACATTTAGTGAAGTAAATAACTATTTATATTGACTTTGTTGGGAACCTAGAGCCCCATAAGATATATCATATACTATATATCATATAGGAGAAAATAAAGAAGGTAGTATTTTAAAATCAAGAATTAAAATTTGAACTGATAGATTGAGATTAGAAATTTCCCATAAGAAATATGCCTATGAAGCAAGATTATCTCATGTCTTTACAGAGAATCTTAACAAAATAAAACAAAGAAAAAACTTGTTTTTTAGCTTTGTAGACTGAATATCCCAGAAATAATGCCACCCTCACAAAGCACCCTTATACCAGGTTCTGGCCTCCAATAAATTTTTTCCAGGCTTCTTAGACACATGACTGATGCTGTATTTGAGGCAAGAAGGTATAAAACGAATGAAGATGATCTTATTGTGCCAAAAAACTAGAAAGCTTTCAAAGTTTACGAGATCATGTCAAAATTACAAGAAAGTCAATCTAAATGGGGCTTCCATTGGCCAAAGTTGTGATCACTGAGCATCAAAAAGACAAAATTGGCTGACGTTGACTGCCATACATCAAATCTGAAAAGCCATAAATCCACAATTATGCATGGAAAAGAAAAAGCTAACATAAAATAACCTAAGAAGGAAGAAGAGAAAAAATGTATTTCTATTTCGTTTTGTATTAAATCAAGATGATATTATTGAATCATTTATTATGATGAATATACAAATAAGTAAATGTAAATATATCAATTAGAAGTTGTTTTCTGATTCAAGGGAAATATCATTAGCAAGATTCCATAAGGCATGACCTGGAGTCAGACAAAGCCACATAAAATATAAAAAAAGGTAATTAAAATAATAAATATTTTAAAGGAATGGTATGAGCTGAAGAATAGAGAAGAATGCAAGACTTCGTCAGATCCCCAGACTACATTTCTCAGGAGTGAGGAGGAGATTGATTTAGGTGGAAACTGCAGACTCCTACAATTGATAAAAAGAATTCGGCTATAAAAATAATGCAATTTCAGGGCCAGAGGTTTCACCACTCTCCTGAAGTTACAGAATAATTGGCATAATTACTGCAAATGGGATTCAGCACATTTTTAAAATGAGCATATGTGTAGTGTACAACAGTATACACCACAACATGTAAGCCTGGAAGAACTGCATGGAGGCACAGGACAAATAACTTCAGGACGCTGGCGTAAATTGGAAAAACTATTGGGCTAACAGTGGCTACAGGATTCATTCCATCTTGCCCTCACTTGCAGTTGTAGTTTGCTGCTGCCTACCAAAAAGATCCTTCTTACTCACTTCTCATCATGTACATCTTCTCCAGTGTCTCTTAGAGTGAACAATGATAGTACATTAAAAGGCAGAGGTAAGGCTAAATAATGTAACAGTGTAAATATGTATGTTTTCATATACAAAGAGGAAAGAATATGATGATAAGATTAGTCCCCCTATAATCAAAATAAACTTGCAATATATGTTCTAAAATTTAAAATCTCAATTAAATTTTTTAAAGTCCTTAACTTTTACTCTATGTAACACACTTCATGAGCCCTTCAAAGTCATATTACTCTTTGTTCTTCCAAATAATAACAACTCCAATTGTTTTCAAAGTATATCTACAGTTATTTTGACATCTATATTTACTTTATGATGTTTCCCTGGGTTTTGAATATACATTTGAATTTTTTTAAAAATCATATTTGGTCTAATTTATTGTTAATATTCCCATTTTCAAAATATTTATTTGAACCACTTTGAAACTGAAGTCCTAAGAATTAAGGTGTCTTACTTCTGATATATGCTTCCTTCTTTCTTTCCTCCTGCATGAAGATTTTAAATAAATAATGACAGCCATGTTTCCAAAAGCTAATAGATTCCAAATGTAATCTATACTTTTGTCCATGGAAGAGTCTGGAAATAAAACCTAGTATCCCATTGAACAAGTGTTTGAAGACACAGTGTGGAGCATTTCCCTCAGACCTAATAGGTTCCATAGTATCTCTTTGTTAATAAGTAATGGTTCACTTCGTAGAATTTGGCATAGATCTTCCTTTCATTGTAACATACCCCTGGTACAAAGAGTGTGAATAACCAAAAGCTCTTGATATTTATTGAAAGAATCTAACAATTGCTGAACAGCTCTAGTCATAGCACAAGGTTATTTCACTATGTTAAATATTAATATTCTTATAGACTAGACCAAAATTAATCAATAATCAGACTCAGACTTTGCACTTTGCACAATAAAGTTGGACAAAAATGTTTCTTTACCTACCTTTGTATGCATTTTAAAAATAAGCAGGCTAAGTTTGTCATTTTAACAATAAAATATTTTTAAACTTACCATGGGTTGATTTCTAATCATATAGTATAACTTTTTAAAAATGCATATGCCCTTGGAGAGCCAAGAGATCTAGTGTAACTTCTCTCAGTGCTATAATTATCTGTAGTACCTTGCACAAGTCATTCTGATTTTAACACTTTTAACTCTCATTCTCTTTCCTCAGAGTATTGTGATAAGATCAAACAAGAAAACATATATGATAGTGCTTCAAAAAGTTAAAAACTAATAAGGCTACACTTCTCAAACTTTTTTTTTCTACAAAAGTTCACGTAACAGATGACATTTACATACACTGTCTACTCCTATAGGAATATTTATATATTTTATGAACACAGCACTTACTATGTTCCGGACACTGTTCTTAGCAATTAGTAAATAACAATTCATTTAATCCACAACTCCCTATGAAATATCTATCTTTATAATTCCTATTTTACAGATGAGAAACTGAGGCATGGAGAGGTCACATGGCTTGTCCAAGGTCATACAGATAGTTGAATTGCAGATCTAAAATTCAAGTCTAGCACTATGGCTCCACAACTACTACAAGAAGCTGTCTCTAATGAAAATAAAGTGAATTATTGTTGTAGTTTCTGTTTATTGCTTGTTTTTGAGATTGTAGCAGCTAAATAAGCAAAGTCACATGAGGGTTGACATCAACTACTTGAGGACTCCAAAGTGTCATTTTTCATGGAAACAAAGAAACTCTACTTAAAGTTTAAACCTTTTCTTAAATTGCAAGATTTTAAAACAGCTCCCCTTCAGCTAATAATAATGAAACAATCACTTGAGAGGCATATGACACAAAGGCAAAGAGGAAAGATTCTGGAATTAAACTTCACAACAATTTATCACCAAAATTTTCGAAAGATCTTGTAATTATTGGTCATGAGTGTTACGGTCAAAGAATAATTTTTGTGATTTTCCTTGTTCAAGACCTGCCACTGAATCATTTCCCACAGGTTCAAGTTCCCCTAGAGCATCTCATCTATCTGTTCCACAAGGGAGAAAAAGGAAAAAAAAGGGCAGAGAACAGAGTAATGCTTCTCAGATGATAAAATTCCTGTGGCTTATTTTCCCTTCTTCTTCTTAATCAGAAAGCAGTAACTTTTCACTCGTAAAAAATAAAATGAAACCCTTGTTCCCATGCAGCAGTTCTAGTGGTACCTGCCGGTCAGATGTTTAGCGAAATTTAGTACCGATGGATTTCCTCTTCGGCTAGAATTGCCACTAGCAGCAATCTCATTTTATGCATATTTCAGCAAGGTAATTTTTCAGAAATGACATCTCAACAGTCTTGCATCCGTAACAGAAACATGAGTTTTAAACACTCAGCAACAACAAAGCATAATTTCACAGTTATTATTACACAGCAAACATGCATGTTAGTGAATGCCTACTGAGTGCCAGGCCCTGCACTCATCAGGAGACACCATGACAAGCCAAAGACCACATCCTAAAAGAGGTTTCACAGCGGCAATGGAAACAGTCATAGGAGTAAATAACAACAGAACAGTGTCATTCGTGGGCTGATATGGGCATATAAAATATTGTGGAAACACTGCAGGTGAACAGCTCCATCATCCTGAGGAATCACTGATGAGATGACCTTTACTTTTGCCTTGAAGGGCAGTAGAATTTTAATAGGTGGAGAAGGGTGGCAGAAGGTGTCGATATTGCAAGGAGGAAGAACAGCACAAGAAAGGGCAGAGATGAATGAAAGGCAGTAATTTGTTTGTGGAACTGATGATAATTCTTAGTGGCTGGAGAACAGCACTCAGGGGAAGAGGCTGGTAGGGAATGAGGCCCGAGAGGCGCATGTAGACGACTCGTGAAGGACCTTGTCAGGCATTTTAAGGAGTTTATATTTTATCCCACAGGCAAATAGGAGCTGTTGTTGTTGTGTGTATATGTGTATGTTTTTAAGTTTAAAAGCAAGCCAAATAACATAAAAAATTATAGTTTTAGAATATCACTCTGGTTGCAGTGTCAAGGTTAGAGTAAAAGAAGAAATTGGAGACAGAAAAGCTTGTTGGGGAGTGTTATACAATAATTCTAGTGGAAGATAATGAGGGAGTAGCCAAGGACATCAGGAAGGTGGATTTAGGAACTCTTCATGATGTAGAATCAATAAGAGTCAGTGGCCATCAGGTTAGTTGAGATGAGAAAAAGGATGACTCACAGGTTTGTGGTTTGGATAATTGACACCACTAGTTAAGCTAGGGAGTATACAAATAGATTTACTCAGAAAGTAGACACTGAAAAAAGCATACCTGATCCCCATGCTCTGCAAGAAGAAAAACAATGGGAAATAACTGAAACAGAGTCTCTGAAGGGGGTGTTTGAGTGCAAAGTGCACAGGGAGACAGGAGTAGGTAGCATCATCAGAAGCGGAGAGATACTCAGAATAACAGCAGTAAGAAAGAGCTATGATCCTGTAGAAGTCATAAGGTGGTAGAAGACACAGGGCATCAAAACCATGACAAAACGAGAGTGAAGAGAAGTCCACCGGTCAAGGCAAAAACAATAGAAGCAGAGACGATGCTCAGTGGGTCACTCTCATGTGGAGCCCCTCCAGAGTCAGGATGCTGGCTCCAAAGGGTACAGCTTCTAGAGTGGATACTGGGTCAGCAGGAGTACTGTTGGTTAATTGCAGGACAACCGCTGTTCCCCCAACGAGTCCTGACCACATGGCTGTTACAGGTCTTCCAGGACTGTACAGAGAGCCCTCTATTCCTCTGCTCTTTCCCATGTATCTTAACAACAAACCCAGATGACTTGAATCAGCATGAGCACATCCCTGTTTCTTGAAAAAAACAAATGAACAAGAGCACAATGTGTAACGCCTTTGAGAGTTTCAGAGCAATTATACTTTTCAAATAGCAACTTATTTATTTTATTTTGCATGTTTTTTACTGTTTTATTTGGTTTTTCTACAAGCTTGCCACAAAAAATAAGACATTTAAACCCTCATATTATTTAAGCCCATGGCATTGAATAATTTACTTAGCAAGCACTTCTAGAGATTTGATATACTAGTACACGTTACCCATCCAAAGGACAGACCCTCTTAGAAATCAATTTCCAAAAAAGCTCATGTATTTGTGTTGAAAATTTTATAATCATACATGTATGATTTTAACGCCAAAGAAATTTCAATACAAAACGCTATTCTTCAGACACTGTACATTCCTGGCTAACTATATATCTGTCCATAATTTCTAACGTGTTTTCTTCTCATGTTAAGTCAGAGGTAGCTGTAATTCCTGAGGCTTTATCTAAATCAAAATTAATAAAGAATTTGCTGTGGGAAAGTACAGAACAGATTATGTGGTTTCTTCAACGAATAATAAAGAAAAAAAGTAAAAATTATGAAACCCATAGATTAAAAGAGGCTTAATGTCATATTAATCATCATGTGTGGACCTGATTCAAATAATTTAAGTAAATTCAAATAAAATTTTAAATAAACATTAAAAATTGTGATTTATGAGACACTTGGAAATTTAAACACTGACTGGATTTTGATGACAAGAAGGAATATTATTAATTTTTTTGGTAATGTGGTTATATTTTTAAGAAAATAATTCTTATTTCTTGGAAACACATACTAAGATTTGTTTTAAAATAACACACAAGATGAAAGAATGGGTGAGGACACAAATGAAAGAAGATTGGCCATGAGATGACAGCTGTTGAAGATGGGTAAGGGATTTCTAAAACAATTCTGATTGCTCTTGCATATATTTTGAAATTTTCATCATAAAAACTTTTTAACATCAATGCAGAGCCTGAGCACTTGCATTTTCTGAACCTTGATATTACATAAGCGGGAGAATTTTGGCATCAGACTTCTTCCTCCAAATGTGTGTGTGTGTGTGTGTGTGTGTGTGTGTGTGTGTATGTGGTGTGTGAAAATATGATTGGAAACAAAATGCCAACATAGTAGTGACTACATGTGGGTGGTATAATTCTGAGAAAATTTTTTGAAACTTTTTTGCTTATCTAGATTATATTTTCTATTCTTTCCCATACTGGATATATATGATACTGTAATCATGTTTTTTCTTTCATTTTGGACAAATATTCATTATGCCTGTGATGATAGATGAGATTACAGTGCTTAAATTATATTGCACAAATTGATGGATTTCCTTAAACTAAAATACGTGTATGTTGAGAGTTACTGAGACAATCAGACCCTGACGGGCACAAATATTTTCATTCCTGGTTTTTCCTTATTTCTTGACTCTCGCATTGAACATGGTATTGTTTCGACTGCTTTGAAATTTATATTTTCTTCCTGATTTACTTTAAACTACCACATTTCCATAAGTCAAATTCTAAATTTTCTGCCAAAAACATTTTTTCCTTCTTCCTCATGTTTAAGGTGTCAAGTTAATTCTTTTGACAAGATGCATTTCCAGAGATCTATAACTTTAAAAACATTTATTGAGCATCAATTATGCTTAAGACACTGTGCTGAGCACTGCAAAACATAAAAACATAAACAACATACGTCAGTCCTCTCTCTCTCTGTCCCCTACACATATATATAAACAAACACGTAATTTTTGTGAGATTACATACATATATTTTAAATATAGTTTTATATACAGTCATGTGTTGCTTGACAACAGGGATTTATTCTGAAAAATGCATTCGTAGGCAATGCCATTGTCAGGCAAACATGATAAAGTGTACTTATACAAACCTAGATGGTATAACCTACTATAAACCTAGGCTATATGGTATAGCCAATTGCGCTGAGGCTACAAACCTGTACAGCATGTTACTGTGCTGAATACTGTAGGCAGTTGTAACACAATGATAAGTATTTGTGTATCTAAATATAGAAAAGGTACAGTAAAAATACAGTATTATAATCTTATGGGACCACCATAGTATATGCAGTCTGTTGATGACCAAAACGTTGTTAGGTAGTGCATGATTGTATATAATGAGATTAATATGTTAATACTAGTATATAATATAATCATTAGTATTAATATAAATATAATACAATATATACAATATAATATATACTAGTATTAGTATAATTATTAGTATTAATGTTAATATTAGTGATATGATTATAAATATTAATACTAGCATTAATATATTATACTAGTATATCAAAGGAGGCCTTGGATGCCATGCTGACATCTCTATGCTGCAGATGGTGAGAGCAATTAAAGGCTTCCGGGTAAAGGATTACCTGGGCTCTGGCAACAGAACAGTGGGCTAAAGTGAGAAGATCTTGCATGCAGGAAGACCAGTTTAAGCAGGTAATATCCAGTCTAGTGACTAATCAAGTGCCTGAAGAGATGAGAGAGGAAGAGGTCAGAGGAACCCCCTCTCCTTCCTTTCTAGAAGATGTACCATGTGTGAGTCTGAGAGGGTAGCATTGTCATTCAGTGACATGGTGGTTAAACATGGAGAAGCTCAAAAGGGGAGGTGGGAGAGGACAGGAAGAGGTGGCCAATGTGGGGATTTGAGGGGCAGTCAGGGAACCACCAAGTAAATACCTAATCAGTAATTGAAATGTGGGGCCAGAACTAGATATGTCCTGGAAGCCTGAAATGTAATCCTAAATATAATCTTAAAGAGGAGTCAGGGCTGGATGAGGCACCAGATATCCAAAGTGGAAAAGAAGTTCAATTGCTTGTACACATATTATTTCACTTAATCGTCACGCCTATGGCAAGTCTTTTAAAATATGATCTATTACAGATATGTGATGTTAAAGCAGAATGAAGTAAATCTGCAGGCAAATAGGAACTGTTTAAAGTCTCCCCTATCTCTAATTCACTTATAGGAACTTTAGATTTAGTGTAAAACCCGAGTAGTTTTAAGGTTCAGATATTTCCATATAGAAGTTCCTTTTATTTTTTCATGTAATCTAACTCAGAGAGTTTCAAACTCGGTATGCATAAGAATTAGTGTACAGTCCTAGACATACAAAGCTATATATACTTTATTTTACAGACATTTAAAGGATGTTGAAAGGCAATTTTGACTGAAATGCTGCCTTTATGCTGATTTCAGAAGTTAATTTCTTTGTTAGCTATAATAATACTGTACCAAGAATATAATACTGTATCCACAGTTTAAGGAAATTCAGTCAAAAAATTAAATTTTACTTTGTTGCATTTGTATTAGTGTCATAATGACTTCTAAATGTAATTGTATATTTAATGGCTGCAATCCATACATTGAAAATTTTATTCAAGTGGATCCCTCAGAACCCTTGGGGCCAAATGCTCTGGCCGGATCAGTTCTCCACTAAAGGTGTTGTTGTGGATAGAGTGCTTGGAAATGCTTACACACATAGGAAGTAGGTAAAATAAGAAGGAAAAGTGGATTCATTAAAAGAACACCCCCTTGAACTTCCATCAAGATTTTTGCTTAAAGCTCATACTATTCCTCTGTCCTCATCCAATGCCCTCTCTCTGGTGGCTCACTCTTCCCTGATCTCTGTTTACATTCCAGTCGCTGAATGTATCTGTATGCTCATCTGGACATACTTCAATAACTAAGCCTTTGTCTCTAAGATCACATGAAAAAGAAATATTCTCCCTCTCTGGACATTATTTTTATACCGCCAACACCCCCAAGAAATTTTTGATAGTAAAATCCCATTACCACAAGCCCCAGATGGGGTAAAATGAAAAACACCATAGAGGATTCTACCTTGATTAGAGCTGAAGAAATGCACCAGGGTTGGTCCCTGTCCATCTCTATTGTTCAGCCAGCAGGCCCAACTTGAGGCCAAATGGAGGTGCCCAGAGTGAGCACTTTATGACCAACAGGTTTCTAGTACAAGAAATGTTACAAAGCAGCCTTAGGTAGCAGCGTATACAACTGTGAGTAAAAACAATAAGACCCAAATGTCAGGCATAAGAAATGCATTTTTCTTACTTTACTCTGAAAGAATGCACTAGGGAGAAATTCAGCAAATAAAGCCTGTTGAAAATATGAGCATTTCTGCAGGCTTATTTCCAGTGGGACATTAACACTCACTTGCTGTAATACCTCTATTAATGAAGAGAATGTGACACACTTATCCATCAGGCATTTCATAAGCAAGACAGAAAAAATACAAAAGATTGAGGTGTTAGCCTCAGAACTCCATGTAGGAGAGTAAAAAAAGTATGACATATGGCATGAAAATACGACAAAATACTAAAGGAAATAGCATCAAATCTGCTGGAAAACATAAAATAGGCCTCTTAAGATTTAGCATAGAAGTAAATGAGGAGAAACCACACTAAAGGATATTAGCAAAGAAATACAATATTAACTCTACAGTCAAGGTGGAAGGTTTGAATAGTGGTTGGTTGGAGAAGGCTCACCAACTGACCTGTTGAAGGGCAGGGCAGCATAGGTTTCAGTAAGACACTCAAATGATGGACACAGTTTGATGTAGCTCCAGCCACTCCTATAGTTGCCATCAGGGACACAGAGGTATGGAGGGTGTGTTGGAGGAATATGCTGGGGAAAAAAATTGATGCGTCATCTTTCCCCTCTCATTTTTAATAGCAGTAACTCAATTTCACTTTCCCGGCCTTGAGAGCTTCTCTTCCACACTTCCTTCCCAAGTTCTGATATTATTTTAAGAGAAAACCAAATCTTTCCCTTCACAATTGAAATGAACAGGTATAAAACTTAAGTTTGTAAGACATAGTGCTTTTCAGGGTAAGACATTTATTAGACACACTCAAGAGCCAAAATCTCACTCAACAGTCAAAACCTCAAATGCTCACAGGGGCTAGCCAGCAACAAAAATGAGTGAAGCCACTGAGGAGGGAAGAAAGGAAGAGATGTGTAACTGTAGAGGACATGCCTTGTCTGCAGGGGACAGAACATTACCCAGCTTCAGCTGAGCATGGCCAAGGAAAAGTCTGGATCATTACAAATATTGCAAGAGCTTCATATATTTCAAAACGGATGTTGATCTCAATTTTCATGTAAAAACCTTTTTTTTCAAATGTTGGTAAGTACTTTATTAAAGCAAGCAAACAAAAAAACAAGGTGTGAGCAAACAAAACAATTTTGCTGCCCAAACACAGCAAATGCAGGGCACAGATTATTGCTTTCTGACCTGCTCACCAAAGAGGATTCTCTCTCCCAGTAGTCATCTAGGAGTTACTAGAATCTCTTCTAGAAGAGAATAAGGAGGCACTAGCCTAAGGTGGATAAGGCAAAAAGAGGTGAGGTAGATTTTGAAAGCCTTACAATTTTACTAATTGCAGCCCTATTTAAGCAGAACAAGTAGAAGCTGTGTAGAGACGCTTGTCAAGCCTAGCCACATACAAAGCTTTGCTTCCCACAGTTTTAACACTACCAACTTCATTATAAAGGAGATTAATTCCCAGAGTTTTCACTAATCAAGGTAACACACTATATGTTTTCTGGCATAAAGCATATTTATGAATCACATTAAGTTCTCTCTATATGAATGATTCTTCCTAGATGCAGCAGACTGTGGCTTTGGATTCTATAGCCCAAACATTATCAAGGACTCCAGAATGCTGATTTTTTTAAGGAATTAAACTGTAATCTGCAATGCAGCAATAAATTACTGTAGAGCTTTGAGCAAGAAGCCTGCTGCACATTGTCAGTTGGAAATGTTAAGACATCAGCTCTCAAGGTCACCAAAAAACACTACAGAAGTTCCTTTTACTGCTCTTAGATGGTGAGATGTATAAATCACTTAACTGGTACATAAGACTTACTTTAAGCAAAGAAAAATTGAACATTTCCTCTTTATTTCAAGAAAGGCAGCGAGCTGATGAATAGATCTGGGGATAATAAGAATGCTACAGCTTTAATTAGATGGCAGGAAACAACCACCAGGAAACCCTGAAGTACTCATGTCCCCATGAGTTTGGAACATATATATGTTTATAGGTATGTGCCTGAAGAATTTATAGTGTGTGTGGAGAAAGTGTTCTCTTGGAGAAACTAGAAGCATTCATATGGTTTCGCTATGAATTTTTAAAAGCTGGTACTGCTTGTTTACATGCTTTTTGCACTCTGTGTAAATTTATTTTCTATATAAATAAATATTATCTCATTACCAACCACCTCCATTAGAATCTAGCAGACCATGAAATAGGCTTTGGAAGATCAAGCAATGCACTTAGGCCCAGAAAAACATTGTTTTGGCTTCTAGCTTAAGAACTCATGGAAAAAAATAAAACTTTACATAACAGTTTGGAGAACATACACTATATCATCTTTTCTAGTCAAAGGCGGCAACTAAAAATGAAAGCAGATTACTCATAACTGTGAAAAATAAATCAGTTTCTATTTCTACCTACTCCTTTGTCCACCTTTTTAGTATTTCTAACTCTTGCATTTTTTCAATAATCTATCTTTAAAACAGCATATTTTCCCTAATACAAAAATAACACAAGGACGAAGTATCCTGAGATTTATATCTACTAAGTTAAATACTAAGTGATCGATCTACTCTCTCGCTTACTCTAAGTATATAACAATTTCCAAGAATAATGTCACTAAAAGTGTTATGAAATTCAAGAGCCACATTCTAGATTCCATTCTGAAATGTTGCTAAACTACCAATGAATCTAGTGTATATTCCGTTAAATAGACAAATGATGCCCAATGACAAACATAGCAAATGCACAATTTTGATTAAAATCACTTATTTAAATCTTTATTTAAATTGCATAAATTATATCAGCTTTTATAAAAATACATCAGAAAGTCCACGTGCCCAGAGTCCAAAATTCAAAAGAAATGTTTAAGTACCCTCCCAAAGAAACATTAAAGAGCAATGCATTTGTCCAGGATTTAAAAATGAGCAGGAAGTGTAGCAACACAAAGTTTGTAACACAAGTCCTATTGCCAGGTTTAGGGATGGGCAAAAGCCCAGGAACTGACGCGAGAGCCTGGCACAGCAGGAGCGGTCAGTTTTGGCTGGCAGAAGGCACAGTTTGAGAAGCGCAGCAAAGCACACAAAGCACACTTGTGTTCCACATCCTGAGAGTCCCAGAAAAGATACAGTGTAAGGACCCCTGAGTGCCTACACAGCAAAAGCTATCATAGTTTTTGCAGCATGAATGAAACATGTCAGTATTTGTATTTAGTGGAACACCAAAGAAAGTTTTAAAAGAATTTTGAGCTTATACTTCAGGAAAAATTAATTTGTTAAAGTGATTAGTCTAAGACAGTGTTTCTATTACTCTCTAAAGAAAGTTGATGTTAGATGGCCGTATTACAAAATCAAGGACTTTTTTCACATACTCTAGGGGCTTTTCAAAATTAAGTATATTTAAATATGAGCTTATATAAAGATGTCTATTTTCAAAAAAGCAATCATTCTTAAAATCTAGCTAATGAGTGGTGCCACAGCATCGCTGTAGAGACTGTTGATTGGAGGGGAAGAATGTGGCTTTGAGAAGTATCTGGCTGGGACCACCTTGAATCAGGGGTCAGTCTTGGCATAACAGTGGAGAGAGAGCCATACATCATGCATCTCGGAATAGGATGCCACACAAAGTAGGTGACATTACTCATAAAGCATTAACCCCACAAATATTCAACCTGAATATAATCACTCTTAAAGACTGAGCTTCTGGTTTATAGAAAAATATGATAGAACAAGTTAAAACAGCACCACCAGGAAACAAACAAATTCAAAAAGCAAGCTGTTCTACAACACAATTGGACCAGTCACATTAGCAAGTTAATATCATTAAGATTGAAAAAAGAGGAAGGGAGGAAAAGGGAGTGTTCTAAATTAAAACATACAGGAGACATCACAAATAAATGCAATGTGTGTCCCTCATGAGGATCCTGATTCTAATAACTATAATTGTAGAAGAGATTTTTGAATAACATAGAAAATTTGACTATGAGCTCAGTAGAGAGAATAAGGCAATTATTATTATATTTTTAATTGTGATAATAGAATTATAGTTATTTGGAAAACTGTCCTTATTTTTAAAGAGATGGTCTCTGAAGAATTTAGAGATAAAATGTCATGATGTCCATAATTTATTTTTTAAAACTTCAGAAAAAATAGATGAAGCAAATATGGTAAAAGTTTTAATAACTATAAATCTAACTGGTAGATACACAGGAGTTTTTTGTAGTATTCCCTCTACTTTTTATATGTTTTAAATTTTAATAATATAAACAAAACAAGCTACTAATTTTTTTAAAGTTGTTTCTGTTGCATCCTTTTTAAACTTTACTTATTCAAAGCAAAATAATATTTATTGCATTTAATTGTCTTCCTGTTTGATAAATCCTAATGAATAACTTTTGATCTTCCATTTATTCCTATTTTTTAATTGTTTTCAAAAAAGCAGGTATCTGGGCCTTAATTCAATAACTTTTGTAGAACACTTAGGAATATATTTTTTTCCACTCCACTGAAATCTAGATAAAAATACTATATGAATTTTATTTTAAAAAACGTTTTAAAGCAAATACGATCTGATCAAATGTGTTTGGGATTTCAAATGCATGACTTCCTTGATTTTTTTGAGCTCATTATTTACATAAAAATATTCAGAGTTATTTTCAGGGTAATTGTGATTGAAAATATAATAATAATTATTGCTATTGCAAAATTTGTATATGAAATTTTCATTTGGGCCTAGTCATGGTGACTTTTATGTAACATATCAAAACATTTTGTATTTTTTTGATATCAAATGTGAACAGTCTCTCAAATAAAATGAGACTTATAACTAGTTGCATTTAAGTACTCCTGTTGACATAAGCTACAACAGGTGTGGAGAAAGGAAAGGAGCGAGGTGAGGAGCAGGGGCGTGGAAAATTCTCCAATGCAGCAGAGAAGAAAACAGTTTAGGTCACAGCATTTTGATCTTGCATGTGATACAACCACTCAGCTAGAAAGAATGAAGTGATCACACTGATATTCAGAGTTTGTGTCTAAACACCATAATCTTTAAGATTCGGAGTGCTTCTTTTATTAAAGTCCCAAATACGTGCCTTATCCCTCTATCTATATATCTTTCTATCTATCTATCTATCTATCTATCTATCTATCTATCTATCATCTATCTCTCTATCTGTCTAGATAGGCCTTATGCCTATATCATCAACCTATTAGATAGATTAGGTAGATAGACATAGATAGATATAGGAATCATAGATAGATATATAGGTAGATAGATACATATCTAGATAGGTGATAGATGGATGGATGGATAGATAGATAGACAGATAGATAGACAGATAGAGATACATTTCCACAATTTCCTCATGGATATAATATCAGAATAAGAGGAATAAAAGTTGATAAAGGCTGGGCATGGTAAATCACGACTGTAATTCCAGCACTTTGGGAGGCTGACACAGGTAGAGCACTTGAGGCCAAGAGTTCGAGACCAGCCTGGGTAACATGGAGAAACCTCGTCTCTACGTAAAACACAAAAATTAGCCTGGTGTGGTGGTACGAGCTACTTGGGAGACTGAGGCACAAGAATCACTTTAACCCAGGAAATGGAGGTTGCAGTGAGCCGAGATCACACCACTGCACTCCAGCCTGGGTACAGAGTGAGACTCTGTCAAAAAAAAAAAAAAAGTTGTTAAGAAGTTGGGGGACACTCAGTAGTACCTGAGGGCATACTGCCTGGACCATTGTTGACATGGAACGATGAAGCATGGAATGAGTTACAAGTCACACAGGCCATTCAACCAGCTCTCAGACCCTGCTGTTGGGCCCAAAACTGGACCCAGCACCACTCTGCCCATCTCCTGTTGCTGAGCCTCTGTGGTGTTAATGAATGGAGTACTGGGTTTAGCCACTAACATCTTACTGGTGGAAAGGGAAGCAGCAGTACTAAAAACTGTCAGTCCTTTATTCTTCATGTCTATTGGAGAAGCCTGCCTACACACACATGCTCATGCATGCACATGCACGCACACACACACACACACACACACACACACACACCCTGGGAGCATTCCGTAAACACAGGAAAAATGACATGGGCTCCAGAGAGCAATATTTCTGGCAAATCCAGATGGTGGTGATGTAAAACAACACAATGATGTTCACTATTACTCTCAGCTGTGAAAATTTACGTGGCAGTACCACTTCTCACTTTCACTCCATTTCCCCTTTCCCACTTCCCCATTTAGCATCTGTAAGTTACTCAGTCTCATTTTATAAAGATACATTCATTCTCTCAGCAAATATTTACTGAGTTTCTATCACATGCTAGGGACCAGGAGTTTGGTGATCAGCAAGAGAAAGACCCTGTTGGCTCTCCAGAAGCATACCTTCTAGTTAGGGAGACAAATATAATTTAGTAATTTAGCATCACTTCAGAGACGGAAAAATCAGTCTGGAAAAAAAAAAAACAGAAAAGGGACTCAGCAGAACTGAAAAAAGATCAAGGATATTTAATATAAGGTGGTTAGAGAAGCCCTGCTGAGGAAAGGACATTTAAGCAATATGGGAATGATAAGGAATCAATCCAGTGAAGATCTAAGAGGAGAGAATTCTAAGCAGAGGGAACAGCAAAGTTTCTGAGCAAGATAGCTTGCCAGATTGCAGGACCAGATTTTGTAGCCTAATTATAGTTAATAAAGATATAAGTGATAGAATAAGAGGACTCAGAGCAAGTCTCATAGGCCATAGTCAGGAGTTTAGATTTTATTCTAAATGGGTTATGTAACCATTGGAGATTTTAAGAAGTTGGATTAAAATGACCATGTTGACTCTTCTATAGAGAATAGGCTTTCATGATGCAAGAGTGGACATAAGAAGTGGAAAACAGGTTTTGCTATACTTAGACGAGAGATAACAGGTGGGAGGATAGTTGAGAAGATGGTGAGAAGTCACAGGATTTGGAATGTATTTCGCATATAGGATTGACAGAATTTTTGCCTATGGATTCAACTTATAAAAGGGCTGGCAAGGAAAAAAAGAAAAATCAAAGATAACACCAAGTCTTTGAATTTCACTTATAAATCTTCCTAATGGGAATCTGATAAGAATGTCATTGGTGTAAAATACATGTACTATGTCATTAGTGATACAAATAAATGTATATTTGTTGAATGAATGAAGGAGGAAAGATTATTTTCACGCTGCTTTCTTGTATAAATAGCTGATATTAAGCATGGCTTTGTCTGCATTATGTTTTTTTTAAGTGAACAATATATCCCAAAGATTGCTACACAGAAGTACACACAGGTATTCCTCCTTTCCTTAAACAATTGAACAGGATTTTTTGTATGAATATAATATAGTTCTGTCAATCAGTCCCAGTTGATGGACATTGCCATTTTTTCCTAGTCATTTACTGCACATAATCTTGCAATAAATAGCATGTACATGTCTTTTAACTTTTTACCTGTGAATCTTTGAGGTAGATTCTTAGAAGTGAGATTGCTGGGTTACCTAAGAACCCAAGATAAAGAACAGCAATAGACCAGGGCAGGTGGCTTACATCTGAAATCCCAGAACTTTGGAAGGCTGAGGTGGGGGATCAATTGGGGCTAGGAGTTTGAGACCTAACTGCACAACATTGCAAGATCCTGTCTCTAAAAAAAAAAAAAAAAAAAAATTTTTTTTTATACTTTAAGTTCTAGGGTACATATACACAACGTGCAGGTTTGTTACATATGTATACATGTGCCATGTTGGTGTGCTGCACCCATTAACTCGTCATTTACATTAGGTATAGCCCCTAATGCTGTCCCTCCCCACTCCCTACACACCACGACAGGCCCCAGTGTGTGATGTTCCCCACCCTGTGTCCAAGTGTTCTCATTGTTCAATTCCCACCTATGAGTGAGAACATGCGGTGTCTGGTTTTTTGTCCTTGCGATAGTTTGCTGAGAATGATGGTTTCCAGCTTCATCCATGTCCCTACAAAGGATATGAACTCATTTTTTATGGCTGCATAGTATTCCATGATGTATATGTGCCACATTTTATTAATCCAGTCTATCATTGATGGACATTTGGTTTTGTTCCAAGTCTTTGCTGTTGTGAATAGTGCCACAATAAACATATGTTATAGTAGCATGATTTATAACCCTTTGGTTATATACCCAGTAATGGGATGGCTGGGTCAAATGGTATTTCTAGTCCTAGATCCCTAAGGAATCGCCACACTGTCTTCCACAATGGTTGAACCAGTTTACAGTCCTGTCAACAGAATAAAAGTGTTCCTATTTCTCCACACCCTCTCCAGCACCTATTGTTTCCTGACTTTTTAATGATTGCCATTCTAACTGGTGTGAGATGGTATCTCATTGTGGTTTTGATTTGCATTTCTCTGATGGCCAGTGATGACGAGCATTTTTTCATGTGTCTTTTGGCTGCATAAATGTCTTCTTTTGAGAAGTGTCTGTTCACATCCTTTGCCCACTTTTTCATGGGGTTGTTTTATTCTTGTAAATTTGTTTGAGTTCTTTGTAGATTCTGGATATTAGCCCTTTGTCAGATGAGTAGACTGCAAAAATTTTCTCCCATTCTGTAGGTTGCCTGTTCACTTTGATGGTAGTTTCTTTTGCTGTGCAGAGGCTCTTTAGTTTAATTAGATCCCATTTGTCAATTTTGGCTTTTGTTGCCATTGCTTTTGGTGTTTTAGACATGAAATCCTTGCCCATGCCTGTGCCTGAATGGTATTGTCTAGGTTTTTTTCTAGGATTTTTATGGTTTTAGGTCTAACATTTAAGTCTTTAATCCATCTTGAATTAATTTTTGTATAATTTTGAATTAATTTTGTAAGGAAGGGATCCAGTTTCAGCTTTCTATATATAGCTGCCAGTTTTCCCAGCACCATTTATTAAATAGGGAATCCTTTCCCCATTTCTTGTTTTTCTCAGGTTTGTCAAAGATCAGATGGTTGTAGATCTGTGGTATTATTTCTGAGGGCTCTGTTCTGTTCCATTGGTCTATATCTCTGTTTTGGTACCAGTACCATGCTGTTTTGGTTACTGTAGCCTTATAGCATAGTTTGAAGTCAGGTAGCGTGATGCCTCCAGCTTTGTTCTTTTGGCTTAGGATTGTCTTGGCAATGCAGGCTCTTTTTTTGTTCCATACGAACTTTAAAGTAGTTTTTTCCAATTCTGTGAAGAAAGTCATTGGTAGCTTGATGGGGATGGCATTGAATCTCTAAATTACCTTGGGCAGTATGGCCATTTTCACAATATTGATTCTTCCTATTCATGAGCATGGAATGTTCTTCCATTTGTTTGTATCCTCTTTTATTTCATTGAGCAGTGGTTTGTAGTTCTCCTTGAAGAGGTCCTTCACATCCCTTGTAAGTTGGATTCCTACATATTTTATTCTCTTTGAAGCAATTGTGAATGGGAGTTCACTCATGATTTGGCTCTCTGTTTGTCTGTTATTGGTGTATAAGAATGCTTGTAATTTTTGCACATTGATTTTGTATCCTGAGACTTTGCTGAAGTTGCTTATCAGCTTAAGGAGATTTTGGGCTGAGACAATGGGGTTTTTAAAATATACAGTCATGTCATCTGCAAACAGGGACAATTTGACTTCCTCTTTTCCTAATTGAATACCCTTTATTTCTTTCTCCTGCCTGATTGCCCTGGCCAGAACTTCCAACACTATGTTGAATAGGAGTGGTGAGAGAGGTCATCCCTGTCCTGTGCCAGTTTTTGCCCATGAAGTACGATATTGGCTGTGGGTTTGTCATAAATAGCTCTTATTATTTTGAAATACGTCCCATCAATACCTAATTTATTGAGAGTTTTTAGCATGAATGGTTGTTGAATTTTGTCAAAGGCCTTTTCTGCACCTATTGAGATAATCATGTGGTTTTTGTCTTTGGTTCTGTTTATATGCTGGGTTATGTTTATTGATTTGTGTATGTTGAACCAGCCTTTCATCCCAGGGATGAAGCCCACTTGATCATGGTGGATAAGCTTTTTGATGTGCTGCTGGATTCAGTTTGCCGGTATTTTATTGAGGATTTTTGCATCGATGTTCATATGGGATATTGGTCTAAAATTCTCTTTTTTTGTTGTGTCTCTGCCAGGCTTTGGTATCAGGATGATGCTAGCCTCATAAAATGAGTTAGGGAGGATTCCCTCTTTTTCTATTGATAGGAATAGTTTCAGAAGGAATGGTACCAGCTCCTCCTTGTACCTCTGGTAGAATTCGACTGTGATTCCGTCTGGTCCTGGACTTTTTTTGGTTGGTAGGCTATTAATTATTGCCTCAGTTTCAGAGCCTGTTATTGGTCTATTCAGGGATTCAACTTCTTCCTGGTTTAGTCTTGGGAGGATGTATGTGTCCAGGAATTTAACCATTTCTTCTAGATTTTCTAGTTTATTTGTGTAGAGGTGTTTATAGTATTCTCTGATGGTAGTTTGTATTTCTGTGGGATTAGTGGTGATATCCCCTTTATCATTTTTTATTGCGTGTATTTGATTCTTCTCTCTTTTCTTCTTTATTAGTCTTGCTAGCAGTCTATCAATTTTGTTGATCTTTTCAAAAAAACAGCTCCTGGATTCATTGATTTTTTGAAGGGTTTTTTGTGTCTCCATTTCCTTCAGTTCTGCTCTGATCTTAGTTATTTCTGGCCTTCTGCTAGCTTTTGAATGTGTTTGCTCTTGCTTCCCTAGTTCTTTTGATTGTGATGTTAGGGTGTGAATTTTAGATCTTTCCTGCTTTCTCTTGTGGGCAAATGCTATAAATTTAGTGCTATAAATTTCCCTCTACACACTGCTTTAAATGTGTCCCAGAGATTCTGGTATGTTGTGTCTTTGTTCTCGTTGGTTTCAAAAAACATCTTTATTTCCACCTTCATTTTGTTATGTACCCAGTAGTCACTCAGGAGCAGGCTGTTCAGTTTCCATGTAATTGAGCAGTTTTGTATGAGTTTCTTAATCCTGAGTTCTAGTTTGATTGCCCTGTGGTCTGAAAGATTCCAAGATGTCCAAACGCAACAGCTCCAGTCTACAGCTCCCAGGGTGAGCGACGCAGAAGACGGGTGATTTCTGCATTTCCAACTGAGGTGCCGGGTTCATCTCACTGGGGCTTGTCAGACAGTGGGTGCAGGACAGTGGGTGCAGCCCATCGAGCATGAGCCGAAGCAGGGCGAGGCATCGCCTCACCCAGGAAGCGCAAAGGGTCAGGGAATTCCCTTTCCTAGCCAAGGGAAGCTGTGACAGACGGCACCTGGAAAATCAGGTCACTCCCACCCAAATACTGCCCTTTTCCAATGGTCTTAGCAAATGGCACACCAGGAGATTATACCCCGTGCCTGGCTCGGAGGGTCCCAAACCTACGGAGCCTCGCTCATTGCTAGCACAGCAGTCTGATATTGAACTGCAAGGCAGCAGTGAGGCTGGGGGAGGGGCGCCCGCAATTGCTGAGGCTTGAGTAGGTAAACAAAGCGGCAGGAAAGCTCGAACTGGGTGGAGCCCACCACAGCTCAAGGAGGCCTGCCTGCCTCTGTAGACTCCACCTCTGGGGGCAGGGCATAGCTGAACAAAAGGCAGCAGAAACCTCTGCAGACTTAAATGTCCCTGTCTGACAGCTTTGAAGAGAGTAGTGGTTCTCCCAGCACAGAGTTTGAGATCTGAGAATGGACAGACTGCTTCCTCAAGTGGGTCCCTGACCCCCGAGTAGCCTAACTGGGAGGCACCCCCCAGGAAGGGCATACTGACACCTCACACTGCCGGGTACCCTCTGAGATGAAGCTTCCGGAGCAACAATCAGGAAGCAACATTTGCTGTTCAGCAATATTTGCTGTTCTGCAGCCTCCGCTGTTGATACCCAGGCAAACAGGGCCTGGAGTGGACCTCCAGCAAACTCCAACAGACCTGCAGCTGAGGGTCCTGACTGTTAGAAGAAAAACTAACAAACAGAAAGGACATCCACACCAAAACCCCATATCAAAGACCAAAGGTAGATAAAACCACAAAGATGGGGGAAAAACAGAGCAGAAAAGCTGAAAATTATAAAAATCAGAGCACCTCTCCCCCTCCAAAGGAACACAGCTCCTTGCCAGCAATGGAAAAAAGCTGGATGGAGAATGACTTTGACGAGTTGAGAGAAGAAGGCTTCAGACAATCAAACTTCTCTGAGCTAAAGGAGGAAGTTTGAACCCATTGTAAAGAAGCTAAAAACCTTGAAAAAAGATTAGACAAATAGCTAACTAGAATAAACAGTGTAGAGAAGTCCTTGAATGACCTGATGGAGCTGAAAACCATGCCATGAGAACTATGTGACGAATGCACAAGCTTCAGTAGCCAATTCGATCAACATGGAAGAAAGGGTATCAGTGATGGAAGATCAAATGAATGAAATGAAGCGAGAACAGAAGTTTAGAGAAAAAAGAGTAAAAAGAAATAAACAAAGCCTCCAAGAGATATGGGACTATGTGAAAAGACCAAATCTATGTCTGATTGGTGTACCTGAAAGTGATGGGGAGAATAGAAACAAGTTGGAAAACACTCTGCAGGATATTATCCAGGAGAACTTCCCCAACCTAGCAAAGCAGGCCAACATTCAAATTCAGGAAATACAGAGAATGCCACAAAGATACTCCTTGAGAAGAGCAACTCCAAGACACATAATTGTCAGATTCACCAAAGTTGAAATGAAGGAAAAAATGTTAAGGGCAGCCAGAGAGAAAGGTCGGGTTACCCACAAAAGGAAGCCCATCAGACTAACAGCGGATCTCTTGGCAGAAACTCTACAAGCCAGAAGAGAGTGGGGGCCAATATTCAACATTCTTAAAGAAAAGAATTATCAACCCAGAATTTCATATCCAGCCAAATTAAGCTTCATAAGTGAAGGAGAAATAAAATCCTTTACAGACAAGTAAATGCTGAGAGATTTTGTCACCAGCAGGCCTGCCCTATAAGAGCTCCTGAAGAAAGCACTAAACATGGAAAGGAACAACCAGTAACAACCACTGCAAAAACATGCCAAATTGTAAAGACCATCGATGCTAGGAAGAAACTGCATCAACTAACGAGCAAAATAACCAGCTAACATTATAATGACAGGATCAAATTCACACATAACAATATTAACCTTAAATGTAAATGGGCTAAATACTCCAATTAAAAGACAACTGGCAAACTGGATAAAGAGTCAAGACCCATCAGTGTGCTGTATTCAGGAAACCCATCTCACGTGCAGAGACACATATAGGCTCAAAATAAAGGGATGGAGGAAGATCTACCAAGCAAATGGGAAACAAAAAAAGGCAGGGGTTGCAATCCTAGTCTCTGATAAAACAGACTTTAAACCAACAAAGATCAAAAGAGACAAAGAAGGCCATTACATAATGGTAAAGGGATCAATTCAACAAGAAGAGCTAACTATCCTAAATATACATGCACCCAATACAGGAGCACCCAGATTCATAAACCAAGTCCTTAGAGACCTACAAAGAGACTTAGACTCCCACACAATCAATAATAATGGGAGACTTTAACACCCCACTGTCAACATTAGACAGATCAATGAGACAGAAAGTTAAAAAGGATATCCAGGAATTGAACTCAGCTCTGCACCAAGCAGACCTAACAGACATCTACAGAACTCTCCACCCCAAATCTACAGAATATACATTCTTCTCAGAACCACATCGCGCTTATTCCAAAATTGACCACATAGTTGGAAGTAAAGCACTCCTCAGCAAATGTAAAAAAACAATTTTTAAAAAAAATTAGACTGGGGTTTGGCTGTGTCCCCACGCAAATCTCAACTTCAATTTTATCTCCCAGAATGCCCACGTGTTGTGGGAGGGACCTAGGGGGAGGTAATTGAATCATGGGGCCAGTCTTTCCTGTGCTATTCTTGTAATAGTGAGTAAGTCTCATGAGATCTGATGGGTTTATCAGGGGTTTCTGCTTTTGCTTCTTCCTCATTTTTCTCTTGCTGCCACCATGTAAGAAGTGTTTTTTGCCTCCCACCATAATTCTGAGGCCTCCCCAGTCATGTAGAACTGTAAGTTCAATTAAACCTCTTTTTCTTCCCAGGCTCAGGTATGTCTTTATCAGCAGTGTGAAAATGGATTAATACAGTATATTGTAGTGTTGCTGAAAAGATACCCAAAAATGTGGAAGCAACTTTGGAACTGGGTATCAGGCAGAGCTTAGAAGAGTTTAAAGGGCTACAGGAAGATGTGGGAAACTTTGGAACCTCCTAGAGACTTGTTGAATGGGTGTTATAAAAATGCTAATAGTGATATTAACAATAAGGTCCAGGCCAAGGTGGTCACAGATGAAGATGAGGAACTTGCTGGGAACTGGAGCAAAGGTAACTCTTGTTATGTTTTAGCAAAGAGACTGGCAGCATTTTGCCCCTACCTTAGAGATCTGTGAAACTTTTTGAACTCAAGAGATGATTTAGGGTACCGGGCTGAAGAAATTTCTAAGCAGCAAAGCATTCCAAAGTTGACTTCGGTGCTGTTAAAAGCATTCCATTTTAAAAGGGAAATAGAGCATAAAAGTTCAGAAAATTTGCAGCCTAACAATGCAGTAGAAAAGAAAAATCCATTTTTTTTAGGAGAAATTCAAGCTTGCTGCAAAAATTTGCATAAGTAACAAGAACCCCAATGTTAATCCCCAAGACAATGGGGAAAATGCTTCCAGGGCATGTCATAGGTCTTCATAGTGGCCCTTCCCATCACAGACCTGGAAGCCTAGGAGGAAAAAGTGGTTTCATGGGCCAGGCCCAGGGTACCCATGCTGTGTGCAGCACAGGGACTTGGTGCCCTGCACCCCGGCTGCTCCAGCCATTGCTAAAAGGGACCAAGGTACAGTTTGGCCCATGATTTCAGAGGGTGTAAGCCCCAAACCTTGGCAGCTTCCACGTGGTGTTGAGCCTGCAGGTGCACAGAAGTCAAGAATGGAGGTTTAGGAACGTCCACCTAGATTTCAAAGGATGTATGGAAACTCCTGGATGTCCAGGCGAAAGTTTGCTGCAGGAGCAGAGCACTCATGGGGAACCTCTGCTAGGGCAGTGAGGAAGGGAAAAGTGGGGTTGGAACCTGCACACAGAGTCCCTACTGGGGCACTGCCTAGTGGAACTGTGAGAAAAAAGCCACCATCCTCCAGACCCCGGAATGGTAGATCCACTGACAGCTTGCGCTGAGAGCCTGGAAAAGGTACAGACACTCAACGCCAGCCCATGATAGCAGCCAGGTGGAAGACTGTACCCTCTAAAGCCACAAAGGCAGAGCTGCCCAAGACCATGGAAACCCACCTTTTGCATCGGCATGACCTGGATGTGAGACCTGGAGTCAAAGGAGATCATTTGGGAGCTTTAAAGTTTGACTGCCCCACTGGATTTCAGACTTGCTTGGGCCCTGTCACCCCTTTGTTTTGGCCAATTTCTGCCATTTTGAATGGCTGTATTTACCTAATACCTGTATCCCCATTGTATCTGGAAAGTAACTAACTTGCTTTTGATTTTACAGGCTCATAGGTGGAAGGGGCTTGCCTTGATTCAGATGAGACTTTGGACCGTGGACTTTTAGGTTAATGCTGACATGAGTTAAGACTTCAGGGGACTGTTGAAAAGACATGATTGGTTTTGAAATGTGAGGACATTTGATTTGGAGGGTCCAGGGGTGGAATGACATGGTTTGGCTGTGTCCCCACCCAAATCTCAACTTCAATTGTATCTTCCAGAATTCCCATGTGTTGAGGGAGGGACGCAGCGGGAGGTAATTGAATCAAGGGGCCAGTCTTTCCCATGCTATTCGCATGATAGTGAATAAGTCTTACAAGATCTGACAGGTTTATTGGGGGTTTCCAATTTTGCTTCTTCCTCATTTTTCTCTTGCCACTACCATGTAAGAAGTGCCTTTTGCCTCCCACCATGATTCTGACATATCCCCAGCCACATGGAACTGTAAGTCTAATTAAACCTCCTTTTCTTCTCAGTCTCCGGTGTGTCTTTATTAGCAGCATGAGAATGGACTAATATAGCTGGGCACAGTGGCTGATGCCTGTAGTCCTACAGCTACCCAGGAGTTCAAGGCTGTGGTGAGCTATGACTGCACAACTGCATTCCAGCCTGGTGACAGAGCAAGAGTCTCTATCTAGAAAAAAAAGAAACAAGAAAAAGAAGGAAGAAAAGCAATAGTTTGAAAGTCATAGGCTATGTTCTTATGTAGCCAGGGGTAGTCATCTTGGGATACAAGGCTGTGGGAGAACCTCTTTTTGAAGTGTGAGGTCAAAGAAAGAGGGACCCAACATGCTTTGCATAATAAGATAAAGCCTTCTACCTAGTTATGGCCCTAGCCATGGGCTAAAAATGGGGAGATAACTTAAAATATGTATTCAAAAATTAAATTTACTTTTTATTCTGACTATAAAAGTAATTCTTGTTTATTGCAGAGAATTTGAGAAGCACTAAAACGTATTTTATATGATAGCAAGTCACTAATACTATTACCACCCAAAATGACCACTGCTAATATTGATATTCCAGTCTTTTTTTGAGTACATATGTTTTTACATACTCAAAATTATTATATATGAATTTGTATTGTTTTTTACAGGTTATAATAGAGTCCACATAGTACTATTTTTTTAAATATTATTAAATTGTCTTAAAGAATTTTCCAACCACAGAGTAGATTATACAACTACAATGCACTTAAGCATAAGAAAGGATTTTTTAAGTCAATATTTAATTACCATTTTCCATTAGAGAAATCCCTACTGGGGAAGCCACAAAGAGGAAAATCACAGTTAGTAGATAAACACTAAGCTATATTACAACTGGAATCATGCCTTCAGGGCTCCCCACTGCTTGGGCCCAGCCAGAGATGGGACCAAAGGCTCATTCCTGTTAAAGCTGCATAATATCGACATCTAATTTTATAACTTCGAACAACTTGAGACATCACCAAACAATTTAGGCTTGGGAGTATGCTCCTTCAGAGAGGAATAATTATGAACTGAGATAGTCAGAAATATACACAGAGATAAGACTTAGCTGGGCCTGAAAGAAAGCATGGCATGGGTATCTGGGTTAAGAGTTAGGGTAAAGATAAAATAACAACGGAAAGGATTGAATTGTATAAGGGTTTGAAAATGAGCATCTCTGGCAGAGACAACCTAAGCAAAGGTGTGGCACTGGGAATATGTCTGTACATGACAGAAACCAATCTAGTTTTATAGCAGAAAGTTTATTCTGATAATATTTAAAAGTCAACTTTTGTATGTAATATTAGACCAATAATAAAAGACTTGAATACTAGTCTAATACAACTGGATTTCAAACTTCAAGCAATATCCAATTACTGTGAGTCCTCAAGCCAAAGAAAGCAATAGTGAAAACAATGTTTTAGAAAGATTAAAGTATGGGAAAATATGTAGGGTGGTTTAAATTGGGGGTAAATAGAATCTGAAAAAAGGGTTACATGTCTACAACGAGTGAGCTGATAGCTATAGCCATGAGACTAGGAAGGAGGAGCACTGTAAAGAAGAATAAGTAGGACTCCATGGCTAAGACACATGGTAAAGGTGAAAAAGTCAATGACGATGAAGAACGTATTCCTTGGTGACTGGGAGAAAGTTATACCACCAACTGAAAAGTGGAGTGAAGAGATGGGAAGAAGATCACAATGACAAGTAGGTTTAATTTGGGATATTTACGTTTGCGCTGATTGTGGGGCATGCATATGAAAATGTTCTATAAGTACCTGGAAAGATGAACTCAGAAATAAAGTGTAGAGTGAAGTCGAAAATAAAGAAATGTGAAGAGTTTCATGAGCGGTTTGTAGAATCTACCATCTTAACTATCTAGATGCTCCTTAAATAGTAGCTTAAGTAATCATTGAAATAGGGTTGAATATAATCTTCATTAATTAATTTATTCTTTTATTTATTCAACAGATATATACTTATTTCATCATGAATGACGTATTACATTGATTCTACATCAATGATATTCTAATCCTATTCCCATTAAGAAGATTGACAAGTAAAATTCAAAGCAGGCTAAAGTCAATTCAGGATAATTAGGGAATGTGTGCCGTCTCCTGTACGCTGGAAATTACTTGTATATTGAAAAATCAAGACAGGTTGTTTTCACACCACGGAAAATATCAATGTGATTCTATCTCCACAATTTCATAACATATTCCATCCTTTTAAAAATACCTGTTAATAAGCCTGGTCTTAAAATGCAATTGCATCTAGATTCGACATTGCAGTAAACCTATTTATACCAAATTATCTGCCATCAACTTTGCTATAATTGTCAATATTACTCAGCTTCCATTATCCATGATATGATTAAGTTCCACTGAGTGTATTCCAGCTCTCTTACATAGTTATTTGTGGTGTTTCTGCTATGTCTCTAACCCAGATGGGTATAAGGTAACATAACAATTCACTAAACTGTACAAATAAAAAGTAAATTAAAAGGACATTAGTGTAAGGGCTTAATCATCCAGTGTTAGCTTCACATGGCAAGTCAGCTGCCTCTATAGAACATTTTTCCCAGGGTATCAAATTCCTGATTTTCTTTTATTCTGTGCCATGATCCTAAAGGTCTTCCCATATCTTTCTTAACATTTTTGTAAACAATGTCGATAAAAGCCAACATGTCAGAAATAACCATTTTTTAATGGTTCATTAGTTGGTTGATATTAGCTTTCAGCTGCAAATAATAAACTGATTTCAGCTGAATCAGAGGAGAATCTGTATTGGCTCATTTATCTAGAAATCCAGAGGAGGGCATAATGTAGGCTTTGAACAAGCCAATAACTCTAGTCCAGTTTTTCTGTAAGTCCCTCCACTAAGTCCTCCACTGTGTATTAATTTTGTTCATAGATTAACTTTCCTATGGTGCAAAAGTAACTGTGGAAGTTCTGAGCTTTTCATCTGCAACTCCATGGAGGCTAGATGAAGAGAGAGTGTCTCCTTCAGTGGGTCTTTCTTCAGAGCATGAAAATTTCTTTCTCAGAAGCCCTTAGCAAACCTTCTCTCATGTCTCATTGGCCCAAACAGGAATTATCTTAGGTCTGTGATATCAATGCCTAGAATTTTCCTTAAGTCCATGGGCTACGAGGGGGAAAGAGAATATAATAACAAAAAAGGAGAAGCAGTGGGGGAGGAAGGGGCCTGCTACAAAGAGGAAAGGAAAGAATGGATACTATGGCCGACTAACAAGCTCTGCCACTTGATATTATTTTTGGTTTTTAAGTGGGAAACTTTGGTGTGGAGTAATGGAGAAAATGGAAAAGAAGCTATTTGACAGTTCTTATGGTTACCTACTCCCACGATTGCCTTCGTTTTTCTCTTTTTATATTTCTCAGAATATTTTCCCTGTCATTGCTTTCCATTTATATGCCTACTTGCAAGTTTTAATTTCTCGGTAAGATTAGTGATCAGGGTCTAACATACTGGGGCCTCCGGTAACTTTTTTCACGTATGTATTTTTCTTTCCTCTAGTTTTGGAAATATTAGTAAACTTTCTAATATTTGAAGGGAAAATTCATTAAGAAATAAAGGCTTTCCACGTATAATTTCCAATGCTTTTTCAGGGGTGGGGGTATGTGTGGCATTTCTTTAAATAGCATCAATTTATCTAAGGTGATCTCACGTTTTCACTGCTAGAGTAAAAAATTTAAAACAGTATACTTGACACTAGCCAGCTTTAATCTTTTACCTGTCTGCTGTACACTGCTTCTGAAAAGTGTGTAGTTTTATCTATTCACTCCATAAGGCTCCAACCCCTGGGGGTCAGACCGCAATGGGCATATGTCCTTCTTCTCCCACTGATATGGAGGATCGCTCTCCTGGCCCCAGACTTGAAATGTATTATAAATAATAACTGCTGCCATTTGTTGAGTTTATTGGAAGTTATCTCAGTTTATTCCTCATAACAATCCTGCAAGGTGACTATTACTCACTCATTTATTCATGAGAAAACTGAGGCCCAGCAAATTTAAATTTCATAGTTGTTAGACTAAAAATTGGTGGAGTCAAGATTCAAATAATGTCTTATTCCAAAAGCCATGTTAATTTCAATATGTCAAATAGTTTCTCAATCCCAAGTGCTTACCAGCAATATTTTTTAATTAATAAACTTTATCTTTAGATCAATTTTAGATTTGCAGTGAAACTGAGCAGAAACTACAAAGTTCCTATATACCCCTGTCTCTACACTTGCACAGCCTCCGAAGCTATTAACATCCCACAACACAATGGTACATTTGTTAAAATCGATGAACCTACATCAACATCATTATAACCCAAAGGCCGTAGTTTACATTAGGGTTCACTCTTGGTGTTGTACATTCTGTGGGTTTGGACAAATGGCAAATGACATGTATCCACTATTGTAGTATCATAGAGTATTTTTACTTCCCTAAAAATCCTCTGTGCTCTGCCTGTTCATCTTTCCCATCCTCTTAACCGCTGGCAACCACTGATATTTTTACTGTGTCCATAGTTTTACCTTTCCCAGAATGTTATATAGTTGGAATCATAACATGTAGCCTTTTCAGATACGCTTATTTCACTTAGTAGTATGCATTTAAGTTTCCTTCTCTTCTCATGGGATAATAGCTCATTTCCTTTTAGCACTGAGTAATATTCCATTGTCTGAATGTGCCACCATTTATGTATTCATTCTCCTACTGAAGGACATCTTTGTTTCTTCCAAGTTTGGGTAATTATGAATAAAATTGCTGAAAACATCCATGTGCAGGTTTTTATGTGAATCTAAGCTTTCAAAGCCACTACGATTTTCAGTCACTTTAAACCCCCAACAAATCCCTTAGAACTACAACAGTGACTACAAAGATTTACTGTAGCCTTTTCTTCTGAATGGAGTTTCCCAGGGACATAACAAATTCTCTAAATAAAAAGTAAAATGTTTTAGAAATAGAAATTTGCAGTTAATATTTTATTAGAGAATTTATATAAAAGTTTTACAAATGATTAATATGGATAGCTTGATACAAGTGAAACTGTTGAAACATTACAAAAATGCAATTTGAAGAACATTATTAATAAAGATTAGTTTTCACTTTTTCCAGCTGATAGAAATGAAAGTCTCAATGCCAAATTAAAATGACAAAGGGGAATTATTTTCCAAGAATTACATATTCTTATATTGTCCGTTCTTGGCACATATTTTACAGTGAACATATAAAGAAAAAAAAAAGACTGCAAAGCAAATGCAAGAAACTTATCCTCAAAGGCTTTAGGTCCTGTGCTCCTGTGGGAAGGCGAAGGGTATGATAACTGCAGCACTAGAGAGCAATACCATTAATTCCAAATCATAAATTCCATTGAGGGCTTAATGTCCAATACGAGTCAAGATAGTAATTTTTAAACAAAGAGACATACAATAAATTCCATTTTCAGTACAATTTTAGGGGTTTAATTTAAATTCGATGAATTATGCTTAACACTTATATGAATTTTTATTTATAGAGCTTATTTTAGATTGTTCTTTTTATTATGATGGATAGAGAGAGAGATAAGGATCCCCTATGGAAAAAGAAGTATTCAATCAAGCCCTTACAACTGATCATTTCAAAGTCACTGAGGACCATGTGTAGCTATGCAAGCTGACACAAGGGTACCTGTTTTGAAAGTTGGGTCTGAAGGAAGGGCAAGAAAGGAGTAAAGAAACTGACACTACTCTAAATAACAATGTGTAATACAAACTGTACAGTGACCGAAGCAGCCTGGTAAATGAAAATCAGTTTCTTTCTCCTTACGAACTTGGAGCAGAAAGCAGTCATATAACTCAAATATCTATAAGGAGAGGCAGGTAACAGGCAGGGACTAAGGAAAACTGGAAAATGCATGCACAATCTAAAGTGGCAACTGCTACCCAGCAACAGCCAATTGTTGCCATACAGGAAGGAGGACTCAGTGTGGTTAGAGTTAATTACTTTTTTTAAAGCATCAAGAATAATAAAATTTTATGTGTAATCTCCTGATTTTATTTATGTATTTATTTTTTACAGACAAGTTCTTGCTCTGTAACCTAGGATGTAGTGCAGTGGCACGATCATAGCTCAGTGCAGTCTCAAATTCTTGGCCTCAAGTGATCCTCTCACCTGGGCCTCCCAAAGCCCCAGGCATAAGCCACCACGCCTGGCCCCTGATTTTTAAAATACAATAGGGCCAGCCAATAGGACTTCATGCCAAATCTAGCTTACATGACATTACTTTACAACCCCTTATGTATACTCTGCCATCTATGAGAATTCATGACTAACTTCTATAAGACAGTCAGAAAAAGAAAAAGGCTGTCCTGAAAATCACAGCAATGAGATCTTTTTCTTTTTAATCACAGTACAATCAGCATACAATAAACTGCACCTACCTGAAGTATAAAGTTTGTTAAGTTTTGATGTGTATACACCTATGAAACCATCATCACAAGCAAGATATAATAAATATATCCATGAACATCATGTTTCTTCATGCGCTTTTGAAATCTCTCCTTCTGCTCCCTACCTGCCTCTCCTCACCCCTGCCCCCAGGCAACCACTAATCTGCTTTCAGTCATTGCCTAAAAATTGTCTATAAATGGAATCATATGGTAGGTACTTGCAATGGTTTCCTGGGGCTAGGGTTTTAAAAGTACCACAAGTTGGGTGAATTGAAACAACAGAAATGTACTCTCTCACTCTTCTGGAGGCTAGAAGTCTGAAGGAAAGGTGTCAGCAGGACTCTGCTACCTCTAAAGGCTCTAGAGAAGTATCTATCCTTCCTTGCCTCTTCTGGCTTCTGGTAGTTGCCAGTAATCCTTGGCATTCCTTGCCTTATGGCAGCCTAACTCTAATTACAGACTCTGTCTTCACACAGCCTTTTCCCTTCTATCTCCTCTGTATCTTCAAATCTCCCTCTTCCTATAAAGATAATAGTCATTAGACTTAGGGCCCATTCTAACCTATCATGACATAGTTTTAACTTAATTATTAATAAAACTGCAAAGATGCTATTACAAAGTAAGGTCATATTCACATGTAATGGGATCAGAACTTCAGCATCTTTTTTTGGGAAACACAATTCAACCCACAACTGTATCAACAGTATTTTTTTTCTTTTGCTGGCTTCTGCAACTATGAAATTATTTTAAGATTTACCCATTTTGTTGCATGTTTTAGTTTATTCCTTTCATAGCAGAGTGCTATTCCATTGTATGGATACACCACAATTTATCAATTCATTTGTTAGTGGATATTTGAGTAGTTTTCCATTTTTGACTATTACAAATAAAGTTGCTATAAGCATTTGTGTACACGTGTTTGTATTCACATAAGCCTTATTTCTCTTAAGTACGTACATAGACGTGGAAGAGTTGAATCATACAACATATTTAACTTTATAAAAAATTATCACTGTTTGCCAAAGTGATTGTACAATTTTATATAGTGAACATAAGGTATATGAGAGTTCCAGTTTCTCATCAACAATTGCTGTGGTCAGTCTTTTTAATTTTAACCAGTCTCATATATACATAGTAGTATTCATTGCAATTTAATTCTTATTTTCCCAATGAATAATGATGACAAGTACCTTTTTATGTGCTTATTTTTCATTTGTATGTTTCCTTTGTGAATCATCTTTTCCAATCTTTTGCCCTTTTTTTTTGATTTGCTTGTTCTCTTATAGAGTTTTGAGCATTTTTTACATGTTTTGGATAAAAGTCCTTTACCATATATGTGCTGTACAAATATTTTGTCTATTTCTGTGGCTTGTCTTTTTTTTTTCCTCATGACAGTAACTTTTGAAAAGAAAAAGTTTTAAGAAGTACAATTTATCAGTCTGTTCTTTCCTGGATTGTGCTTTCGATATTATATCTAAAAACTTTTTAAATAGCCTAGGCCATATATATTTTCTCTTATGTATTCTGCTAAAAATTTATAGTTTTAGGTTTTACACTTTAATCTACATTTCCAGATAATTTTATTATGTGATGTGAGTTATGGATCGAGTTTATTTTTTTGCATGTGGACTCCCAAATGTTCCAGCAACATTTTGGAAGAGACTATTTTTTCTTCACTGATTTAAGTTTGCAATTTTGTTAACAATGAGTTGTCAAGACTTTTGCTTCTAGAAAATGAAGTAAATGTATCTTTCATGTTTGTCCAATGACATACAGCTAAAAACCCTGTGCATTTTATATAAAGCAAATATAAAAGACCCTGAAAGGTGAAGAGAAGGCAGGCTGCCTAGGGAACTCAGGACCCAAAGAACGATAAATTGGTGAGTTCTAAATGTTTTCTTTTTTTCTATATATCACAAACGTGGAGTTTGAAGAACCAGTGATCCGGAAACACCAATGGGTGCAAACAAACAAAAAGCCTGCCTTCTTCACCCAAAGGATCGGGAGGGGAGGAACCTGGCAAGACAGAACACTTTAGACAACTATCACTATGCTCCACCCAAACACCACGGAAACAAAAACAAAAACAACAACAAACAAACAAAAAAACTTTGCCATGCCAGCAAAAGTTAAGTAGGGAGCCTGGACATCCTGCTTTGTGAGGCGGTAATGAGGTGCTCCAACATCCTCTTTGGAGTAGTGTCAAAGAAGGCAAAGCAGGAAGCAAAGCCAGCAAAACCCTCCATACTGGAACAGACATACATATTTTGCATTGATTCTTACATAAATAAATCTGTTACATTAATGAATCTGTTGTCCATTTATTTTTATTCATCTATGGCATTTTTTTCTTTTTCCTTTGGTTGCTTTTGAAGTATTTCTTTAATCACTCCTTTTAGGTAATTTAATTATGATGAGCCTTGCTGTACTGTTCTCCAGGTTTCCTGTGTATGGAATTCATTGTGTTTACTGTATCTGTGGGTTTAAAATGTCAACAAATACGGAAAATTTTTAGCCATTATTTATTTAGATATTTTTCTACCCTCCCTTTAGAGACTCTAATTACATGCATATAAAGCTGCATGAAGTTGTCCCAACTTCACTTATGCTCTTTTTAATTTTTCTCTATCGTTCACTTTGGGTGACTTTTATTATATGTCTTCAAGTATACTGATCTTTTTTTTTCTGTAATGTCTAATCTGTTATTTATCCTATTTATTATATTTTAATATTTTAGCCATTATAGCTCTCCTCTCCTGAAGTCTGATTTGATTCTTTTAAAGATACTCTACTTAGCTTTTTGAAGATATGGAATATAGTTATAATAACTGTTTTGATGTACTTATCTTGACCCAATTTTGGGTCAGTTTCCATTGATTATTTTTCTCATTATGACTCATATCTTCTTGTTTCTTGGAATGACTGCTAGTTGTTGATTGGATGCCAAATATTGTGAATTTTATATTTTGGGGGTCTGTATATTTTTGTATTCCTATAAATATTCTTAAGCTTTCTTTTTCAGCACAGTTGGGTCATTGCCTGATGTCCAGTGTCTTAAAAACCATTGTTTCATATATTTTGCTTTGTTTTCTTGTTTGTTTTTGACAAGAGGGTAAGTTCAATCTCTATTATTCTATCTTAGCTGGAAGTGGAAAGCTGGTGAAAAGATATTGAAGGAAACCAAATGTAGAAATTGTATAGTCAGGAGAGAAGAAACCCAGCTCTGCCTATTCCTCTCTCCCTTCAGTTGGATCTGGCATTCTAGCAATCACCACCGATGAACTGTCTTGCCTCTTTAGTCCCCGTCATCAACCAACTAGCAGAATACCTCAACCTTAGTGAAAGGTATTATTAGGAAAAGGGGTCTAGGATACTTACATCCTACTTCTCTGTATAAGCATTGGGCTTTTCTAAAAGGTCAATGAGATTCACCCAGCACAGTTTCAATAGAACTTTGGAACTGAGGGTGTAGAGCTGAGATTAGTACCTGACATATCTCTGTGAAGACCTGAACGTTTTGAGTGTGTTTTCACACCAGCCCTGGGAAGTGTGCATGATCCTAAAGTGCAAATTCTTCTAAGAGGACTTAGGAGGAACACATGCTAAAATCTCCCCTTTCCTAATATATTCTAGAATAAGCAGTCCTTACTTGCATTACTTAATTTTCCCCAGAATAGAGTATAAATAATGAACTCATAAGTACAGGGAGAAGAAGCTGTGGTGAAAGCCACAAGTTCTTAAGTTAAGCTCATTTGTTTAGTCTAAGATTGCTAAAACTTGATCTTTAGAGAGCAATGCATTCTGGCTCTGTAAAAACAAGTTTATTCTTAGAGCAAAACAAAGAAATGACTATTCCAGAAAAAAAAAATGACTTTCAGGTTATATAGACTGATGCATTTCTTTTTCTTTTTCTTTTCTTTTTTTTTTTTTTTTTTTTTTTTGAGATGGAGTCTCACTCTGTCACCCCTGCTGGAGTGTAGTGGCTTTGAGACTGAGTCTCACTCTGTCACCCCTGCTGGAGTGTAGTGGCTTTGAGACGGAGTCTCACTCTGTCACCCCTGCTGGAGCGTAGTGGCATGATCTTGGCTCACTGCAACCTCCGCCTCCTGGGTTCAGGTGATTCTGCCATCTCAGCCTCCTGAATAGCTGGGACTACAGGTTGCAGTGCATTTCCAATGCAGTGTTACCAGAACGTATCATTTGCTTTGAAGTTCTAGTAAAAATGTTAATGCTCACAACTAACCAGCTTCTCTGACTTCTTCCAAACTTCATCTTTCTTCTTGAAGAAACATCTCTGTTTAAATGAAGATTCATTTCTATCTTTCTATAAAGTTAATTCCTCAGAAAGCCCAAAAGGAAGAAAAAAAAACTATATATTACCTTGTTTGACTTTCATGACATCAGAAATGTTGACAAACTTTACGAGAAAAAAATTATGTCCTAATACCAACACTCAGGCTTAAAGGCAGATATACTGCCTGTTCATAGAATCCTTCAAATATAGAGAGATGACTTAAATTTCTGTTTCATTAACTACCATGACCAACAATGACAAAAAAAAATCCCTATTGGAAACCTAGTACAATAGCTGCAGCCACTTCTTCCTTAACCAATAGTCCCATTTGTCTTCCCTTGAATCTGGGAGGCAGTCAATAGATGTGAAACAATAATCTGTCAGAGACAGCTGAGCCCTTCTTTATAGAGCATAGATGTGCCCAAGGGCCCTCTATATTCTGAGCACATACTCCCCTGTTCTATATTGAGATTTGATCATAAACTGGCTAAGTCTTGATTTCCCAACTTCACTGAAACACAGATGTAATAATTAAGTACTTTTAGGCCCCAGAAACATGGCAGGGGAGATTCTCCCTATGATAGGACTAGAAAAATTTTCACTCAGTTCTAGAGCATCAAGGCACCATGCAATTTCCTAAGTCCTGGAATTACTTACTGATCTTAGGTCCAATTCTACAATAGTAATCTGTGCTCCTAGTCATCCACTGAACAGATATTTATTGTGTTCCTGAAATTTGCTAGGCATTGTGCTAGCTATTAGAGACAAAAAAAAAAACAAGTTGGAAAAGACTTCTGACATCATGAAAGGCAGAGGAAAGAGAGAGCAAATAATAAGTAAACCAACCAGATAATTCCAGAAAAATAAATGCTTGTAAAGGAGACAAAACAGAGTAATTTTGACAGAGTGCTTTATATGTGATATGGGGGTTGCTTTAAATAGGTCATAAAAGGCCTCTCTGAGTATGTGACAGTTGAGCTGACATTGAATACAAGCCATACAAGGAGCCCAGGTAAAAATCTTCTCCCAATTAAAAGAGAAGTAAGGTGAAAGTAAGGTGCTATACTCCTCCGATTCCTTCCTGAAGCCTCTGGCCTCCTAGACATCAGATTTCATGGACACCGACTTTCTGACCTGCTGTATTGAGTACAAGGCCTAAGGTTTCTTATTAGAAGAGATCCCCACCCCAGGCCCAACCTTCTGCTAGTAACCAACACTCTATGAACTCCATTAGCTTTATCCTCTAAGTCTATGTAGAAATTGCCTTTGGGTGTCTTCCCAGCCAGGAGTTAGCTCTGTGTTAAAAGTACACTTGCAAGAAGTTGAAACAAGAAATGGAGAGAAAGAAACTGATGCTTTCCAACTCCTGGCTTCGCTTCTTCCTGAAGCCTGGTCATCTTTCTTATACTGTCCTCCAGGCTTGACCTAGCCTCAAAGACGACAAGAATATTGATGGTGACTCAGCTTTGGAGTAGAAGCAAAGGAGCTAAAAGGTGGGTACAGATGGTACTTAAATGTGGAACATTACTGTATAAAGCAAAAGATGAGAAGGAGTTCTTTTAAGGCCATAGAGTACATATGGAAATTACAGTAGAGATTTTTATCGAAGATTTGACAAAATCCTTGCATTTTGCAGAGAAAAGCACACAAATGTTTTTTTCTTAATAGAAATCACAGAAATGTCCTAAACATTCTCTTTCATTCAACCAATCTCACTACTGACCAGAGATGCATACTTATTTATAAGGCGGCTGCTCAGAGGAGAAAGGGGGAAATCCAAGCATTTCTTCAAACTTTTAATAATGTGATTAAAACACATTTTAGATGGAAAAATACTTTCAGTAGCAAATCAAAGAAAAGGAAAGGCTACGTTTATGAAAGATTAGCTCACCTAAAGTTTTGTTTAAAGATACCCATATCTGTCAGGCCCTTTGTATTAAATATTTTTCAAGTTACAGAGGGAAACAGAGTTTCCAAGCAGAGATCTAAATGTATTATACTTAAAAGTACAAAACTGCTTTCTTCTAAAATATATTTTACTTAATTACTCAACCATGTCAGGAAAATAACATGGACATATGTTCTACATCTGCAGTATTCAATACAGTAGCCACAAGCCACTGTGGCTACTGAGCATTTAAAATGTGGCTAGAGTAACTGAAGCACTGAATTTTTTATTTATTTAATTTTAAGTAATTTTAATTAGCCTCATGTGGCTAATGGCTTCCATACTGGACAATGCAATCTATATAATCACTTGATACTAGTGCCAATGCAAGGGAACAAGTATATGAGGCATTTGAAGTGTTATGAAATACACTCCTATACTCTTCAGAAAAGAGCTCAACAATTAGGAAATTCCACCTAAAATTTATCGTTAACTAATGGACTAATGGTTAGCTATGATAAGACAGTACAAATCACTTTATAGTGGTAAAAGTGAACTTGGTTTCCTGAGGACTTGAAATGTAAACAGACAAAAAAATTAATGACTATGTCTCACATTTTCAGATTACGCTTTTTCCTCTTTTAAGAATGATTTTTCAACAGTCTCTTATTTGGTCACAGGCTGAACATTTCTTCTTGGTCTTGTTGAAGACAGGTGGTAAGTAGATGAAGGATGAGTTCCTGTGGCCACAACTCCTTTTCTCTGTATCTAGCATATGTAACTCTAGGTACATTCAGCCACAAATAGAAATGCCTTACAAAGAGAGATCAGCCTCTCAAAATGTGGCAACATGCATGAGAACACATTTTGTTTAGCTCAAGGCCTGGTACAAGCTAACTTTTTAGCGTCAAAACATAAAATGGTGAAGGCAAGTATTGAAGATCACATCACAGACATATATTTTTTTAAACATCAGGTTGTCAGAAACTTGTCAAGAAAAAACAAAAATCACACACAGAAAAGAAATCTTGCCAAAAATTTGAACAAAGCTAAAAAATCTACAGGCATAAAATTTTTTGCAAGTAGCACTGAATATGAGGGGACATGTAAACTCAAGGTAATCTCATCAAGATGAGTTATTTCCTAATAGGTGACTTAAGAGTATTTTAAATAGAAACATGAAACAGATATGACCATTACTTTTAGCTGTTGGCAAACTTCAGATTTAGAATTTTTATTAAAATCATACGTGAAGAATATAAAAAAAAAACTGACTGCTTGAATTCATAGTTTTTTATTCCCATACAACACACCAAAAAAGGCAGCAAGTAAATGCTTCTTAACCCACACAGTATTAGTTTGGTAAAAATACTTTAAAGAAAGAATTTCTGGGAATTTTAAGTGGGATCAAACAAGAAACTGTTCACTTAACAGCAAAGGAAAGGGTTTCTTCTTCCAAAGACATGACACGAATTACTTTTTCTTCAGGGACCAAATTACCTAGATATGTTTTTGACAGCCTGGATAGCTTTTTGGAACTAAAGCATTGCTGAATATCTACAGAGCTTAACAATGTTCCCCATGATTGCCAAGATTCATCTAAATTTTCAATATGTAACAGCATACTTATAATTCAGAACTTAGCTTTATGAATCCAGTTAAGAATGGACAAATCATTTCTCACTGAAATATCTGTACTTGAGAAAAGTATGCATCCCAAGAAAAGAATCAAGTGAGAAATTTAATACCTTCCAACTTAGATCTTTTATTGTGGCTACCATTAAAAACAAGATAAATCTGGCCAGGCACGGTGGCTCATGCCTGTAATCCCAGCACTTTGGGAGGCTGAGGCGGGTGGATTACCTGAGGCCAGGAGTTCGAGGCCAGGCTAGGTAACATGGCGAAACCCCATCTCTACTAAAAATACAAAAATTAGCTGGGTATGGTGGTGGGCACCTGTAGTCCCAGCTACTTGGGAAACTGAGGCAGGAAAATTGCTTGAACCTGGGAGGCAGAGGTTTTAGTGAGCTGAGATCATGCCACTACACTCCAGCCTGAGCAACAGAGTGAGACTCCAACTCAAAAAAAAAAAAGATAAATTCAATATTTACAGTTTTAAGTATTTCCTCACCCACTTCTTTTATTTACTATACCTTTTTAATATCCATTATCCTACTATGATAGATATATAAAGCATATCCATTTTAAATAAATCTTAACAAAACAAAATGGGTAAAAGAAGAGGTCCTCAAATATTGGTAATAAGATTTAAATTATGAAATATTACTGAGTGAAAGGAGATTGAATGAGAAATAGGATGTATGTGAAAGAAGCCCTGAACTGAAGCAGGGCTTCAAGGTTCAAGGCCAGGTACTACCATCAACTGCCCCAATTGCCTGAGTAGACTGACCTTCACCATTCCTGATCTGCTTTCTTAGGTACCAAATGAAGAACCAGATTCAGTGATTTTTTTTTAAACTGTCTTTCAGAGTAATAGAGTTCTGAGAAAGTGCCTATTTTGGGGCCCACCCTAGTGGCGCACGAGGTGATGGCTACCAATCAGTCAGAGTAGGTCTGTATTTATCTGCCATATCTATTGGGAATTCACAGTAGTTTTTGTTTGCATACAAATTTCCCTCTGCCCATAATAATTTCAAAAACTATTGGACTAAACTTCTCACATCCTTTTCCAGTTCTAACTTTGAAAAGAGCAGAATTAGTTATGTATTTTTAAAAGTTTCTGCTGTAATCCCTCAATGTTATTGAATCATCTCCACTAAAGAGTAACATACCCATTTCTTTCTATGGCTGCCTTGCCATGGGTTTGAGTATTGTTCTTAATCCAAGTATTGCCTGGATTTTGGTGCTCCTTCATACACAGGGGCAGTCTATGTGTCAGAGAATGTGATTTTAGTACCAAAAGATAATCCCCAAGACTGGAGAGAAGGGGATGCCTTTCTTAGAAGTTCTGTGTCAGCACTGTCCTAGCTCACCTGACATAGTGGGTCTCAGCTGACCAGGCTGATACTGGAGAAAAAGAGCAAAACCATCAAGTGAAAACATGCAGAAAAAAATACATAATAACCCAGATACAAATTGAGACAAGAGAAAGCAAAATATGTACATATATATATATACACACACACACACACACACACACACACACAGATGAGGGTAATCAGGAAGTGTAGAAAGTTTCCTTTTTTTTTTTATTCAATTAATTTTTTTAGAGACAGTGTCATGCTCTGTCGCCCAGGCTGGAATGCAGTGGAACCATCAGAGCTCACTGCAGCCTGGACCTCCTGGGCTCAGATAATCCCTCCCACCTCAGACTCCTGAGGAGGTGCTGGGACTAGAGGTGTGTGCCACCATGCCCAGCTAATTTTTATATTTCCTGTAGAGATGGGGTTTCACCATGTTGCCCAGGCTGATCTGGAACCCTGGGCTCAAGTGATCTGCTCACTTCAGCCTCCCAAAGTGCTGCAATTACAGCACTTTGGGGTGAGCCACCACACGCAGCCAGAAAGTTTCCAATTTTAAAGCTGAACCAAAAAATTAAAATTAAATTTGCAAAAAAGCCGAACAGGGGTCATGATGGTTGAGGAAATGCTACGAGGTGGAAGTTCTATCTAGCCACTTACTTACAAATGGAACCTCTGGCTATCTTCCGATATTCTAAAGATCCAGCATCAGGAATCTTTATGAAAATCATGTAAGATTTAAATGTCTCAACAAAATAAAATGGGTAAAATTAAACAAAATACTTTCAAATATAAATCTGCTTGAAATTCATATTTGAAATACATTCAACATGAAATTTTCAAAATTGTTTGACTTCATATTTGTATAAATAGTAGCATTGTTTATCATGTGACCTGCAAGAGTTTTAAGTTAGCTGATTATAGCCTTATTGGAAATATTCTAAAAACTTGTGTGGGGTAAGTTATAAGAACTTCCTTGAACATGAAAAAATGCCCAGGCTGGGTTAGTGCCAGGATCATTTATATACTGCTACACCAAACCTTAAAGACAGAGATAGAAGCATAAATCAACCACCATTTTATATGCTCACGGTTCAGTGGGTTAGCAATTTAGGCTGCCTCAGCTGGGCAGTTCTGTGGGTTTTGCCTGGGGTCAGTCACGTGGCTGCAGGTATTAGGTGGTTCAGCTAACACAGGATGGTCTACAATGGCCTCACGGACATATCTGGCAGTAGATGTTGCCTGTTGGCTGAGCCACATGTCTCCAGGGAGTGTCCTCAGGCTCCTTCTTAGGGGCAGCAGTGTGCCAAGCAGGCAAGAGCAAAAACTGCCAGGCTTCTGGAGGCTTAGGTCCACAAGTCTCACCATTCTGGCACATTCCATCTGCCCAAGCAAGCAACAAATCCAGTCTCAGATTCAAGGGGTGAGAAAACTGAATCTACCTCTTGATGTGAGGAGAACAGTCACATTGCAAAGGAACCTGTGTATAACATAAGATGCGAGGAATTATTGGGCCTTCTATCTTTACAATCAACTATTATGTCTTTAGTGTATGTTTCCTCAGTCATATCTGGAGTGCCAACTCCCGATAATAGCAACTGGCATTTAAAGAAAAGGTGCTGATGTAAGTCACCTTGGAAAGTACTATTTTGACTGGAAACTGTAAGACTAAAGACTAAATGTCCATAAACACTGTAGTTAGGTTGGTAAGCACATTCAAAATGCAAACAGACACATAAACATAATACACATGTATAATCACTACATTGCAGACAGACAAAATGAAAATAAATACACCAAAATTAAAAATACAATAGATAACCTTGGCTAACAGTCCTCTACATAGCCAATTAGGCTCTTCTGATATAAATACATACATTTTATTTTTGTATGCATTTAAAACTAAGAACAGGGGACAGGTGTGGTGGCTCACACCTGCAATCCTAGCACTTTGGGAGGCCAAAGTGGGTGGATCACCTGAGGTCAGGAGTTTAAGACCAGCCTGCCCCACATGGTGAAACCCCATCTCTACTAAAAATACAAAAATTAGCTAGGCGTGGTGGCACGTGCCTGTAATCCCAGCTACTTGGGAGGCTGAGGCAGGAGACTCATTGATCCTGGAGAGGGCAGAGGTTGCAGTGAGCCAAGATCGTGCCACTGCGATCTCGAACAGAAAAAAACTAAGAACAAAATTTTACATGCTGTTCAGGAAACTACTTTCTTCATGAAGCATATTTATGAAGCTTTATCTTCAAAGCCCCACATTGGCATAGGCTTTTTCCAAGTATCTGAACCTATTTTTTTCTTAGTTTCTAAATTATGTAAACTTCAGGCCCCACAAAACCTGTATACACTCCTGTTTCTAAGTGAATAAATATATATCTGCATTATCATTTTAAGTGGCAAACAGTAACATAGTATTTTACTGCATGAAGGGACCATCCTTTTTTTTTTCAATCAATCCCTTAGACAGATGTTTAAGTTTTCTAATTCTGTGGACTATTACCCAGCACCTCAGCCTGGTTGTTGAGTTAGCATCCTCTGAGACACTCTCTCTGTGTCCTAAAGCCCTGTGAGTGTGCACTCAGTCCGGGCTCCTTGCTACTGCTCCTCACCCTGGTGCTCCTGACTTCTAAAAGTCTTGAGGGAAGAACTGAGAGTAAATTTGGGATAGTAGAAAATAAATGCAGGTTCTTGAGTAGAAATCATTGTGAGGGAGCAGTGTATTGTAGAATGTTATGACAATCAATTTATCAATAAATAAGTAATAGGGTGTTGGCACTGTGCAAATGTAACTCTCAGAGTAGCAGGGAAAAGAGAAAACAGTAACAGATCTGCAGACCCCTGTAGTTATAGTTGCAACCCAGAGACAGAGGTCCCCTTGATATGGCTCCTAGGAGACAAAATTTATTTAAAATGGGAAATGGGGAATCTGTTGAGAGGGTAGGGGTGGGGTATATTGGCACTTTGGGAAGGCACCCCTGTATGCCACCTTTTTTTTTTTTTCTTCCAGTGAAAACACAGGGCCTCCTTGTGAAGCAGAGTTGCAGTTTTTTTGATGAGGGAGAACTTCCAAGCTCAGCAGACATACTTCATACATTGAACCATGCCGAAAGTAGACAGAGAAGGTTAGAAGAAAGCAAAATAACAGCAATGCAAGGGCTCAGTTTGAGCTTGGGAATGAAGCTTTGTGCTTCACTAACCAGACACCGGACACACTAAAGGAGTAACACACTCTGGGCAGTCTCACAGCAGAGCAATGGCCAGTCCCAGTGCAAACCTGAAAGGGAAAAGAGAGGACTCACTCTTCCCAAAACAACTGCACACAGAGTGGTGGTCAAAAACAAATTCCATTACTGGAACTTGTAGGGTTTGTGTGGCATTGTAAAAAGGGCTTGGGGGCATGAAGAACCAGAGAACCCTGAATTCGAATACCATCTTGGCAGCTTACTGGCTCTGCAGCCTTGGACAAGTCACTTAATCTCTAGGTCCATAGTTTCTTTATATGTAAAGTGAAAATAGCATACCTATCTTGCTTTAAATTATGTAGCACAATGTCTGTCACTTAGAGTGTGCTTTGTGAGGAGTGGTATTCTTTATTTTTCATAATTTCAACTTTTATTTTAGATTTGAGGTTAAATGTGCAGGTTTGTTATATGGGTATATGGATGCTTATACATCTAAAGTAATTGTTTCTTCTCTCTCCACCTCCTCATACTAGCCTCTTCCCTTTACAAGCCCCAAATGATGCCTGTGGTTTCTCAATCTCTCTCCCTTCCTCAAGTAGTCATTTAATGCTTTCCCACCTACCATTTCAAACCTTTAAAAAATGAATTGTTCAGTATCTCTGGGCATAGGCCTACTCCTTAGATTTACTTACAACAGTGTCTTTGTTTCTAAAGATGTAATTGAATAACCTCTGGCAGCTCTTGCAACTGTAAGACAAATAAGACAAACCTGCATGTATACTGTTGAGAGATGGATCACTCCCAATTCGCTCATAGTCAGTGCCACTTCCTTACTAGCACTGCAGCAAGGGTGGACAAATTCCTTCTCATCCCCACAGTGTTAATCATATGTTAGAGATAAAAGATGTGTGACAGTTTAGGGGTTCCTCAAAAAGTTAAATGTATTATTATCATACAACCTAGCAATTCCACTCCCAAGGAATTGAAAACAGGGACTCAAACAGATAACCTATACACCAGGATTCACTGTGGCATTGTTCACAATAGCCTAAAGGTAGAAACAAACCAAGTATCTATTAACAGATAAGCAGATAAACAAAATATGGTACATTATGCTCAACAAGAGAAGCCAGGCACAAAAGGAAAAGTGTTGTATGAGTTCACTCACGTGAAATATCTAGACTAGGCAAACTCATAGAGACAGAAAGTAGATTAGAAATTATCAGGTGCTAGAAAAAGGAAAAATGGGGAATTATTGCTTACTGGGTACAGAGTTTCTGTTTGGGATGATAAAACATATTGGAAATAGATAGTGGTGATGGTTACACAACATTGTGAACGTAATTGATGCCCCCTCATTGTATTAGGTTGGCGCAAAAGTAATTGCTGTTTTTGCCATAATGGCAACATCATTACGTGAGACAGAAAACCTAAAAGTGAGTCAAGAGAGTAGGTGAACTCAACATAGAATGTTTTGCAAATACTTTAACCATTTTGTTTTCGCTTATATTTTCCCTTTTAGATAAACAAAAGAGTTTAAATTAGCTCTTTTAGTAAGTATAAAATAAAAATTCTAAGTGATAAGAACTCACCACAACTGCTTTTAGGATGGGAAACAGATAAAACAAGCAGTTCACAAAAAAATTACATGGCGATCAAACTCATGGGAGAGATGGTGAGCCTCATGAAGTTTGGAGCTAAGATTAGGGGAAGATAATGACTTTCTACTTCTCAAGTTTTCGAGTGGAAGGACTTCCTACAAGTAGGACTCCCAATCTGTATTTTCCCTTTCACCAATGACTTATCTAATGGGTGAATTTGAGGAAAGGAACTGGGCACATGCAGTCGGTCACTTTCGCTTCCCTTTTAGGATGACTGTCTCATGAATCACAAATTCTCTGCTTCTTCATGTATATTTCTCAAGGGGAGATTGCCAATGGCAGAAGGTCTGTGGTTTCCCCACTCTGACAAAAGTGGAGACGATTAATTCTGGGACACAGTATTAAGAAAACTATCGTTACCTTGGATATAAACCACAATAACAGCTTTAACAACAGCATAGACGATATTCCCTAGCTTCTTAATTCCTACATCCGTTTCTTATTCTAAATCAAGGAGGAAAGTAAGTGGATGTTATTAGTTCTTTCGAACCTCATGAACAAATTAAGCAATTGCAAACTAAGCAGTTGCAAGGTTACCTGTTTTACAGGTAATATTGGTAATATTTATAAAAATAAACCAACAATAGCCAGTATTGGCACAGCCTATAAGAAGCCCATTCTCATACACTGTTTTGGAAGTCTAAGTTGGCAAAGATCTTTGGAGGAGAATTTGGAAGTAACTTACATGATTAAATATGCAGGCCTAATTGCAACTAAAGCAAAAATTGACAAATGGGATCTAACTAAATGAAAGGGTTTCTGCACAGCAAAAGAAACTATCAACACAGTAAAAACAACAACCTACAGAATGTGAGAACACTTTTGCAAACTATGCATCTGACAAAAGTCTAATATCCAGCATCTATAAGGAACTTAAATTTACAAGAAAATAAAAAAAATTAAAAAGCGGGCAAAGGACATGAACACTTTTCAAAAGAAGAAATACATGCAGCCAAGAAGCATATTTTAGAAAGCTCAATATCACTTATCATTGGAGAAATGCAAATCAAAACCACAAGGAGATACCATTTCACACCAGTCAGAATGCCTATTACTAAAAAGTCAAAAAATAACAGATGCTGATGAGGTTGCAAAGCAAAGGGAATGCTTACACACTGTTGGTGAGAGTGTACACTGGTTCAACCATTGTGGAAAGCAGTGTGGCAGTTCCTGAAAGAGCTGAAAACAAAACTACTGTTCAACTCAGCGATCCCATTACTGGATATATACCTGCAGGAATATAAACCATTTTATCATAAAGACACATGCATGTGTATGTTCACTGCAGCACTATTCAAAATAGGCAAGACATGGAATCAACCTAAATGTCCATCAATGGTAGACCGGATAAAGAAAATGTGGTACACACATGTAATACTATGCAGTCATAAAAAAGAATGAAATCATGTCCTTTGCAGGAACATGGATGGAGCTGGAGGCTGTTATCCTTAGCAAACTAACGCAGGAACAGAAAACCAAATACTGCATGTTCTCACTTAAAAGTGGGAGCTAAATTATGAGAACACATGGACAAAGGGGGGAACAAGAGACACTGGGGCTTACCTGAGGGAGAAGGGTGAAAGAGGAGCAGAAAAAATAACCATTGGGTATACATTTAGTACCTGGGTCACAAAATAATATGTGCAAGAAACCCCTGTGACACAAGTTTACCTATATAACAAACCTGCACGCATACTCCTAAACTCAAAATAAAAATCTGAAAAAAAATGCACATTTTGACCTGCACTTCTTGCAGTACTCATACATGTACTTGACCTCTCACTTCTTGCAGAAGTACTCATACATGTGCAGGGTTATTTGCATAATGATATTCATAACAGCATGTTTAATACTTAAAAGTTGGACATAAACCAGAGAAATGATTAAATGAAGTATGTCATATTTTTATGCACAAATACTATGCAATAATTTAGAATGTAGGTTGGCAAATTATGACCCACAGGCCAACTCCAGCCTGTTTTTCTTTTGGAGTTTTGTTTAGTATAGGCATCTAAAAGGGCAAAGAAGTGTCTGGATCCACCCTAGGATTTCTCTCTTTGCCTTATAGCACCCCTGGTCCCTCCACCACCTCCTTGCCGAAGACACACGTTCTGCTAAGCCAAGGAGGAAAACTCAATCTGATTCTCTACCATTTTTACTGGTACTGTTTCCTTCCAATGAGGGTAGAAATGGAGTGACCCATTATTTGATTTTTAATGAGCTTGCACATTTTGCCATGTTAGTTTCTATTGTGTTTTTTCTTTTGAGGATGTTAACATTTAAGTTAGACTTACTGGTTTCATATACTATAACTTACTTAATATAACTATATACTTAAGTATAACTTATGAATTTATATATACTTAATATGTATATAAATTTATAATACCATAAATATTGTTACTTATGGTAACATTTTTCCTTACTTTTGATATTTCAACAAAAGATGTTAACTTCAAGAATAATTTGACAATACTAATAGTCTTCAACAGTCCTCCTCCCCTCAAAACGCATGATTTTTCCCCCAGCTAATTATAAATGCTTATCCTATGAAATGCTAAGAATTGGAAACTTAAAATCTTCACACCAAATCATATCTTTGGCAAATTCATCTAAATCACAGGAAGTTTTCTAAAAGTATCTGCTGAATGCCTCTCCCCTGATACAACTAGTTTACAGTCTTGAATTATAAAGAGGTAAAAGTCATTGGTGGCTGTGCCCTGCCAGCTAGCAAGAAACCAATTATTTAATCCTTGAATGAAGTCCCTTCTTTTTCTCCGGGCAAACCATCAATGTTTATTTATTATTAAACTATTCTTGTATAGCACTTCACAGCTTACAAAGTGTTTTCCTATACATTACCCCATCTGTCCAGTGACCCTGTAGTAGGGTCAAAGAGGAAATTCTGTGTGTGGACAACTGTCTCACAGATGTTAAATGATTTGTCTAGGGCCACAGGTGGCAAGTGTCAAAGAAGAGATTCAAACTCTCCCTCTCAGAAACATCTAAGCATTCATTTTAAGTAGTTCAAAGATGTCTGTTTCCTCTTTTTAACTGCCTTTTATTAAATGGCATCAGAGAAATATTCTCTCTCTTGAAAACAAATGAGTGCCAACTGTTTGAGATTTCTATTTATGGTTTTAATGACAGCAATGACTTTAAAAAATACTGCTAGAGGGAGATAGAGAAATATCCTCAAAACTGCATTACATCTCACAAAAAGTACACCGATCTATTTAGGTTTGTATGACCAAAACCTGCCTGTAATCCGATTCTCCTTCCCCAAATATTTGAAATTAATTTGTCAGGAAGTCATAATATTAAAAAACCACAGAAATATACATAGTGTCCCAATGAGACAAAAAAATCAAAGAAACTCAATCCATGGTATTACTATAAATATATAGGCATTGTTGTAAAAAGCAACTCTAAAAAGTTGCCTTTCCGAATTGCTGATGGCACTATTGAAAACACACCTTTTAAGGTAAGTCTCAGAAAATAAATGAGAGTGGGTATGTTTTCCTTACCACTCCTCCCCACCCAAAAATATTACTAAGTGATTCTTCAAAAAATGGAAAAACAATTTACATGGAGTCCTTAGGATACTGTTGAGTATAGTTAGAGTAGCTTTAAAAAAAAAAATGAAGACATATGACAAGAAACTAAAACCAGTAATCAATGACTTCAAGTACAAAAAATAAATAAATAAATTAGTTCACTTAATGATACTGGAGCACCATTGGTTTTGTTCCAGGATTAAAATGAAATACTAAAAGAGCACTGCATCTGCTACTCCTATCTTCATCTAATAACCTATAGGTGACCTCTTTCAATATACTAAGTTACATAGACATCTGACATACAGATAGAAAAAGAAGGCTAAAATTAACAAAATAACAAGCCTGATTGAATAACTGTCAAGCATATTTTTAATCATCTGTCACCTTAAGAGGTAGTTTTTGTATTGTTTTGTTTTTTTACAAGTCTATACTCTTAGAACTTAGGGTACAAGGCATGGCCTGCAGTTTCAACAATATTCATAGATAAGGGGAAAGAAAAGGCCGAGGTAGATCCCTAGAGATAGAATACATTAGTAGATCCATGTTGAGAAGAGTAATCTAAATCATTTGTATACATATGTGAGAAGCCTCAAGTTTTGAGGTCAAAGGGAACAAGATCTTACCCTTTCATGAGATGTTAGTTCTCTCATTTTCTACCCTCTTCAACCCTCCTCTAACCCTTTTTTATCTTGTATGTCACCTGAGATTCTTCTACCTCTCCTTGCCTTCCCAAATCTTCCCTTCCCCTACTTTATAATAATTGAAGAAATGATTTTTTTTCTTTACAATTATACGATTTTACCTTCAACTATATACTTCTGGGACTTCAAGCTGAAGAACTCGGGCAGTAGAAAAATTGGTGAAGTCAATCAAAAAATCAATCAGAACACTGAACACCAGCTCTACCACTACCTATTTTTGTGACTAGAGGCAAATAATCTTTGGGGGAAAAAAAAAAAAAAGGAACCCTACTAAATATTCTTATCAAAAATTTAAACTTACAGTTAACAATATAAATTAGTAAACTATGACTTAATATAAAGTAGCTACTTTGTGGTTTTTTTTACATGACGAGATGCAAAATTAAAATGGATGAGCTTACCCAAGACATTCACCTTATTGTTCAGTTGTTCAAATTTCAACTTTTTCAAAAAGTTGATTTATTCAAATCAGTATACAAAGGTAACACTTGCATTTTTGTGTTTCTTAAATCTTTTAATGGTCCCTCCTCCTTTTCCCTACAACTTGTTAAAGAAAACTAAGTTATTTATCCTGTAGAATCGCCTGTTCAGAATTTTGTTGGCTGCGCCCCCATGGTGTTCTTTAATGTGTTCCTTTGTGCTGTTCACTCTCCATTTACAGATAGGTGTAGGAGCTTGATTCGATTCAGGGTTTTTGTCTTTTGGCCGAACACTTCATAGGTAGTGCTGGGTACCTGCTGAGTCTTATCAGAAGGCACACTACTGTAAGATTGACCAGTGGGTTCCGGTGTTGCCATTCTCATCTATCCTTACAAGGTTTTTTATCAGTTTTTCAACTAATAGCCTCTGAAGCCATTGATGATCATTGCTTAGATTTGTCAAATTAATGGGAATTGAAAAACAGCGATATTCTAACACTTCTTCTGCATTTGTTAATTGAAATAATTCTACGTAGTCAACAAAATTTTCCCTTCATAATTTGATCATCCTGAGGTAAGGCAAGATAAATGTTTCTTTTTCTCCGATTTAGCAGTTTTCAGAATGATTTTTTCAATATCCTTTCGAAGGTTACCAAGGTAGTTTGTTGTTTTTGGTTGCTGGTTTTAGTAGCATTTTGAATGCATAGGTTTACATATTTATAACAACATGTTAGAATCAATTTCAGTTATTAGTCTTACTGATCATGAAATTGCTCCATGTATACAGCCAGTGGTTCAGAATCCCTGCAGTTGGATCCAGAGTTTCTGAGAAAAACAATGGTGTTTAAGTTTTCCTGCTTTGGTGATACTGAGTTTTTATTGTAATTTTTTAGATGTAAAAATAGTATTGTGAGGCCAGGCGCGGTGGCTCATGCCTATAATCCCAGCACTTTGAGAGGCCTAGGCAGGCGGATCACTTGAGGTACGGAGTTTGAGACCAGCCTGGCCAACATGGAGAAACCCCGTGTCTACAAAAAATATAAAAATTAGCCGAGCGTGGTGGTGGGCACACCTGCAATCCCAGCTACTCGGGAGGCTGAGGCACAAGAATCGCTTGACCCCGGGAGGCAGAGGTTGCACTGAGCCGAGATCGTGCCACTGTACTCCTGCCTGGGTGACAGAGCGAGAATCAGTTTCAAAAAAAAAAAAAAAAAAAGTATTGTGTTTTACTAGGAGAAAATGCGTAATATAAATCTGAGATGTAATGATACATCTCAGATTTGCTTCAAAATAAGCTGGAAGCAAGTAGTTTAGAGATGAAACTAGTTTTGCCACATGTTGTTAACTTTTGAAGTTAGTGTAATGATATACTACTGTTCATTATGTTATTCTCTTGCATACATTTGAAAATTTCCATAATGAAGTTTTTCTTTTAATTCCATTTTAGTGGTAAAAGTTTTTTAAAAACTCACTACTACAGAAAAAGAAAACACACATAACCTTAAAGCCTGGTGCACACCCAATCAGATAGTTCCCTCAAAATTCTAATTAAAGTGCATGCAAGAGGAAACTAGTAACTTATCTACTCAAACTCACTTTCCACTCAAGAAAAATGTGGATATCTGAAGTTAAGAAATAGTCTGAAAAGTGTGATTCTTAAAGTATTCTTTATTAAGATCATTAAAAGTTGTAGAAACAACTTTATATTATAAAGGCACAGGGAGACAGTTCAATAAAATATTCAAATTAACAGTAACTTACAGTACAAAAGACAATTTTAATGCACATACAAACCCCAAATGTCTGATTCAAAAATATTTTACTGCGTCTATTAATGGGCAATGATTAAAAATATAAATTGCTGCCATATAATAAATATCTGATAGTGAACATCTTGATAGCAAAGTGAACAAAATATTTATTGCTTTTCACTTACATATTTTTCCCTGTAATTTTAAATTCCTAATTCTTTTACTATCTTCTCAACTTTTCCCAAAGATAAAATAAATTTCACATAATTTCATGGAGGGGAAATGGTAGTTGTAAAAAACTACCTCAAGTAGCAATCACCGCTGGCAGTGTTTTCTCACTTTCTGTTCTGCAATTGCAATCACACTTCCAAAAAGAAAAGCAAATGTTTGCTAAACCATAGACAGACAACCTCTTTGTGACTGGTATTATAAGGTTTATAATGAAAACTTATCAAATATAAAAGGTGCTCCCTCTTGAAAATGTGTATTTTATTTGAAGTTTTGAGTAAGAGGTGAGTGTTTGGCAATTTTCAACACTCCCCTCAAAAATCTCCCAAAGTTGCAAAAAAGTCAGTTTAGTAAAATTCCAAGCACTTAAATGCTTCATTGAGGGCCAGTTGATATACGCAATGCACTAATGTGTAAAAATTAACCGAATGCAACTATTTTATAATGGAGAGCTCTTACCTTTTCCTTCCAGTTTTTAAACTGGCATAAACTTTATTGACTTCATCCTCCTATTTTTATAGCAACCTAGTTTTAGATGGTACAAGTTGAATTTCTATCACAAGACAATAAAATAACATGAAAGCATTATCCTAGTTAATGCTATTTCAACTTAAGAAATATCTACATTGAAGTATTTGATAATAATTGTAAAGTTACTTAACCGTATGTCATGTTCAGACAGTATGTAGCAGCTAGTAACGTGCCTGGCACAGAGTTGATGCTTAATAAATAGTTGCTGAATAAATGAAAAAGAAAAACCTGCCTTTGGTTGTGCATACTTTAATCACTTTCTGATTTAGAAAAAGATCAGTCTAGAGCTCACTACTGCACACTACATCAAACTTTGCTGTAAACAAAAGTAACAACTTCAAACAGAAAAATATTACCTGTTAGTGATAGTCAACTTATATAAAGAGCCCACACATTTCTATGCAAATAATTAAATTTGATGTTCTGATGTTTAACCCTTAGGTAAAGAAGACCAAAGTGTGCTGACTGGCTAATTTGTATGCTTTATAGTAATAATGATTAGTTCCTCAATAAATGAAAAGTTATGATGCCCGATTAAATTCAAACAATGGCTACCATGTTAATTTTGCAAAACTACCCATGAATAAAAGGTAGGATAACTTTAAATTACTTGAAAGCAGTAGTTTAACTTTCAACAGAAAAAATAATCAGGAAGATCTGAATTTAATAATGACAGAGCTAAAATACTGGAAGTAGGGTGGTAAGAATAAGTAGCTGACCAATTCTATTTTAAATTCTAAACATGAGATTAGGTGTAATATTTCTTTGGCATATGCATTACTATCTTGGACTAGTTAACACTTTTTAGATACTGGGTTGTATTTTTTTTCTGAATCAAAATTAACATCAATATATAGATTCTAGTATATTCTTCTTAAAGCCTTTAGAAAAGATAAAATGACATTTTGCAACATATGCCAAACTTCATGTTTAGTGTACACTTCTAATTATTGGCATAGAGGGATATAACTGTTAAATAACCTGAAATGACACCATGCAATGGTGAAACTACAGAAGTTGGTGAAAAGAAGTATTTACATAATGTAATATTTAGCTTTCTTTAAAAAAAAAAAAAAAAAACACAGTAAACCTGGGAATCCTGCCCTAACAGTAAATATGTACCAAATAGCACTGAATGACAACTATTAAAAATTTAAATGAACACCTACAGTAACCTGAATTTTCAAAATTTAATTAAAAAAAAAAAGGGGGAAAAAACCCTACACATCAGAAGGAAAAAGCGGCCTATAAAACAGACCAATCTGACTTGACATTCAAAGTAAATGCAAGAGATTCACAAAATCATGATAGTAAATGCAAACTAAGTACCAAGTACCCTTTGATACACAAGCCAATGTACTATCAGACTCATTTCCAATAGCTTAACAATATTCATTAATCCACTCAAGCATTCCGGGGTAGTGGGGAGCAGCTGATGACAGCTCAAGCCTCCAAAGTATAAGAACATACTTATTTGCAGAAGCATCATGTGATTTTTGAAGTAATGTCTTATTTTGATGGATGTTAACATTAAGATCTATCAGTGCAAGTTTATCATCCTCTGAATGTAACACTTCCAAATTTCATTTTTTCAGATCGTTTTTTGGTGGTTTAGTTTTAGCCAGTGCTGTTTAAATGGAGAAAAAAAGAAAAGTTCACCATAGACTACCTCACGTTGTTACTTAATTGTGCTAGGTATTCACGCAGTTCTTTTGCAGCCTGGAATCTGCCATAGCGCTTCTTTGGGTTGGCACACTCATCCAGCAAGGCCTCGAGCCGGCCATCTTTGGCAATTTCACTTGGTGGATCATGAAGGAGTCCTCCAGAAGTGCCACGCCAGGTGGCATGTCTGGATAAGAGGTTCTGACAAACAGCATAGTAATTGTGGTCCACAGTGGCACGAGCACAAAGAATTTCTTTTGAAAATGATAAGCAAGCCTCCTTATCACAGTCATCAAACTTGCTTTCATACCATACATCCCAATTTTCAGGTTTATCTGTGAAAGGAGGAAAAGCAGAAGTAGAAAAAAATTTTTTAAATAGTTTTCATTGCTTCCAAAAATAGAATATTTCACTAATTAATAGTATTTGTTCTACACTTTTAGGTAAAAGTATATTATAACCATAAACATTTAAATATATAAATTCATACAAACATTCACTGGGAGCCCACTAACGCTAGGCAGAAAGATTCAGAAAGGTCTCTACCACTTACAGGTTTAGTCTAGCGACTTTCCATCATACACAGAAAGTGCCATAAAGAAATATGACACAATGCTACAGGAATAGTGGGGAATTAAATTAGCACTTGTCCCTGGGGCTGTAGAAGGCTGCAAAAAGGAGAACATCTGATTTAGGTCTTAAAAGAAAACAAATCTGAAAAGAAACTAGGAAAAAATAGCATTCTAGGTTCAGGACACAGTATATGCAAAGACATGGACATAAGGGATTGCTCCATTTGGTTCACGAAGCAATAAGTTCACTGTGGCTAGAGTGTGAGAAACGTAGTTGGCAAGGAGATACAGGTGACGCTAGAAAAATAGGTCGTAACTTGTGTAATCACGACCATAATTTATTTTATAGAAAGATAACTCTGGGCTGAAGATTGGAAGGATTAAGATCATGAGAGCAACTATAGATGGCCCAGAATGAAAAGCTAGATTGGAGAAACATTTCAGGCAAAAATAATTAAGTATATGGGTAAAGTTTAAGGTTCTAATTGGATGACAAGGTATGTACAATTGCCATAATAGTGTCAATATTTTATATATAAACAAAATAAATATAAAGGAGCTATAAGGTATTAGGTGGGCATGTCATATGTACAACTAGAACTAGACTTGAAACTTATGATTTTGAGGTAAGAGGGATATTAGGCAAATTGAGAACACATAAGCACACATGTACTTGAAGGAGTCAAGGCTTGAAAAACAAATAGCTAGCTGTATAGGGAAGAAGGAAGAGACATTTTTGGAAGAGGAAACTGGGAATGCCCAGAAGTGGGCCGATTCATTCAGGAAAACAAGAGGCCATTGTAGCAGAAGCACCAAGGGCAATAGATGGAGGGGTATTAAAAATGAAGCACTCGAAAAACACATATATACACAGGCTGGGCGGGGTGGCTCACATCTGTAATCCCAGCACTTTGAGAGGCCAAGGTGGGAGGACTGCTTAAGCCCACAAGTTTGAGACCAGTCTAGGCAACACAGCGAGATCCCACCCTCTACAAAAAATTTAAAAATTAGCCAGGCATGGTGGTATGTGCCTGTAGTCCCAGCTACTTGGGATGCTGAGGCAGGAAGATCACTTGAGCCAGGGAGGTCAAGGCTGCAGTGAGCCGTGATCACACCACTGCACTCCAGCCTGGGTGACAGAGACCCTGTCTCAAAAAAGAAAAAAAAAAAAGGATCAGAAGAGGGCCAAGTCACACAGATTACAGATTATGCCCTGGCTTTAAGGTGTTTGGATTTTACTTCCAGAACAATGGGAAGTCATTAGAACCATTTAAGCAAAGGAGTAGTAAGTTAATGTTTTTTGAAGGTTACTATTCCAAAAGAAGGAAGGTTACTATTCCAAAGGAGGAAACAACTTCGAGAAGTTGATACTAGTCACAATCACTTCACAAATTTGCCAATTAGGTGGTTGCTAATGGCAAGGCAGAGGTCTACGTCAGGTTTTAATGGACTAAGGAATGAATAGAGGCTGAGGAAGCAGAAAGGCAATAAATACTTTTAAAAACAGTGGACAAGCAAGGAGAAGCAGAAGAGAGTCTTATATATACTTTTTATAGGAAGGCAAGAGAAGTTGGATATTAAAGGAAGGAGGTGGGACACTGAAGAAGATAACTGATGTAACAAGTTCTCAAAGAAGAATCTATCTGTTGCTGTTTTAATGAGGTTTAGATGATAAAGGACACTGGGGGAGTTGCCACAGCAAAATCTCAATTTCCCTGTGAAGAAATAAAATAAAGGTCATTTACTAGAAAGTGGAAAGAAAAGAGAGTAAATGAACAGACAGAGACTTTTGCAAAGTGACTATTTAGAGGACCCATGAGACATTTGAAAAGAAATGACCACAGTTAAAGCAGCACTAGAGCAATGCTCACTGTATGAAATGGAAGAATACAGAAGCTATATGGCTGGATTCATCTAAGGTCAGGAATTAGTAATAATTATTCCAGGAATGTCTGCATAAAATGAATTATAAAAAATTATTGTTATAAACACTGAAATAATTTTTTTAAGCTTAGGAAAATTGCACAACTCTATGAATATACTAAAAACCACCTGCTTGTGTACACTTTAAAAAAGAAAGAATAGTATACGCTGCTACAATATTCACAGATGTAGGAAGAGGTAAATAGAGAGTAGAATACTCCAGCAGGGTGTTCACTTCCTGTAGGAGGATCTACATGGCAAGTCAAGAAATAATCAGAAAAGTGGTCTGGTAAGTATAAAATCTGAAAAAGGGAGTGGGAAAAATCAAGTATTTAATAGGATCATGCCAAGATCATGCAAAAAGTAAATGTCAACCTAATATATGGCTGTCACATAAACTTTTCCCCAGGTGCCGTAAATTTTCAGCCTTTGTTTGTCAAAAGATACTCATATTACTTTTATCAGGGGGAAAGAGGGGATTAAAAAATATAAAACCCTCACCATGGAGCAACAACCCTTTGGTTTTGCTAACTGAATTGGTTCTAGACCTACAGGCTTTGTTCTTGATGCTTTACAACTTCTATGGCATTTAATTTTCTTTAATTTTCTTTTTTTTTTTTTTTTTTTGAGACGGAGTCTCGCTGTTGCCCAGGCTGGAGTGCAGTGGCGCAATCTCGGCTCACTGCAGGCTCCGCCCCCTGGGGTTCACGCCATTCTCCTGCCTCAGCCTCCCGAGTAGCTAGGACTACAGGCGCCCGCCACCTCGCCCGGCTAATTTTTTGTATTTTTAGTAGAGACGGGGTTTCACCGTGTTAGCCAGGATGGTCTCGATCTCCTGACCTCGTGATCCGCCCGCCTCGGCCTCCCAAAGTGCTGGGATTACAGGCGTAAGCCACCGCACCCGGCCGGCATTTAATTTTCAAAACACTTCAGACACTACTCATCTATCCCATGAAGAACTCAAAAGTAAATGGAGAGCAAAGTTTTGGGTGAGATGTAATAATCAGAATGTCAAACCAAACTCAGAGCTGCAGTGCCAGGGATCATCAAAATGGTTAAAAATAAAGTACAAACCATATTTCAAGAACCCATACAACCATTCTGTTTTTCACTTTCAGTACAGAATTCAATATATTACATGAATATAATTATATTCAACAGTTTATTATAAATAGGCTTTGTTTTACACAATTTCCCCCAACTTTAGACTAATGTAAGTGTTCTGAGTATGTCTAAGGTAGGCAAGACTAAGCTATGATGTCCCGTAGGTTAGATATATTTCAAATAACAATATTTTCAACTGACACCGGGTTTATCAAGATGTAACCCCCAGTAAGTCAAAGAGTATCTGTATTTGTTTATTGACAGTGGTCATATAAAGCAAAGAAAGACGCTTAAAGTTGCCATCTAAGGAGGAAATTCAAGGCTCATTTCATACAAGTATAAACATTATTTTGACATAGGAAAAAATGAGTAGAAAAAAATCTAAAATTATATACTTACTTTGTCTAATTAATCTTTTGTCAGCAACCAAAACATTTTCAGCATCCACAATGATTACCTTCCCATCTCTAGGACCAACTGCAAAATTGTCAAAGCTGACGTCCAGGAGGTAGAGTGCAAATTCAAAGTCATTGTTTGTAAGCTGTTCTGCTATTTCCATTAATTGCCAAGCGAGGTCAACTCGTTTTTCCCATGGCGCATTAAAGTAACTCCACAGTTCTTCTCCAACATAATTTACAGCCACCATTCTTCCACAAGCTCCAAGATACTTTGCAAATGGCCAACCTTCATCAGACGGAAAACTCTACAAAAGAATTATCTTAATATTACAAGAGATTCTGATGAAAATATCCTAGGTCTATCCTCAGATCCTTTCAGTAGAGATTGCTACTAGGAATGACTTTGGATTTTCTTATTACATTCAACAGTTTATTAGAGATTAACTTCATTTTTTCCTAACTCATACCAGTACTATGGACCTGAAAAAAATTTAAATAGAGAACTTTACATTATAAAGCTAAAATAGGATGACAAGTCTTGCTTATCAAAATCTAAGAACCAAAATGATCAATAAGAGGGAAGACACTGTCTTTATTACCAAATCTAAAAGTATTTATGCTTTCCCTTATCTTCTTCACTTGTGTAAATGTAATCAACCAATCCTTTTATTTAAACTGATAGCACTGCAGCCTATTAACCAGCAGTTATTTACCAGGCAACAGGCACTGTGTTACGGTGGCAATTAAGGGTGAACCAAACAGTCTCCATTTAGCCATGGGCTTTTATTTTAGAAGAGCATGCAGTCACCAAACAAATAATTATGAATATGAAAAGTGTTAGTTACTAAGCAGTGGTGCAGGTCCCAGGGGATCATTTAGTAGGGGCCTTTCCTAGTCAGGAAGCAGATGGGGTGGAATTCAGGGAAAGATTCTTGAGAGATGTCTTTTACCCTACATCCAAAGGTTGGGAAGGGACAAACTGATATCCTATTAATGCAACCTCCACTCTGAGCACATCTGGTCCAAGTTCATCTTGTTTCCCTTTCCCAGCCATATTTTCTGTTCTCCTTGGCCTAGCCTCAAAATTACTCTTATCTTAGCAAGGTTTTCTAATGGATTTTAAAACTACTGGCAGGATTATCATCCTAAATCAAAAAAAAACGTGTTCCATGACCATGAACACTCATTTTCACCTTAAGTAAAATAACAGGCTTTATCTAAGATACCTTCCACTGCTAAAATATGTAACTAGAAAATGAACATTAGAGAAAAAAAGGAATCAATAAATGTGTGTGTTCTGACTGCTCCACCAACTAGCCATCCCCAGGGAACAGGGAGGCCTCTCCTCAGGCCTCCCTGTTCCCTGAGACACAACAATACTGAAATTAAGCCTATTAATCCTACTATGGCCTCTAAGTGTGCAAATGAAAACAGTTACAGGTATCTCATTTGAAATCAAAAGCTAGAAACAATAGGTAGGCATAGTGAGGAAGGCACATCTAAAACCGAGATAGGCAGAAAGCTAGGCTTCTTAACCCAAACAGCCAAGCTGTGAATGCAAGGGAAATATTATCAAAAGAAATCAGAAGTGCTACGCCAGTGAACACACAAATGTTAAGAAAGCAAAACAGCCTTACTGCTAATAGGGAGAATGTTTTAGTGATCTGGATAAAAGATCAAATCAGTCACAACATTCCCTTAAGCCAATACCCAATCCAGAACAAGAACCCAACTCTCCTCAATTCTATGAAGGCTCAGAGTTCAGAAGAAAAGTTTGAAGCTAGCAGAGGCTGGTTAATGCAGTTTAAGGAATGAATTCATCACCGTAAGATAAAAGCGCAAGGAGAAGCAGCAAGTGCTGATACAGAAACCATAGCAAATTATCCAGAAGATCTAGCTAAGATAATTAATGGAAGTGACTAATCAACAGATTTTCAATGTAGATGAAACAGCCTTCCCAATACAAAATGTAGATGAAACAGCCTTCCCAATACAAAATGTAGATGAAACAGCCTTCCCAATACAAAACAGTTTGTATTGCTAGTGGTCTGGTTTTTCTAATCTTTTCAAAAAACCAGCTCCTGGATTCATTGATTTTTTTAAGGGTTTTTCGTGTCTCTATCTCCTTCAGTTCTGCTCTGATTTTAGTTATTTCTTGTCTTCTGCTAGCTTTAGAATTTGTTTGTTGTTGCTTCTCCAGTTCTTTTAATTGTGATGTTAGGATGTCGATTTTACACCTTTCTCGTTTTCTCCTGTGGGCATTTAATGCTATAGATTTTCCTCTAAACACAGCTTTAGCTGTGTCCCATAGATTCTGATATGTTGTGTCTTTGTTCTCATTGGTTTCAAATAACTTATTTACTTCTGCCTTAATTTTATCATTTACCCAGTAGTCATTCTGGAGCAGGCTGTTCAGTTTCCATGTAGTTGTGCAATTTTGAGTGAGTTTCTTAATTCTGAATTCTAATTTGACTGCAATTAGAATTGTGGTCTGAGAGACTGTTATGATTTTCTTTTGCATTTGCTGAGGAGTGTTTTACTATTTTAGAATAAGTGCAATATGATGCTGAGAAGAATGTGTATTCTGTTGATTTGGGGTGGAGAGTTCTGTAGATGTCTATTAGGTCCACTTGGTCCAGAGCTGAGTTCAAGTCCTGAATATCTTTGCTAATTTTCTGTCTCGTTTGTCTAATATTGACAATGGGGTGTTAAAGTCTCCCACTATTATTGTGTGGGAGTCTAAGTCTCTTTGTAGGTCTCTAAGAACTTACTTTATGAAACTGGGTGTTCCTGATCCTGGGAGCATGTATATATAGTTAGCTCTTCTTGTTGCATTGATCCGTTTACCATTATGTAATGCCCTTGTCTTTTATGATCTTTGTTGGTTTAAAGTCTGTTTTATCAGAGACTAGGATTGCAACCCCTTTTGTTTTTTTTGTGTTTTTTTTGCTTTCCATTTGCTTGGTAAATGTTTCATGTGTGTCTTTGCATGTGAGATGGGTCTCCTGAATACAGCACACTGGTGGGTTCTAACTATCCAATTTGCCAGTCTGTGTCTTTTAATTGGGACATTTAGCCAATTTACATTTAAGGTTAATATTGTTATGTGTGAATTTGATCCTGTCATTATGATGCTAGCTGGTTATTTTGCTCATTAGTTGATGCTGTTTCTTCATAGTGTCAATCATCTTTACAATTGGTATGTTTTTGCAATGGCTTGTACTGTTTTTTCCTTTCCATATTCAGGGCTTCCTTCAGGAGGTCTTGTAAGGCAGGCCTGGTGGTGACAAAATCTCTCAGCATTTGCTTGTCTGGAAAGGATTTTATTTCTCCTTCGCTTATGAAGCTTAATTTGGCTGGATATGAAATTCTAGGTTGAAAATTCTTTCCTTTAAGAATGTTGAATATTGGTCCCCACTCTCTTCTGGCTTACAGGGTTTCTGCAGAGAGATCTGCTGTTAGTCTGATGGGCTTTCTCTATTTAAAAATTTTAAGTAACAATTCCAGACATTCATCAAAAGATATGCTTATCTTCATGCACCTCCTAAACACCTACTAAAACGGCATCTACAAATAATGAACCCCCTTCCAAATAGAGTGAAGAACCACTAAATTAGAGAAACATCTTTACTGACCTCTAGTAATTTCTAATTCATAATGAAATATATAGACTAGTCACTAAACTCTTAAAAGCACTGATGCTATAAGAAACGTAGAGAGCATCCACAAGCACTAAAAATGCAAGAAACTTAAAAATTGGAAACGTGTACACACAAAAACACAGTATTTTAACTTGTTTTTTATTACTGATAAGCACAAAACAAATTCCAAATGCTGAAATAACCTAATAATCTACCTAGATCAAAATCAAATATTTTATGTGATCAATAAAGGAAATGTAAAATCCAAGAAATTTAGAGTTTAACTGTACCTCAATTGTAAATCCAGTTCAATCTTATTAGTACAGTGTTAAACGATTTACCTAAAGTCACACAGGTAGTAAGAAGCAAATTTAGGCCAAGCTATAATTATCTTTACAACAGTCAAAATGAATTCAAAAGATAGATTAACACAACCTCCCTCAAGCCAATATCCTTTTGTTGAAGTTAAACTTTATTAGTTTGGGGTGGTTTTTTTGGGTTTATTTTTTGTTTTGTTTTTGTTTCTGTTTTTGTTTTTGCTTATTTATCATCTGTTTAAGAATTTTTCAGATTTTATAAAGGTAACGGTTTATATATTACATAAGAGCATTCCAGAAGCCAACATTATGCTGGAAAAATAATGTTAAGATTGATTATTTAACCTAAGTGATCTCCACCCAGGCTGAGACCTAAAGGATGAGTTTAATATTAAGCAGACTGGAGATGGGGCAGTTCAGGCACATGAAAAGCCTGAAAGTATCTTCTCAGAAATGAATAAAAGACCAAAGCAGCTGCAGTGAAATGAATGGGGAAATGACTTGCGGTAAGGGAATCTGGAGAGTGAAGCAAGGACCAGATCATGTTGGGACTTATAGAATCAAACAGAAATCTTCAACTCAGTCTTTATAGCATCATCTATATGTATGCCATGCAAAAACAAATACATGTCAAAATCTTGATGTTCAGGATTATCTTACATACTGAAATCAAACAGTATGCTATGGTATATTTACCTTATTCTAAAAAACAAGCCTTTAAAATATCACGATAACCCTTTGATCAATATCCACCATCCTGCCAGGTTAATAAGGCCATTTCATTCTATCATGCCATAACACAGTCATGAAAAGGGTGGACATGGAATATATGAGTAAAGATACATAAAAGAATACATTTTGGTATTGTTTATTTACTTACAAAAAATAAATGACATGAGACTAATAGATTAAAATAGAGTCTACTTAAAAGTGCTTGTATTCTTTTTTCTCCTACATGACCAAAAATATTGTATACTAAATTTAAAAGATCAAAATTCCTTTTATACAATATAAAATATTTTATAATACTTCATTACCTCATAATATTCCATTAAAAGGAACATAGCTTTGCAGTTTGCCTTAAGAGAGAAAATAAGTACAGACCAAGAGATGTGTTACCATGCAAGACTGATTTTTGTTAAACTTGAAAGTTCTTAGTATAAACAAACTAACTTCAAAAAAACTATTAATAAAACATACAATCTAAAATGTGAATATCGATTTTCTACATAACTGGCATTTCTACAAAAAAAAAAAAAGTTTAAGCTTGAAAACACTCTTAGAAAGTATATGTCATCAAAAGCATAGAAAATGCTTAAAGGGGCCAGGCGCGGTGGCTTCACACCTATAATCCCAGCACTTTGGGAGGCCTAAGTGGGCAGATCACCTAAGGTCAGGAGTTTGAGACCAGCCTGGCCAACATGGTGAAACTCGTCTCTACTAAAAACACAAAAATTAGCCAGGCGTGGTGGTGAGCACCTGTAATCCCAGCTACTCGGGAGGCTGAGGCAGGAGAATTGCTTGAACCCGGGAGGCAGAGGTTACAGTGAACTGAGATCACGCCACTGCACTCCGGCCTGGATGACAGAGACTCCATCAAAATAAAGACAGACAGACACATAAGAAAGAAAAGAAAGAAAGAGCTAACTTAAGTTTTAAAATTATTTTTTAAAGCCCAAATTTGAATGAAATCCCATTGTAGTAACGCATGTTATAACAGCTGTTCATAAAGATTAGTCAACTGTACTGGTGACAGACTAATGTGTTCACAGTTTGGTGAACTGTCTGGAGGGGAGATATAGTAAAATTACGGGGATGATTTAATGGTTACTGAATTTTTGCTAAAATTTCTCTAAGATCTTAGCTTCTTAATTTATACTGCTAAATAGCAGCCAAAATCCATTGCAAATACTGTAGAAGCTTAACAATTTCAAGATTTTTAAGTCCTAGCATATGTCCCATTTATTTCATGAAATAATTTTCTGAATGCCATTTTCCACCCACCTCAAATTCCAACAATATTAAACAATGCCTTGAAAATAGTAAGGTTGTGTTATTTTACTGAATATCATGTCCAACAGCTGTATCTAAAATTGGAAACTGATGTCAAAACACATTTTAAAAACTAAATTTAATAGAAATAGATTATCTTTTAGAATAAATTGCTTAAGAAATGCTGCCCCCACCAAAAAAAAACACAAAACAAAAAACACTTCACTTGTTCACAAGTTTTAAATATGCATAAGTTTACTAGTCTCAACTGACCCTTACTGTGTCCCAGGGGTATATACAGATCAGTTCCTGGCACTATTGACCAATTCCACATAATTACTGTCAGATCTTTTCATTTCAGAGTTAACCCCCAAAAAAGCATTAGAAAGAAAAAATACGAAGACACTGAAGCATCATACTTACTTCAGATTACAAATCTTTTAAGATTCTGTCTCAGAGTCTAAGGTCTAGACTTAACCTGTTTTTTTGTACTACCATTTACCAATGTACTAAATAGAATTACTAAACTATAATAATGATTTACAGAGAAAAAAAGAAACTATTTGCCTTTTACTTCTTAATCCTTATCTAAACCGTCTTTCCTACCATATTCATTCTATTCATTACACTTCATATGAGACAAATCCCTAATCCCCTTTTAAACTACTATTTTTAAAAAACTATAGCCTGAATAGGTACATATGATTTACGTATATGTAAGGACAGTGACATTTGAATGTCTGCAATAAGAAAAGTAGGATTTTTACATTTCTAAGACAGACATCAGCATAATGTACTAAAGAACTTTTAACTACTATAGCTGTCTAAAAATGGAATAAGCTGATTTTCAAAGAAATAATACACTGTAAAAAGCTTTACAACTGAAAACATTTAACAGATATTACTTGAATAATCCTTTCTTCTTTAATCTTTAAAACAATCCTGTTAGGTAAGTATTAACAACCCCATTTTACTGATTAAAAAAACTTAGAATCGGAAACATTAAGTGACTTGCTCAATACCATCCAACAACTTTGTGGTAATACAGAATGTGAAATGGATGCTCTATCAATACTGCCCCCTCCACCCTTCCTCCCACTCTCCACCCCCATCTATTGGCAAAATCTCTGAAACTTTCCCTGGTACCATTCCTATCAATATACAATGAGATGTCCCTCCCTGAGTCATGTGACAGTATATATATATATATATATAGATATATATATATCTATATATAGATATATATATATATATATAGATATATATATATATATAGATATAGATATATATATATAGATAGATAGATAGATATAGATACCTTTTGTACAGGGCTTATTAAATGGATTGTATAATAATTAGTTATTTGTGTACCTACCTCCTACATAGTAAGCTACTTGTTTCCTACGGCCATCTTTCCATCCTTTCAATCCAAATGCCTTGTAACAGATTGTAAAATGAACAGACAAATTCAGTTCTTTTGGTTATAAATTCAAAGAGCTCTCAAGAATTTCACAGACAACTTCCTATCACCTTATACTAACCTCACCTTACACTAATAATTTTCAGTCATGTTACAACCATTTACTAAAGTTCATCAAATGTATTAGAAAAATGCAGGATTTAAATTATAAGGCCATAATTTAACATATGGGTAATGAGTGAAAGCTGAAGAAAGAAAAAAATAGCATTCTGTGAAGAGTCAGCAGCAATGACAGAAAAATAGGAAGTAAGCCAGAGCCCACAAACCAAAAAAACAGAATAAAAACCAGTCTGACAATCCCCTGAGAAGCTGGACACCCATGTCCAGAAGACCTATAAAAACAAGCTTTCTATTTCCCAACATGTGTGAGAATATGTGCTAACCTATGCAATGGAAATATAAAGAATAGTTCAAAGACTAGACAAAAGTATACAAAGGACAAAATTCAAAATGGTCAAAAGATATGGATATGTCCAGAAACTAGTCCAGGATGTCAAATGACTTTGCTCTACTGATTCTGAAGTGATGCTTTCTTAAGGGCGATTGTCTGTTTCTAGGGTCTTTCTAAAATAAAAGTCCCCACCCCCTTTTTGGACTTGAGGTATCCAAAATTGTTTTATTATTTTTGTTTGATTATCTTGAAGAGCAATCAAAAGTGTCAATGGACTCTCAGATGAAAAGCCACAAAAAGTTCAAAAACTTACAAAATTTATTAGATTAAAAACTGCTCTACTAAGAACCATCTCTAATGTGTTCTGAAGCCGAAATCTAGGAAGACAGTTACTAAAGAAACAGCCAGTAAAGGAGAAGTAGGTGGTTCCTTAAACTGTTGTTTGAAAAGAAACTCCTGAAACAAAGTCTGGAACATCGTTTTGCACACTATTGCCTCACAAGATCCTTGGCTACCCTTAACTCCACATATTTCCCCTTAAAGGAAGGTTTTGGTTTTTGTTTTATTTCATGTGTGTAAAAATTTGGGGGTAGGAAGAAAGGCTTGAAAGAGAGCATCCCACTCCCAATCCCCTTTCAGAAGAGCTTAATTAAACCCACTCGTTAAAGTTCAAAAGAAAACAACAACAACAACAACAACAATAAAAACCAAATTTCTCAAGAGTTTGAAAGCCCCAGAATGTTGGAGCTGAAAAGGATCTAATCCAATAGCTTCATTTTATAAAGAAGGAAGTGAGTCCAATAGTAAAAATCTATCAACTTTTCTAAAGTACCGTTAGCTAAATAATCTTTTGTTTACTTCAAAAACTACATTTTCACCAGTGAACTTAAAAAATATGTTGTTCCCTATATAAATTACTTTTAAAGGCAAAAACAACATTCACTGAAAGTTTTCTACAAAAAATTATATCAAAGTAATAATGGAAAAAAATCAGTATAACTAAAGTATGGTTGATATTCAAAATCACCATTATTTTTAAGGTGATCCATACCCCAAATGAGCTTCAAAACAGCTGATCAAATGCACCAGGCAGTTAAAGTTACCTTTACTTTATTCAATATCTAACATTTATTGAATGCTTACAATTTACCAGATACTACGTGAAGTGCTTTGCATGTATTATATCATTTATAAGAATAGAAAAGCAAGCTTAAAAACCATAGCTTAATGATAGTCATATACTATAAAAATAAAGTAAATCCTATTAAAACCATGATTCAGAAAATTTAAGGCAAATGAAGTTCCACAAATAGTAACATTCCCAGCTCGTCCCCCTAAACAACAAAGAGCTTTCTCCATTTCCTACAAACAAGACCATCTTCACTACTTCCAGGTTATAAAGTCAGAGATTCTGTCTGAACTTCAACAAATCCAGACAGCATCTCTCTCTCTCTCTCTCTCTCTCTCTCTCACACACACACACACACACACACACTCTCCCTTTCTGTAAATTCAATAGGTTAAATACAAATACGATGGAAAATTTATCAACAATAACTTGTGATCTTGCCAATTACTTCAACAACTCAATTTTTGAATACTTCAAGATTCCTATTTACACAATATAAAAGTCAACATAGTTCCTCTCCTCCATTTTTTTTTTCATAGGATTACAGTATACCTGGCACTAAAATACACACATCTTAGTGAAGTAAAAATGTGACGACGAGGAAAGGGTATCAGAGTAGAAGATAAAGGTACTACTAGCATTATCTTGTTGCTTGATGTTTATAAACATTTTTTAGAAGATAATAATTCTATGGGTAAACTGTTGTAAACTAGTGAAACTATCCAACAATAAGAAGAAAGCCATACTCTCATGCCATTTCATATGGGGAAATTTATATCACAAATCTTTACAGCCTTACATAGATAAGGTATGTGTGTAAACATCTTAGACACTTAATGTCTTTCACCTCTCCTTTCAAGGAATAATAGCAACTTCAATTTTTTACTGTTTTTTCAAATCAGAAGAGGTGAGTTTAATGGATTAAATTCGTAAGTATTTTTCAGTTCTTAAACACCTTATCAAAAGAAATTTTTACATGCTTATTTTGAAGCATGCTTACGATACTGGAAGTTTTGTTAAGAATACTTGGATGAAGTCAGTTCAAAGACTTTTTTTTCCCTGAAGTTGTTAATTTTTGGACAATATAAGAAAAATCTAGTTTGTCACCAGCTGTCCAAAAATTCGACAAGTAGCTCCCTCTCCTGGAGGAAAAAAGTGAGTTCCTCTTCAAGCTGTTAAAACACTTGTACTCTTAAAAATATATTTTTTAATACATGAAGCAATAGACAGCCAAATCTGAGTTTTTCTGTATCAATTAATATCCCAGTATTACTGTAAACAGCTATAAACAGTTTTATAAAAACCTGTATAAATACTAAAAATGTAGTTTCCTAGCTAACAAAGGTAATGAACATCATGGTTTGACTTACTGTACAGCAACTTTTGTACTTGATCACAGAATGTTGAGATACCTTTCATTTTGGTGGTTTTATACAATCATCAAACCTCAAGTATATTGTTCAGACTTGTAAATTCACTAGCTTTTTCCAAAGATCAAGTGATTCTACAAAGAAAGCAGCGGCTCTCTGAAAACTCTTACTTAAAAATATCTTCTTCCTCTACTTGCTTGTTAATCAGGTTTTAAAAAAATTACATGCCTATATGACTGGCTGGTACTAAAGACCCCAAAATTATATTACACAGTATGTACTCAGCTATAATTATAATACATATATTAGTATTAGTACTATTCCTGGGAACTGGGTTGTGTAAATTAAAAATGTAATTTACAAACCTCACTCTAAAACGTGGAGACATGTTTCATCACATACTAAAAACAAATTCTTATCCTATGGCCCATGTGTTTACCCACTCAAAGTAGCTGTGTCATTATGTGTCATATATAAGAAAATAATTGTGCTTTTTCAAAAAAGGCTGTTTCATCACTAAAGATGAGAACAGATAAAGAGTAAGTTTGAGGGAAAAGTTAAACAGAAAACAAGATACACGCACACTTGACTATCTCAACTACAAAGTAAACTGAGAATGCCATGAGAAGTTCAAACTTAAAAAAATATAAAACCTTCCTGCACAAAGCACAAATTTACCTTAGTGTAAATCAGATGCCAAAGTTTCTCAAATTCAATGCTATGACTACACTTAAAAAGAACTGGCCACATAATGTTCTTAAAATATCAATTCTACTGTTAGTTGTTACTAATACATCACTATTCAAAATTACCTAAAAAAAAAAAATCTTTCGGTAGGGACGCCAGCATTTTAAGTACAGTAAATGTATATTACTAAGACAGCTCCTTGCTAAATTTCTGGGTCTCAGAGAATTTGTCCGGGTATCTACTTCAGCAAAATGCTAACACGATCTCCAAGAACCAACCTTGCTAATACAAACAAGGTTCTCTTTTAAAGATAGCTTAATGAGAAACTTCAGTTCAAGTGTATGTACATCATAAATACAGGCTAAACCTTTAGAGACTGACTAGTTTGGGAACTACTGAATAAAGAAAATTTCTTCAAGGAAAGTTTAACCAGTTTTATGCATCCATTCAGTTAGGTGATACAGCAGTATTTAAAACACACTCTGACTTTAAAATTAACCCAATACACATAGCCTCTGATGTCCTAAAATTTACTAAGACCCACACTAAAGTTTCATCTGAAGCCAAATATTTGTGTTACATTATTTGGCTGAACTAATCAAACGAAGCTGGTTTCTTTTAAAGCTAAAATGGGCAGTGTAGAGCTTGAGAAAAGAAAATAATATAAAGAAATCTGCACTTTCCTATTCATGCATTTTAGAAAAATAAAAAAAAAAAAAACCCTGTACCTCCAGCCCTCAGTGACAGCAACCCAGAAAGAATGTGAAGTATACCAAAATTACTTGTGAACTTTTAAGTCATTTTTTTCTCTTGTCATGGAAAGGAGCACGGTAACTTTTCCTGCAGACAGAAGGAGAAACCACAACCCCACAGTTGTAATCACTGTTCAAGGACACCGCACTGAAGCTGGGTGGGAATGTGCAGAAACAAGCAAATACTCCGAAAGTAAACAGTGTTTTTGTTTTTTGTTCTCTTTTTGATGTCACCAGTAAAGATTCCATCCTATTCCCCTAAAAGGCACATTACTTTTCAAAACAGTCAGACGAGAGCAAACAACGCAACTGGCGAAAGGCAAGAATCTCCTTCCCTGATACTCGCCCTGGCCTAATATTTCATCTCCCTTCAACTAGATTACCAGATGAATAGGGCAGGTCACAGGATCAGGATGAAAACGTCTGTCTGGCCTTAAGCCCTCCCAGCCCCAAGTCCAACGCTGCCTTACTTTTCCTGTTTCTGATTCTAATCCCACCCAAAGCTCGGCTCACAGATTAAACCCACCCCGACCACTGTCCCGTTCTCCGACTTCATCCTCCCCAACTTGTCCTCGAATTAGGTGTCCAAATGACTGCCAGGTAAATGAGCGAAAACAAAGACTCTGAGACCGAAGTTAGGCCAGCCACCAGCGCCAGAAAAGGAAGAGCGAACGCGGTGTAGAACACTTCAGAAGAACTAGGAAAGGTCCAAGGGCTCGTGAACAGTCTGCGCCGCGGACCTGCAAGCCCCGGCAGATAAAAGCAGAAAGGCAGGGTAGAGAGCGGAAGGAAACTCGCAGTAGAGACATTTTGGGGAGTGTTAAGAGACGCACTCCCTCTGGCGTTGAAAGATCCACAGTCAAATCCGAAATGCGCCCGAATCTAGGTAACAAGAGCAGACTCTCCATCAGCGGGGTCGCCCTCGGCCTCCCTGCACAGCCCCGGGGCTCCCCCGGAGACGCCCCTTCCCACGCCTGCAGCCTGGCCCAGCCCGGCCGAGTCCGAACTGGCGGCAAGCGCTGGCTGAGCCACTTCTCCCGACTCTGATTCCCACGCGCGGCCCCTCCCAGGACGCCCCCTGCCCTGGCTCCGCGCCTACCTGTAGCACCAGCGGCTCGGGGTTGAAGGCCAGGGTCAGCAGCAGCTGCATGCGCTCCGAGTCCTTGAGGTTGCGAAGCAGGAAGCTGCCCGAGTCCTTGGTCTCCGCGTAGCGGCGCACCAGGCGGTCGAGAAGGCGCTGCGAGGGGCAGTGCACCAGGTCCGACCAGCCCTCCACCGCCTCGGGCGTGAGCAGACGCACGTCGCCGTTGAGGCGCGCGAACTCGGTCCGGGGCATGGCCTGCAGCAGGTCGCAGCGGGGCCGGCCGGTGGCCCGCTTGCAGATGCTCTGGTCGAGCTGCGCCAGCTCGCGCTGCGAGCCGAGGCGCTTGAGCACCACTCGGCGGCGGCCGCCCTCGCGGGGCTCGCCGTACTGCGCGAAGTACACGTTCTTCACGTTGAGGAAGTCCAGCAGGCGCAAGCGGCCCCACGCCTCGAATACCACCTGCCCGTTGAGGAAGCGGCGGCACCAGCTCGTGCCGAAGCACGCCGGGCACTTATTGAGCTGCAGGAAGCGCCGGTCGGTCAGTTCGTTGCGCTGCCAAGAGGCGAGCAGCGACGGCGAGTGCAGCACCATCAGCACCAACAGGCTGCCCAGCGCCGCCAGCTTCAGCGAGCGGGACAGGCGGCCCAGCTTCGGGGGCACCAGGCGCCACATACCGCCCGCCCGCCCGCAACGGGAGGGCGAGGGCACCCCCGGGGCGCCCCCGCCGCGCCAAGACCCGGAGAGCTACCGGCAGGAACCCCGGGCGAGAGAAGGAGCTAGCGCGCGGGCTGGGGCGGAGGGCGGAGTAGGTGTGTGAGAGAGGAAGACGGGGAGCGGGAAGGCGCGGGCCTGAGCGGGCTGCGACTTCTCCCAGTCACTAGTCTCCACAACTCTCGAGCTCCCTCCTCCTAGCTCCCCGCCCTCCGACTCCGGCGGCGCCTCCTCCACGCCAGCCAAGTTATAGAGGAGCGGGAGGGGGAGGGAGCGCGGGGACCCGACGGTCGCGCGCCCGTGCCCGCGCGCACGCGCACTGCTGGCTTCGCACAAGAGCTGCGGCGGCAGCCAGCCACGACAAGTGGGGTCTGCGAGGAAAGGAGGGACTCACGGAAGGGGAAGAGGAGCTAGGATGTCTCACACCCACAAGCAGCAACGCACGTCTCAGAGCCGCACACCCTTGCTTGTGCGCGCTGGCTCTCCTGAGACCAAGAAGGGGAGCCGGGGGCGGGGCCAGAGGGGCGGAGCGAGCGCGTCGCGCGCCGCCCGGAAAGCGTAAGCGGGAGCTCGCGGGAGCGGGTGTGGGGGCGGTTCAGAGAGGGGGAAGCTCGGGCTCTTGAGGTGGGGGCATGAACTCGCGGTTTCTGGTTTCAGAAAGAGTCTTAATTACAGTCATCTTTTATGATTATTGTGGTTTACTGGTGCGTTCCTTTCACTATTGTGGAAACGGCCCTTTAAGGGAGGAGGGAATAAGAAGAAATGAACTGAGGAAGTCTATTGCAAATCCTTCCCTCTGGACGGCGCGCGAGGCGGAGGCAGAGCTGGCGCGATTGCCTCCCCTCGCCTTATATGGGTTGGGTGCGCGCCTGGGGGGTGGGGCGAGGCCGGGGAGTGCCCGACGGGGGCTTGTGTTCCCCTCAGCTCGTGCTCCTCGCGGTAGGGGGTGGGGCCTGTGAGGAAGACGGTGAGAAAGGCTCGAGTAGTGGCGGGTTTGTTGGAGCTTCATCTTTGGGGTTGTATCTGTAAAATCATTTAAAATTTTCTTGAGTGAGCACAAAATAAAGTTCTCAAGCCACCGTGTTAAAGGGAAAATAGGATGAAGGGGAACCGACGCGGCCTGGTGTCGCCAGGACGTCTGCCCCAAGCGCCGCGAAGAAGCCGGGAAGAGTTTGCCAGGCTTGCCTCTGCTGCCCGCCGGCTGCCCTAGCCCGTCCCCGGAGCCCTGCGGTTCCTCTCCGCAAAGCTGATTTCCCGGTGCCGCCCCTGAGGGTCCCTGAGGAGCGGGCCGCGAAGCGTTGCCCTGGCGGTAGCCATGGGGACCCGGGGCTGCTTGGTGCTCCGCACGGTCACGTTGACTCAGTCACCCCAGACTGCAAAAGTAAGGCGCAGATGCCGCACGAAAGCACTGTGTTTAGGGATAAGTTTCAGGGGACCCGGACTGTTTAGCAGTAGCGCTAGTAGATACATTATTATGCTATTCACTTTTAGTGCTAGAGTAGTTAAAATGAGAAGTGATTTTTAGTCTGAGGGACAGGTGGTTCCTGATACGTTATTAAACAACTGAGTCTTAACTGAGTTAATTTTAGGGCTTGAACAGTGCTTTTAGAAGACCATGGTAACTGGCATGTGTAGATCAACTCTACAGCGGGTTAATAAGAAACATCTATACCAGGTTATCAAAAGTAACAATACTTTCAGTATTGTTTAATTGTAACAGGTATTTGTTACAAATTCTTATAAGAACTCAGATTTTGAAAAAAAAACTTTGAGAAATTTAATAAATTCAAAATAGACGTGATTTTGTAACGATTTGCATTGAATACGGACAGACAAATTGAAATAATATTCAAAGCTTTCTAGAAATTGACTTACTGTACTTAAGTTTGGCTACTTCTGCCTAGTGCCTTATGCCGCCTTTGGTGGGAATTTTATTTAACTTGCTTTCAAATATCCCCAAACTCCATATAATATAGAGTTAAAAGCTCAAGTGAGATTTTCTTAGGAAAAGGAGTTTGGTGTGATGGTTCTGGAGACCTGTGCTGTAGTTCAGCTGTGAGGCTGCTGCTGCTGCTGAATTGTAAACAAAGCAAGTTATTACTTAACTACAAATTTCTTCTTTCTGACATCTTTTCTATATGCCTCATAAATTTGTTCGATTAATAGTAGACAATCTATTTAGAATTGGTTTAAAACAATAAAAGTACTACATAAGTTGCCATTAAACTGATTAAGCTGAGAGAACCGGGGCATAGTGAGACTATTTAGGTAACTAGTAACAGGATTAAGGAGGTACCTGTACTGCTTCTTTGTATCGAATAGGTCTTTGGAGTTCTTAAACTATTCTCAGCCTCCAGATGCTTGGAATTGTATAGGCATCATTTGAAACATGGAAATAAAACACGGTTACTAGTCTACACAATTTGAATTTTGAAAAACATTTGCTCTGCATCTAAGTAGTTTACATTTGTTTAAAAGCTCTGATCTTTTCAGTTAAATTTTCTAGATGTTTATCAGGAGAGATAGTTTTCAAGAACTTAATACATTCATCAAAAGGAAAAAAGTCTTAGAACTATACAAGATAAACATATAGTGTTCCAAAGTGCCATATTAAGGTTTGCAAAATATCTCTTAATTGGGGCCAGGCACGGTGGCTCACCCCCGTAATCCCAGCACTTTGGGAGGCCGAGGCAGGCGGATCACGAGGTCAGGAGATCAAGACCATCCTGGCCAACACGGTGAAACCCTGTCTCTACTAAAAATACAAAAATTAGCCAGGCATGGCGGCGCACGCCTGTAGTCCCACCTACTCGGGAGGCTGAGGCTGGAGAATTGCTTGAACCCAGGAAGCGGAGGCTGCAGTGAGCCGAGATGGCGCCACTGCACTCCAGCCTTGGCGACAGAGCAAAAACTCCGTTTCCAAAAAAAAAAACTCTAAGTGAAGGTTAATGTGCATTACTCACCTTTCCTATAAACTACAGGATGCTTTCAACCAGTGGATCATTTAAAGTTCTTGACCATTATTTTAAGTAATGGCAAATAATGTAATTTCCAGTGCATTGTAAAATGTCATTTTACAGTAACTATCACTGTTTTAAATATTATCAGATGGAATTAAATACCATAGTAGTTTGATACTAACATCCATTTTGATAGTCAAAGTTTTACATTGTATTACTATTCTATTCTCTACTGCAGTGGTTCTCAGCAAGGGACTGTTGCCTCCCAGGGGCCAGTTGGCAATGTCTGGAGACATTTTTGATTTCATAAACTAGGGAGTGGGGTACTACTGTTGTCTAGTGGGAACATGCCAAGGATGCTGCAAAATATCCTACATTGCAAAAGACAACCCCCAACAACAAGAAATTAACCCACTCAACATCTCAATAGTGTGCTGTTGAGAAACCCTGACTAACAAGAATTCTATATAGTACGGTTTTAGGCATAAGCCTTATTGGTTATCCTTTCCTGCAGCAAAAAATATGTGTATACCGTTGTCCCTTGAACAACACAGGTTTGAATTGTACTCATACATAGATTTTTTTCAACCAAATGAGGATCAAAAATATAGTATATGCTGTATATGAAACCCAAGGACAGCTGACTTTTACTGTAAGCAGGTTCTGCAGGACTAGCTGCAGAACTTGTGTATGAGAGGATTTTGGTATACCGGGGGTCCTGGAACCAATCCCAGGTATATACCAACAGACAACTGTATTTAAATTTTGTGTATATCCTGTGATCATAATCTCCTAAATGCTAACATAGGAATTTTTTGTATGATTACAACTATAATTAGTGTTCAGCTGATCAAAATAACAAATATCCCAATTTGAATAAATATAAAAAGTAACATTTTATTGAAATGTATTTCTTAATTAGCTTGGGCATTTTTTTAAAATTAGGTTTCCATGAACAAATATTATTTATTGCTAGAATCAGACGAAGTCTAACATCAGTTTTCTCTCTTCTTCGCTTTTAGAGATGTAAGGGCCAAAACATCTTCATTTATGTTTAAAAATAAAAAGAATGTTTATATAGCAATTTCATTCATTTCTTTTTATTCCTTTTGACTAGAATCATTTACCGATAGTGATCTATCATCAGAATATTCTGAATGACATACCAATTAGGTTTTCCAAGTTAGTTGGATTTAGAAGCAAAGCATTGGAAGCCCATCCTGGAAAATGATTTTTTTACTTGGGTATTAGAATTATTTTATCATATTGACTATATTCAGTGCTCTGGCAGTCATGTCCTGAGACAGTGCACTATAGTAAGATTCAGGGTGGATAAGAGGTATTCGTTTTGTAAAGTCCAAAAAGATAATTTCCTGTATACTAAAGAACCCAGAACAGTGTCTGGTTTAAGTGGTTTGTTCCAGTAGTAGGTGGATTAACAATTGAAGGAATAAACACTTTCAGTATTATTGTAATAATCCAAACTAGAAATGATGGGTATTAGCTGGTTAAAAAAAAAAAAAAAAAAAAGCTAGCACATTCTGGATATATTGTGAACGTAGAGCTAACAAAGTTTACTCAAGATTTTAATGTGAGAGAAAGGCAAGCATCAGGTATTATGGCATGGTTTTTGTCTTAAACTATTGTAAGAATTACCATTTGTCTAAGCCCTTTGGGGCTGCTGGAACAAAAATATCTTAGACTAGTGGCTTATAAACAACAGAAATTTCTTTCTCACAGTTTTGGGGGCAAGTCCATGATCAAAGTGCTTGCAAATTTTGTGTTGGGTGTTTTCCTCATTCATAAATGTTTCTGCTGTGTCTTCGCATGGCAGAAGGGACAAGGGAATCACTCTGGGGTCTCTTTTATAAGAATACAAGTCACCTCCCAAAGGACCCACCTCCAGATACCATCACATTGAGGATTAGGGCTCAACATATGAATTATGGCACAAGGGGGTGGGGGTGCAACTGACACAACCATTCAGATCCTAGCACCATGTACTGAGATGAGGGAGACTGAGAGGAAAAGGATGAGGAAGATGCAAGTACAGTTCACGTGTCCATATTCTTCAGTGTCCATTTATGTTTCAATTACCTGATTTATGTGTGTTAGGAGAGGTACCTTAAGGACCAGTTTTGTTAAAGGGTTTTTTTTTTAATCTGTTTAGCATTTTAACCGAATTTTTAAAACATCTTATTGTATTTTAAATCCATAACTCTCTACATAGGTATTTTCTAGGACAGATTCTGTATCAAACAGTTGGCTTCATTGGTTGTAAAAATAGAATTGTCAAACATACATACTAAAACCATGATTTTGCTTGAAATAATTGAATCACATAATTTTCTGACCTTGTCAGAATAATACAAATTAGCCCAAATGCAACTGTAACATTATAATTCATGATTTATATTAATTCAAAATATTATGCAGTGTTATAGTTTTCCACATTGACTAGGTTAATAGAGAGGCACATTTTCCTTTTGCTCAGTACATTTTTAAAACTTGTTTTTTTCCAGTTTGTTTCAGCACAGAACACAATATTTACAAATATTTAAAAAATTAACACATCACTGAGAGGGGACTTATGTACCCACTTGTTAAGATCTTTTGAAAATTAAGTCATGTATGTAGGTATAAATTAACATTACAATAGTCTATTTTAAAGATTGGCATGCATTCTAACAGTGTGGTTTATTTAGTTCCAACCATGTACAAGATTCTGGGTGTGTGGTTTCTCAGAGTCCAGTGGAGGAGGCAGATACATGCATACCAACATTCATTACATGTTTGTGACAAATAGATAAAATAAATATTAAAAGAGCACAAACAAAAAATTCCTGTAGCTATAGATGTTATATTTGCACTTATATGACTCCCCTCAGGAGAATAGGCTGTGTACACTAGGAGAATTTTGCTGCTGCTTTGTCAACTGTTTTTCTCTCAAGCCTCACATCCTAAGTCTCCTACCTTTCCTCATTCTGACTTGTGCAAATGGTGTTCCTGCCACCTCTATGGATGATGGAGGCTACACAGCTCTTCTCTCTGGGCAAGCATGCCAGAGATCTTGGAGAACAGCAACTGCCTGTTCAGAGCAAAAGCATTCATCCGGATAACAAAAGTGCCACCTTCTTTCTGACTCAGTTTTCTTTACCAGGCTCCTTTTGTAGAAACCACTTGTATAGGTAAAAGACCTGCTATAGTCTTCAATCTAATGGCCGTGCCAGTTTTAAAGGTCAGCCACAGCTGGGAGAGAGAGGCCAGGTAAGTGTTACACTTGGGTATCAAATATAATGTGTATTTAATGTTCAAAATGATATAGTCCAGAAATGTCCATTTTGTTTTCTTCTTACAAAAGGACTTATAAAACTCTATAGGCAAATAATTAAGATATCTAATTTTGGGGAACTAACTATAGAGATGTCTTATTATCCAGTGTAGTCTAATCAAGGAGTATGGCCAGTAGAATTATGGGTTCACCCAAGAGAGTCTCCATCTTTGAACTATAATTGATACACTGGTCTATCTGATTTGACACATCATCACCTTCTCCTCTGTCCTTTGCAGCTTCATGCCTTTCTGTAGATTGATATCCAGGACATTTTTCTTTTATATTTGGGAAATGGTAAAGTTCTAATTATTTTTTGACAAATCAGGAATTAAAATTTAAATTACATCAAATGAAATAGAAATATGACATACTGTTTTGTTATAATTAGGTTTCCTTGAAGAATTTGCCTGCTACTTAGAAAATAAAACTTGAAAAATTATAAATAAGTGAAATATATTTTGTGCTGATTTAATCATAAGATAACCAGACCATAAGAACTTGTTGGCAAACTGAAAGTAACAATTTAATGGATTAAACTAGGATATCATGATATATTTAATTATTCTAAGATAAAGTGACCCCTAATTGCAGTCATCAGTATGCAGGTTAAATAAATACAGTTATTGGAGTTCTAAAAGGAATGTTAAACTCTGTAAAAATCATTACATCATTCGATAGTTAACGTGTATGTCTATCCATTTTTTTGGAATGTATCATCCTACCAAAATGACTACCAATGAATTGCATTTTTACATTGTTTTTCCACATAACACTGGAAATAGATTGCAAAGGACATTTCAGGGAAAATTCTAAGAAAATAATTATTTTAAAAATTACTTTCCTCCAGTCATGGTGCCTGATGCCTATAATCCCAGCTCTTTGGGAGGCCAAAGCAGGCAGATCACTTGAGCCCAGGAGTTTAAGACCAGCCTGGGCAATGTGATGAAACCCTGTCTCAACAATAAATACACACACACACACACTCACACACACACACTAGCCAGGCATGATGGCGCGCACCAGTAGTCCCAGCAACTTGGGAGGTTGAGATGGGAGGATCACTTGAGCTCAGGAGGTCGAGACTGCAAGTGAGCCATGTTCCTACCACCGTACTCTAGGTGACAGAGCAAGACCCTACCTCAAAGAAAAAATTACTTTCAGATTCCACAGATTTTTCTAAGTCAGTATTAAAAGAAAAATATTTTTCAAATAAAACATTAGCCTATGTTTTTTATAATTTTTCTATTGTTGGCATATAGAAATAAAATTGCTTTTTTAATATTGTCTTTGCAATTAGGAAAATTGCTAATAGTCATCACCATTAACTACTGCAGTAGTTTCTTTTGGGTTTTCCATACAAATGTTATATAAATTATAATAGCATCATTTTTAAACCTTTCAAATACCTAGGCATAAATTGAAGGAAGGATGTACGTCTCTACACTGAAAACTACAAGTCAATATTGAGCGAAATTAAATATCTAAATAAATAAAAGTATATAATGTGTTCAAGGATTACTGGATTTAATACTGTAAAGATAACAGATGTAAAAATGTTAATTTATAATTCAATATAACCCTCATCAAAATTCCAGCAAATTAAAATACATATATTGACAAGCTGGCTGGGCACAATGGCTCACACCTGTAATCCCAGCACTTTGGGAGGCCGAGGTGGGCAGATCACTTGAGCTCAGGAGTTCAAGACCAGCTTGGGCAACATAGTGAGACGCAGTATCTAGAAAAAAAAATAAAATAGCAAGGGGTAGTGGCACCTGCCTGTAGTCCCAGCTACTCAGGAGGCTGATGTGGAACGATTGCTTGACCCTGGGAGGCAGAGATTGCAGTGAGCCAGAATTGCGCCATGCACTCCAGCCTGGGTGACAAAGCATGACTTGGTCTAAAAAAAAAAAAAAAAAAAAAAAAAAGACAAGCTTAAAGTTCACGTAGATATACAAAAGGCCACAAATAGCCAAGCCAATTTTGAAGGAGAGCAAAGCTGGAGGATTCAATGGATTCGAAGTACCATCATAAAGAATTAGTAATTGAGACATATTTGTTCAAAACAGTGAGATGAACTAATGGAACAGAATAGAAAATAATATAAAAACATACAGATCAGCTGACTTATGGCAAAAGTGACATCAATGCAGTGAGAAAAGGTGGTCTTTTCAATGAATGATGCAAGGTGAAGTGAATGTCACATAGGAAAAAAATGTATCTTGACTAGTAATTCACATACCACACTGTGCACAAAGAGTGATTCTAGAGTGGTGGCGTAACCAAATGTGCATAAAAACAAAGCCTTAAAACAAGAGGACATTTGCATGACCTTTGATAGGCAGCAGTTCCCCAAAACCCCCCTCAGGTTTAGTAATTCACTAGACAAACAGAACTCAGCAGAGTTATTATACTCATAGTTTGCTATATCAAAAGCTTATAGATTAAAATTAAATAGAAGGAAGCACATAGGGCAAGGTCCAGGAGAGACCAGACAGAGCTTCCAGTTGTCTTCTCCCAGTGGAGTTGTGTGGACAGTGCTTACTTATAGCAAAGATGTAATGGAACCTTGTGGCAATGGAACCAGGGAAGCTCAACCAAGCCTTGGTGTCCATTGTTTTTAGAGGACTGGAGGTGGGAGTGGGGAGGGTATCAATGGCGTAATTATGGCTCACTTCTCACATTGCTGACCTTGGAGTTGCCAGCCTCTCCAGAGGTCAATGTGATACCACATGACCCAAGGTCCCAACCATAAATAACAGTGTTAGCATAAACTGGTGATGCAGTTTGAGTATTTGTCCCTACCCAAATCTCATGTTGAATTGTAATCCTCAGTGCTGGAGGTGAGCCTGATGGGAGGTGTTTAGTCAAGGGGGCAGATCCCTCATGGCTAGGTGCTGTCTTCGCGATAGTTCTCGCAAGATCTGGTCATTTAAAAGTGTGTGGCACTCCCCACCCCCACTCTCGCTTGCTTGCTCCTGTGTTCCCCTGTGATAGTTCTGTTCCCTCTTCTCCTTCTACCATGATTGAAATCTCCCTGAGGCTTCACCAGAAGCTGAGCAGATGTCAGCATCATGCTTCTTGTAGAGCCTGCAGAACCGTAAGCCAATTAAATCTCTCATCTTTATAAATTACTGAGTCTCAGTTATTTCTTTATAGCAGTGCAAGAATGAACTAACAACTGGCATGGCCTAAGGCATCCAGGTAAACAAAGTTACTCTCATGAAGCAGGACATTCCAAGGGTTTACAGATTACCTGCCAGGGGTAAGGGCCATAGCTTGCTTTGAACAAGCTCAATCCTTTACTATATGTAGGCAAAGACAAAATACTCTAACCGTAAAGATTTTTAAAATGAGCAACTGGCCTGTATTAACCTTTATTCATTAAAAGAATGATTAGACAACTCACAGAGTGAAAGAAAGTATTTCCAATACATATATTTGACAAAGGACTGGTATCTATTCAGACTATATAAAACACTAATACAAATTAATAAGAAGCCCAATTAGAGGGTCCAGGAAGTAAACAACAGGTGAAAGATTTTTAAAGTCACTTCAAAAAAGAAGATATCCAAGTCTCAACCTCTTTAGTTATCAGCCTAATGTAAATTAAAACCATAATGTAATACTACGGTGTACCTAGCAAACTGGCTAAAATGAAATAGATGGACAGTAACAGAGTAGACAGAGATATGGAGCAATCACACCTCTCATACATTGCTGGTGGGAGTCTGAATTGGTACAACCACTTTGGACAGCTGTTTGGCAGTATCTACTAAAGATGAACATATTCATACCCCATGGCTCAGCAATTCCACTTCTAAGTGTTTATCCACAAGAAAATGCATGCATTCATTTACCAGCAGACATAAATTAGAATGTTCATAGAACACTATTCATAATAGCAAAAAACTGAAGACTATTCAAATGTTCATTAAAGTTCATTAATAAAGACACCAAAATTCCACACAGTGGAATACAATACAATGAAAATGGTCTACCACTATAAAATATGGATGAATCTCAACATGTTAAGAAAAAGTCAGACACAATAGAATACCTTATGATTCCATTTATATAAAGTACAAAATCGGTAATTTGAAATAAGGATAGCAGTTATCTTTGGCAATACAGGAGGCATGTAGTGAGTGGAGGGTGCACAAAGAGTTTCTGGGATCCCATTCAAGTTCTGCTTCTCGAGCATTATATTGGTTATACAGGTGTTTTCAGTTTGTAAAAATTCAGCAGTTCACAGGTTTTAAAAACTTCATTAGTTAAATTTACATCTATCAGATAATATCATGAGAAACATATTCTAATGGAAACAGTTGGAGTGACTTACTCTGCACCTGATAAAAATTTAAGTTTCAGTTCCCCTCACTTTCATGAGACCCTGTAAGTGCAGGGAGTTTCTGGGAATAGTAATGAGTCCTAGGTACAGAGTGGAAGCCAGGTTTCAGTCAGAAGCATTTCTGTGTAAACATGCCTGGTTAAATTGCCTAAGGAGACCTCAGAAGAAAGGTATCTGAATTACCTCACTGATGTTTTCTCATTCTAAATAAATACTCACTTTAAACCTAATTTTGTATTTATTTTGTATTCTTTTTCTTAAATATGAACCACCACCACCATCCTCCCCTCTACACACATACACACGCATGGTGTAAATTTCAGGTCTGGCAAATCTAGATCTCTAAAGAGAAGAGTTAGATGTGGTTTGATTTTTTAACACTATCATCAAGTTATTTTCATTATTTTCCTTACAGTAATATACTTCATTTCTGTTCAAGAAAATTTTTTTAAATACTCAGAATAAATAATCATACTTATTGTTCCAACTAAAACTATGAAAAAAGCCCCTATTTGAGATTGCAACTCAAAGAATTACACAAATGCTTTTCCTAAAGATATTGTACTTCAGTATTATTCATATTTCCCATTCACACAAAATGTTAAAAGAATGTACACTCAATAAAATGAGTATTTATTTTTCTGTGTCTCATTCTGTCCCCTAAGCTTGAGTACAGTGCTACAATCATGGCTCACTGCAGCCTCAAACTCCTGAGCTCAAGTGATTCTCCCACCTCAGTCTCCTCAGTAGCTGGAATTGTAGGCGTGGAACACCATACCAGGCTATTTCTTTTTTTTCTTTCTTTTATTTTTTTTTTAATTTTTTTTTAGAGACAGGGTCTTGCTATGTTGCCAAGGCTGGTCTTGAACTCCTGGCCTCAAGGAATCCTCCCCCATCAGCCTCCCAAAGTGTTGGGATTGCAGGCATTAGCCACTGTGCATGACCAGTAGATCTTAGTAAGCTTTTAAAAGGCATTTTCAAATTAAACTGTTTTTCATTTTTAAATGTATGTTCAAGGAAAAATACAATGACTTGATTCATGCTAGCAGTTTTACTCACTATTGTTTTTGAACCATTGATGCAAATGTCAACGCAGGAGTTCTGAAATAAATTATGGTGTTCAAAATATTTTTTTAACATTTTAATATTTTAGTGCAACTTGCATTTAATGCCAAATATTCAAATAAAAGATCTTTGATGATTACTTGGTGCTGATATTAGACAAATACAAGCAAAAGAGCAAGTCCAGCAAAATCATTACAATTCTGTAGACATCAATCCAGTCTTCCTTTTTGTAATTAAATCTTTCATTCAAAAAGTTACTATGTTTGGAAAATGGAGCTTTCATGATTACTTTTAGTGACTTTTCATCCAGCAGGCATTCAACAATGCAATCTGTATATGGCTTAGTATTTTGTATGGCTTAGTGTTTTGTTGCACTCTAGCCAATGCTATACAATAATTCATCCTGTAAAATGTTTCAGTAGCTTTATCACTTGTAATTTCAAATGCCATAATAATTTTTGGCTTTAAGGAGCTTATCTCTGTTTAAATATTCAATTTCTTTTTCATAAAACTATGATCTCAAAATGAAAGTATAACTTATCTGAAAAGGTTTTGTTACATGAGACACAATAAGATAACTTATTAACATCTATAGGGGCAAGGAAAATATAGCTTTTCTCATATTTTTTATTTCTTATTTACATTATACTCAGTTTATTTGAGTAGATTACTTCCTTCCATGAGTCAGAGGACTCTCTTATGTCTGAATTTTACTTTTTTTTTTTTTTTGGCGCCATTAGACATGATGCAGATGCAGGTTGAAACAGCAATTCTTCTAATCTCCCTTTTTAAATCAATGATCCATCTATTTCCCATGCTCCTCATTCAAGTGTCCATCTTGTGCCATTTTTCTTTTGCATTTCTTTCTTTACAATTTCTGGTACTGCAGCCTATTAATGATGCTATTTGTCAAGTTTTTAGTCTGATAAAGTATATCACCTCAAGTTTTGAAAGATATTTTCTCTAGAAGTAAAATTGTAGGTTGACTTTTTTCAAAAAAAATATTTTGTTTCATTGTCTTCTGCCCTGCATGGTTTCTGAGAAGTCTGCTGTCATTCCTAGCTTTATTCCTCTGTATGTTATGTGCCTTGTTTCGCTGCATTAAAATTTTTTTCTTTATTACTGGTTTTCAGCAATATGATTATTATGTGTTTTGGTGTGGTTTTCTTTATACTTCTATTTGGGAGGTATTGAGCTGCTTGAATATGTAGGTTTCTACTTTTGTCAAATTTGGACATTTTTTACCCAACATTTCTTTAAATATTTTCCTCCATCTCTTCCTGTGACTCCAATTACACATAACAGAGCCTTTTTGAAATTTTCCCACAAGCCACTAGCACTGTTGATGTTTTTTTCTCAATCTATTTTTATGTTTCATTTTGGATAGATTGTATTGCTGTGTCTTCACATTCACCAGTCTTTTCTTCTGTAGTATCTATTCTGCTGTTAGTACTATTCAGTATATTTTTCATTTCAGATAAGTATTTTCCAATTCTAAAAATGCTATGTGGTTCTTTTAAATGCACATAAAAATGAACACAGAAAAACTACTGAAGTGAAATACCATGCAAGTAACTACAAGAAAAGATGGCTATAAAAACAAAATAATCCTGTAGACAATGAAACCACACTAGAAAGACATACTCAACATATGCAAATCATTTTAAAATGAACTAAATGATGTTAAGAAAACAATATGAGACGTTAAAAACAACATAAATCAGAATTAGAAAAATTCAGAAATGAGCTGATTACAGCTCACAAAAGAAAGAATTAATGAATAAACCAGAAAAAATATAAAACAAAACATATGTGCACACACGTATGTTCCCCAAACACAACAAATAATTCCTTATAAGGAATAATAAAAGGGGGGATTTTTAAAAACCAAACACAAGATGAAGAAGCAAAAAGGATTTGAGAGAGAATGACAAAGATTGAAGGTAAGAAAATACAATGTACCTATATAGGAGTCCCCACCCTCCCCCCCAAAAAAATCTAGGGAGTAAAACAATTATTTAAAACTTGCTGAAAATACCATTGTGAAATGCACATTAAAAGATCACACTCTTCTCTGAGAATAACAATCCAGAAAAAAACAGAACCAATACATATCCTAGAAAAATTACTAGACTTTAAAGAAAAAATTCTTTAGGAATCCAGAGGAAAATAGCACATGTTATACAAGGACATCAATATTATCAAATAGTCTTAATTTTCTTAAGATACTCAACAAAAGAAAATTTTAGCCAAGGATTTTATATCATGCAAAACTAATCTCAAGTATAAATGGCAGAGTCAAACTGTAGAGCATGAACTCAGAAACCATTTTTCCCATGAGCACTTCCTAGGTAATCTGCCAGACAGCAAGACTTAGACATCCGAAATGACTTGACAGAGCAATCCAAGGACTGGAAAAGAGCATTAAAAATACAGTTACTTTAGAAGTAAGAAGAAATAAAAGGTAAAAGGAGAGATTATAGTACGTAATAGCTATGTGATCTGAAAGAGTAGAGAATATTTTTTAACTGGAGGAGTGGTGAAGAATAGCTAAAACATATGCAAAACTATTTTTGTTTAACATTCAGTAATCATAATTAGTAGTTATGCTATTAATAGTGTTATTTTAAGACTGTTGTATTATAAAATGGGATAAAGCAAATGAATAATTGTATTCTAAATATATCATTTTCTGTGACCTTGAGAACCAGGATTCTCAGTGTGGAAGAGAGGAGATACAGATGTAAAATAAAAGAAGTAAAAGCCCTGTAGAAAAAAAATTTCTACAATCCTAGAAAAGAATTTATAATTTATAAAATCCTAAAAGAAAAAAAAATCACCAAACAGTAGCAAACAGCAACACTAGCTCCCAAAATTGCAATAAGAATATGTTCTTGTTACTGGATTCTGGCCAAAGTAATGTGGTAGAAGTGATATACCCACTTCCAGTTCTGGCAATAAAATGTTTCATGAGATCTTCCACTTTCTTGACAAGCTAAAATCAGTATACAAAAATTTCTGAGAGACCATAGGAGATAGCTTGAACTAATCTGTTATTTTCTAAATATGAATATATCTAGGTGATAGCTTATATTTATTCCTCTAGAGGGCATAGCCTTTTATACCAGAAGGTAGCTTCTTCAGGGGTAATTTTCTACTTTCTGAGGCCTGAGTATGGTCAAATCCCACTTATATATCCTTAAACTGCAGGTAAAAGGTAATACTGAAGTATTGCTGGGTAGTTCAAATAGAAAACATTTTCATTCACCTACCTTCTACCATGTAGTAATCCTGAATCATCAACACCTTCCAACTATTAATATTTTTAAGTCAGCCCAATCATTTGATGATAATTTCATTCCAATCTTGTCCCTTTGGACAATTTCTTTTTCAATACTGTGTACTGGCTCTTGACAAAGGGTTATTGTTTCTTGTTCTTCTGGATAAAAACACAGCTAATCTTTGCATCCTCATGGTATTTTAATTATAAACTGGTTGCTAACTCCTGGTTACCACTTTCTGTTACTAAATATATCTCACTTGTTTCTTGAAACCACTTTTGACATAGTTGTTTTTTTTTTTAATAAAATGGGGTTTTGTGGTTTTTCTCTTAAACATCTAAAGAATTTGTGGCTGTGGCATTTATATATATATATTTTTTTCAGATTGGTTGTTGTAACTAGTGATAAAGTGCTGAATTATATCGATGTATTAAAATGTGCCCTAAGCAGTTAAATAACACCACATTTTAGATTTCAAAATTCTATTGAACTGCTCTAAAATCTCAGACTTAACCAAATCACTGTTGACAAAATGATGGATGTTATACTTCTTTAAGAGTTTCCTTATGGGATTATTTAAAATTCTCCCTGCCTCCTCCCCCATCTGTCTGGAGTGCCTGTACTACCTTGACCCAAATCAAATATTGTTTTAGGAGTTTGGGTAACATAATGACCTCCTTTGTCTTTTAGGCCTGTGGCTCTGGTAAAGTTTGAAAGTACCTTATTGGATGTTAAAGCATCCCTTGTTACACTTGTAACACTGGCTCATATTCTCCAGGTTTATGTGTCTATATAATTCTCTATCTAGAATCACCCTATTGTTCTCTTAAAATGGAAAAAATGTGCTTTATTGTGGAGAGCATAAACATTTTTTTACTTAAACATTGTACTATCTGATTCATATTTACTTTTCTGCCCCTCCTAACGTCTTCTGGAAGACAGGAGACATAGCCCCTTATCCAACAAATCCCCACAAACAGTAAATCTTCCTAAACAAATACTATGCCTTGTTTACATCTGGGGAGTTTATTGAAATAGTATCTACATTCATTTCCTAGGCTGGCTTAATAAAATATCACAAACTAGGTGCCTTTAAAAAATTACCCAGAAATCTATTTTCTCAGAGTTTTGGAGACACCTAAAACCAAGGTGTTGGCAGGCCTCCACTCTCTTTCTGAAACTTGTTGGGAAATCCTCTCTTACCTCTTCCTAGCTTTTGGTGATTTGTCAGCAATCTTTGGCATTCTTTGGCTTGTAGATGCATCACTCCAGTTGTCTGTGTCTTCACGTGGTTCTCTCCTTGTGTCTCCTGTTAGAAGCATTCCTCCCTTTGAAACTCAAAACTCTGGACCAGCAAAGCATAAGGTGCAGAAATGTTATGCTTTTAATGTGTCCCTTCCAAAATTCAGCCATTGCCAAGTGATAGTATTAGGTGGTGGGGTCTTTAAGAGGTAATTGGGCGATGAGGGCTCCTCCCTCATAAATAGGATTAGGTGCCTGTGTGAAAGAGCTTGAAGAAGGGAGTTTGTCCCTCTTGCTCTTCCACCTTCTGCTATGTCAGAACACAGTGTTCCTCCCCTCCAGAAAATGCAGCAACATGGTGTCATCATGAAAACAGAAAGCAGCCCTTACCAGACAACTGAACCTGCCCGTGCGCTGATCTTGGACTTCTCAGCTTCCAGAACTGTGAGATATAAATATCTATTCTTTGTAAATTACCCAGTCAGTAGTATTCTGCTACAGCAACACAAATGGTCTACTGCAGAAAGGGAAGCAAAAATTTTGCTAGTGTATCACTAGAAGTAACTGGTGCCACTCCCCTGTTCTCTAGGAGGGTATTTATATCTAAATCTGTCCAATACATGGTGTCTTTTTCTTCCATAGCCAGGATTCACAGTTCCAGGAAACAAGGGGTAGAAATAGGAATTAATGCTATTGCTGTTTAATGCAACTGTTTCCATATTCTAAATGTTGACCAACAATAGAGTTTTGCTGACTATTTAAAATTAACTCTCATAAAAAAAACCTGTCAGCCATAAATATATCATAGTTACTAATATAAATATATAATTTGGTTGTTAACACTTGAATTTAAAGGAGACTTGAGTTGCAGTTTATTTGTGCCTTATTGGATGTCTTTACAGTTATTTTATTTCTCCCATCAGTCAGTGGAAAACAAAACTTAAAACTTTTTGTAAGTTTCCTAACAGATTTAGTCTGTCCACCTCAAATACATATGTTATGTCTCCATGAGAGAGGAAAAAAGGATAAAACAAACCACATTAACAGCTCAAAAATAAATAATAAACATCATCAGAGAAACAAGTACAAAAAAGAAAACAGGTAAGACTTTTAGACTTCATGCCCTTTAGTTTAAAATACTTTCCACAAATGTGTCCTAGTGAGGGTAGCATCATTGCCATTTGCCATGAGTTCTTGAGTATGAGATACATGACATTTACTAAAAGAATAGGGATAGTATTCCTTGATTTATTGTATTTTTCTTTCATATATAATGTTGTTGTTTATAAAATACCTTTACAAGAGTATTTCGCTTATCAACACAGGAGACTTTTGAGATAGATTGCCTTTTTTACAAATAAGGAAGTTGAGGTTCAGGGCAGTTAAACAATTTGTCTTCAATCACACAACAGTTTAGTGGCAAATTTGAAAATTAAAGTTCTGGTTTTTTCTACTATAACTCAGCTTTTCAACAATTTTACAAACTGAATATCCTCTTGTGACTATTATAATAGAATGTACTTGATGTATTAAAATTCTCCGTGGAAGCTATCAAAAATAATGCTAACTTTATTAACTAATTTTTAAAATACAATAGCATAAAAATAAATTTTTATTCATAATTTACTTACTAAAAATACTTTTGGATTGTTTGAAAATTAAAATACAGGATAAAACCATTTTAAGAGAAAACACAGTTATAGCTGAAAATGATCATTTCTTTGTCATAAGAAGACCTTTCTCATTATAGTCTAAAAAGACCTCATGCATCATCCAATATACTTTTCATGGTTGCTTTACACGTGCCTGCCAAGAACATTTTAAAATTTGTAGGGGGCAAGTTTTCTCTTAGGTACATTTTCTGTAGTAAATAATTGTAATTACATTATCAAGTGCTAGTATAATTTAGAGGTCACAGGTATAACTCCTAGAGAAGGTAATTCACTGTGAAAGGAAATGACTGCCCCACTTTGTTTAAAAACAGTCCAATATGTTAAACTTGAGGGGAAAAAAACCACTCCTCTCAGTATAGCTGATGATCTAAATTTATTTCTGCAGCCCTGACTGCTTCTGTGAACTCCAGATGTACATATCTGCCAAATGGTCCCGCCCACTAGGATGATCATTAGGCACCTTTAATTTAACATAGCCCTACTAGAACTTATGTGTCAGCTTGTTATCTCCATCTTGGAAGATGGATAAAATTAAAACATTCTTATTTCTTCTTTCCTTCACATCCACATTCAGCCTATCAGCAAGTACTGCTGGACACTTTCAAAGTCTATTCTAAGTCCAGACACTTGTTGAAACCTTGACTGCTACCACCCTAATCCAAGTTACTGTTATCTCTCACCTGACCTATTGAAGTTGTCTCCTAAATGCCTGTCTGCTTTTACCCAACCATTACCTATCACTCAGTCTCTAGATGGAAGCCAGAGTGATATATTTATTATGTAAATTGGAACATACCTGTTACTCCACAGCCCAAAACTTTTGAATGGTTTCCCATCACATCTGGAATATGGCTCAATGTCCTTACCTTGGCCTAAGGGCCTACATACCATTCTGGCTTCATCTTATACTGCTGTCCCCTTAACACTGGCCTAGTCATGCTGTCCTTCCAACTCTTACTAGGAACACACCAAGCTGGCTCAAGTCTCAAGGCTTTTCCACTTGCTATTTCTTTCACCTGTCTCCAGAGATGTTTGCATGATTCAGTTCTTCACCTCATTCATGTATCTGTCAAATGTCCTCTATGAAGCTTTTTTCTGATTGCTTTATTTAAATTGCAATGCTCTCCACCACTCAATTCCTTTTTACCCCTTTATTCATTTTTTTCCTTGCAAGTATTTATTTTCTGTTTTCATATGAATTGTCCCTCCTACAGGAATAGGAGCTTTGTCTTTTTCATGGCTCCATCCCCAGTGCCTGGTACAGTGCCCAGTGCTTAGATAGAAATAAACATTTTTGAGTAAATGGATGAATGCATTTATTTAAATAATTCGTAGTTCTAAAATTGAGGCAAAATGGTTTAATTTTAAAATGTGTAATGCTAGCTTAATAAAGAGTTATTTTGCTTTGGAAAAATTTCAATCAGCTAAAATTGTAAGCCAATTTGCTTCTCTGAAAAGAGTCGATCTGCTCAGTGAAACAAGCATTAATTGGCACATCTGGTGGCAGGTGCAGGCATTGCAAAGATAAGGCCTAAGAAAACCTAATTTGTCTTCATCTACAGCAAGCAGCTTGCAACTGGGGCCACACATTATAATCACCTGGGGAGGTTATAAAATTCTGATGAGTAGGCAAAACTCGAGAACAAGTAATTCAGAATATTTGAGGGATCCAATTGGGACATCATTAACTTTTTTTTTTTTAAGTTTCCCAACTGATTACAATAGATTGAGAATACTGAGATTACAAGATTGAGAATCACGGATGTGTTCTATGAGGTATGGGGTTTGTGGAAAACTATTCCTGATGCTAACACCAGTATGGAAGGTATTCAAATACCTGTTAAATGAATTAATGAGTGAGTGAATGAATGTAAAAAGTGTTGATGGCCAGTTGACCTCATGAGCACTATCTGAAAAACCATTCAAAGACATTAGCCTACTGATGCGGTTGCCAGATTTAGCAAATAAAAATACAAGACTCCCAGGTAAATCTGGAATTTAAATAAACAAGGAACTCTCTTTAGTAACATATATCTCAAATATTTCATGGGACATACTTATACTAAAAACGATACTATTTGTCTGTGATTAAAATTTGACTGGACATTCTGTATTTTATCTGGCAACTCCACATACTGATGAGGGAACAGTTAAGGTTCTCTTCCAAAAATCAGCATGTTATTATAAATTTTAAACAATATACTGAGGTGTATTGTAGAAGTATTAATTTATTCTCTTCTATCTTCAACAATACAAAGCTACTATAAAAACAGTCTATGCTTAGGAATAAATTTAATTTTGCCTTTTAAAGCTTTTAATGTAGTAATCATAAAAATGAGTTCTTTGTGCATTATAAATTTTCCAGATTAATTTGGAATTTAAATTCTTCAGAATCTGGTTTTGAATTGTCAAATCTAACACCCTAGAATGGCAAAAAAAAAAGAAGGAAAATTCAGTGTTTTTAAGACCTATGAAATCCACTCTCAACATGACCTCTGAATCAGGAACTGCATTATTGATACTATATCTTCAATTCTCATTACGCTCCTAGGCAATGTGAGAAAGACAGGAATCCCTCAGACTATAGAACTTTACCTTAGTTATTTTAGGCTCATTATACTGACCTACTAAAACATTCTCATGGTAATAATGAATAAGATCTGACTGTAATGCTGGAAAAACAAAACTATTGGAACAAATCAGTTGAATAATTAATAATGCAATCAGAAGCCTCAGGATACTGCTTTTTTCTTAAAGGACCCAAAAAGTTTCAATCAATCCTTTGCAAATGCCTGGTAAACATCTATCCACCACCAGGTGGCATGCTCACATGTTCAGAAATTCTCCAATGAGTGGGTGACACAAAGGGTCAATTATGGTACATCATGAGTATAGAAAGAATGGAATCATGAGAATGCAAAACAAAAAAGAAGGACTAGTCCTTAACTATTTGCACTTCTAGCATTTTCTTTCCAGGTTGCAAGGTATGGACTAGTCTTATGCTTCCTGCAGAATTTGCAAAGTGGCTTGCTTAGAATGGGTCAACAAGTATTTGATTTTATTTGAACACTGTATTTTATTGTTAGAAGACATTTTCTTCAAAACTTGTTCAAATGTAATAAAAACCAAAGTTCTTCAGCAGTTTCCCTGTTATATGTAATTTGTTTGCAGAAATTTTAGCAGCCATGCAAATGAACAAAAAATCAGAAGAGAAAAAAATGTCTATTCAAATAGAAATTCTAATCCATCTATTCCATAATATCGACTCTTTGGGTAAAGGCAGTCAGGCAAGCTATATATTTTCTGCATATCACTTGGGCTGACAATCTGCAGTGAGGTTACAAGAACACAGGAACTCAAACTGATTTTTCTGACATTAAGTACATCTGGCATCATGTTCTTTCATAAACATTACTACACCTTACTTTTTCAGCGCTTGAAAATTGACAAGGCCCATAATAGCTTTGGGGTTTGTCAGTTCCCAGCAGCACATACTATTTAAAATGTTTGATGTGAATGCAAACATAACTTTGGAATAAAAAATTTCAAATTTTGTTCCTTGAAGGCTTAGGGAAGTGGATCCAGGGCTGGAGTGTTTAGTTATATTTTGACTTTTAGAAGTTGTCTTCATATCTACTTTGCAATTCAGTACCAAGTTGGATGCTCTCAACTCTAGAGATTATACTTAAAATTATTTGGTTCCCTAAATATGTTTGTCAAATTTCAGACATATACTTCACTGTGGTTTTTAGTGCATTGATTTTTATTTAAGTAATACCTATGGCAATAGCAATAATAATAATACCTACGCCTTGCTGAGGCAGTATAGTAAAAGTTAAAGGCAAAGGCCCTGGGAATTTGTCTTCCTGGATTCTGATCCTAGTTCTGCCTCTTACTAGCTGTGTAACGTTGACAGACTATTTAACCTCTTTAAATCTTAATTTTCTCATTTGTAAACTGGAGTTGATAATAACATCTACCTCCTGGCACTGCACACTATATGAGAAAATATGTACAATTTCCCTTACCCCAGCATGTAGTAGGCACTAGATGATCAGTGGCTGCTCTTTGTAAACTGGAAGTTAACACTTCAACTAACTCATCTGTGAATTAGATATAATAACAGTAAAGTATATGACACTGAGCTTAGTGGCTGGCACATAGTCGATAAATAAGAGCTATTATTTCATTATTCTTTTTCAGGCACTATACATACCACGTCTCCAAGAAAAGTATTATCCAATATTATCTCCATTTTATTCGGTGGAAATTTAGGTTCAGACAAGCTAGAAAGTAGTTGGACCAACAGTCAAGCCTCCAGTTGGGTCCAAAGTCCCAGATCCTTTCAAGATAATCTATTTGGCTCTAATGATATGTTGAACCAAACACCATTCTGAAATTAAGAGAACTGACATTGAAGGACCAAGAAATATGTTTTATTTCAACTTAAGTACTCGGAACACTTCTCATACCACTTGGTTGATACTCTACTATATAATAAATGAAAAATACATTGTTCATTCTGAGTTTTGAGACCTTGTGTAAAACATCACAACCATTTCTTCTATCATTCACATAATTAAAATGCAAAGATTGCGTCACCAAAGAAAGAAAAGAAAAAAGATAATATCAAATTCTTTAAATTTTCCAAAATCTCTGACAGAGTTGTATACTTGTTTGTACCTCTTGGTGCACTTTAAAAGTGCAAGAAAGCTTACATTTTAAATTAGAAATATTTTTTACAAAGATGATACTTGAAATTATTATTTCTACCTCTAAGGCTTTGTTTTTAGGTAAAGTGTTTACAAAATGCACCTGCCTAAATATAAATGATTTAATCAGGTGGTGTTCTATATGTCTGGGGAAACATCCAGATGTTTGTGGTCTTAAAAAAAGATATTTTCAAAACAAACACTTTATTTTGCCACTTTTCAGCTGCATGTGCTAGCCTCACTATTACAAACTTAACAATAATTTGATTTTTAGTGTAAAATAATCTGAATTGTTTCACAGAGCAAATCCAGTTCAAAAAATATAAACTTTAAGTCACTTTGAAAACATTCTGGTAAATTAGAATGGAACAAAAACGAAAGTCTGTCTAAACCAGGGGTTAGCAATCATTTTCTGTCAAAGACAAGACAGCAAATATTTTAGACTTTGTAGGACACATGGTCATTCTTGAAACTACTCAACTTTACCTTTGTAGAGTAGACAGGTGTGGCTGGATGCCAATAAAACTTCATTTACAAAAGCAAGCAGCCAGTCATAAGCTGCATTTGTTTGGCCCAGTATAAAATACTGAAGATACCAGACACACTTTATTTTGGGTAATAAGTAAACATTTGCCATAATCTATAAGGGAGAGAAAATTTCAAAATGGTGGCATCAATCACAATCTAATTGACTTTGAAGACATGCTGCTTATGCTTCATTTGCTCCTTCCTCCCTACTCTTCCTTTTTTACTCCCCACTGTCTCCTGGAAGGCTGACCTTAACAGACTGTATCATCCTTGAGTTTTGGTTGGCATCAGTAGGAGATGAGAAGCCAGGAGGATAGAGAAACTTCAAATTTGAGGATGCCTTATCCAGACACAGATTCTTCACTGCTTGCCAAAACTGGACTGCTGTCTCCTAAGGGAATCTTGTACTGTGCACAAACCTTTCTCCTCTCTTCCAAACTAAAACTTATTGCTTCTCCATCTATTTCTCCAGGACAAGTTGCCTGCTGATTCTCATTTAGAAAACATCTGATAAGTCTACTGTTAACTAATCCTCAGGGTAGAACTTTCTTTTTTTAGGAGCCTTCAAGAAATGCCTTAAAAAGTAAGGAAAGAATTTATAAAGGTGGTACATAAAGCTGTTCTGCAGAAAGTGAGGGCAGAAGAGCCATTCTGGAGACTCTTACCATGGAGATAATTGTCCTTAAAGTCAACCTTGATGCTGTCAGTGAACCAAGATTTGGGGCACGATTTTGTTTTATTCCCTTACCAAACAGCATTATAGCTTCAAAAATAAGTGGTATAATGTCTGCTCATGTTTGATAATACTTTAGTGTTCTAGAGAAATTTTAAAATTTCTCTGGATTCTCAGGTGTTACATTACCCATGATATAATTGAGAAATTATAAAATGGAACTCAGGTGTAGTGATTTTGTTTCATGTTTTCTTAAAGGCAATTACAGACGTTACTGGTTTGACTAGCTGTGTGTCTACAAAGACTGCTTTTGAAAAAAATATATTTTAAAATTATGTTAATGAGCCATTTGGACTTCTTCCTGAAGTTTGCTTCTTAGAACACTAATTCTGAGTCTCTGTAGAAGATCTTGGACATATAGCCTGCTCTGAAAAGATCACAACGCACAGGAGCAGATTAAATGCCCTGGAAAGAATTGCAGTAGCCTATTGACTTTCCTCACTAAATACTTTCAAGTTTACTTGCCCAAGAAATCTTGATTTGAATGTGATATTAACATTCCATGGAAGTTTCTTTGGTATATGATGTGATATGGTTTGGCTGTGTCCCTACCCAGATCTCACCTTGAATTGTAATAATCCCCATGTGTCAAGGATGGGGCCAGGTGGAGATAATTGAATCATGGGGGCAGTTTCCCCCATACTATTCTCATGGTAGTGAATAAGTCTCACGAGATCTGGTGGTTTTATAAATGGGAGTTCCGCTGCACAAGCCCTCTTGCCTGCCACCATGTAAGATGTGACTTTGCTCCTCATTCGCCTTCTGCCTTGATTTTGAGGACTCCCCAGCCATGTGGAACTGTGAGTCAGCTAAACCTCTTTTCTTTATAAATTACCCAGTCTCAGATATGTCTTTATTAGCAGCATGACAACAGACTAATACATGCTGGCATAAGGTATTAAGATGTTAGATTTTGATCACTAGCAAAAAAGTCACTATTTCACTCAATTTTTTGGCATTTATCAATTGATTTGAATATGGATACTTGTTACTTTAAATGTTTGTCTTTGAAAAGATTTATAAGGAAACAATAATAATAAGACATTCTCCAAAATGTCTGTAAACACAGCCTTGGCCTAACCTTAAGTGTTAGGGCTGCTAAAGTCAGGTCACCAATACTGCTTGACAATAAGTACTTCCTACCCGTGTCCAACACCAGACTCGGGTATCACCACTGGGAAGCTTTTTGAATCCATTACCTAGTGACTTGCTACCTCCTTTGTGTTTCCCTTATTGCAACGCTTAATGGTAGTGTTTAAAGTTAGTGATTTACTTTTCCAATTGCATTCCTACTACACTATAAAATCTGAAGGCAGACGATAATCATCTTTTTGTTTCTAATGTTGAACACAGTACTTGCTTTTAGTAGATGCTTAATAAAGTGAATTATTCTGCAAATTCTATAGAAATAATTTCTAATCTCACTAGACATTTGAGTGGTGGTGTTCTGGAACTGGCGTGTACCAGATCATGAGAGCAGGTTTTTAAAATTTAAGGAATTTTGTAAGCCAGTTGATTTCACATTAGTACCTTGATGTTGCGCCATGATAAAAGTATTTACATTACAGAAATTGGCAAAAGATACAAGACTTTTCTTTTTCCTAGTGCATCAGTTGTTAAACATTTACCAGCATACCACTATATGTGATTATCACATATATAGTATGCATATATTTTCTATATAATATATATTATGTATTCTCTTATTTTTTCATTAGATAATTTAATAATGAAATAATGTTTAAGTGTTTTACATTTTTAGAAAATAAGTGGTCTAGTCTCCTCATTTAGATTGCAAAGTCTCTGGGGAAAAGGCTGATACTTTTATTTTAATTGCCTCAGTGCCTAGGAATTTATAGACACACAATAATTGTATGTGAAGGGGTTGACATCTTAAATAGTCTCTGTGTTTTGAGCAGCGGGTGCTGATGGAGAGTCAAAAAAAAAAAGTGAAAAATGCAACAAAGTGTTTTGAGTTGACTCCCAACACTGAATTTATACCAGAACTTATAAAGATAAGATTATATTATATATAATATAAAGATTATACCATGTATTACTTTTCTCTTCTACTATTATATTCTCAAACTTTCTATATATTGAAACAGTTGTGTGAAAATCAGTGACATAAACATAGCCACAAAATTATAAATTCTGAGATATAGGATTTTGTTATAGTTGGACTAAAAAGATATACTTTTAGTGCCAAAAAAACTGCAGCAAAATGAGGTGGAGTTACAGAATTCCTCTAACTTTTCATTTTTTTTTAAATTTACCTTAAGAAATCATTAATTTCCAGGGATAGTAATTACCCTAATAAACTAATTAATTGTATGGAATGTGATGTTCCTGCAGAATTTCAATACAAGTTTTTGTCCATACACAAAGAAAATATAGTCTAACTTCATGCCCAGCTAAAACTTGTTTACTAAGGAAGAAGGAGAAAGTAGATTTAGGAGGACAGCAGTAACCTGTGACACAGTTTAGTTTTCTCTTACATCCAACATCAAAAGTTCTGAGATATTGTTATAAAAAGCAACGTCCATAGTAACATTTGTATGCAATGAGGCACTGTAGAAACACAAAAAGTCAAGCTTTTTCCCCCCTTAAGCATTTTTTTTGATCCTTCGGTGTTGCCTTAAGGATTAATTGCAATCATATAGAGTTATTTCACTCAAATTTGGTATGGCAAATTTAAGCCATTGTAAGGGGCTTGGAGGAGGTGTACAATAATTTTCTCTGTTGTCTTACTATTTTCTCTAACCGGATTACCTGATTTTCATTCAGTCTCCTGTTTTACTTCAAAGCACAGACTCCAAAATGGCCTTTTATTGAATGTGATGAATCATTGACTTTCTGAGTACACTCAAAACTAAAAATGTTTCCCAATTAATTACTTTTATTTGTTTGAACAAGGGTACAGAAATAGGAAATGGCTTTTATAGAAAAGTACTTCAAGCAACCAAAACTTGGTCAATATTTATTACATTCATTGGATCATCTATATGTAAGTGGCTCACTTAGCCATCTAATTTCAATGTAAAATTACAATAATCAAATCTTTTAGTCAAAATCTAAGGAATTTATATTACCATTTTACTTGGGGAAAAAAACTATTTGCTACCTATGTTTTTTCTAAATATTTGTAGAGTTCAACTGTGTTGCCAGAAAGAAAACAAAGTAGGTACAGTTACGAACCACTCATTCCTTAACCTTAACATTCTCTTCCCATCAACTCCCCTTTCCCTTCCCTGGGAAAACATATACCCAAATGCTGGCTAGATGGCAAGGATATTTTAGACTCAAACATATTAAAAGTAAACATTGTTGCTAAGCCTGCTCGTATCCTGGCTCTTCTTTGTAAGCCCCCTATTTTTGGTCTGTCACTCCTCTCAGTTATTAAATGTTTAATAGTCATAATTAGATTAATCTGCAGAATTCCAGTGATTCTTATTAACTAGGTCTCAAATCTGCATATTTAAAAATTTGATGATTTTGGTGTGCTTGATCCTGGAACTGTTCTATGAGAAGCACTTCAGTTGACAGAAATCCAGTTCAAATTAACTTTATTAATAAATGGTACTACTGCTTGGATACTGAAGTGTCCAATCCCCAAGCCTCAGGACAATAAAATCACAGTGAGGCCACAGGAACAACTCAAAAGCTGCTAAATAAATGTCACCACAGCTCCTTCTCTGTCTTTATTTCTGTCCTCATAGAAAATATAACCCCGACAAAGTACTGATTTGTACACCTCAGTGACAGCCAGGCTGAAGATTTAAAATATCTCAGAGAGGTATTATTGGCCCTGCCTGGAGCTGTGGTCAGGAAGGCAGACTCATGTAGAAACAATAAACCTTCTGGAAGAACTAGGGAATGAACTGATGGAAGAGAGGCAATTGCTAGAAAAAGGAGATTGTTGGAAGAGAGCAGCAGCTGATTGAGTAGAAGTTGTCACAGATATTCATGAGAACTGTATTTAGTGTAATTCAACTATTATAACTTCGCAGTGTCTTTAAACAGATAACACTGAACACCTTGACTTTGAAATAGCACTTGCAAGTTTAAAAATTTCCTTCCAGAACTATAGAGATGTTATGAGATTACATAAAACCAAAATAAGTGTGCTATTAGATAAAAATTATAAGCAAAGGCATTTGGTGAAAAAAGTGTAGTAGCCCAGTAATAATTATTTCCCCAAATTACAATTTTATGGTGAGTTACACTTACCAAAGTGCTTTCATAAAACCTACTCATGGATCACTCTTACCCTCTGCCAAATAGTTAACTTCATACATGGCAAGATATCAGGGATAAGGAAATGTGGTAGCTGAGAAAGACTTGCCAAAATGTCTCCCTCAGATATGGATTGACAATTGAAATTTTACCTTTAGAGATTTATTTCTTCATCTTCAATGCAATTTCTCCTAAAACAAAGCACAATCATCTTTAGTAACCATTTATACCTCATTGTGAATGAACTGAGCAGGTCCTTCTCTGAGAAGGTTGTGATGGTATAAAACGAAAAATACAAAGGTATGGAGGAGGGAAGTAGGAAAAAAAAAAAAAACTGTGCAGCAGGAAAAGGTTGAGAAAAGAAAATCCTGGGCTGGTAATGACAAAATTCTCTCCAGTCAAAAATTACAGCAACTTGGCCATTTAGCACCATCTATTCAGCCACATTCTATATGGAAAAGAAATCGACCAAAATGTTCATCCCTTCTGATTGGGACCATATTCATAAGATAAATATCAATGACCCAACTCTTCGTATCATTTTTCTCCATTCATAAGGATGTGAAGTTCAGTACTTTTGTCAAGATATCTCAAATACAGGCATGCCTACTTTTCTTGAGACGGAGTCTCGCTCTGTCACCCAGGCTGGAGTGCAGTGGCACGATCTCGGCTCACTGCAAGCTCCGCCTCCCGGGTTCACGCCATTCCCTTCCGAGCAGCTGGGACCACAGGTGCTCACCACCACGCCCAGCTAATTTCTCTGCATTTTTAGTAGAGACGGGGTTTCACCGCGCTAGCCAGGATGGTCTCGATCTCCTGACCTCGTGATCCGCCCGTCTCGGCCTCCCAAAGTGCTGGGACCACAGGCGTGAGCCACCGCGCCCGGCCCAGGCATCCCTACTTTTTAAAATGTTCTAGCTAATGATTTTTACTTGAGGCAATTTTTTCCTTTTTCCATTTAATATATTCTTATTCTGCATTAGATCTAAAGTAAGGCTTTTGAAGGCTCTGGGGAATAATTAGTGAGGTATCTTAAGCTGTTTTCTCCCTTTTGACCTCAAATATTTTCTTTTCATCCTTAATCTTGAAGATTTGAGCACCTACTACAAGAATTTCCTGTGTGGAATCACTTCCTTCTTTTTGCAAACCCTATGGTTTACAGATATAAACATACACACATATACATTTATTTACAGATATCTATGTTTTAAAATAAAAGATTTTAAAATGATAGGACATTTTTTATATACAACACATCTTCAGCAACTGGGTCTGTTGCTGTTGCCCTTTTTGTTCAAAAGTTTTTAAAAGAATTATTGTAGCAATAAGATGAATTATAACACTAAACAATAAGACATTCATTACTTTTAAAGAAAAAATTAGTAAATAATCACAATTAGTCAATATTTTATTAACTGTAGACACTATTTAATGACTGTAGTCTATGTATATTGGCATGTCATCAAGTTTAATTCATATTGATTAGTACAAAAGTAAAGAACTAGAGCTATTAGATAAAATATTTATATTCTCCATTAAAATACCAAACGTGGATGCTTATTTCATGCCATATATTATTTCAATTACCAATCTAAAATCATAACATAATTTTGTTTCAGGGAAATTGAAAAAGTTTGAGGAAAAACACATTTCTTAAGTTGTTTTCCTACATGGACATGTATTTATTAAATTCACAATGCATTTTGAAAAATATTTATTCATCGGTAAAATAGCTCAATGAGCATGCTTTCACTTTACAAATTCATTATTTAAATATTAAGGTCAAATGCATTAAACATTGGTGAACAGGTTTAGTAGTCTTCGAAGTACTGTGCACACACCTTAGTTGCTATGCAAATGGATTTAGTATGATGCGGGAAGAAAATATTAGAACATATGTTTCTCGTTAATTTTTTTAAAGTTCACTCATTTAAAATGGCTATTTTTATGAATTCCTATAATATGTAAGATATTAGTATAGAAATACATGTATGTAATTTGTAAGTAAGTTATATTTAATGGGTATGCTGGTGCACAATTGAATTTCCTAATAGCATTGCACAATTTAAAAACTGCAGATCTATTTTAAACTTTGAGGAAACTTTATAGTATTTTTCATAATGGCTGTACCAATTTACATTCCTATCAACAGTGTACAAGCATTCCCTTTTCCCCACATTCTAATAAACAATTATTTTTGTATTTTTGATGATAGTAATTCTACAAAATATAATGTGATATCTAACGGTGGTTTTAGTTGTGCGTATTCCTGATGATTAGCAATGTTTAGCTCCTTTTAAAATATCTGTCGGTCATTTGTATGTCTTCTTAGAAATGTTTACTCCAATCCTTTGTCCATTTTTTAATTGGATTATTTGTTCTTTTGCTATTTAGTTGAGTCTTTTGCATATTTTGGATATTAACCCTTTATCAGATACATGGTTTGCAAATACGTTCCTTCATTCTGTGGCTTGACTTTTCACTTGATTGCTTCCTTTGCTCTACAAAAGATTTTCAGTTTGTTGCAATCCCACTGGTCTATTTTTGCTTTGGTTGCTTGTGCTTTTGGTAACATAACCAAAAAATTGTCAAGAGCAGTGCCAAGAAGATTTTCCCCTATCTTTTCTTCTAGTTTTGCAGTTTCAGGTCTTACAGACTTTAATACATTTTGAGTTGATTTTTGTATATGATAGCAGATAAGGGTCCAATGTCATTCTTTTACATGTGGATATCTAGATTTCCCAATACCATTTATTGAAGGAACTGTCCTTTCCTCGATTATGCATTTCTTGGCATCTTTATCAAAGATCAGTTCACTATAAATATATGGATTTATTTCTGAGCTCTATTCTATTCCATTGGACTATATGTCTGTTTTTAAGCCAGTATACTGTTTTGTAGCTTTGTAATGTATTTTGAAATCAGAAAGTGTGATATTTCTAGCCTTGTTCTTGCTTAAAATGGCTTTGGCTCTTTGAGGTATTTTGTAGTTCCATATGAACTTTAATTTTTTTTCTTACTATAAAGAATGCCACTAGGACTTTGATAGGTATTGCATTCAATCTGTGGATCACTTTGGGTAGTATGGACATTTTTGTAATATTAATCCTTTTTTCATTTCTTGTTTTTAGATTACAGTCTTGAATTCCTGGGCTCACATGATGTTTCTACCTCAGCCTTCCTAGCAGCTGGAAATAAAGGCAAACGCCACAATGACCAGCTAATTTTTTAATTTAGTGTTATTGAGATGGGATCTTGCTATGTTGCCCAAGCTTACCCAGAACTCCTGGCCTCAAGCATCTTGCTGCTTTAGCCTCCTGAATAGCTGGGATTACAGGCACAAGCCATCACTCCCAGATTAATTCTTCTAATCTATGAACACATGATGTTTTTTCATTTATCTGTGTCATCTTCAGTTTCGTGCATCAATGTTTTAGTTTTCAGTATACACGTCTTTAACTTCTAAATATTTCATTCGTTTTGTTGCTGTTGTAAATGGGATTGTTTTCTTAATTTTGTTTTCAGATGGCTCGTTGTTAGTATATAGAAATATCACTGATTTTTGTATGTTGATTTTTGTATCCTAAAACTTCAATGAATTCATTTGTTCTAATATTTTGATGTATTGTTGAGTCTTTAAGGTTTTCTGCACATATGATCATATCATCTGCAAACAGATAATTTTACTTCCTTCTTTATTTGGATGAATTTTATTTCTTTTTCATCTCTAATTTGTTCTGGCTAGGACTCTCAGTACTATGCTGAATAGAAGCGGCTAGAGTGGGCATCTTTGCCCTGTACCAGATCTTAGAGGAAAAGCTTTACTTTTCCCCCATTGATTATGATGGTAGCTGCAGTTATTTCATATATGACCTTTACTATGTTAAAGTTAGTTTCTTCTATACCTGTTTTGTTGTATTTTAATCATGAATGGGTATTAAATTTTGTCAAATGTTTCTGTCAAATAGATTTGTCAAATCTATTAATATGTTCACCTGGTTTTTATCTTTTATTCTCTTAATGTACCACATTGATTGATTTGAATATATTAAACCATCGTTGCATCCCAGGGATAAATTATACTTGGTCATGGTGTATAATCCTTTTAGTGTGCTGTCAAATTAATTTTGCTAGTATTTTATTTAAGTTTTTTGTATCTATGTTCATAGGGATATTAACCTGTAGGGTTTTTCTTTTTCTTATGGTAACTTTATCTGACTTTGGTATCAGGATAATGCTAACTTCATAAAATGAGTTTGGAAATATCCCTCCTATTTTTTGGAGGAGTTTTGGAGTTTAAAAAGGATTGGATTAATTCTTTTTGAAATGTTTGATGGAATTCACCCATAAAGATGTCTAGTTCTGGGATTTTCTTTGGGAAATTTTTATTATTGATTCAATCTCCATATTTGTTAGTGGTCTGTTCAGGCTTTCTATTTCTTCTTGACTGAATTATGGTAGGTTTTGTGTTTCTAGGAAATTATCCACTTATTCTAGGTTATCTAATTTGTTTCCATGTAAGTGTTCATAATAGTCCTTTATGATCCGTTTAATTTCTGAGGCATTCATTGTAATGTCTCCTCTTTCATTTTTGATTTTACTTGAGTCTTCTCTCTAGCTAAAGATTTGTTGTTTAAAAAAACTCCTAATTTTGTTGATTTTTTTTCTTATTTTCTATTTTTTTATTTCCGCTCTATTTTCTGTTTCTTTTTTTCTGATAATTTTAGACTTTTCAGTTACTTGAGGTGCAAAGAACTGAACCTTGTAAATTGGTTTGCTTATTTGAGATCTTCCTTCTTTTTTAATGTAAGTATTTATGGTTATAAGCATCCTTCTTGGTGCTGCTTTTGCTGCAACGCATTACTTTTGGTATACGGTATTTTTGTTTTCTCATTTTTCTTGAGATTTTTTTAAAAATCCTTTTGATATCCTCCTCGACCCAAAGGTCCTTCAAGATTATGTGGTTTAGCTCCCACATATTTATTAATTTTTTTCATTTCCATATAATCCAGCAATCCCACTTTTGGGTATGTACCCAAAGGAAATGAAATCAGTATTTCTTTTTTTAAAATTTTTATTTCTATTTTAAGTTCTGGGGTACATGTACAGGATATACAGGTTTGTTACATAGGTAAAAGTGTGCCATAGTGGTTTGTTGCACCTACCAACCCATCACCTAGGTATTAAGCTCAGCATGCATTAGCTATTTTTTCGAATGCTCTCCCTTCCCCATCCCCATCCCCTGACAGGACCCAGTGTGTGTTGTTCTTCTCCCTCTGTCCATGTGTTCTCATTGTTCAGCTCCCACTTATAAGTGAGAACATGAGCTGTTTGGTTTTCTGTTACTTTGGTGAGGATAACAGCTTCCAGCTCCACCCATGTCCCTGCAAAGGACATGGTCTTGTTCCTTTTTATGGCTGCATAGTATTCCATGGTGTATATGTACCATATCTTTGATGGGCATTTGGGTTGATTCCATGTCTTTGCTATTGTGAATAGTGCTGCAGTGAACATATGCATGCATGCATCTTTGTAATAGAATGATTTATATTCCTTTGCATGTATACCCAGTAATGGGATTGCTGGTTCAAAGGGTATTTCGGGTTCTAGATCTTTGAAGAATTGCCACACTGTCTTTCACAATGGTTGTGCTAATTTACATTCCCACCAGCAGTGTAAAAGCATTCCTATTTCTCTACAACCTCACCAGCAACTCTTGTTTCTTGACTTTTTAATAATGGCCATTCTGACTGGCATGAGATGGTATCTCATTGTGGTTTTGATTTGCATTTCTCTAATGATTAGTGATGTTGAGCTTTTTTTCATATGTTTGTTGGCCGCATGAATGTCTTTTCAGAAGAGTCTGTTTATGTCCTTTGCCTACTTTTAAATGGGGTAGGTTGGTTTTTTCTTGTACATTTGTTTAAGTTCCTTGTAGATTCTGGATATTATACCTTTGTCAGAGGGACAGATGGCAAAATTTTCTCCCACTCAGTATTTCAAAGAGATAGTTGCATTTCTATGTTCATTGCAGCATTATTCATAATTGCCAAGATATGGAAGCAACCTAAATACCCACCGATAGATGAATGAATAAGGAAAATGTGGAATATCACGTGGCAGCTCAATTTTTAGTTTCTTAAGGAACCTGCAAACTGTCCTCCATAGTGGTTGTGTAGGGGAACATAGGGAGATGTTGCTCAAAGGGTACAAAGTTTTGGTTGTGCAAGATGAATGGGTTCTGGATAGCTAATATACAGCATGGTGACTACAGTGAACAGTACTGTATTGTATACATGAAATTAGCTAGAGAGTAGATCATAAGTGTTCTCACTGAAAAGGGAAGAAAAAGGGAGAGAGAAAAAAGAGAGGGAGAGAAAGGAAGGAAGAAAGAAAGAAAAATAGTTGTTATATGAGGATCATAAATTTGTTAATCAGCTTGATTATGGTGTTCATTTCACAATATATCACAGCAGCAAGTGTGTATCTTAAATGTATATAATTCCTGGCTGGATGTGGTGGCTCACGCCTATAATCCCAGCACTTTGGGAGGCTGAGGCGGGCGGATCATGAGGTCAAGAGATCGAGACCATCCTGGCCAACATGGTGAAACCCCGTATCTACTAAAAATACAAAAATTATCTGGGCATGGTGGTGCGTGCCTGTAGTCCCAGCTACTTGGGAGGGTAAGGCAGGAGAATCGCTTGAAACAGAGGTGGAGGTTGCAGTGAGTCGACATCGCACCACTGCACTCCAGCCTGGTGACAGAGTGAGACTCTGTCTCAAAGAAGAAAAAGAAAATGTGTACAATTCCTATTTGTCAATTATACCGCAATAAAGTTGAAAAAAATTAAAACAGCAGCAACAAAGCCTGTTGGAATTTTGATAGGAATTGCTTTGAAGTCATAACAGCAATTTTGGGAGAAGTGACATTTTCTTATCTATGATAAGCATATGTCTTTCTATTTTTTAATGTTTTTCGGTAAAGATCTGTAGTTTTATCAAAAAAGATAAACGTGAGGGTTTAACTTGGCATATTTAATTGGCCACAGCTTACAGCTTGGTGTCTTAGTTCCTTGAGGGTAGTGACTGCGACTCATTTCTCCAACAATGTTTATCTCAGTGCTCAGGTCTCATAAATACTAGTAAATCCTTCTGTACTGACTAAAATTGAAAAAAGTAAGATTCTAGCCTTGATCAGGAAGTGATAAAAGTGTCAAATTGTAACCTAATTAATAGTAAACATAAGAAGTAAGCCCAATAATATTAAAATAATATATAACTAAAAATGAAAACAATATTTAGTCAAATTACATTCTGAGTACAATATAATTCTCCGTATCATATGTCTTGTTGATTGTCATGCAACTCTTAGTAAACTAATGTTAAATGTAAAAAAAAAAAAAAAAGTTTGTAGATTTGTAAACATTTAACTCTAACTATAAGCTTGTTCTCTCTTGTGCGGCTGGTATGTAATATGGTGCTAGACAGAATAGAGATGCTCAGTAAATACTTGTGAATGAATAATTAATAAGAATGGATAGAGAAGGACTCCATGCATTATTTACATTTTAGAATGCTGCAGAAATAGACCCAATTCAGAAATAGAGTCGATGTTTCCTACACCTGTTTTTTTTGTTTGTTTGTTTGTTTGTTTAGACATGTAAACTTAGTGTTTGCTGTAATACTGGATTATCTCAGGAAGTACAGAGCCTTCTGAAATGCATTCCCCTATTTTTTTTTAGCTTTAGTGTAGAACAAAAACAAAAATAAAAACAAAAAATAAACGATATAAGTACAAGTTGATATGCTTGAATTCCATTTGGACTTAATGAAGAGGTTAGGAAAAAATTTACTATCAAATCTAAAAATGTTGAAAGGGAGCAAAAGGAGGTGTTACAGGAAGACTTATGAAGACATATCTTTTACTACTAATGTTCAGAACCTCAGCTTTCAAGAATAAATGTCATTTTACTTTTTTTTACAAGACTGTATATCTCTAAGTTTACCTAGGTTTCTAAAATTAAAATTAAGCAATAAGGAGAAATAAAAATTTAGGTGGAATTCTTTTTTAAAAGGAATGAATAACTGCATAGCTTCTCATACAGAAATTATAGCCCTGTTATTTTGGAAGGAATTGTAGTATTTTCTCAGAAACCTGCAGTTTGGGTCTCAGCAAGCTGTAGGAAATGAAGGATATAAGATTGTTTGCTGATAAACTTGAAGATCAAAGCAGACAGTATAATCCCATAGGTATGTGAAATCACTGGAAAGAGAATCATCTTGGCAATGCCGAGCCTGATTGAATCATCATGGCCAAGGAAAGATTATGCCAATATCTTTGAGTGCTGCTCAGTCAAAGAGCACCTATGTAGTAGTTGGACTTCAGAGTATTTCATTTCAGATGACTTCTGGTATATCTACAGATGCAGGGAGTGTAACCAATGGACTTTTAAGGGTTTTTTGGTTTTGGTTTTTGTTTTAATCAAGACCATTCTTACTGGGAAGTTTAAGTTAGTGTCTCTGCTTGATAGGGTTCCATCCCAACAAGGGCCTCCTCCTGATTTGGTTGCTTACATGGGCACATGTACTAATTAAACGAGCTTAGGTCCTTTCTGATTCCCTTGATAATGGTTCTTCAGGTGAACTAATCAAGTGGCTTCTGATGATGACTGGATTCAGGCTGAGAACATGACCATAGTAGAAATGTAGGCATTCCAAACCATGAGGCAGAATTCTTGTTAACATTCCGGTGTTTTCTAGCTGAGATTCACTTTAGGAACCAAGAAACTTGCTCAGATCTTATCACTCCTTATGAAGACAGAAGCAAAGTCCTCATTTTTCAACATTAAAAGGTTTCAATATAAAAAGGTTTAATATTGAAAGCATTTTTCAATATTAAAATGTTGACCAAAAGCCAGGATTTGGCGGTTCAGTGAGCTCCAGCCAGCCTCCACTTCAAGAACCTAGGTAGCTACTTCTATGTTCTCTGTTAACCCAGAAAGAATTTTTACACAAAACACAAAGTCAAACATCTACCTCTGCACAAAATAACAACCAAATAAACCACAAAAGACTTGAAGAACAAGGTGGAAATTTGCTTTGCAACTTCCTAAAGGAGTGGCACAGTAATCTCAGACTGCGTCATACAACATCAACATACAGCAGTGCTCCAAGTTCTCACACTTAAAACAGCTGTTTTAAAGTCAGTCTGTCTCGTCACCCCCATGTTTTTGCAACTGATCCTGTCATCCACACCCCTTGCATTTCACAGTGTTTAGCTCAGGTTCTACCACTTTAAAAATCTACCCGAATTCTGACCTACACTCCCTCTGAGAAAAGCAGTTGTTTCTGAGTGTTCTCTTAGTAAACAGTCCCCCTGAGATTCTGGAGAATAAAATCTTCTACCTTAGTATATAGTTGTAGGAACAAAAACAGCCTTAGAAAGTCTTGGAAATGATGTATCATTTTTGTTTTAAAAAGTAAGTATGGAATGAGTGTTTTTTTATTTTAGCATAGGCACAAATTATTTAAATATAAAAATAACATATTGAGAGAAAATGATTATTTAAACCCTTGTTTGATAGTAAATTACTCTATCACAGGTAGAAAGGGAAAGGCTTTGAAAAGAATTCCAATGGATATTTGAAAATGTTTGGTAATGAAATAATATTTAGAATTGAATTTATTTTTGGCATTACAGAGTTGATTGCTAGATAACACTCTTCTTAATCTCAGATCATTTCTCAGGTTATTGTATTTTGCTTTTATTTTATTCTAAGGAAACTCATTAGGCTGGAATTGATGCAATTCTTTTATTTCCTGGTGATATGATGCTAGCCAAGTCATTTCATTTCTTGGAACTTTAGTTTTTCCACCTGTAACATAGGGTTAATATTTGTACTGTTATTAAGAATAAATGGTATAATTTTATATGTGTAATAAGAAAAATTTTAACAACTGACATCACAACTCACCCTAGTAAGAAAGTTAAGGGACAATTGCCTATATGCTAGAACATAACATGTGAATTTCAGTTTCTTCCTTAAAATTATTTATTCCTCTTGAATTAATTTTTGTATAAGGTGTAAGGAAGGGATCCAGTTTCAGCTTTATTTTTGTCAGGTTTGTCAAAGATCAGATGGTTGTAGATGTGTGGTATTATTTCTGAGGGCTCTGTTCTGTTCCATTGGTCTATATCTCTGTTTTGGTACCAGTACCATGCTGTTTTGGTTACTGTAGCCTTGTAGTATAGTTTGAAGTCAGGTAGCCTGATGCCTCCAGGTTTGTTCTTTTGGCTTAGGATTGACTGGGCAATGCGGGCTCTTTTTTTGTTCCATACAAACTTTAAAGTAGTTTTTTCCCATTCTATGAAGAAAGTCATTGGTAGCTTGATGGGGATGGCATTGAATCTCTAAATTACCTTGGGCAGTATGGCCATTTTCACAATATTGATTCTTACTACCTATGAGCATGGAATGTTCTTCCATTTGTTTGTATCTTCTTTTATTTCATTGAGCAGTGGTTTGTAGTTCTCCTTGAAGAGGTCCTTCACATCCCTTGTAAGTTGGATTCCTAGGTATTTTATTCTCTTTGAAGCAATTGTGAATCGGAGTTCACCATGATTTGGCTCTCTGTTTGTCTATTATTGGTGTATAAGAATGATTGTGATTTTTGCACTTTGATTTTGTATCCTGAGACTTTGCTGAAATTACTTATCAGCTTAAGGAGATTTTGGGCTGAGACAATGGGGTTTTCTAAATATACAATCATGTCATCTGCAAACAGGGACAATTTGACTTCCTCTTTTCCTAATTGAATACCCTTTATTTCTTTCTCCTGCCTGATTGCCCTGGCCAGATCTTCCAACACTATGTTGAATAGGAGTGGTGAGAGAGGGCATCCCTGTCTTGTACCAGTTTTCAAAGGGAATGCTTCCAGTTTTTGTCCATTCAGTATGATATTGGCTGTGAGTTTGTCATAGATAGCTCTTATTATTTTGAGATATGTCCCATCAATACCTAATTTATTGAGAGTTTTTAGCATGAATGGTTGTTGAATTTTGTCAAAGGCCTTTTCTGCATCTATTGAGATAATTATGTGGTTTTTGTCTTTGGTTCTGTTTATATGGTGGATTACATTTATTGATTTTCGTATGTTGAACCAGCCTTGCATCCCAGGGATGAAGCCCACTTGATCATGGTGGATAAGCTTTTTGATGTGTTGCTGGATTCGGTTTGCCAGTATTTTACTGAGGATTTTTAAATCAATGTTCATCAAGGATATTGGTCTAAAATTCTCTTTTTTTGTTGTGTCTCTGCCAGGCTTTGGTATCAGGATGATGTTGGCCTCATAAAATAAGTTACGGAGGATTCCCTCTTTTTCTATTGATTGGAATAGTTTCAGAAGGAATGGTACCAGCTCCTCCTTGTACCTCTGGTAGAATTCGACTGTGATTCCGTCTGGTCCTGGACTTTTTTTGGTTGGTAAGCTATTAAATATTGCCTCAATTTCAGAGCCTGTTATTGGTTTATTCAGAGATTCAACTTCTTCCTGGTTTGGTCTTGGGAGAGTGTATGTGTCGAAGAATTTATCCATTTCTTCTAGATTTTCTAGTTTATTTGCGTAGAGGTGTTTATAGTATTCTCTGATGGTAGTTTGTATTTCTGTGGGATCGATGGTGATATCCCCTTTATCATTTTTTATTGTATCTATTTGATTCTTCTCTTTTCTTCTTTATTAGTCTTGCTAGCGGTCTATCAATTTTGTTGATCTTTTCAAAAAACCAGCTCCTGGATTCATTGATTTTTTGAAGGGTTTTTTGTGTCTCTATTTCCTTCAGTTGTGCTCTGATCTTAGTTATTTCTTGCCTTCTACTAGCTTTTGAATGTGTTTGCTCTTGCTTCTCTAGTTCTTTTAATTGTGATGTTAGGGTGTCAATTTTAGATCTTTCCTGCTTTCTCTTGTGGGCATTTAGTGCTATAAATTTCCCTCACACACTGCTTTGAATGTGTCCCAGAGATTCTGGTATGTTGTGTCTTTGTTCTCGTTGGTTTCAACAAACATCTTTATTTCTGCCTTCATTTTGTTATGTACCCAGTAGTCATTCAGGATTAAAGACTTACATGTTAGACCTAAAACCATAAAAACCCTAGAAGAAAACCTAGGCAATACCATTCAAGACATGGGCATGGGCAAGGACTTCATTTCTAAAACACCAAAAGCAATGGCAACAAAAGCCAAAATTGACAAATGGGATCTAATTAAACTAAACAGCTTCTGCACAGCAAAAGAAAGCACCATCAGAGTGAACAGGCAACCTACAGAATGGGAGAAAATTTTGCAACCTACTCATCTGACAAAGGGCTAGTATCCAGAATCTACAATGAACTCAAACAAATTTACAAGAAAAAACCAACGCCAACAAAAAGTGGGCGAAGGATATGATCAGACACTTCTCAAAAGAAGACATTTATGCAGCCAAAAAAACATGAAAATATGCTCACCATCACTGGCCATCAGAGAAATGCAAATCAAAACCACAATGAGATACCATCTCACACCAGTTAGAATGGCGATCATTAAAATGTCCGGGAACAACAGGTGCTGGAGAGGATGTGGAGAAATAGGAACACTTTTACACTGTTGGTGGGACTGTAAACTAGTTCAACCATTGTGGAAGTCAGTGAGGCGATTCCTCAGGGATCTAGAACTAGAAATACCATTTGACCCAGCCATCCCATTACTGGGTATATACCCAAAGGATTATAAATCATGCTGCTATAAAGACACATGCACACATATGTTTATTGCGGCACTATTCACAATAGCAAAGACTTGGAACCAACCCAAATGTCCAACAATGATAGACTGGATTAAGAAAATGTGGCACATATACACCATGGAATACTATGCAGCCATAAAAATAATGAGTTCATGTCCTTTGTAGGGACATGGATGAAACCGCAAACCATCATTCTCAGCAAACTATCGCAAGGACAAAAAACCAAACACCACATGTTCTCGATCATGGGTGGGAATTGAACAATGAGAATACATGGACACAGGAAGGGGAACATCACACTCTGGGGACTGTTGTGGGGTGGGGGGAGGGGGGAGAGATAGCATTAGGAGATATACCTAATGCTAAATGACGAGTTAATGGGTGCAGCACACCAGCATGGCACACGTATACATATGTAACTAACCTGCACATTGTGCACATGTACCCTAAAACTTAAAGTGTAATAATAATAATAAAAGAATTATTTATTCCTCAAAAAAATAGCAATCTTAAAGTCTCATGTTATAGGACATTCTTTTAATAGTTTCATGTTGAACAACAGAAAAACTGTTTGGGGAAGATTTGGGAAAGATTCCTGAAACAGCCTCAATCAATGTTAGTTTCAGTTGTTTATAAATGTTACGCAAGATAATTGGTTACAAGAAAGGAGGCAAATAAATTTAACCCAGCTATAGTCATTATTCCCCCACCACAACCATTCAATTGCAAGTGTTGAATGTCACAGAAAATAAAACTTAAAAGTCACTTGAAAAAGCAATAAGTGGTTACATCATGGAGAACATAAATAACACGTTTTCATTTTGGCGTTGGATAAAATTTCAGTAAAAGCAGGCTGATTGGATTAAAAATGCTATACTTGGAACTAGTTAGAAATTAACTTGATGTGTGTGATGGTTAATATTGAGTGTCAACTTGATTGGATTGAAGGATGCAAAGTATTGTTCCTGGGTGTGTCTGTGAGTGTGTTGCCAAAGGAGATTAACATTTGAGTCCATGACTGGGAGACGCAGACCCACTCTCAATCTGGGTGGGTACCATCTAATCAGCTGCCGATGCAATAGAATAAAGCAGGCAGAAGTTGGGAAGAGCAGACTTGCTGAGTCTTCTGGCTTTCGTCTTTCTCCCACGCTGGATGCTTTCCGCTCTCAAACATCAGACTCCGTGTTCTTCAGCTTTTGGACTCTTGGGCCACAAGCAGGTGGGTGTTGGGAGCACTAAAGTGTCTTATAAAGTTAAGATAGTATTATTCTCAATCTGATAACTTGCATCAAAAACTTGACATCTGCTATAAGTACAATGGAGTATTTTGTGTCCAATTCTATGACTTTTAAAAAATTAATTTGAGGCATTTGTGTAATTTTATAATTCAGATTAATTCTGTCTTATCTTTTTTGAGCCCTATTTTCAAATAAGGAATATTTGAGAAACCAATTGTTTATTTCAAAATGAGTATTTTATGAAATAAGGGTAAAGCATCATGTTTTTAGTGAAGAGAAACCTGTCACTGAGATAACAATTGGTTTGAATCTTCCTTACTTCATTTTTACATGAAATCTCCATGCTTATGCTAGAGCCACAAGCTTGCTAAATTTCTTTGTGCACAATTTTACAGTTATTACCTTCATTTTAAGAGAGCCATATTAGAAATTCAACTGCATTATTTACTTTACCAGGGAGCCTTTCTCAGGAACATAAATATTAGGTGTAAAGAACATGTGGATCACAGCACCCAGGTAGAAGGCGGCTCAGGCAAGATCTTTAGGAAAATTGCCTTTAGAAGTTAATGGAAAAAGCATTAACTTCTAGAATCATAACTTTAAAAAAAAGCATGAGAAATTAAAACATTCTAATTGTATCATAAAAGATGTTACATGTCTATCTATATATCTATATCTATCTATATCTATCTATGTATATCTATCTATATCTATCTATCTCTATATATCTATCTATATAGCTATCTATATATATCCATATATCTATCTATATCTATGTATCTATATATCTATTTATATCTATATCTATCTATCTATCTATCTATCTATCTATCTATCTATCTATCTATCTATATGGTTTCCATAATAAGAAAGCCTTCACCATTTTTGGTAAATGAAAGTGGCATTTTATAAGCTTTAGGTAAGAAAAGCAGTTATGTGAAGTTTTGTCTGCCAGTAACTATTGCCAAATTAGCCAGTCTTATTTAAGCTACTTTACATCTTAAATAATTTTAGGGATGTATCTGTTTTGAAAGCATGAGTCTAGTTTATGCAAGACTGAATGATAAGAATTCAAATTCAAAGCTGAATGTGCTTTGTGGTTTACTGTCCTCTGCAAAGAATTTGTCTCCATTTAAAATGGAGGAGTGGAGAGGGGCAGGATACCACTTCCTCAGTCACAAAGGGTTTTTGCCGTGTTCCTTATGTCTCTTGTTATCGTGGATCTATTCCTGTAAAACTTGTAGTCATTATTATCTAAAAAAAGCCTTTGAGGCCTAACTGCTGACATATAATCAAAGTAGAATTATTATGTATCTTGGTATAATCCACTGTAATCAAAGTTGTATACTCTCTGATTACACGTGCAATTGTTCTACAGTTATGAAACAGTTGCTGGGAATGTTCTTGAGAACCAGTTTTTCCCCTTATCAGTCCTTCATGAAATCTGCTGCTGCATTTACAGTAAAAATCTTAAAGTCTTTGTTCCCTCAAATACTCATTATCTTCTATATAAAGCTTCATGGGAGGAATTTCTTCTGGAATTTGGTTTTGAGGTCCTAACTTTTCACAGCAACAGAGAAGAATGAAAAGACAGAGATGCTACCAGAGAGAATTAAATAAGAATTCTAAGAGAGAAAAAAATTCTCCTTGACCAACCTTATTTATAATATTTTTATTCCTCACACTGGAAGGTTCGTTTGTTCACCCACAAACATCCCATTTCATCCTGAGGGTTGGAGTAGCATCAGTAATCCGAAGTTCTCAAGCTGCACACTCTACTTCCTGGGCTTATGGCAGACATTGTTAGTTGATCTAGGTACTGTTTGTTGCATGACCTCAGAATCTTTTTCAATACAAAGGATTGGCAGCCAATGCCAAGCAGTCACTACAAGATGAAACCCATCTGTCACCTTTAGGTTAGAAAGCATGACTAAAAATTCCCCTTTTAAACACTTTGGTAGATGTTTGTGTGAAGACATTGAAACCTTATCAGATTTGCAGAAGACATCACAATGTGAAGGTTGACTTGTGAGAGCAGCTTAGTGTTATGCAAAGAACATGATCTGGGTACAAGCTCAGACTTTGACTCCCAGGATGATACTGTGCAAATCACCTTCCATTTTTTCCCTTTGTAAAATTAATACCTTAATGTACCACTTGGATCTGCAGTTAGGATCTAATTTAATAATTGGGTGTGAAAACCATTTATAAAGTGTCCATTGATAGACACTTGGAAGCCAACGTTATTTTTATGTTTCTTGGAAAACTGCGAGACAAGCACATTTTTTATTCATCTATTGTCTTACCCTGTTTGGGCTGCCATAACAAAATACTGTAGATTACATAGTTTAAATGACAGAAAATTATTTTCTCATAGTCCTGGAAGCTGGAAAGTCAAAGATCAGGATCTGGCAGCTTCAGTCTCTAGTGAGAATTCTTTCTGGCCTGCAGATGGTCGCCTTCTTACCGTGTCCTCACGTCATGGGGAGAGAGCAAGAAAATTTCTCTGTCTCATCTTTTAAGGAAACTAACTCTACTGGATCAGGATAGATCCTTATGTATCACTTTATTTAACCTTAGTTTTATAAAGGACTTATCTCCAAATACAGTCACTGTCACATAGGGGTTAGGAATTCAACCTATGAATTTGGGAGGGACATATTTAATGCATAACAACTGTGTGTCTTGAACTCCTGGCTTAGAAGGGCTGGCAGTCATGTCAGCAAATCTGAACCCAGGCACAGAGGAGCAGCATTTATTTTTATTATACCAGGGAGATGCAGGGAGTTCTGGCCCAAGAGGAGCCAGGCTGATTAGTGTAGTTCTTAATAATACTAGGGGGCACCATATTAGATTCTGAGCCAAGTGGTGCCAAGAGATTGAGTTTAGCTAAAGGGTCAAGAAAAAGAAGTGAGATCCAGCTTTGAGGTCTGGCTGAGGACACATAGAGATCAGGCCCTGGCTTACTTCCTCACTGAGACCCTCTAAGAAATCCCACAGTGGAAGGCTACAAAGCCTAGAGGGACCCATCCCAAGGATAGTGAAGCCCCAGAATGTAGCAGACATCATGAGACACGAAGGGTAGATATGAGTAATATTGTTATTTGCTCATTATCTAGGCAGGGCTACAGTCAAACAGACCACTCACCCCTAATAGGCAACTGAAGTGGTTTAGCCGTCAGATCCAAAGAGCTGGAAATTTTCCCTTCTTTTCCAATCCCCTGTCCCTCGCCTTCCCTGTCTGCTTTCTCCATCTTTTTCCTTCTCTTCTTCCCCCTACTTCTCCTCTTCTCATGCTTTTTCTTCTTCTCCTTCTTCTAGAATATATTAGCAGAATAGAAGACTTTATTTTCTTCCAGGCCTTAACTAAATGAATAGATTCTTTTTATACAGTAGTGAATAAAACATTCAAAATGCCAAGAGATAGTTATTAGTCAAGTTTCTGAATAAAGTTGCTTCATTTTCTACTCAAGAAAAACTGAGGTAACAGATATTACCTGTACTGGTTTCTCAGCCCTGACAGGTGAGATCTTACTTTATGTATTTCAAGAATGAACAAAAACCCTTCTTAGGAAGGAGATACTCAAAGAGAGTCATCCATGGTCAGACTCTGCAACACAACCTGGTCACTTTTTCTTTCCCCTTGAGGTGAGCTGTCTCTTTATAAGCAAAATGGATAACTGAAAATGAGGACTTCATGCCCTACTTTCCTGTTCTCATCTTGGGCAATGACAGGCCAGCTTCCTTTACTCTCTGTCAGATTTACAAAGTCACACGCATGGAAGGTCAATTACCCAACAAAAAGGAAGCTATAAAGCATCTTACGCTTTTGTTCTCTTTCTCTTGATTTAATTTATGTAAGTTAGCTTGTGGGAATAGACCAGGTTAAGCTTACCACATCAGTCTTCCTGAAGAGTGAGCACTCACAGCATGTGTCCACAGGTTGCCCAGGGTGGGACAGTCTCTGTGTGCCTTATGGGATTAGGCAGGGGTCTCTTTGAATGGAACACAAGAGCCCATTCTGAAAATGAAATCTCACATAGGATCTCAATGTGAAGAGCAGATGGGGATGCTGTATCCAGAGAGAGGAGAGAGATGACTTTAGGGAGAGGTGGTGTACCCTCTGAGAGGCACACTTTGAGAACTACTTTCTCTGCGCAAGTTTTCATCAGCAGACTCACTTATTGGATTCTATCCAGGATGGTGGAACGAGAGGAGAGCCTAGATGTTATAGGACAGATTTTAGCTCAGTGTAGAAAACAAAAGAAACAAATAGAAACATCCTTGTTCAGAGCCATGTAACAACATAGTAGTTTCTTTCACAAAGCAGCAAAATTCCTGACACTATAGCATTGAAGAAGGGGTGGTTGACACTCTTTAGAGATAGAAGTATAGAACTTTCCTCATCAGGTGAGACTGGTTCAGATGGCATCTGGCTGTTCATTATAATATTCATAAGTTTTCTGGTGATATTTGACATCTTAGCAGTGTGCAGAGCCCACAGGCAGCTGAAATATAATGAATTGCTTGAGGAAAATATTGAGTGTATAGAGTATACGATTATAGGAATTATGACTATAGATGCCAGTTCTGGCCAACTTACCAATACCAACACACAAAGGCTGCTGGCTGTCAGTGAGGGCCACCTCAGCTTTTCAGCATTAACATTTTAGGTCAGTCCAATTTTTATATATTCAGTAAGAGCAAGGGTGAGAAGAAGAGTACTCCTAGGTACTCATACTTGGTATGCAACATTGGTATGGGAAACAGTCACAGAAAGAAGCATTTAAATACAGGGAGTAGATCCCAAAGCTTCTGTGGCCAGAAGTCTGTACCATTGTTCTGTCCTCCCACATTTGAAAGTTGGTTATTTACTATATGTAAATAACCAAAATGATCCTTGGCACAGAGTAGACTCATAGACCCTGGGGTGCCCACTTGACCACTGCAACGGTGCTGGATGTGTGGTCCAAAGCATGGCTTTCACAGCCAAACACACCACTGTGCCTGTGTGTGTATGTGAATGTGGGCAGGAAACATGGCATTTCTAGATAACCACTCGTGCATGTTCCTTTTTAGCGTCAGATACAAGTATTTATAATTTAATTTGAGGAAAAAGCTTAATACAACTTCAGAAATGAAAGTGAGAGTCAATTTCATGTGTTAGAAAATGAAAGAAGGCCTGTTTCCATTTTGCGGCAGTTTTTCTCTTTTTTTTTTCTCTCAACCCTTTAACTTTGGAATGAAGCAATTCAAATTATGTTCCCTAATGGTCTTTGGCATGAATTTTACAAATTGAAGAAACAGAGCAAAACAGAAGAGAGAAGCTACCATTGGTATAATGGATTTCATTTTTCTTCTTTCTTTTTTAGTCTGTTGTTTTTGAAGTGGATTCCCACAGGTATAGAATTTCCTTCATGAAAGTTGAAATGAAACTGAAGAGCTCTTCATAGAGAGAAGGCCGTGTGATACCAAACATGCTTTCTATTTCATCTCCATGATGAGAATGGATTTTTGGTGATATCGCTCTGAGGAATTTGGCTCAGGTCCGACTTACAGTGGGTCCAGCAGGTACCTGGACACATCCTATGGTCATATCCCCGGTGCCAGAATGCGTAATTGACATAGACATATTTAGCAGCTGGCAGAAGCCCCACATTGGCTGACTGGTAGAGTTAGGGCTACTATGGTGGGAGAGGCCAAATGGAAGCCATTGGGGCTGCCTCTACCTAGAAAAATAGTACGTCAAATACAATATCGCATCCATAAGGGATTGCGGAGATTAGCGCCACCTTTAAGGACTTGAAAGACTCAGGGGTGGTGATTCACACCACATCCCCATTCAACTCTGCCATTTGGCCTGTGCAAAAAACAAATGGATCTTGGAGAATGATAGTGGATTTATCATAAGCTTAACCAAGTGGTGACTCCAATTGCAGCTGCTGTACCAGATATGGTTTCATTGCTTGGGCAAATTTACATATCTCCTGGTAGCTGGTAGGCAGCCATTGACTTAGCAAATGCCTTTTTCTCCATTCCTGTCCATAAGCATAAGCAATGTGCCTTCAGCTGGCAAGGCCAGCAATATACCTTTACTGTCCTGCCTCAGGTGTATATCAACTCTTTTTGTGTCATAATCTTATTCGGAGAGACCTTGAGCACTTTTCACTTCTGCAGGATATCACACTGGTCCATTACATTGATGACATTATGCTGATTAGATCCAGTGAGCAAGAAGTAGCAAATACATTGGACTTATTGGTGAGACATTTGTGTGCCAGAGGATGGGAAATAAATCCAACTAAAATTCAGGGACTTTCTACCTCAGTAAAATTTCTAGGGGTCCAGTGGTGTGGGGCCTGCAGAGATGTTCCTTCTGAGGTGAAAGATAAGTTGCTGCATTTGGCCCCTCCTATAACCAAGAAAGAGGCACAACAACTAGTGGGCCTATTTGGATATTGGAGGCAACACATTCCTCATTTGGGTGTGTTATTCCAGCCCATTTATCAACTGACCCAAAAGGCTGCCAGTTTTGAGTGGGGTCCAGAACAACAGAAGGCTCTGCAACAGGTCCAGGCTGCTGTGCAAGCTGCTCTGCCACTTGGGCCATATGACCCAGCAAATCCAGTGATGCTTGAAGTGTGAGTGGCAGATAGGGATCCTGTTTGGAGTCTTTGGCAGGCCCTCATAGGTGAATCATAGCAGAAGCCTCTAGGATTTTGGAGCAAGGCTCTGCCATCTTCTGCAGATAACTACTCTCCTTTTGAGAGACAGATCTTGGCCTGTTACTGGGCTTTGGTGGAAACTGAATGTTTGAATATGGGTCATCAAGTCACCATGCGACCTGAACTGCCTATCATGAACTGGGTGCTTTCTGACCCATCTAGCCATAAAGTGGGTTATGCACAGCAGCATTCCATCATCAAGTGGAAGTGGTATATACATGATCAGGCTCGAGCAGGTCCTGCAGGCACAAGTAACTTACATGAGGAAGTGGTTCAAATGCCCATGTCTCCACTCCTTCTACCCTGCCTTCTCTCCCTCAGCCTGCACCAGTGGCCTCATGGAGAGTTCCCTATGACCGGTCAACAGAGGAACATAGGACTAGGGGCTGGTTCACAGATGGTTCTGCATGATATGCAGGCACCACCCGAAAGTGGACAGCTGCAGCACTACAGCCTCTTTCTAGGACATTCATGAAGGACAGCAGGGAAGGGAAATCTTCCCAGTGGGCAGAACTTTGAGCAGTGCATGTGGTTGTGCACTTTGCATGGAAGGAGAAATGGCCAGATGTGTGATTATGTACTGACTCATGGGCTATAGCCAATGGTTTGGCCAGATGGTCAGGGACTTGAAAGAAGCATGAGTGGAAAATTGGGGACAAAGAAATTTGGGGAACAGGTATGTGGATGGACCTCTCTGAGTGGTCAAAAACTGTGAAGATATTTGTATTCCATGTGAGGGCGCACCAACAGGTGACCTCACAGAGGAGGATTTTAATAATCAAGTGTATAGGATGACCCATTCTGTGGACACCACTCAGCCTCTTTCCCCAGCCACCCCCATCATCACCCAATGAGCCCCTGAGCAAAGTGGCCATGGTAGCAGGGATGGAGGATACTCATGGGCTCGGCAACATGGACTTCCACTCACCAAGCCTGACCTGGCTACAGCCACTTCTCAGTGCCCAATTTGCCAGCAGCAGAGACCAACACTGAGCCCTCGATATGGCACCATTCCCTGGGGTGATCAGCCAGCTACCCGGTGGCAGGTTGATTATATTAGACCTCTTCCATCACAGAAAGGGCAAAGGGTTGTCCCCACTAGAATAGACACTTACTTCAGATATGGGTTTGCCTATCCTGCAGGCAGTGATTCTGCCAAGAGTACCATCTGTGGACTCATGAATGCCTTATCCACCGTCACAGTATTCCATATAACATTGCCTCTGACCAAGGCCCCCACTTTACAGCTAAAGAAGTGTGGCAGTGAGTTCATGCTCATGTAAATCACTGGTCTTACCATGTTCCCCATCATCCTGCAGCAGCTGGATTGATAGAATGGTGGAATAGCCTTTTGAAGTCACAATTACAGTGCCAACTAAGTGACAATACTTTGCAAGTCTGGGGCAAAGTTCTCCAGAAGGCCATGTATGCTCTGAATCAGCATCCAATATATGGTACTGTTTCTCCCGTAGCCAGAATTCACAGGTCCAAGAATCAAGAGGTGGAAGTGGAAGTGATCCACTAGCAAAATTTTTGCTTACTGTTCCCATGACATTACGTTCTGCTGGCATAGAGGTCTTAGTTCTAGAGGGAGGAACGCTGCCACCAGGAGACAGAACAATGATTCCATTAAGCTGGAAGTTAAGATTGCCACCTGGACACTTTCGGTTCCTCCTACCTTTAAGTTAACAGGCTAAAAAGGGAGTTAGTGTTCGCTGGGGTGATTGACCCAGACTAACAAGATGAAATCAGTCCACTACTCCACAACGGAGGTAAGGAAGAGTATGCATGGAATACAGGAGATCCATTAGGGCATCTCTTAGTATTACCATGCCCTGTGATTAAAGTAAATGGGAAACTACAACAGCCCAATCCAGGCAGGACTACACATAGCCCAGACCCTTCAGGAATAAAGGTTTGGATCATTCCACCAGGAAAAAAAACAGGACCTGCTGAGGTGCTTGCTGAAGGCAAAGGAAATACAGAATGGGTAGTAGAAGAAGGTAGTCATCAATACCAGCTACAACCACATGACTAGCTGCAGGAACAGGGACTGTAATTGTCATGAGTACTTCCTCTTTTGTTAAAAACATGTTTGTGCATGTATATACTTGCACTAAGAAAATATCTTCATTTTATTTCCTTTTTCCTTTATCATGTGACAATAAGATTTATTGACTTCATATCAGCATTTAAGTATTGTTAACTTTATGTAATAGTATTTGGGTTGGGGATTGGTGCGTTTCTGGTTGTACAAGGGATAGTTGTATTATGTTAGGCATAATTATGACATTATAGTTGTCTTTATTTGAAGATTATGTATGATCTCAGAAGATGTGTATGGATTCAAGTTGACAAGGGGTAGGCTTGTGATGGTTAATACTGAGTGTCAACTTGATTAGATTGAAGGATGCAAAGTATTAATCCTGGGTGTATCTGTGAAAGTGTTGCCAAAGGAGATTAACATTTGAGTCAGTGGGCTGGGGAAGGCAGACTCACCCTTAATCTGGATGGTTACTGTCTAATCAACTGCCAGCAAATATAAAGCAGACAGAAAAATGTGAAAAGGTTAGACTGGCCTAGCCTCCCAGCCTACATCTTCCTCCCATGCCGGATACTTCAAACATCAGATTCTGCGTTCTTCAGTTTTGGAATTCAGGCTGGTTCTCCTTGCTCCTCAGCCTGCAGATGCCCTATTATGGGACCTTGTGATTGTATGAGTTAATACTTAATAAACTCATGTATATATATATATATGTGTGTGTGTGTGTGTGTGTGTGTGTGTACATGTATGTGTGTATATATATATATATATTCCATTTTGTCCCTCTAAAGAACTCTAACATATCATAGATGGAGACTAATAGGGCAAAGTCCATCTCAGGCGAAAAGAAAAGGAAGACAAAAAGTGAACTACAAGAGAATTTGCTTTTCCTAGTGCCCCTTGCCATGCACAGCTGGTAATTCATCAAACACCATGTCTGCCCTTTCAGAGGCTTTGGTGAGGGGCCCATGTGGGGACAAGGCTGAGCTGAGCTCATTGTAACACAAGACACCAGAGCAGCTCGGGAGGAGTATTCAGATTCAAAGCCAGTCCTGCAGCCTGATTCAGGGTGCTAGATGTTTGGGCCTAAGAAAGTGTGCTTCACTCCATGACCGTGAGCGCATTGTGGAGATGGGGAAAGGGAGGACCTTCACTGCTAGATTTGGTGTCTTTAAACCATCTTGCATTTTCAGGACATCTTGAACTCATTTCTGGCAGCCTCCTACCATTCTATCCAATGAGATAGTTCTGTTGCCTTGGCAGCTAGTCTGAGAGCTGCAGATAGCTTTCCAAATGCCTTTATCCCTTCCATCCACTTCTCCCATCCTCCTGCCTGCCCCAGGCCCAGGCCTTGCCTCTGGGCAATGGTAACACCTCCTCATGGGTCTCTCTACCTTGCTCAAATCTATGTTTCATCCTGGAGCCAAACTGTCCTACAGATAAAGCCCCATATTCTTTCGAGGTCTCTTAAAATAAGAGCTAGAAATAAAAAAAAAAGTAAGTCCTAGAAATAAAAATAAAAATAAAATGCATGTCTTGTATTTTATTTGACACAAATAAAATACAGGACATGCAGTTAAATTTAAATTGTAGATAAATAAGGATTTTTTTTTAGTATAAGTATATCCCAAGTATTACATGGGACACATATATTAAAAATTTATTTTTTTATCTGAAAATAAATTAACTGGGCATTCTGTATTTTTATGTGCTAAATCTGGCAAATCAGGGCCCTGCATATTCTGGCCCAACCTAACTTTTTCCCTCTTTGCACACTACAGGTTCACTCTGTTACTTAGCTGCTTGCGATCCCCCCAGTAGGCTGCTCAGCCTGGGCTCCCCAGAGCAGACCCTGTGAAGGACTGGAGTGCAAGTACTTTATTTGGGAAGCACGGAAAACACTGGTAGGAAGTGGTGACGTGACATAGGAAGAGAAAGTCAGAACTCACAGTGGGTGGCTGGCCCTAAATCCTGTAGGGAAACAGTGGGAAACATAAAACTCACTCAGAATTTTCCCACATGTGGGGAAAAGGACCTGGGCATTTACAAATCAACTATACCAGGCAGGGGTTGAGGGCTATTCTTAGGGTGTCATTTCTCTCATGCATTTTACCAGCATTTCACAGGAGAAGGAAAGTGGCCTCTGCCACCTGGGGAAAGCCCTCCAGTAGAGAGGCAGATGCAGGCAGGTGGAAGTGCACTGCTGAAGAACAAGGAAGATTTCAGGCTCCAGGGGACCTGGGAAAGTTCGCCACAGGCCTGCTACACATGTATTGCCTTTCCTCTTGTAGGTGGTTTTTCTTTGCCACTCCCTATTTCTTCAGACTCCTCCCACCTCATCCCTCACTGCCCTTTCTTCTACTCATTCTACTCAGCTTAGATGTCACTTCTAGAGGAATACCTCCCCACCTCCACACCTACCCACCATACTTCTGAAACTCAAGTACTCCCCATATCATTTTACTAACTTTTATCACAACTCAGTAATTTCCATTGCAATGTTAAAAAAGGGCTTTCAGCCAATTTTGTTATGAGCATATGTCAAAATTTCATTATAACTTTGCTTCCAGGAAAACAAGGTCTTGACAGAGTAGGGCAATAAAGATTCTTTCTTGTTAAGAAATTGTATTGTTACCAAGAATGGTTAGATAATTATTGTTGAAGCAGATACAAAAAGAAAAGAATATTTGTTTAAAGATCACCTTGCTCTTAACGGACAGTCATCCGGGTGGCAAATCACTTACTTTCCCAGAACAAATTTTTATCAATTAAAATTTATAAGGAAATTATTTAAGCATTAATCAGTCCTCAAAAGAATGTCATGAGTTACATTATTCTAGATATATTCTTGATCAGATCAGGTTTGGAATGACTTGCTCTTTTTCAAATAGAAATTACATGTTTTCTTCTATTTTGCCTCCCTCTAACTCCTTGAGTTTGATGATCGTATCTGGTTCTCTGCCATATGCCCAGTAACTCCAGCAATTGCAGAGCCTCAGTACACAACTCAGTGGGGACTCAATAGATATATGTTGAATAAATGAGTATTTAGGAGTACAGATACTGCCAATGAAGTACCACTTTGGCCATATAACCTTGAATTTTGTGGCTCAGCCCTTATTAAAAATGTATTTCTAAGAAATTTCACCAGGGACTTCCAACTTCTAGTCCAACATGTAAAGAACTTAAAAGTTGCTACTTTGTCCCGACAACAACGAAAACCTAAACAAACTGAAAAAATCAGCAACTCTTCTTAGACCAATCAGAGAAGTGAGGTCACAGGGCAGATTGCTGCTCTCAGAATTGGGGAGAGAGAGAGGCAGATGTAGAGAATCACAACACACCAAAGCAGAAACCCCTGAGCAGAAACCGCCACAGGAACCAGTGCTGGTGTAGAAAAACTTAAGCCGTAATTGATGCATTACTGGAAGCTTGGTGCGGACAAGTCTGACAGAGAAAGACTTCAGGGGCCCCACATTTCTGTGAGTTTTACTCCTAGGAGCTCCACCAGGTTCTCACAGTAAATATTGAAGAAAAGTATCCTCATGGTTTGGCAAGAAGGGAAAAGTAACAATTTTGAGATATGCCACAACAGTCTGTTCTTAAGAAGAGCTGCCCTTAGGAGAACTAATGTTACCAGAGCCACACTTGCTGAGGTTTTATCAGAGTATAACCTGAGGAAGGGGAAGGAAAAGATGAAACTCCTGTCCCCTCTAAGGTGGGAAAAAACCGAGAAGTACTGGTGAAGTTCATGGTCCAGAGACAAGCTCACCAAAAGAGTGAGACCTAATGATAGGACAATAGAACATTTCCCCTCCAACAAATGTCCCACCACTACATCACTAAAGGCCTATTTATGCCCATTCCTTTCACCTAGTATATCATGTCTACCTTTCAATGAAAATATATAAAGCATACTACAAGGCAAAAGTACACACTTCAGAGAGACTAAACAAGCATCAAAACCACAGTCAGATCTGACAGGAATGTTAGAATTATTCGTCCATATATTTTTTAAACTATGATTAGTATACTAAGGGCTTTGATGGAAGAGGTGGACATCATACAAGAACAGATGAATAATGTAATTAGATGAAAATTCTAAGAATAAAAAAATGCTTGAGAGCAAAAGAAAAAGCATGAATAGAAATTAATTATTTTCATGATTACATTAGTTAACTGGGCATGGCTAAGGAAAAACTATTCAGAACTTGAGGATACAACAATAGAAACTCAAAAATTGGGGGAAAAAAAAAGACTGAAAAAAGAACCCGAAACAATATCCATGGAGAAAAAAGACTGGGGGAAAAAAAAACTAGAACAGAATATCCAAGAACAGTGGAACAACTACAAAAGACGTAGCCTATGTGTAACGGGAATACAAGAAGGAGATGAAATAATTACTGAGAATTTCCTCAAATTAATGTCAGACAACAAACTACAGATCCAGGAAGCGCAGAGAACACCAAATAGGATAAATGCAAATGAACAAAGGAACAAAGACAAAAATGCATTTGTTAGTCTTATACAAATTTCAGAAAATCGAAGCCAAAAAATTTTTAATATTTCTTAAAATTTTGTGGGTACATAGTAGGTGTGTATACTTACAAGGTACTTGAGATATTTTGTTACAGGCATGCAATGCATAATAATCACATCATGGAAAATTGGGTATCCATCCCCTCAAGACTTTTAGTTGCTTTTTTAAATGTACAGTTAGGCTAGGTGTGGTTTATCACACCTGTAGTCTCAGAACTTTGGGAGGCTGAGGCAGGCAGATCATTTGAGCCCAGGAGTTCAAGACCAGGCTGGGCCACATAGCAAGACCACATCTCTACAAAAAAATACAAAAATTAGATGGGCATGGTGGCACATGCCTGTGGTCCCATCTAATTGGGAGACTGAGGTAGGAGGATGGCTTGAGCCTGGGAGCTTGAAATGGCAGCCGTGATCATGTCACTGCACTCTAGCCTGGGCAACAGAGCAAGACCCTGTCTCAAAAAGTAAAATAGAATATACAATTAAATTATTATTGACGTAGTCACCCTCTCGTGCTACTAAATACTAAATCTTACTATTCTTTTTAACTTTTAAACCCATTAACCATCCCAGCATCTTTCCAGCCCCCTTCCTCCACTATTCTTCCCCGCCTCTGGTAACCATTCTTCTACTCTCTATCTCCATATGTTTTATTGTTTTGATTTTTAGATCCCACAAATAAGTGAGAACATGTGATGTTTGTTTTCTGTGCCTGACTTATTCCGCTTGACATAATGACCTCCAGGTAAATCCATGTTGTTGCAAATGACAGGATCTCATTCTTTTTATGGCTGAACAGTATTCCATTGTGTATATACCACATTTTCTTTATCCATTCATCTGTTGATGGACACTTAGGTTGCTTCCAAATCTTAGCTATTGTGAACAGTGCTGCAATAAACATGGGAGTGCAAATATCTCTTTTGACATACTGATTTCCTTTATTTTGGGTGTATACCCAGCAGTGGGATTGCTGGAACACATGGTAGCTCTGTTTTTCGTTTTTTTGAGGAACCACCTAACTTTTCTTTATAGTGCTTTTATAATTTACATTCCCACCAACAGTATTCCATTTTCTTCATATACTCACCAGCATTTGTTATTGCCTGTCTTTTGGATAAAAGATATTCTAATGAGGGTGAAATGATATCTTATTTTAGTTTTGATGTTCATTTCTATGATGATCAATGATATTGAGGACCTTTTCATATGCCTGTTTGCCATTTGTATGTCTTCTTTTGAGAAATATCTATTTAAATCTTTTGCCCATTTTTAAATCCAATTATCAGATTTTTTTCCTGTACAGTTGTTTGAGCTCTTTATATATTCTGGTTATTAATTCCTTGTCAGATGAGTAGTTTGATGAGTTTACTTTGTTGATTGTTTCCTTTGCTAAACAGAAGCTTTTTAACTTGCTGTGATGCCATCTGTCAAATTTTGCTTTTGTTGCCTGTGCTCGTGGGGTATTACTCAAGAAATTTTTGCCCAGACCAACGTCCTGGAGAGTTTTCCCAGTGCTTTCTTGTAATAGTTTCATAGTTTGAGGTCTCAGATTTAAATCTTTAATCCATTTTGATTTGATTTTTGTATAAGGTGAGAGATAGTACTCTAGTTTCATTCTCCTACATATGGATATCCAGTTTTCCCAGCCCCAGTTATCGAAGAGATTATCTTTTCCCCCAGTGTATGTCCTTGACACCTTTGTTGAAAATGAATTCACTGTAGGTGTGTGAATTTTTCTTCTGGATTCTCTACTTTGTTCCATTGGCCTATGTATCTTTCTTTATGCCAGCACCATGCTATTTTGGTTACTATAGTTCTGTAGCATAATTTAAAGTCAGATAGTAAGATTCTTCCAGTTTTGTTCTTTTTGCTCAAGATAGCTTTGGCTATTCTGGTTTTTTTGTGACTCTGTATAAATTTTAGGATTAAAAAAATTCTCTGAAGATGTCATTGGTATTTTGATAGGAGTTGCATTGAATCTGTATGTTGCCTTGGGTGGTATGGACATTTTAGCAATATTGATTCTTCTAATCAATGAACATGGAATATTTTTCCATGTTTTAGTGGCCTCCTCCATTTCTTCAGTGTTTCATAGTTTTCACTGTAGAGATCTTTCACTTCTTTGGCTAAGTTGATTCCTAGGTATTTAATTTTATGTGTGGCTATTGTAAATGGGATTATTTTCAGATTGTTCACTGTTATCACATAAAATTCTGCTGATTTTTGTATGTTGATTTTGTATCCTGTAACTTTACTGAATTTGTTTATCAGTTCTAATCGTTTTTTGTGTGGAGTCTTTAGGTTTTTTCAAATATAAGATTATATCGTCTGAAAACAAGCATAATTTGACTTCCTCATTTCCTCTTGTCTGCTTACTCTAGCTAGGACTTCCAGTGCTATGTTGAATAACAGTGGTAAAAGTGGTCATCCTTGCCATACTCCAGATCTAGAGGATAGGCTTTCAGTTTTTCCATTCAGTGTGATACTAGCTGTGTGTCTGTCATATATGGCTTTTATTCTGTTGAGATAGGTTTATTCTATACACAGTTTTTTGAGGATTTTATTATGAAGAGATATTAAACTTTATTAAATGCTTTCTTGAAATCAATTGAAATAATCATACGGTTTTTGTCCTTCATTCTGTTGACATGATATATCACATTGATTGATTTGCATATGTTGAATCAACCTTTCATCCTTGGGATAAATCCCACTTGGTCATGATGAAATATCTTTTTAATGTATTTCTGAATTTGGTTTGCTAGTGTTTTGTTGAAGATTTTTGCCACAATATACATTAGAGATATTGGCCTGTAATTTTCTTTCTTTGATGCATCTTTGGTTTTAGTACCAAGGTAATACTGGCCTCAGAGAATGGGTTTGGAAGTATTCCCTCCTCCTCTGTTTTTCAGAATAGTTTGAATACATTGGTATTACTTCTTTAAGTTTTTGATAGAATTCAACAGTAAAGCCACTGGGTCCTTGGCTTTTCTTTGCTGGAAGACTTTTTATTACAGCTTCAATCTCATTATTTGTTATTGTTCTGTTCAGGTTTTGAATTTCTTCATGGTTCAGTTTTGGTAGGTTGTATGCATCCAGGATTTTATCCATTTCTTCTGGATTTTCCAATTTATTGGCATACAATTGCTCATAGTAGCCACTAATGATTCTATGAATTTCTGTAGTTATCAGTTATAAAGTCTCCTTTTTCATCTCTGATTTTATTTATTTGGGCCTTCTCTCTTTTTTTCTTAATCTGGTTAAAGGTTTGTCAATTTTCTTTATCATTTCAAAAACCAACTTTTTGTTTCATTGATCTTTTTTTTTTTCATTTCAAATTCATTTGTTTCTGCTCTGATCTTTATTATTTCTTTTCTTCTAATTTTGGGTTGAGTTTGCTCTTGCTTTTCTAGACTATTGAAATGCATCATTAGGTTATTTATTTGAAGGTTTACTTTTTTGATGTAGTCACTTATAGCTATAAATTTCTATCTTATTACTACTTTTGCTGTACCCCATAGAGTTGGGTATATTGTGTTTCCATTATCATTTATTTCAAGAATTTCTTCAATTTTTTATTAATTTCTTCATTGCCCCACTGGTCATTAAGGAGCATATTATTTAATTTTCATATGTTGGTATATTTTCCAAAATTCCTCTTATTATTGATTTCTAGTTTTGTCCCATTTTGGTCAGAGAAGATATTTGATATGATTTCAACTTTTGAGTGTTTTAAGACTTGTTTTGTGACCTAACATATGGTCTATTTTTGAGAATGATTCATGTGCTGAGGAGACAAATGTGTACTCTGCAGTCATTGGATAAAATGTTCTGTAAATATTTATTAGGTCCACTTAGTTTATAATGCAGATTAAGTCCTACATTTCTTTGTTGATTTTCTATCTGGGAAATCTATCCCATGCTAAAAGTGGGCTGCTGAAGTCTCCAGCTATTATTATATTGGAGCTTATCTCCCTCTTTAGTTCTAATAATATTTGCTTTGTATATCTGGGTACTCTAGTGTTGGGTGCATATGTATTTACAATCATTATATCCTCTGGCTGAATTGACCCCTTTGTCAATGACCTTCTTTGTCCTTTGTCTCTTCTTACAGTTTTTCTTGAAATCTATTATTTTCTGATAGAAGTAGAGCTATTCCTGCTCTTTTTTGGTTTTCATTGGCATGGAATATCTTTTTCCATCTCTTTATTTTCATTATCTGTATATCTTTATATGGTGAAGGGTGTTTCTTGTAGGCAAGAGATCCTTGGGTTTTGTTTTTTGTCTATTCAGCCATTCTATATCTTTTGATTGAAGACTTTAGTCCATTTACATTCAACGTTATTATGGATAAGTAGGGGCTTGCTCCTTTTATTTTGTTATCTGTTTTCTTGCTATTTTGCAGTCTTTCCTTTCTTCCTGTCTTCCTTTTAGTGAAGGCGATTTTCTTTGATAGTGTGCTTTAATTTTTTGCTTTTTATTTTTTGTGTATCCATTAATGTTTTTCAGTTTTAGATTACCATGAGGCTGGCAAATACAATCTTATTACTCATTATTTTAAACTGATGACAACTTACCACTGATTATGTAAACAAATATGCAAAAAGAAAACTAATAAAAACTCTATACTTTAAGTTCTTCCACTGATTTTTATCTTTTTGTTGTTTGTCTTATTGTACTATTTATGTCTTAGAAAGTTGTTGTAATTATTATTTTTGATGGGTTCATCTCTTAGTATTTCTACTGAAGTCAAAAGATGTTTATACACCACAATTACAGTGTTATACTAATTTGTGTTTTGCTGCATGCATGCTATTACCAATGAGGTTCGTATCTTTAGATGATTTATTCTTGCTCATTAGAGTCCTTTTCTTTCAGATTGAAGTACTTCCTTTAGGATTTCTTCTAAGACAGGTCTGGGGTTGATGAAATCCCTCAGCTTTTGTTTGTCTAGGAAAGTCTTTATTTCTCCTTCATACTTAAAGAATATTTTTGCCAGATATACTGTTCTAGGGTAACAGTTTTTTCTTTCAGCAATTTAAATATGTCATGTCACTCTCCTAGTCTGTAACGTTTCCAATGAGAAGTCTGCTGCCAGATGTATGGGAGTTCCATTTTATGTTATTTGTTTCTTTTCTCTTGCTGCTTTCAGGGTCCTTTCTTTATCCTTAACCTTTAGGAATTTGATTACTGAAAACCTAAAGGTAGTCTTCTTTGGGTTAAATCTGCTTGGTGTTCTATAATCTTTCTGTACTTGAATGTTGATATCTTTCTCTAGGTTTGGGAAGTTATTATCCCTTTGAATAAACTTTCCACCCCTATCTCCTTCTTTACCTCCTCCTTAAGGCCAATAACTCTTAGATTTGTGCTTTTGAGGCTATTTTCTAGATCTTGTAGGTATGCCTTATTGTTTTATATTATTTTTTATTTTGTCTCCTCTAATGATGTATTTTCAGATAGCCTGTCTTTGAGCTCAGTAATTCTTTGGCTTAATCATTTCTGCTCCTAAGAGACTCTGTTGCATTCTTTAGCACATCAATTACATTTTCAACTCTAGAATTTCTGCTTAATTCTTTTTAATTATTTCAATATTTTTGTTAAATTTATCTGATCAAATTCTGAATTCCATCTCTGTTATTTTGAATTTCTTTGAGTTTCTTCAACAGAGCTATTTTGAATCATCTGTCTGAAAGGTCATATATCCCTGTTTCTCCAGGATTGGTCCCCAGTGACTTATTTAGTTCATTTGGTGATTTCATGTTTTCCTGAATGGTATTCATGTTTGTAAATGTTCTTCAGTGTCTGGGCATCAAAGGGTTACTTTATTGCAGTCTTCACAGTCTGGGCTTGTTTGTGCCTGCCCTTCTTTGGAAGGCTTTCCAGGTATTCAAAGGGACTTGGGCTCCAAGCCCAATAATGCTGTGGCTTTTGCAGATGCATAGAGGTACTGCCTTCATGGTCTTGGATAAGATCTGGAAGAATTCTTTAGATTGCCAGGCAGAGACTCTTGTTCTTTTTCTTAATCATATGGAGTCCCTCTCTCTGTGCTGAGCCACCTGGAACTGAGGGTATGGTGATGCAGACACCCTGTGGCCACCACCACTGGGAGCTTGCTGGGTTAGCGCAGCACTGACCCTTTTCCAAAGCCCTTCCCTTTAGGGTGGTGAGCTCCCCCAGGCCCTGGGCATCTCCAGAGACGCTGCCTGGGTGGCAGGGTTGGAGTAAAAAAACCTTAGCAATTTACCTAATGTTCTGTTCTACAGCAGCTTATCTGGCACTCAAATCACCATATAAAGACCTTCCCGCTCTTCCCTTCCCTTACCACAGGTAGAAAAGCCTCTCCCTGTGGCCACCACTCGTCGACAGGAAGTTCTGCCAGGCCACTGCCAATATTCATGTGGCTTGTCGTGAATGTTGCTAAGCCTGGGACTCACCCTTTAGTGCTGTGTGCTCCCCTCTTCCCATGGCATGTCCAGCAATGCTGTCCCAAAGCCTAGGCCTGGACTTGGCAACCCCGAGAGCCTGTGTGTAGCTCTACCCCACTGTGGCCTAGTTGGTACCTAGGATGCAGGACAAAGTCCCCTTTACTTTTCCTTCTGCTTTTCTCAAGCAAAAGGAGTCTTTCATCATAGCCACCACAGCTGAGAATGTACTGGGTTTCTCCTGAAGCCAGCATTTCTCAGAGACCAAGGCCCATGGCATACTCCCTGGGTACTGCTGATGGCTATTCAATGCCCAAGGGCTCTTTAGTCAGCAAGTGATGAATCCTGCCAGGACTAGGTCCTTCCCTTCAAAACAGCAGGTTCCCTTTTGGCCCAGGGTGTGTGTAAAATATATCCAGGAGCTAGGACCTGGAATCAGGGGGTCATGACTCTGCCCAATACCCTATCCTACTGTGGTTGAGTTGGTATCCAAGATGCAAGATAAAGTCCTCCTTGCATCGGCAATTCAAGAGTGTCTCCTGCCCTTCTTGATGTCTCTTTCCACAATAGAAAATTAAAAGGTTTGGGAGGTTGAGAAGGCAGATCACGAGGTCAGGAGTTTGAGACCAGCCTGACCAACATGGTGAAACCCCATCTCTACTAAACATACAAAAATTAGTCAGGCATGGTGGCGCATGCCTGTAATCCCAGCTACTCAGGAGGCTGAGGCAGGAGAATCGCTTGAACCTGGGAGGCGGAATTTGCAGTAAGCCAAGATCATGCCATTGCACTCCAGCCTGGGTGACAGAGTGAGACTCCATCTCAAAAAATAAATAAATAAATAAATAAAAAATAATAAAAATGTTAAAAGCAGGTACTGTGTTTGCTCACCTGATATTTGGGTCTTGTGACAGTGCTTTTCTGTGTGCACATAGTTGTTACATTTGGTGTTCCAGCAGTGGGGATGAACGGTGTAGACTTCTATTCTGCTATCTTGCTCCACACCTCCAAAAAAAAAAAAAAATCTTGAAAGAAGCCAGAGGGGGAAAAACCTTACCTATAGAGGAAAAAAGATAAGAATTACATTAGACTTCTCCCCAGAAACTACAGAAGCAAAAGGAATGTAGAATAAATCATCTGTATGAAAGTGAAATATTTAAAAGCATTGAGAGAAGAAAACCATCCACCAAAGTTTCTGTAGCTGCAGAATTTTTCTTCAAAAGTGAAGAGAAAATAAAGACTCAGACAAACAAAAATTGAGCCAATTTGTTGCTAATAGACCTGCCTTGCAAGAAATGCTAAAGTAAGTTCTTCAGAGAGAAGGAAAATAATATAGGTCAGAAACTCAAATCTATATTAAGAAAGGAAGAGCACTGGAGAATGAACAAGTGAAGGTAAAATGAATGCAATACATTAATTGTTTTTATTCTTGATTGAACTAACAAATTAGTTTTTTTAAAAATAATAGCAAAAAATAGCAACAATGTATTCAATTTTGTATGCTTATGTGTAAGTAAAATGAATAGCAACAAAGAGGAGACAGGAGAGAAGAATTAGGAATATTTTGTAATTACAAGTTATTTGCACTATCGGTGAAATGTTATAATATTATTTGAAAGTGAACTTGGATTAGTTGTACATTTTTATTACAAACTCTAGGGCAACTACTTTAAAAAGGACATAATTGACATGTAAAAAAAGAAAAAAAAGGAATCATATAATATGCCTAATAAAACCAACAAAAGGCAGAAAAAGTCTGAAAGACAAAGTAGAAAAATAAGAAAAACTAATAGAAACAATAAAAATGGTAGATATTAATCAAATGATACAATGTTTGCTCTCAGCCTACAGTGACATTAAACTAGAATTCAGTAACAGAGTAATAGCTGAAAAATAGAAAAGTACTCGGGGGTTAAGCTACACACTTCTAAATAACACATTGGTCAAATCTCAGGATAAATTTTTAAAATATTTTGAAATAAATGAAAATGAAAACACAACTCATCAAAATTTGAAATATGCAATGAAAGTAGTGTTTGCAGGGAAATGTTTATCATTAAATGTATGTGTTAGAAAAGAAGGAAAATTTAAAATCCATAATCTTGGCTTCTACCTTAGGGAACCAGAAAAAGAAGAGCAAATTCAATTCAAGGTAAGCAGAGAAGAAGTAATAAAAATTAGAGCAGAAATGAATAAAATTGAAAAGAGGATATCAATTAGGAATATCAACAAAATAAAAGATAGTTTCTTGAAAAGATAAATAAAATTCATAAGCCTCTAGCCAGGCTAACCGAAAAAAAAAAAAGAGATGACACAAATTACAAACATTATAAATAGGAGATATCACTACAGACCTCATAGACACTAAAAGGATAATGAAGGAATATTATGAACAACTCTATGCCTACAAATTTGATAGCCTAGATTAAATGGACCAATTCCTTGCAAGATACAATTGTGAAAACTCACACAAGCAGAAATAGATAATCTGAATAGCTCTATATCTGTTAAAGACATTGAATCAATAATTAATAACCTTCCAAAACTGAAAAAATTTGGTCCAGATGGTTTCACCAGTGATTTCTACCAAAAATTTAAGAAAAAGTTACACCAATTTCTCTACAATCTCCTTCAGAACAGAGAAACAAAGGAAATACTTTTTAAAATTGCACCAAATTCTCTACAATCTCCTTCAGAACAGAGAAACAAAGGAAATACTTTCTAATTCATTCTCTGGGGCAGCATTAACCTACTACCAAAACCAAAGGTATTATAAGAAATGAAAACTAAAGACTAATATCTCTCTGGAACATAAATGCAAAAATCCCCAACAAAATATTAGTACATTGACTAATTAGTACATTGACCTAAAATGAATATAAAACATTATACATAACAGCCAAGTGGGATTTATTTTTCCCTAGGTATGCAAGGCTGTTTCAACATTGACAAATCAATTAATTTAATTCATCACATTAACAGGCTAAAGAAGAACCATTTGACAATATAAATAGATGCAGAAAAAGCATCTATCAAAATCCACACCCATTTATGACAAAAAGTTTCAGCAAATTAGGTTAAAGGGGAATTCCTCAACTTGATAAAGAACATCTACAAAAAAAAAAGAAAAAATAAAGAAAAAAACCTAAAAACTACAAAAAAACTAAAAAACTACTGCTAACATCATATGTAAGGATGAGAAACTTGAAGCTTTTCTGTAAGATCAGAAACAAAACAAAGTTTTTGTTTTGGGGTTTTTTTGTTTTTGTTTTTTGTTTTTTGTTTTCAACATCATACTGGAAGTACTAGCTAATTCAGTAATACAAGAAAAGGAACTAAAAAGTATTCAGATTGGGAAGGGAGAAGCACAACCATCTTGTTTGTAGATTACATGATCATCTATGGGAAATCTGAAGGAATCTGTAAAAAACTCTTGGAACTAATAAGCAATTATAGCAAGGTTGCAGGATAAAAGTTAACATATTAAAGTCAATTGCTTTTCTATTTATGGGCAAAAAATACAAGTGGAATTTGAAACTCAATACACAATATCATTTACATTAGCACCCAAAAATTTATACTTAGGTGTAATCCAACAGAATAATTAAATATATATTATTTTATAATTATATTAATTATTTTTAAATTATAAGTTGCATGTTATACTTATTTATATTTATAATTGTATAATTACATATGAAAAACTCTAAACCTCTGATGAAAGATATTAAAGAAGAATTAAATAAGTGGAGAGATACTCCATGTTCATGGATAGAAAGATGTAACATTGCCAAGTTATCAATTCTTTTCAACTTGATCTATACATTCAATTTAATCCCATCAAAATTCTGGTAAGTTATTTTGTAGATATTAACAAACTGATTCTAAAGTTTATATGGAGGGGCAAAAACAAAAACCCAGAAAGCCAACTTAATATTGAAGTCAAAAAACAAAGTCAGAGGACTGACACTATCCAACTTCAAGACTTACTATAAAGCTACAGTAAGCAAGATAATGTGGTATTAGTGAAAGAATAGACAGCTAGATCAATAGAACAGATCAAATGGAACAGAAAGCCCAGAAATAGACCCATATAAGTATCACCAACTGATCTTTGGCAAAGAGTGAAAGCAGTACAATAGACCAAAAATAGTCTTTTTAAAAATGATGATAGAACAACTGGATATACACATGCAAAAAAAAAATTACTCTAGACACAGAATTTATATTCTTTACAAAAAAAAAACACCTCAAAATGGTTCATAGACATAAATGTAAAACACAAAACTATAAAACTTTTAGAAAATAACAGAAGAAAACCCAAGTAACCTTGAGTATGGCAATGGCTTCTTATATAAAACACCAAAGGCATGATTCATGAAAGAAATAATTGAGCTGGACTTCATTAAAATTAAAAACTTCTGCTGTGAGAAAGGGCAATGAATCTATTCTGTATGCTACCTTATTATGCTACAATGGTCGATACATGCCACTGTACATTTGCCAAAACCCATAGAATGTACAATATCAAGAATGAACTGAAATTTCAACTATGGATTTTGGGTGATAATGATGTGTTAAGGTAAGTTCATCAATTGTATAAATTGCACCACCACTGTGGAGCAGGATATAGGTAGTGGGGAAGGTTGTACATGTGTGGGGACAGGGGCTATAAGGGAAATCGCCATACCTTCTGCTCAATTTTCCTCTAAACCTAAAGCTTCTCTAAAGAATACAATTTATTCATTAATTATCATCATCATCATCCCTGTGACACAGAGGTTTTATGTTTTCCTCCTGTGCCTTCATTACCTTCCCTGAACCCAGTCACTTCCTGAGGTGATAATGATAGATATGGCCTTTTAATAAAACAGACTAAAAGAAATGCAAAAAGAAGGAAAAATAAAATTTCTGGCCGGGCGCAGTGGCTCACGCCTGTAATCCCAGCACTTTGGGAGACCGAGGCGGGTGGATCATGAGGTCAGGAGATCGAGACCATCCTGGCTAACAAGGTGAAACCCCGTCTCTACTAAAAATACAAAAAATTAGCCGGGCGCGGTGGTGGGCGCCTGTAGTCCCAGCTACTCGGGAGGCTGAGGCAGGAGAATGGTGTGAACCCAGGAAGCGGAGCTTGCAGTGAGCCGAGATTGCGCCACTGCAGTCCGCAGTCCGGCCTGGGCGACAGAGCGAGACTCCGTCTCAAAAAAAAAAAAAAAAAAAAAAAAATTTCTAAACAGAGAATGTAATTACCTTTCAGGTATCTCCTAAAATAGGATTGGAAACTTTGTCCATTCCTAGTGCTCTTTTTAATTTAAGATAAACTAGCTGCCTAGTGCTGCAATGTCTGTTGCTCCAATGATGGATGTGCTGAAGGTGGTGATTTCATCACAATGCAATATATCAATGTAGCAAAATTGCACTCGTACCCTATGAATATATACAAATAAATAAATTTTTAAAAGACCAACTAGCACCAGAGGCTGAACAAGAGTTAGAAGAAGGGATACTCCACAAAAGAAAGTGAAGTCCATATTATATGATCCCATTTATATGCAATGTCAAGAATATGCAGACTTGCAGAGGCAGAAAATAAACTAGTGGTGCCCTGGGATTGGAGGGAAGGGGCAGTTAACCAATTGTGACAGCTGAGAAGTATATAGGTTTTAGGAGGAGTTGAAGTGATGAAAATGTTCTAAAATTTATTGTAGCAATGGTTGCACAAGTCTGAATATACTAAAAGCCATACAAATGTATGTTTTAGGCAGGGTGTGGTGGTTCATGCCTGTAATCCTAGCACTTTGGGAGGCCGAGGTGGGCAGATGGCCTGAGCTCAGGAGTTTGAGACCAGCCTGGGCAACATGGTGAGACCCCCGTCAGGTTGCAGTGAGCCAAGATCATGCCACTGCACCCCAGCCTGGGAGACAGAGCAGGACTCTGTCTCCAAAAAAAAAAAAAAAAAAGTATTGTATACTTTAAACAGGTGGACTTTAGGGCATGTAAATTATACCTCAATAAAGTTGCCACAAAAAAAAGAGGTAATTGAGGCAAACCGACAGTGAAAATGATCAAATGACCAAGGGATGGCAGGAAGGGGGAGGACCAAGAGAAAGAATCAAAAACAAAGAGTTTGCTTGCCAAATTCCAACCTCAGAGGGGTGGCCACATGGAGATACTTCGACAATTTAAAAATTTGGCTTCAAGTTTTTAAGGAACTGCAGACAATTGAGAGTCAAGAAGCCAATCCTAAATCTCAATTCCTCTGTGAAGTATGTAGGGTTTGGATTAATCAACCTGAACCAAAATAAAAGACAGTTTTGCATATGATGTTCAACGAACTCTGTCTAACAATGCAGTTGTTTGCTACCAGCCTCCTTTTATTATGAAGGGAGTACCTTTAAACTCACTATAAGGAGTGACCTCTATTTTAATCCTTCTTGATGTTTTATATTTTAACATAGAATCAAACATGAACCTGAGAGAGCTGTGTACCCAGACTGTATATTCTTTTTGACCACATAAAGTTTATTTAATTTGGTTTTTTGCCCCTATGTCATCTGCTTCTTTTGAAGAATCCATTGAAAAAATATCCCTTGAAAGTCAACATCATCTTCATTGGAGGAGTGGTTTCTCTAAAGCATGTCCATGGACTTGAGTACATCAAAAGCATCTGAAGTTCTTGGCAAAGCATGGTGGCTCACGCCTGTAATCCCAACACTTTGGGAGGCCAAGGTGGGAAGATCACTTGAGGCCAGGGGTTTGAGACCAGCCTGGCCAACATGGCAAAACCCCGTCTCTCTTAAAAATACAAAAATTAGCTGGGCGTGGTGGCATGCTCCTGTAGTCCCAGCTATTTGGGAGGCTGAAGCATGAGAATCGCTTGAACCTGGGAGGCAGAGTTTGCAGTGAGTGGAGATCGCGCCATTGCACTCAAGCCTGGGCAACAGAGTGAGACTCTGTCTCAAAAAAAAAAAGAAAGAATCTGAGGCTCTTGTCAAATGCACGCATGCAAAGCTACTTAATCATAAGCCTGAGATTGTCACTTAGGATTATGATTCTATATGCTAACATATAATTCTGTATATTAACAAGGACCTCTTCTATTCATATCCCAATTGAAAACCACTATGACATATCACATATCTCTCCTTTGTAAGAAACCATGAGAAACATCTCTGATATAGTTTGGATATGTGTCCCCATTCAAATCTCATGTTGAATTGTAATTCCCAATGATGGAGGTGGGATCTGGTGTGAAGTGATTAGATCGTGGGGGTGGATTTCTCATGAATGGTTTAGCATCATCCCTCTTGGTATTGTCCTCATGATAGTACGTGAGTTCTTATGAGATCTGGTCATGTAAAAGTGTAGCACTTCCCCTCTCACTCCCTTGCTCCTGCTCCCACCATGTGAGATGCCTGCTCACCCTATGCCTTCCACCAAGATTGGAAGCTTTCTGAGGCTTCCCCAGAAGCAGATACCACTATGCTTCTTGCACAGCCTGCAGAACCATGAGCCAATTAAACCTCTTTTTAAAATAAATTCCCTAGTCTCCTGTATTTATGTATAGCAATGTGGGAATTAACTAATACAATCTCTTACTTCAATTGTAGGAATAACTGTCCTAAGCAAAGCACCTCACCTCTACTTATACTACAGCCAGCATTACCACACACGGTACTTAGAGATACAGTGAATTTTGTAGTTGACTATTCTTTATAATTTACCTACAGGAAGATTAGAATCCAATTTTCCACCTCTTTATATTTGATGTGCTGGTCTTGGACTAAGCTCATTTTCCTTTTAGTCCAATTACTTCAAATTATTTTAATTTGCTAGTTATCTAAGTCACCTCAAATACTTTTTGCAACAAGGGGGTGTAAACAAGCTATTAAGAAAGATCTTTAACAGTCTAAAGCATCAGGATCCTGTAGTCAAGGAACCAGAAGCTCATTTACGCAGTCACTTGCCATTCCTCCCTTGAATGCTTTATAGTTTCATGTCCCCAGGGGACAACTGTGTATCATCCTTGTCTGAGGAGCAGAAATGTAGACTGTTCATTTCTCAGTTTAGTGGCCATAATATTAGTGATGGAGACACTGTCAAAGCTTTACCTGAAGCACCCCTACATTTTTAGAAGGAACCGGAAGCACCCCTACATTTTTAGAAGGAACCGGAAGCACTCCTACATTTTTAGTAGACTAGAAGTCTACTAAAATGTAGACTGTTCATTTCTCAGTTTAGTGGCCATAATATTAGTGATGGAGACACTGTCAAAGCTTTACCTGAAGCACCCCTACATTTTTAGAAGGAACTAAAGCCCAGAAATAATAACTAGTTGGCTCAAAATTGTTCCTAGAATGAGAAAGCTGGGATAAGAAAGCAGGTTTCTTGATTCTTCACCTATTCCTTTTCTTACCACACCATACCCATAGCACTTCCCAATTTGCTAATTTCTATGGATAATTCAAGGAGGGTTATTGCTTCTTATTGCAAGTTGTCTTGTATTCTAAACAGTAACCTGAGGGATGCACTCTGGATGACCCAAGACTTAAGCACTAGGAAGACACCCTCTGTTTCTTGCTTTCTGGGGTTAGTTCATGAAAGTAGCTACAGCAGAGGGAACAATGACCAGGTGATGAATAGCCTGATAATCTACAAGCCATTGCTTAATTTCCCACTGGATTAGTCTGGCCCTTCTCCCTATTATCTCTAAAATTCTAATCTCTAGCATCCTTTTAGTGAGAGCATCTCTTAGAAATTTGAGAATCCTCTTGTTTCTATGGAGAAACTCAGTATGACATGAGCATGTTCAAAGAGAAGACAGTTCTTTGAAGAATATTTTATTGATGAGGGTTTTTTTCCCCCTTAAGAGACATGAAAGGTTTGGTCTGAGAAACCCAAGTATTAGACAGAATCATTTATACCTTGGGATTCCCAGGAACCAAAGTGTATGCAAAGTCACAATACTCAGAAGGGCAATTTATTTATATTATATGTCAATTAGTAATATGCAGATGTCCTAAAATTGGTTGTGGTTATATATTGCAATAATTTCTAATCCATTACTCATAAAATGACTAATGAAATTACAAAATACAGCAACAGATCTGATTCCTCTGAGTCACTCTGCTCCTATTCTTGCTCATTTGCTATTTTTTCTCTACACACACACACACATACAAACACACTTTCAGCAATTCAGTCACTCAAAGCTGCAGCAGTTTAGAGATCAAAGTTTCTACATTTCCAGTTTGAAGTTTCCTTAAATAATTAAACCTAATCTAAAACTCACTTAATGTTTCATGAATCTTATTTGCATTCTTCAGCTACATTCTACCTGGTTCATTAAGTGGGGGATGATGGTGAAGAAAAGTGCTTGGGGGTTGATGCCTAGATAGTATAAGAAATAAACCAACAAGCCAAATTAAAGATAATGTTAATTTGTAACCATTGTTCAGTTAGTTGGATTTAGTTATTGTGATTCCAAAATGTATGCAACTGAATATAGGGCCAACCTTAGGGTTCCTGGTATGCTGCTTTGACTGATCATGTTTTGGGCTGTGATGTCAGTTTACTTTCCTGAGCCTGAAGGGAAATATTCAAAATGTGAGCAAGTTAGGCAAGTTACGTTACTTCTCAGAACTTCAGTTTCCCCATGTGCTAGTTTCTTAGCTTTCAAGTCTATAGTGAGAATTAAAGATAATAGGTATCTGGCCGGGTGTGGTGGCTCACACCTGTAATCCCAGCACTTTGGGAGGCTGAGGCGGGCAGATCATCTGAGGTCAGGAGTTCGAGACTAGCCTGGCCAACATCGTGAAACCACGTCTCTACTAAAAATACAAAAATTAGCCGGGTGTGGTGGTGCACACTCATAGTCCCAGCTACTCAGGAGGTGAGGTGGAAGAATCGCTTGGACCCAGAAGGTGGAGGTTGTAGTGAGCTGAGATCGCACCACTGCATTCCAGCCTGGGTGACAGAGCAAGACTCCCTCTCGGTGGAGGGTGGGGGAGGAAGATAATAGGTATCAAGTACTTAATGTAGTGCCTGGTACATAATAGGAAGTTGTTATTGTTATTAACAGTAATAACAGAGGGGCTCTTGTTCTATGATAAGAAAAAGAAACTAGTTTTGTAGCACAATTAGAATAATTAGAATAATAACCACAAACTACTTTTCATATCACTCTACAGGCAACATCGTTTTGCTTGAAATTCTCTAGGAATCATTAAACAATTCCAGAATGTTTACATCTTCAATTTTCTGGAAAAGTATGCCCTGAGAATATAGAATATTGACACTTTTTAAAAAAAATATTGTAGTGCCTCACATCTGCTCCAATAAATTAATGTTATCTTGATTGACACCTTTGGTGGAGGCAAATGTAGGAGCCAATGAATAAATTGACCCGATAACACATCGTTAGCAAAATTCTGTGTTTTTATATCTTTTACTTTAACACACTTTGAAACATGTCAAGTTTGTATTCCTCCTTTCTGGTTGTGCATGGTCAGTTACTGACCTTCATCTGGCACTTTGTATAATAGAACATGTGTCACTAAAAAGGTCTTTATATGTTAGTCCTGAGCAAGCTTTGATGCTGTGGCTGCTCCCTTTCTTCATGTGAGTGGCGCAAATGGGAGGACCAGTGTGAATGATTGCAAGCTGTCTAACTTAACAATCTAGGGAGGTAACACAATTGCAACAAAAGAAACATTTTGTACAGCTTTTCTTGGGTGAGTTATAGTATCTATAAAGATGGAAATAGTTACATATTTCTTTATATTTTTGAGACTAAAAAAGCTGTAACAACAACAAAAAGGATCACAAAAATGCAATAAATGTGTCCATTGGTGTGTTTTTTGTTGTTGTTTTTTTTTGTTTTTGTTTTTGTTTTTTGTTTTTTGAAACGGAGTTTCACTGTTGTTGCCTAGGATGGACTGTGTTGGGGTGGTCTCGGCTCACCACAACCTCCGCCTCCTGCGTTCAAGCAATTCTCCTGCCTCAGCCTCCCGGGTAGCTGGGATTACAGGCATATGCCACCAAGCCCGGCTAATTTTGTATTTTAGTCGAGATGGGGTTTCTCCATGTTGGTCAGGCTGGTCTTGAACTCCCGACCTCAGGTGATACGCCCACCTCGACCTCCCAAAGTGCTGGGATTACAGGCATGAGCCACCGCGCCTGGCCAAATGTGTCCATTTTTATCACCTGGTTCATCTAGTATTCAAAGACAAAAGACTGACAATGCACATCGCAATATTCTGTGATTCTCTTACTTGGGTATATTCCCAGAAATTGATGTCTTTAAAATCAAAAGCACTTAGGAGGTATTGATGTTAAATAATATTAGGGTGTCATGTTAGTCACTTTGTGCTGTCATAAATACCATAGAATAGGTGGCTTAAACAACAGAAACGTATTTCCTCATACTTTTGAAGCCTGGGAAATCCAAGACCAAGATGCCGTCTGATTCGGTTCCTAGTTAGGGTTTTCTTCCTGGCTTGCAGGTGGCTGCTTTCTTGCAGTGCCCTCTTTTTTGTTTCACTTTTATGTTAGTTTCAGGGGTACATGTGCAAACTGGTTCTACAAATAAATCATGTGCTGTGGGGGGCTGGTGTACACATTATCTTGTCACACAGGTAATAAGCATAGTACCCAATAGGTAGTTTTTCCATCCTCCTGCCCTCTACTCTCAAGTAGGCCTAGATGTGTATTGCTCCCTTCTTTGTGTCCGTGTGTACTCAGTATTTAGCTCCCACTTATAACTGAAAACATGTGTCCTCTTATAAGGCCACGAAGCCTATCAGATTAGAACCCTACCCTAATGGCTTCATCTAACCTTAATTGCTTCCTAAAAGCCCTATCTTCAAAAACAGTCACATTGAGGGTTAAGGCTTAAACATATGAATTTTGGGAGGACACAATTCAGCCCATAGCAAACATATTTTTAATACCAAAGAATTAATAGATTAGGAATAGAGGGCAAGCAAAGTCAGGGAAGAAGAGGAATTTTACATGGTGTGAAGAGTAAATATTTGTGTCTCTGTTTTTTAGTTACTGAAGAATGAGCTGCCCTTAAGTTTACGGACTTAAGTTTTAGTACTAGGAACAACCATTAAATAAGAAGCATTTCCTGGCAAGCTGTCCCACAGAAAGGTGTGAACTAGCATCCTTCTCACAAGTTTCCACAGAATTCTTGGCTAACTGGCATTGTTATAGCAACCAGAGTGTCAATGGAAGCAGTCATGGCCTTCGTAATCAAGTATCACTATGGCAACAGGAGCCTCTGGGAAGTAAAAGAAAAAAAAAATCTTAAACTGTCAACTGGAATCAAAGACGTTTGAAAAGGAAAAAAGGCGGAGGCTGAAATGAACATGAGGCTAGAGCAAGGGCCAGAGCAAAGAGAAATGATTGTACAGAAGCTGAACAAACAAGAGAGAAGGGAAACAATAAGCAAAACAGAGGGCAGAGACGTGGCTCGCATTAAGAAAGAGCAAGGCAGGAAGAAACGCAGAAACATAAGATAGTCAAAGCCATGTTCAAATGAGAAGATTCATAATGTTTACCAATTTTAATAGCCCAGGGTCAGATAAGCATGGAATGTTAAAGTCTATGTTGAAACTCTCTAGTATGCTAATAGAAGTATTGAAGAGATCTTTAGAATGAGGCCACGAGATAGTAAGAAAGGGGAAAACCATTTGTGGAGTGCTTTTGGCATAGCATCCTGCTGACTAGGAATTCTTGTAATATTTGGTGTTCAAAGGTACCACATTTGAATGTGAGTCTTCCTTTATTGGACAGTGTAATTGCTTCAGACAAGGGCACATTGCCATTTGGTCCATTACAAATATATGTTTTCTTCATTAAAGGATCTTAATGGATTTTTTTCCATGAAACAATTAAGGGAATTACTCTAATACTATTAAAAAGTACGTGGCAATGTCATTTGGAATAAAACATCTTCAATTGATATTTTCTATATTTTATTATCAGACAGGACTGAAGGTTTTTATGGCCCAATATTAACTTTTTGGGAAGGGAAAATATATTTTTTATAAAAGATGCCACTAAAATGTCAATACTTCATTTGTAGAATTAAGAAATGATTTTCATAAGTAAGACATTAAAAAAGGAATGAAAATAGAAATTATAGGTGCAGTCATAAATAGTCAAGAGAAAAATAACACAAGTTTGAGATTAAAACATAGAAATAAAACCAGCAGTCTGGGTGCTTTGCAGAAATCTGGTCCCACAGATTCTAATAGGATTTTTTTTTTTTAGACGGAGTCTCGCTCTGTCGCCCAGGCTGGAGTGCAGTGGCGCGATCTCTGCTGACTGCTAGCTCCGCCTCTTGGGTTCACGCCATTCTCCTGCCTCAGCCTCCCGAGTAGCTGGGACTACAGGCGGCCGCCACCATGCCCAGACAATTTTTTTGTTTGTTTGTTTTTCTGTTTTGTATTTTCAGTAGAGACGGGGTTTCACCGTGTTAGCTAGGATGGTCTCGGTCTCCTGACCTCGTGATCCGCCTGCCTCGGCTTCCCAAAGCGCTGGGATTACAGGCATGAGCCACACTGCACCCGGCCTATAATAGGATTTTTTTTTTAAAAAAATGACAGGCATTTCTTTCACGGTATTTTGGGTGTGATTTGCTAAAATGGCAAGGGGTGGTTTGTGGTCATTGTTTCTTCAGCTAAGAATAAGTCCACTGGTTGACAGCCAGGATGAGGAAACCTCTTTAGGAAGGCCCAAGTATTCAGGCGGAGGCCCTGCTGACATGCCTTCATCAGAAGTACAGACCAAGTCACAGATCACATCACAGAACCATCATCTATCTGACCTTTGGGATCCATCCCATAAGCTTGGGTGCCAACAATGACTGCCTCTTTCTGAGAGTTCATGATTCAAAAACCAATACAAACCTTTTTACTGGATAATCCTCAGTTTAAAATATGGGTTTTTAAAAAATATTGCAGCTATGTTTTTGAATTTTTTTCTATTTCTCTACAAACATACACACCAAGCATCATTTGTAAAATATGTATAAAATTCAATGAAATACATAAATGACCAAAATTCTAAATGTTCTAGATACATGAGAAGTGAAATAAAAAATCAAAGAAACATGATTAGGAGTAAAATTAGGAATTGTACCCTTAAAAACAAGCTTTTTAAAAGCATAATGTGTAAACATAAAAGTACCTAAATTATAAATTTGCTACTTGTTGAATTATCACATAGGGAACACACATGTTTAATCACCTCCCAGATCATAATATGAAACTTAATGTCTTTTCAGTGATTTTCTAATAATATAAGAAAAGAGTTTGACATATTTTGCAGTCACATTCATTTACATTGTAAGATGGATAAGCAAAATAAAAAATATTGCACTGTGACTGTTAAGAATTTTTTGTACCATGTGCAAAGAGAGACCCCTGCTGGAACTTTTTTTTTTTTTTTTTAATTAGAATGTCTAAACCAACTCAGATGAACTGTATTGTTAAAGAAATGCACAGGTACACCTGAACTTAAAAGTTAAAAAAAAAAAAAAAACACAAAAGAGAAATAGCGATGACTCTGCAAGCTGTAAGATAAAATTTCTGAATACATTTTACCCCAAGACAAAGGAATTTTTTTTTTTTTTTTTTTTTGAGATGGAATCTCGCTCTGTGGCCCAGGCTGGAGTGCAGTGGCACGATCTCGGCTCACTGCAAGCTCCGCCTCCCGAGTTCACGCCATTCTCCTGCCTCAGCCTCCCGAGTAGCTGGGACTATAGGCGCCCGCCGCCACGCCCAGCTAATTTTTGTCTTTTTAGTAGAGTTTCACCGTGTTAGCCAGGATGATCTCAATCTCCTGACCTCGTGATCCGCCCGCCTCGGCCTCCCAAAGTGCTGGGATTACTACAGGCGTGAGCCACCGCGCCCGGCCGACAGAGGAAATTTTTAACCTCTCCACAAGAAAATTTCCACAGCAGGGGAGATTTTGGGGTTTTCTTTGATATGTTTTTCTCTGCTTATTTTCTTTTGATCTCCAAGCTTGAGTAACAATAGGTTCTAGCTGTTATCTGCCTGTCTTGACATATCTGCGGAGGTGGTAATTGACCCCAAAGTGAAAACCAGAGGTTCACAGTCAGATGGATCCATATCACTTACACTTTCTCTACTATGTGACTTGATTTATTCCAAAGTTCAGTACTGCATATTCGCTCTTTACTGGGATTTTCCTGGTGATATATTGGGAGTGTGTGGATGTAAAGGATGGAAACTGGATTTCCAGTCAGTCTCTTGTGGTGAGGTGGGCCAGTGAAGACAACAAGCAAGAGAATCTGGAATTGGAGCAATAAATGCATGGGTGTTGTCCTGCCTGAAGTGGAAAGGTAAAGGCTGGAACAATTCCCTGTCCCAACTCCCAAGCCCTTGTGAAGGTTTTGAGGGTTCCTTAGGCAGAAAATGTGGCATGCCCAGAGGGATTCAGGTGCATAAGACATGGAAATGATAAAACTTTTAGAACCTGAACTGCTCTAATTTTACCTAAAGCTCCCCACAAACCCCACTCCATGCATAGCTTCTCTATGTTTCCTCTCTCAGAAAAATACTACAAAAAAGCCCTCCGCTCCCCACAAACCCAGGATGTTACCATATTCACATCTCCTTCTGCTTCACTTGGACCACCAGTCATCAAATTCTGTTGATCCCCAATTCTTAACATGTTCCGTATCCATTTATTTCGGCTTCTGAAATGCTCTGGGGCTGCTCCGTGAAGTTGTAATTTTTCACCTGGACCACCATGACAGTCTAGGAATTGGTGCCTTGACCTTATCAATTCTTCAAATAGCAGGGATAAAATCATAGCTCTCTTATGATTCAAATATTTCATCTCAGTTCTTTTGAGGTCAAAACTTCTTGGTACAACATAAAAGGCCCGTTCTGATCTGGAAACATCTTAGGGTTTTCGTTCTATCTCTTGGTAGACACTTCCCCACCTTTCTATACTCAGACATTCCTAGCTGCTTGGGGTTTTCTGACAATATCTGCATATGCTCTTCTAACAGGAATACCCTTTGCCTGTTATTTACCATGCCAACTGCTTGTAACTTCCTCCGTTTTGAAGCTTTTATAATCCTTTGCTTCCAACCCGTTGAAAAGAACCATTTCCTCATGCTACAACTATAACCTGTACATACTTGTATGGTCACCCCTTTGCCAGTTTCTTGAACCTATTTATCTACCTGCTGCTTTCTCCAAGCTGGAAGGTAATCTGGGCCACACCTGCTTCTGACTGATATTCTTAGTGCTTAGCCCAGGGTCTGGCCCTAAAAGGAGCTCCTTAAATACTGGTTAAATATGTAGTAAGAGGCTTCAAGGACTGAACCCCAGTGATTCTGAAGGAGTGACTGCTAGAGATGTAGACAATTATTTGTTGTTTTAGCTAAGAAGTAGCCTAAATTTAATTTTGTGAAAAATATATTAATGGCCCTTTTGTTAAGCAAAGGTAAAGACAAATTAAATTTCAGAATGTCCAAGCCAGGACACAAAAAAGCTAAGCTGAGCTACATTAGCAAGTGCAGTAGAGTCTCTTCATTTTTGTCAGAGTGGCATTTTTGCAGAGATTATCATGGCATTCAAGGGGCATCACGCTAGAGATAGGTTGGGATAAGGATATAATGTTCCCCTCCCTTGTGACATGGTCAAAGACACTTACAGCTACAGGCAGTAAGCTGATCTCTAAAACATGTCATCCCCTTGGGCTAAAGAGACAAATGGGCAGCAGACCTGACCAAGGGAAGGAAAGAGTTGAAATATAAAGATATTTGCTTTTTCCTTTCCTATATTTTTATTTCCCTCTGTAAGCTCCAAGCCTTCAGTTGCATTAAGCACTCTAGCTGGTTTCAGTTGAGCTTTGGGGAAATATGTGAATAACATTGTCTACTCTCAGGACAAAGCAGCTTAGGAGCAGTCAGGGCATCTCATGATGTCCACTCATCTGGGCTGAAGGAGTGACAAAAAGAGCTCTTTCTACCTCTTACAACATCCTTATAAGAACTAGGAAACGTGCCCATTCTTCTTCAAAGGTAACTCTTTACTTGCCTCTGCCAGGAAATGGATTTGGTATATTAATTTGTTAAAACAAAACCCTTAACTCCCATCTGCCAGAAAACTGTTACAATAAATCTATGATGTCTATAATGAAAATGATGCCCCTTATATGTGGTGCCCTTGTGCATTACAGAATCTGCATAGCCAGACACAGCATCTGTGTTAATGAGAGAGACAAAATGCAAAACATTAACACGTCCTGAAGATCCTGAGTACTATTTGAGAGTGAGCCTGCTAATCATGGCAGGTGAGGGCTGACCAAGAACATTATCACTTCTGTTTACCTGAATGAATGATATCTTTAAACAATTGCATAATGTGTACATTTTCCCCAGACTAGGCTGCAAAATAGTCTGCTATAGCTATAGTTCAGGGCATCTACAATTACAGGAAAATCCCCTTTGAAGCCAGTCCAAGACCTTTCCCCAGATACTTCTTTACAAAAGAAAGGCCGAGATGTCTAGTCACTTTGTTCAAATCCAAAGAATTGGATTCCTGCTGGTTCTGACTTAATCTTTCTCTACTTAAAAGATGTAAAATATCCAGCATTTTCTGTTTATATCTGAAACTATCCCCTCTTACTTTGCAGGAAGCAAAGAACTGGAATGCTAAACCACACAAGGGACCAGTGTGAGGGCTAAGTGTGACAGTTGGCTGGTTGGCCTGTGGACTGTGAAATGCAAAAGAGAATTAAATTTTGCATTCTGGGATGGGGATGCTAGGAAGAATGGGGCAATATGGGACATGTGGTCTAATGGGAAACGTGGGAAAAACAAGCACACCAGAACAAAGGGTCTATAACAGATGAAGACTGACTTGGCAGGGTTAGGAGATGGAAGTGGAGGAAATACCCTGGGGTGACACGGCATAGAGGGCGACACTCTACCCAGAGAAACCCAGGAGCAGGAAGAGAGCTGCTAAGGCCAAGTGGGTTCGGAGGGAACATTTGTCACCATTGTGCCTGTTCAAAATCCAAACACTGTTCTTACTTGAGGTTAATCCAAATAGACGAGAGGCAGGACTCCGCCTCTCATCATAGCATCATAAGTGAGGCAGATGTTCCTTTTCCCAGTTCCCTGGCAGCAAGGATGTGGGATGTAGCCCAGTATCAGCCAACTGACTGCTCCAGCCCAGAAGTTTAAAATTTAGGGGTGTCATGCTAACTTAGCACAGGTTCCCTAGGAAACAAAGCCTGGGCAAAAAAGCTCAGATGCCATGTTTTTATCGAGGAGGTGCAATTCCAAGGAAGCAAAAGTGAGAGGGAAAAGGAAAGTGAGACAGAGGGAAGAAAAGGGAAGGAAAGGGGAGAAGGAAAATACAAAGTGATGCACCATTAGGCTACCCACAGCTCTCAAGAAGACACAACTTGCTGGCTTAGTTATGTGAGACGGTCCCTATCGAGAGCATGGAAACTGTCTTAGGGGCAGCTTCTGGGCAAGGCTCTGTGTATCTATAAACAGGTTGGACTAGCCCTCAAGCTGCTTTGGCTTTTTGACAAAGAAGCCATAGTGACAAGACATTGACCATGCAAAACCCAACCCCATCCAAGGGGGGTGCCTGATCTCCTACTTCACAGGTGAAGTGGGAGATTGATAAAATAAAAGATATGATAATGTTTGCAGTGGAGCTTTTCACACCATGAGCCATCTCTCTTGAACTGCCTGCCTGGAAAGCCAGGCACGTGGCACAAGCCTGAAGGTATGAGGGTTCAGCGGCTCTGAGTTGGTGCAGAAATAGGGTCTGGTACTAACAGATAGTCACGGAAACCAAGGAAGATTTTTAAGCACACATCTGGTATTCCAGGGTGACCATGCCAGCAGTGACATTGTAACAATTGCCCCCATAGCTAGGGGAAGATGGAAATGAGTGTTTATTTTTTAGTTCTCCATGGACTCTGTAAACTACTGGTCTTCTTTCCAATAAACCAGCTTTCAGCTTAAGTAACTAGAATAGAATTGATCACTTTCATAGCCCATTATCCTTTGGCTTGCAAAATGCAATAATACTCTTTGCTTGCTTTGGATGAGGTTCTGTGTGAGAACATTTATGTATATATAGGGGCTTGTGACAGACAAAAAAAAATTTTTACGGCTCCAGAATAAATCATCAGTGAAAACGTTTGAAAATTATTTCAAAATTTTAAAACACTGGGAAAAATGTGTTTTGCTGTTTTGTTCATTACAGAGTATGAACAAAGAAGCTAGCATTTGCTGGGGGTTACTCAATGTACCATGTGCTTTATGTATGTTATTTCATTTAAACCTCAGAACAACATATGCAATAGGCATTAAAAAGAGACACCACAGAGAGTTTCAACAGAGCCAGGACGGTACAAATACAATTAATAGCCATTTCTTGGAAATCTAAACATCTGTGTTTTGTAACACCCTATCCCTCCTACATCTTTATTCATATTTTTTGTTGGTATCTTTGAATTCCTCATTGTATTTAATACAACACCTCTCACATAGTAGGCCCTCAAAAATGTTTAGCAAATGGAGTTGGAGTCATGCCATACGTAGCAAAAAAAAAAAAATGCCTTTTACAGATTAAGTGAAAAGCTACTTTGTATTCATTCTGCATGTTATAGCAATGGGCTTTCAGTTTCTTATGGACAATGTACAACATAGCAATCATGATGTCTCTTCAAATTTGTTAAAAAAAGAATTTACCTGTCTGCATATGTCTGTGCATGTGTAAGTCTTTTGTTTTAGAAAATGATGGTGACTGTGATTACCATCCGCAAAGCACTAAAATGACTGCTCTGTAATTAACAATCATTTCTACACTGTACACACAAAAATTCCCATTTGATTTTAACCCATTGTCACTATCAGTGAGCTCCTTGCTCTTCTCATGGTAAACGGTAACTCGCTACCCGATGTAGTTTCAGGCAGATTATTTTATGAAACAGTGGGGTTTCTCTTGCCTCATCAGTTCCTAGTGGCGCCATACTCATTCATTTAGTAACTATTTAATATTTATGGAGCACCTCCTGAGTGCCAGGCGCTGTGGGGCTTTGGTGCTATTTGGGCTTCAGTGAATTATAAGCATGGCTTTGATTCCCCACATGGGTCCTTGGTTTTTGTATTGGTTACATGAAAATATGTTACTATAACAAAGAACTCAACAAATCAGTAGATTAAGGAAGATTATGTCTCTCACCTAATGGTCCAGGACAGGTTGGTGGGCTCCTCTGCCTCACATGCCATTCAGAGACCCCGGTTCCCTTTCTCTTGCTTCAACTCTAGGTTGTGGCCCTCATTTGTATGGTCAAAGGTGGGTCACAAGCACCTCACTCTTCCAGCTCATAGGAGGAAAAGTGCAAAGAAGGCTGCGTGTGCAGTGTTTTAAGGTTCAGGCCTGGAAGTGACATGCACACGACTTCTGTTCACACTCCACTTGTTACATCTAGATGCAAAGGGGCCTAGGAAATGGTAGTCTGTAGCTAAGTGGCCACATGACCAGGTAAAACTCTACTCTCTTGGAGAAAAGGAAAGAGGAAAACCCACAGACAACTAGGGCTCTGTCACAGCATCTCAGGGCAATCAGGGCTCCGTATGCTTCACACTTTGGTTGGTTCAAAAGAGTAGGTCAGCACATTTTTACAATCACCACTTCAAAACCATTCTGAGACCTCACTTTTGGAGACAAAAGTTAGGATGTCCAGCTCCTCTAAGAGTTCACGCTGGTCCAGGGAAACCTCATCTTTCTTCCCTATACTTGATGTAGCACCTTTCTTTCACCTTTTATCCTGCTTTCCCAGTCTCATTCCTAACCCCTAATCCCAAGCCAGCACACTGCTACCACATCTCATGCTTGGAACTTGCTATTTCAGAAACCTATTATTGGTAAAAAGGTAAAAACCTTATGTGGTAGGACAATTTATTAAAATATTTATTGAGATATTAATGTGTGTTTTTGTTTTCCTGTTATAGAAAAGTCAGAAAGAATGAAACATGCTTATGTTTTATCTTTAGTGTCTATTTTCTGAATACAGCCAGGCCTCTTCTTTCCCTTGCCTTGAGTAGGGCTGAGAGTGATATATTGAACGCTGAAAACAGAAGTTGCCTAATACTTTCGTCTTCAAAACTCTGAGTTAATTGACAGGATTGTGATAGGTCAGTTTTTCTCAAAATTTAGCTTTGCATTAGATGTAGAGGGTTTGTTAAAACATTTATTGCTGGGCACTTAGAGATTCTGATTTAGTCGGTCAGGGGTAGTGCTTGATGATTTACATTTCTAAAAAGCTCCCAGGTGCTGCTGCTGCTGGGCTCAGGATCACTCTTAAGAAAACCACTGTGATAATGGCTCCTCAGGGCAAGAGTGTTCTGAGGGTACTTCAGAAGCAGCCTAAGAAAGCAAAATGATCTCTCCAGAGGAGAAATGGGCAGAGATCTATGAGGACCTGAGGCCTCTTCGGTGTCCTGGGAGATATCAGAAAATGAATGTCATCAGAATCTCATACCTTGGCCCAAGCCAAGAGCAGCACCCCTGACTTTCAGCAACCATATAGCTTTTGCTAATGCATGTAAGTAACACAGAGGGATCAAACTCCTGAATGCTTCTTACACCTTTGAACCATTCTTCTCTCTATAAGATTGCCAGAACCACCCCGGACCTGATAGGAAAGCCTAATAATCCTGAGATTGAATTTCCCAACAACTCTGACAAATCAAGACATAAACTAAAGTTGAATTGTTTTAAATAAACATGACATTCTTGCACACCTGAGTCTGTAGGGTAAACTTTCTATGTGCTTCACACATTGCTAGCCAGGCATTAACCCTTCTGTATACCTGTAAATTATTTTAAAGTACCTTCAAAGGACATTTTTGTAGCCACATGATTTAGATCTGGAAGAACACTGGGGCAGAAGGAACTTTTTCCAGAAGCTGTGCTCATGACCCTGACCCTCTTCCCATCTGAACCCAGCATGCACTGATGTCCTGAGGTTACCACGGAGATGGTTTGCACTCTGCTTCAGCAGAGCTCCATTTGCTGTGAATCTCAGGACTACACTCTGCTGCATTAGCACTTCCACAGACACTTTGACATTTAAGCAACAGAGAGAAATCTTCTGCAAAAATTATTACTGTTCCCTAAATCTCCCAAACAAAAGGACGTATTAAAATATTTTCAAAACAAATGTTCTAAATCAGAAATATTTTCTATCCAAACATCATAAACAAAGAAATCTTTCCAGTTTCCATGCACATACCCAAATAAAGTGTTTTTTGGAAAGTATGTGTCAGGGAAATCAAAATATCTGGAGTGTGGCATATAATGCTTTTGCCTGTGCCTTTCAAAATTACACTTCATTTTGGCTTTGGTTGGCTCTTTATTGACTGAAACTCTAAGTGTAGCCAAGTGTGTTTTCTGGTCATTTTTCACAGAACATGGAAAGAGATGGTCATTATATTTAGAGGAGTTGGCAATGGAAAAAGATGATATAAATAAGGTTTAAATACTTATCAGGTATTGACAGTGGGAGTAACCACTGTGAATGAAAGTGGAAAATGTCTCCATTATAAAAGTACGGTTTTCATGTTGGACCATTAATTTATATCCTGCTGTATACAGACCACGTGACTATCTGATATAAGACCAGAGAAGATTAGTCTCGGGCTAAGCTTTATGTTACCTATGTGGAGACCACAACTCCTCAGTTTCTGCACATATATGAACTCTTTTAGGACACACACTGTATGGCTGTATTAGGTATGACATAAAAGAAATACAACATGCAGGACCTCTTCAAAAAGGCAACATTGTATTATTGTTTATCTACTTTCTTAGATTGGGTTCAATACATTTTTAGTAACTATTAAAATAATCAAATTTCTGAATGTAACTGCATATTGGGTACTGGTATTGCTTCACATTTCAAAATAAACTAGTGAAAGTAGCAGATTTTGCTGCTGTAAACGTATCACTGGACCCCCAAACTCTTAGCAGCAGAAAAAGAATACAGTGTACTCGAGGGACTTCCAAGTCAGCTGAACAGTCAGCCTCTATTCACGGTGGTTTCAGGTTCTGCCTTTTTGGTTAAAATGTAGGGTGTTCTTAGACACTGTGCTAGGAGTTGTACATATATTTCTCATTTAATCACCACAATAGTGCTTTGAGGTTCATACTATTGTTATCCCCATTTTATAGGTAGAGAAACTGAGGCTCAGAGAGGTTCAGCTAATCAATGGAGGAGTCAGGAGTTGTGCCTGTTCTGCCTCCACCTTCTTGTTCCTTAATGGCCAGGCTATCTTCACTGAGCCACCCTTGGGACAATTCCTCACTGGCTGATGTCAGTATCACCTAATTCCCCAGACCTTAGCAGCCCATGCGTACAAATGGAGACAGGGTTCCAACTGGATCTCTCCTTTCCTTCTCACTCAGGGTCTCATCCCTTATAAATTGCAGCCCCCCAGTCCTTCTGGCAGATGACAGGGAGATGTCACCTGTGGGCAGCAATAAGTCAGCTTCAGCAGGACAGTCTGTCATCGGGCAGCTGACCTCCCCAGTCCCCACACTTCACCTTAGGCTGCGATTCTGAAGCTGTCAAGCTTTATGACTTCCTACTGGAAATGATTATTGAGTGCCTTCTGTGTTCCTGGCACTGTGCTTTGTTCTCCCACTGTGGATAAGACATAAAATAAACAAGTGAAGTATATATACATATATATATATATATACACACACACAGACATATATATACACACACATATATATAACTACAAATTATGATACATGTGCAGAAGGTTTCAAACCTATGTGCTTGCAAATGTGGGAAAAGCATACCTTTCTTTCCATTTTTCAGAATGCTATCCTTTGAATGTTTGTGTCCCCCTCACCAAATTCATATGTTGAAAACTCATCCCCATTGTGATGGTATTAGGAGTTGGGACCTTTCAGAAGTGATTGATTATGAGGATAATGTTCTCAAGAATGGGATTAGTGCTCCATTCTATATAAAAGGGACTCCAGAAAGCTGCCTTAATGTTTCTTCCATGTGAGGACACAGCTAGAAGGTGCCATCTATGAATCAGGAAATGAGCCCTCAGTGATGCCAAATCTGCTGACACCTTAATCTTGGACTTCCCAGCCTCCAGAACTGTGAGAAATAAATTTGTTTTTTTATGTGTGATCTTGTTTATGGTATTTTGTTATAACAGCCAGAACAGACCTGAGTAAATCAAGAAAAATCATCAAAAACTTCTTTTAAAATCACACTAGACCAGTGGTTCTCAAACAGGGGCAATTTTGTCTTGCAGAGGTCATTTGTCTGTATTTGTTACAATTGGGAGAGGTGGTGCTACTGACACCTAGTGGATAGAGGCCAGGGTTGCTGCAGAGAATATCATAACAACATATAGGACAGCCCCCCACAACAGAGTTACTGGCCCCAAATGTCAATACTACCAAAATTGAGAAGCCCTGTACTACAGCATTGTCTACCAAGCCTGATTAAGGGTCATCTGATGCGCTATGTAATTTTAACTTTGACTTTACATTGATTATGCCTTAGACTCTGCAAAGTGGGATGCAAACTTACAGAAGATTGATAGGCAGCTAATAAGTTCTGTCTAGTACAAAAGTTTTATTGCCCTAATAATCATTGGCCAGCTTTAAAAAAATCTAGCTTTGCAATTTTATCCCATCATTCTTGTTTTCTCTGAATGTATATAGAGTCAATGCTCATTATCTTATTCATCCAGCTGGGAACTTGTGTGTTGGGTGACCCAAATATTTTGCTGCTCTGCACATGACTTATGCAGGTCTGCAGGAACTCTGCATGTGACTGGGAAAGTGCTGTGAGTCTTGATTTTGGGTTTACAAATGTATTTTAGCGAGAAGATACAAACATGGAGTAACTTCTGAAGCACAAAATCTATAAATAATAAGGATCAGCTGTATTAGTTTTTCATAGTCTGTTTTGAACTAGCTTCTCATTCTGTTGCTTCCTTCATCACTAAATCAGATAAATATTTGACACATGCTCACTATATTTGTATGAGAGTTGTATCTTTAACTTTCTGGAAATCGAAACAGAAAATTAAACACTTTTCAATGTTTAACATTTTTTTTTTAATAGAAAAAATGCTTGCTGTCTTATGGTGTTTTAGATCAATAGCTCTTCCAGGTTTATTTTAGTGGCATGAGTCCCAGCCTCAATGGGACTGGGTCTAGAGACAAATGTACATGGCAGACAGCTCACTGTACTCATAGCCTTCTCTCCTTTCAGATGTTCCTGGGCTGAGCTCATGGGTTTGGCACCTATTTCTCTCAGAATAAGTTCTCCCTCAGGAAGCTCAGGCCAACTCGCTGCTACTGAGCCCACCTACAACTTCCAGAAATACAGGACGTATCTGCATCCCAGACTAAACTCGAGCTGGGAATCCTAGAGACAGCTGGGAAGCTGGTCTTCAGGATCAAATCAAGCATAAAGTCAGGAATGCTGAGGTCAGGAGAGTTTCAAAAGATTAAACCAGAGAAAACACTGAGGAAAAAAGCTTCTTCACGGGGTGAATCCTCTTTCAGCGTAGAGCTATCTGGAACCTAAAGAAATAAGGCCCAGGACCCATATCCTCCTTTTCCTCCCCTTCCCCCGTCCCCTCTTCAGTTCCCCTCTTCTTTTCTCACCCTGTAGCAACCTGAATTGTCCTCATAGCCTCAATTATGAGGACTTGTGCTCCCCAGGAGATATTTGGCAGTGTCTGGAGACATATTTTATAAGGGGAGGAGTAGAGAGTGGTCCAAAATATTGATAGTATCAGGGTTGAAACACTCTGATTTACCCAGAGGTTAGCAAACTGTTTTTTGCAATGGTCCAAGTAGTATTTTATTTATTTTTTTTATCTTAGAGACAAGGAGTTGCTATGTTGCCCATGCTGGACTTCAACTCCTGGGCTCAAGTGATCCTCCTGCCTTAGCCTCTTGAGTAGCTGGGACTACAGGTGTGCAGCACCATGCCCAGCTGATGATTAAGTATTTTAGGACGCTCTCTGTTGCAATTACTCAACCGGTGATGTGAAACCAGACACAGACAATATAAATAAAAAAGGTGGCTGTGTTCTAACAAAATTTTATTTATGGACATTAAAATTTGAATTTCACCTAATTTTCATAAGTCACAAAGTATTATTTTTCATTTGATTTTTTTCAAAGATTTAGAAATATGAAAACATTCTTAGCCTATAGCCCATACAATATCAGATTTGGCCCAAGATCCTAGTGAACGGAAAGCTTTTTTTCTTCTATTTTAGAGCAAGCATGGTATTTTCATTAAGCAAAATTATATATTTTTTTACTTACAGCATTTTAAAGTATAATTTGTGTTGTGTGTTAAATACCAGTGATTCAGCTAAGAATTGTGGATGAAAAATAATCCTTTATATGTAAGCAATGATGTTATGTTCTGATCATTAAGAAGTGAATTTTTAATAGTCTCATGGACTGGGGAAAATTATTCCTTTTCTAAGTGTTTATGATTTGCTTACTTAATCTTGGCCTTCTCTTTCAGTTTTCTTAGCTTCTGTTGACTCTGGCTAGATTTTCAGAGTGAAGCCAGACCCAATTTTCTGCGGGGCTGAAATTTCACCAGAGGCGAGTTCATTCAGATTCCGGGTTATTTACATTTCCAGTCTGCAATTTGATCTGATCATCACTGGTTGAGGTGAAACATCAAGAGCTTTACTATCATGTGGGCTGAGCTGGATAACCCATCCTGAAGGCTATGGTAAAGCGGGGAGAAATTGGGAGTCGGGAGAACAGTTGTTTTCTTTTTATTTCTCAGCAGTAGATTGGTATGGATGAGTTTCACAAACACCGTCTTTCAAAAGACAACTGAGAAAAGCTTGAAGATTTTGCTGAAGAACCAAGAAGAGAGAAACACTTCCTGGCATCCAAAACTGCCAGGGTGGAAAGGAAGGAAGAATGGAAGGGGAGCAAAAATGGCTTGTTATGGGGCAGGCTGAGACATGCCTAAGCAAAGGGAAGGGCTGCGGCATTGCACTTCCAGTACTTTTTCCCTTCCTAAGTGGTGTAAAGAGCACCTGAAAAACTTCCAGAATTGATAAGAGAGTTTGCTACAATGGTCAGATACAAGATAAAATATATCAAAGTGAATAATTTTTCTACGTTTACCTATTAGAAGATCTGACACAAAGAATACATTTTCCAATGTCTATAAAAGACATAAAATAGCTAATTATCCTATCAAGAAATGTGCAGAGCATACGTGATAAAAACTGTAAATCTTACTAAGAGGTATTTTAAAAATGGAATAAATGGAGAGACACATAATATCAGTCAGGGTTCTGTCAGTGAAGGAGAACCATTGAGTGCTGTAGAGTAAGAGATTTATCCAATTGTGGAAACCCAGCAGAGAAGTCAATGCTTGTCGTTTCTGCATCTGGTGCTGGTGTCATGTCAGTGGAACTGGAAAATTGAAAAGAAAGATGGTCTTAAGTTGGGGAGAATAGGGACAAAATGGAACCTGCATCTTTCATCACCTGCAGCCTCAATGACACAGATGAGATGCAGGATAAACTGGCACCCTTCACCATGGGGAATGCACCACATGAACCCACCCTAGATTTGGAGAAGCTGAAGGAGGAGATTCTGCATGAACTAGAGTAGCTGTGAATCCAGCCACTGCTTCATTTCCACCCTCCAAATCTTGCATAAATTTCTCCTGTGACCAACCCTAACCAGAACCATACAGAGGAGGAAAATCTGAGAAGCATAGTTCTGCCTGAGATAAACCGATCCTGTATAAAGCAACCATACATAAATATATAACATGTCTCTGGCCAATAAATAAGAAAAAATGCATAGCATTTATGACATGCTAGACACGCTCCAAGTGTTTTACATTTATTAACTCATTTTAATCCTCATCACAGCCCTCTGAAATAAGTATGGCTATTCACCTCATTTTATAAATGAGTAAACTGAGCCTTAAAGTTACATAGCTTGCCTGTGGCCACATAGCTTGCAAGTGGCAAAGCCATCATTCCAACCCAGACAGTCTGGAAAGACTTTTTAAAATGTTGAGTCTCCTCAGATTAATGTATTTTAATATTATCTCAATAGAAACCCTAATGGACTTAGCCTTGAGAATTTTTGAAATTTTTCTAAAGGGTATCTTGAAGAGTAAACATGTAACCACACAGTAGAGAACTCCAATAACGAAAATGGAATCTTTCCAGAGGAATCAACAGAGAATGAAAGGTAACCCTAAACAGAACTTAATATGCAAACTTAGAAAAGAAGGGTTAAAACTCGGCAAATGGACCCATGAAAACTGGCTCCTGGGGAAGAAACCTTCATATTCCCTGCATCACACTGTGACTGTGGCATCGAAAGATGCAGGGGAGTCAGTCCTTTCCATGCTTTCTCATGGCCATCTCTGCAAACCTGCCATGTTGGCTCCTTTCTTTTGTGTACTTGGGTACTGTTCTGGAAGGTAGGTCCCAACATTTAGCCATTTCTAGATAATAAAAGTCCCTTCAGTCACATTTATTTATTTTATTTAGTCATAAAAGTAGGAGTGGTAAGGGGCAGAAAGACGTAACTGACAGGCACTGATGTGTCTTGGCTTTGGCTCCCCTGGCTGTCACAGATGTTTAAAGCTGGCTATTATGCAGGGGTTCATTGGCGGTAGGGGTACCCTAAGATTTCCCTACCAGGCCCCTTCCATTGCAGATCCCTTGAGGGGCAGAGCTTTTCCATAGGCTGGTTCTTGCCTCTTGCCTCAGCCTCTTTCTCCTAAGGGTTGCCCTGCCTCTTTTTGCTCAGCTTCTCCCACAAGGTATAGGATGGCGAACCACCCTGGTTTGTCTGAGACTGAAGAGTTTCCCAGGATGTGAGCCTTTCAGATGAAAACTGGGAGAGTTCTGGGCAACCAGGACGGCTGGTCACCATAGAAGGTCCCTTTTAAACAACACAAGTCTGACCTCCTCACCACTACTCCTGTCCATATCTGGTCCCTGAGAAATAAGCACTCTGACTCACTGTCATTTCCTGATTGCAGCCCTCTCCTGCCATGGGTCACTTCCGCCACTCTGTCCCCAAAGACTACTGAGGGGTGGCTTGAGTCAGACATGGTGCACATTAGCCCATGAAAACATACACCATGCTCCCACAGTGGCCTTCTGGAAGCCCTCAGCTGGGCTGCAGGTGAGGGGGAAGAGCCCCCGAATCCTCCCTTCAGTGTAGTGTGGGGCCCACCACAACAACTCTCTTCAGAGAAACCCACTGTCCCTTGGCTTTTTTGTAGTCAATATTTTTAGGCCTTTTTCTATGTGCCACACGGAGGTGTCTGTTACTCCTTCTCTGGTGCTGCTGAGGCACCCCTCTTTGGATGTGGGAGTACTTGCCACCTTTAAAAAAATCACAGCTTTTTCAGGTCTCAGAAAACACTGTGACAGAAAGTATTAGAGTTTTAATAGCATGTTTCATAAAACGACAACAAAGAAAATTTCTAGGCAAAAGAGGATTACGAACATGAAAATAATAGATTTGATACATATTGTAGAAAAGTTAGATTTCTGTATGTCAAAAATTATATGCAAATATAGAAGTAAAAAGACTAGAAATATATTTCCAACAAAATAAGAGGCTAATAAACATAATTATATTTAAAAATACTTTTGCAAATAATAATCTAGAATCCACATCTCACTGTCTGCCCCTCCACCTCTCCACTTTCTGTCCTGGAAGCATAGGGATTTAGAATAATGGACACTTCTTTTGCCTTCCTATGTTCTACTCACCACCCAACAGTTAGAATGATCCTTTAAAAATGTAAACAAGATCATGCCATTGCTCTATTTGGGCTTTCTTTATGGATTTTTGTTACATTTAGAGTAAAATTGAAGTCCCTACACACCCTGGCACAGAAAGCCTCATCCCATCTGGTGCCAGTGGTATTTCTGACTTTACTTGTATCCTGTTCCTTTGTGAGGGCAAGGGCTCTGTTTTTGGTTATAACCCCACACTTAGAACTGTGCCTAGCACAGAATAGGCATGTGTTAAGTTTTAGTTGAATAAATGAATTAGTGGATGGATGAATGGATGACTGCCTTTTTTTTTTTTTTTTTTTTTTTTTTTTTTGAGATGGCGTCTCACTGTGTTGCTCAGGCTGGAGTGCAGTGGCACGATCTCGGCTCACTGCAACTTCCGCCTCCTGGGTTCAAGTGATTCTCCTGCCTCAGCCTCCTGAGTAGCTGGGAATACAGGCGCCCACCACCATGCCTGGCTATTTTTGTATTTTTAGTAGATATGGGGTTTTGCCATACTGGTCAGGCTGGTCTCAAACTCCTGAGCTCAGGTGACCCGCCCACGTTGGCCTCCCAAAGTGCTGGGATTACAGGTGTGTGAGCCACCACGCCCAGCTGAGAGTTTTGTTTTTTTTTAAAGAAAGGATAATATTCATCACTGGCTAGTTGATAAGGACATTCTCATACTCTTGAAGAAGTATAAATTTAGTCAACATTTTTGGGAAACAATTTGAAATTAAGAGTAAAATATGTGAAGTTCATATCTTTTTAAAACTTAGTACTTTCAATTCTAGAAATCCAGAATATGACCTGCCAATTGATATAACTAAAAGGTGTTTATTACAGCGTTATTAATCATAATAAAAAACTGAAAACAATCTAAATGTCTAACACTTAGGGAAATAGTGTAATAAATTTTACTTTTTTTTTTTTTTTCTTTGAGACAGAGTCTCACTCTGTCACCCAGGCTGGAGTGCAGTGGTATGATCTCGGCTCACTGCAATCTCCGCCTCTTGGGTTCAAGCAGTTCTCTGCCTCAGCCTCCTGAATAGCTGGGATTGCCTGAGGTGAGTGGATCACGAGGTCAGGAGTTCAAATTTTACATTTTAATAGAGGAAAGTTTAATAAATTTTGATTTACTCACATAATGGAATATTAAACAGGCATTAAAATGCTTTCCATGTGATCAACTTTTTTATCTTCCACATTCAGATGAGAACATGTTGTGTTTAACTTTCTTTTCCTGGCTTATTCCACTTAACATACAGTTCCAGTAAAGAGTAGAACAGAGGACTCACGCCTGTAATCCTAGCACTTTGGGAGGCCGAGGTGGGCAGGTCACGAGGTCAGGAGATCCAGACCATCCTGGCTAACATGGTTAAACCCTGTCTCTACTAAAAATGCAAAAAATTATCAAGGAGTGGTGGCAGGTGCCTGTAGTCTCAGCTACTTGGTAGGCTGAGGCAGGAGAATGGCATGAACCTGGGAGGTGGAGTTTGTAGTGAACTGAGATCGTACCACTGCACTCCAGCCTGGGCAACAGAGCGAGACTCTGTCTCAAAAAAAAAAAAAAAATAGTAGAACAGAGGATACTAAAGGCTGACAAGGGGAGGGAGAAGGGGGAGGATAGGAAGATATTTGTTAATGGTTATAAAATTACAGCTGGGTAGGAAGAGTAAGTTCTACTGTTCTATACAACTGTCAGTTGACTATATTTAACAATATTATATAGTTTTACATAGACGGAGGATATTGAATGTTCCCAAGACAAAGAAATGATAAATGTTTGAGATGATGAATATGCTAATTGCCCTGATCTGTTCACTGTACATTATATATATTGAAGCATCACTATGAACCCTGTAAATATGTACAATTGTTATATGTCAATTTAAAAAATTAAAAATTAAAACAATGAGTTCAAACCAATTTTTACTTTAAGTCCTAGAAAAATGTGCATGATACAATGCTAAGTAGAAAAGGAAAATGCAATATCTTAGATATAATATGATTATAATTTATAAAATGTATGCATAAATAAAAACAGTAAATCCTTACAATGTTAACTGTGGTTAAAATTCTGGTTGGTAGGATAAGTGGTGATTTAAATTTTCATCTTTATATTTTATTTAAATATCACATTTTTATTGTCTTTAGAATCAGAAAAGTATATATAATTTATCTTAAAACTCATTGTAGTTGACAGGGAAACTTCCGCTCAGTCATTAGCACTTCCACTGACAGATGTGGACCAACAGATGGATGAACAGGAATCAAACATGCGTAAAATTCAATTCATTGCCTTACAAAGCAAGGCCAGATATCCATTTAGCAAGATTTAAGTTCATTTCTATGGCTCAGATGTGTGTAAAAAGGAACTTTCTTTATTTACCATGATGGGTCCCATTTCACACTACCTTTTCTCATACCAGTTGACAGAAAATGCTTGATTTGTCAACTAAAGGTGTCTCTATCTGGTGTAGCTTAAAATAGTATGTTGGGGTAATTCCTTTGTGTTACTTTTGGTTTTTCCATCTCTTCTTTCTCTGCTTGACATAAATCAGGTGAACATCATTTACAAGTTGGCTCCAGAGAAGTGCCATTTGGTTTTTGCTGGCCCTGGTTACCTATGTCACTTCATTTTGCCACTTGCCACATCAGCCACAGTGTCTCTTGGCCCCTTGGTCACTTGGGTCCTGCTCTGTGAACCATGGGAGTGAGCCTCATCTCACTTGGTGTTTGGGGCAGTATTTGCAATTGATGTTTATAACAACTAGCTTTCATTGAGCACATGCTATGTGCAAGAGCATCGTTCTAACACCCTGAGGTGTCCTAGCTCATGTAATTCTCATGCCAGCTCTGTGAGGCAAGTATAGATAAGAAAATGGAGACTTAGAAAGTCCAAGTATCTTGTCCACAGCCTGTAAGTTTCAAGGCCAGAATGTCCATGGATCTTGCTACTGCCCCCAGTTGTCAAGACCCCCAAGCCTTCTCATTTGAGCCCCAGTCTCCTCTGGATCTCTTCCTCAAGGGTCCAGGAACTCTTGGCAGCTTCTCCACAGGCTACTGGAGTGATCAGACCCTGTGAGTGTGTTCTCACCTACCTGTACCTAGGCTCCCCACCCATGGCTATTTGGCCTTTCCCAGGCTGGGTTGATAGCAGGAATGAGAGGCTTGCAGTTTTCCCAGGCTTCTTACAGGGAAACAAGGGAACTTGTCACAATGACCCAAACTTTCCAGAGCCTTCTTACCATGAGCTGAATGTTCACATTCCCCCCAAATTCATATGTTACAGTTCTAGCCCCAGTGTGACAATACTTGGAGGTGGGGTCTTTGGGAGGTAATTAGGTTTATATTAGGTCATAAGGCTGAGGCCCTCAAGATGGAGGAGGAGGAGGGGGAGGAAAAGGAGAAGGTGTGGGGAGGGGGAGGAGGGGGAGGAAAAGGAGGAGGAGACCGCTTTCCATGAGCACACACCATGGAAAGGCCACATGAGGACACATAGCAAAGATGACTATTTGTGCACCAGGAAGCACGCCCTCACCAGACACCAAATCTCTTGTCACCTTGATCTTGGAAGTCCCAGCCTCTAGAACAGTGAGAAATACATTTCTGTTGTTGAAGCCACCCAGTTTATGGTATTTTGTTATATTGCTCTCCCTAAGACTTTCAGGAGGCTCTTTGAGTTCTATCCCTCTATCCCCTGAAAGAGCTCTGTCCTCTCCGTTTGATCTTCAAGCTTTGGACCTTAATGTGTAAAAACACAGCTTTGGGATAATCAAGAAAATCTTTGACAACACAAGTTAGTTATGAGGAGAAAAATTGTCTTGCTAGGAACTTGGGGAAAAGTCCAAACAAGTCTTCTTAACTTCAGATGTTACCAATGTTTTGCTTTCCTGGATTGGTCTTTACGGTATGCAGCTGAAGAAGAAGAAAAGCCACCTGAATTACACAGAAAGAACACTGGTGGTATTTCATCACGTTTTCCGGATCCTTACACTCTTTAACCCTGACTGATTGGTGCTGGCAGGGAGCCGTCCCCATCTGGTAGCACCCCTTCCTGTCTCAGGGCTTTCCTCTCCCAGGCCCTGCCAACACGCACTCCAGAACTATGGGTGCCTAAGTTTTCATGTTCAAAGTTGGCATTTGGAAGGGTCTTGAGTTTCAAAGTGTCCTTATATAAACTCCACACTGGTGGAAGTAAAGGCTTAAGTATCAAAAGCTGACATTGTAGCTACAGTTAGCTTGTGTGTTACAAGTGAGTGTGGGAGGAAGAACCCAGAAAGGGAGCCCATAGAGGGCCAGTGACAGCATCAGCATTTTCCCCAGAAATGAACCTCTTATTTCTAATAGGAATGTTCTCATTACCCCAAAAGAATGTTGTGTTATGTGGCATGCAGAAAAATACTTGCAGTTTAGTTTATCTGCGGGAGTCAGGAGGCTATATAGAGATAATAATGAGTCTTACTTGCTATCTTTCATTTTGTCTGTGTATCTAGATCCAGAGAATGTTTTCCTCATGTACAGAGAAATAATCAACACTTTCTTTTTATATCAAAGGGTTCAGACTCACATTATGAACTCTGTAAAAACTCTATGCTTTTATTTCTATTTGCAGACTAAGACATATACAAGAAGGTTGGGTTTCTCCTACCCTCCACCACCCCTAGGCAACTGGAGCAGCAAGATTATAAAACACAAACACAGGCAAATATAGACAACCCAGTTTGAGGTTTATTTGGGTATCTCTGCCTTGTAAGCACTTCCTCAGAACATGGCAGAGCAAGGAAGGGGGAGGGAGTTCAGTTAGTTACTGGGCTATTTATAAGGTCAACAGGAAAGGCTTGAGATAATGGGAAAAATGCTCTTTTTTTTCTCTTTGTGTTTGCCATGGAGTCCACTTCCTAGTCTGTCCCACTGTCCCCAGTATCAGGAAAATCCAAAGTTGGCCACATCCAAAGCAGTTGCATCACAGCCTGGTAACATGAACCTTACCAGCTCTTTGGTCTTAGTTGACAATAACCTTCCCCTTTTCCTCCCATGTTCAGGTTCATTGCCACAAGGCATCCCCCAAACTGCAGCTGGATGAGACCCCCATGCCACACTAGATATTTAGCAGATGATTAGAAACCCAGAGAATCTCATTCTATAATAATGATTATTATTATTTTGAGACAGAATCCTGCTCTGTCACCCAGGCTGGAGTGCAGTGGCTCAATCTCGGCTCACTGCAGCCTCCGCCTCCTGGGTTCAAATGATTCTTGTGCCTCAACCTCCCGAGTAGCTGGAACTACAGGCTTATGCCACCATGCCCAGGTAATTTTTATTGTTGTTGTTGTTGAGACGGAATCTCGTTCTGTTGCCCAGGCTGGAGTGCAGTGGCATGATCTAGGCTCACTGCAACCTCTGCCTCCTGGGTTCAAGCGATTCTCCTGCCTCAGCCTCCTGAGTAGCTGGGACTACAGGCACCCGCCACCATGCCTGGATAATTTTTTGTATTTTTAGTAGAGATGGGGTTTCACTATATGTTTGCCAGGCTGGTCTCGAACTCCTGACCTCAGGTGATCCACCCACCTTGGTCTCCCAAAATGCTGGGATTACAAGCATGATTCACTGTGCTCAGCCTACCTAATTTCTTTATATTTTTAGTAGAGACGGGGTTTCATCATGTTGGCCAGGCTGGTCTTGAACTCCTGGACTCAAGTGATCCGCCCCCTCAGCCTCCCAAAGTGTTGGGATTACAATTACAGGCATGAGCCACTGTGCCTGGCCCTATTCTATAGTTAAGTAACATATTTTTAGCTTGGGAACATTCTAAGGTGAATAAAAATGAACAAGCAAACAAACAAAAACCCACAGATGGTGTTTACAATAGAAAAAAATAACCAGAAGAATCATTTTCAGTCAGGTATTGTTACCCTTATAATTTTAATCAAAACAATTTTGCCTAAAAGTTGAGTCAACAGAAAATCCATGCCTCTGTATCAACAGACAATCCACGATCCATTTCTGCCTTACCTGGAAAGCCTCAACTAAGGGGAGGAACAACCCCTCAAGAAATCTCATTTTTCCGAGATACAAAGTTCTAGAGTTTGGAAGTGTGTGGGCGAAAGATTACCTAGGTGCTGAGGCAAAAGACTGAAGGCACAAACTGTTTCAATATAATAAAGAAAATAGTTAAAATAAAAATAGTCATAATGCGAATTAGATATAGAGATGATCATGGACAATTATCAGTCATTATTATAAACACTATTAATCATTAACTTTTAATAATACTCTTTGTTGCACTACTAATATAACCTAGGAACAATCAGCAGGTATAAGGTCAGGTACTGAAGGGACATTGTGAGAAGTGACATAGAAGGCAAGAGGTGAGCCCTCTGTCACACCCGCACAAGGGCAGCTTGAGGGCTCCTTGGTCAAGCGGTAATGCCAGTGTCTGGGAAGACACCCATTACTTAGCAGACCACAAAAGGGAGTCTCCTTTCCTTGGAGGAGTCAGGAAACACTCTACTCCACCAACTTCTTGTGGAAGACTGGATATTATCCAGGCCTGCCTGCAGTCATCTGGAGGCCTACACCCCTCCCTGTGGTGCTGTGCTTCAATGGTCATGCTCCTTGTCCACTTTCATGTTCCTCCTGTACTCCTGGTTCCTCTTTGAAGTTCATAGTAGATAATGGTAAAAAAAAAAGTGAAAGTCTTAAAGTCTTTAATCTTTCTTATAAGCACATAATATGCTGACATATGCTGCCTTCTCTCTCTGCTTCGGCTACCTAAAATGGAAGGGCCCCCCGTCCTATGATCACGTGACTTGCTTCACCTTATCAATCACTTAGAAGATTCACCCTCCTTACCCTGCCCCCATTGTCTTGTATACAATAAATATCAGTGCACCCAGACATTCGGGGCCACTACCAGTCTCCATGTCTTGGTGGTAGTGGTCCCCCGGGCCCAGCTGTTTTCTCTTTATCTCTTTGTCTTGTGTCTTTATTTATTACAATCTCTCATGTCCGCACACAGGGAGAACACCTGCTAAGCCCCATTTAAATTTAATAATTTAATTAAAATTAAATTATTTGGTCCCTACAAAAGTTCATCTAAGTTAGCATTTAATAGTCTTCTTTCTCCTTTGAATATATGGCATGTATTTGATATCTACTTTATTGAAGTTACTAAAAATAAAGAACCACTTTCCCTATGCCACTCTGAGTGAATGGCTCACTCAGAGGCATTTTAAGCATTTTAACAATTGAATCATGAAATACGTTTTTTAAAAAAACTCTCTCAAAGATATTTCTTCTACTCTGATGTCCATTGTTGTAAAGTCATTCCCATCGTAGGTCCTTTCTCTGTCCTTCCTTCTGACTTCTGCACTGAGAGATGCATAGAGCAGTGGTTGCAAATGTCTGATAGTGGGCCAGAACCTGTTCATTGCAAAAAAGCAAAATAATAATGATATTGTTAATAATGATAAAAAATGAAGTCCTTGCTAGTCAAATAACTCTTTAAAGGGCAAAGAATATGAGCAGACATTTCAAAAAAAATGAAATATAAAGGTCTCAACACAGATGCTCAGCACCATTCATAAGAGAAATGCACATTACCTCGGTAAACCATTTTTTTTTCACCCAGCACACTGACAAAGATCAAAAAGTCTGATAACCCATTGTGCTAGGGAACATGTTGCAAAACAGACACTATCAAAATTAATGCTGAGATTTGGAAAAATTGAACAAAATTGCCCATGCATATAGTTGTTGACCTATAAGTTACGCTTCCAGGAAATTTATCCTATAAATATATTCACACACGTGCCAAGTGGCAGATGTGGAACATTATTTACTGCAGTATTGTTTGTTATAGCACTTTATTGGAAACAGCCTTAAATGTTTATTGATAAGTTACTAAATTATGGTACATCCCCATATGTACCATATGGGGAATATGTAGCAGCCTTAAAAAGACTGAAGAGATGGATAGATGATAGATAGATATGATGATTTCTAATTGTAAGTGAAAAATAAAATACCAAAGGGAAGGATACCATTTACATAGAATGGATAGAGGAGAGGTCTATGTATATGCACAGTATTTGCTTATTGAAGCAAAAACTACCTCTGGAAGGACACGCAAGAAACTGATAGTATATGCCTCTCTCACAGAGGGGAACTGAAGAACTGGGGATAAGGAGGGAGTGAAACTTTCCATTATATTTCTATCTATCTACACACACACACACACACACACACACATATGCACACACTTATGTATATGTTTGAATTTTGAACTACAAATGTATTATCCATTTAAAAACTTAAAAACACTCTTGTTTGTAAGGAGCAGACATTTTCATTTTTAGGAAACACAATTTGTATCTCCTTAAACAGAGTATGGCAGATCAAATTTTCCAAAGATAACTATATCAATATATCACATCCCACATGCTCTTCTTACAAGGTGACACTGACACTCCCCTTGAATCTGGGAGCAGACATTTTCATTTTTAGGAAACACAATTTGTATCTCCTTAAACAGAGTATGGCAGATCAAATTTTCCAAAGATAACTATATCAATATATCACATCCCACATGTTCTTCTTACAAGGTGACACTGACACTCCCCTTAAATCTGGCTAGGCTTGGGACCGTGTGGAAGTGACTATTTGAATTTCAAGGGTAAAGTCATTACAAGTAACATAGCTGCCCCAACTGTCTTCCTCTCACCTGCCCTCAAACTTCTTGTCCTTGGAACTCAGCTACCATGTTGTGAGGAAGCCATGCAGCCTCACTGAAAGATTTGGGGTAGGTGCTCCTGCACCACCCCAGCTTAGGCCCCAGCCGACAGCTAGCATCAACCACCAGACTTGGGAATGAACCAGCCTTCACACACATAACTTTCAGGCCACTCAGCTGGTGCTGACCAGAGCAGAAATGATCCATCCTTTCCTAGCTCTGCCCAAACTACAGATTTATAAACAAAATAAATGATATGTTGTTTTAAGCCACTATGTTTTATGACGGTTCGTTCTTATACAGTGACAAATAACTAGACCAAAGAAAAAATTTTGGATGTTTTGAGAAGATCCCAGGGATGCCTTGCTGAAATAAAGTAGAGGCAGGGATGCAGCTGGGCCCAGCTAGAATCTTCAGTTTGTCATTTGCAGGACTTGCTCTCCCTCCATCTGTTTCTTTCCAATCCTTCTCCCTTGGCCCCCGGGAGCTCCCCCTGAGAATTGGTGCTATTTTGTGGGAAGGGGAAATTATAAAACGATTAGTCTCCACTTTTAACTTTGAAGGAACTTTTACCAAAATAATAAATTGCTTTTGGTGTAAATTTAAATCTCAAGGAGATTGTCAAGCAAAATGCAGCTTTAATTTTATTTTTTAATCTGAATATTTAGAAATTAGTGTCAAATAGAATTAGTTGAACAAAATTTTTATAACAGTATCATATCAGATTATTCCTATAAAAGTCATCAAGTTCCATTAATTATGACACTACCAAGGACATTAATAGTAAACTGAAAGAAAAATTGTGAAGGGCAAATTCGTCCAGTGGCTTTATGTTTGAACTGATTTTGTGGAGAAGCAATATGCTGTAAGTGTTAGGAGCCTGGACTTTGGAGCCAGACTGTTAAATGTGGCTCCACCACTGGTATCTTCATGATGTTGAGCAAATTATAGTTCTGTGCCTCAATTTCCTCGTCTGAACATTGGCTCTAATAACAGTTCCTGTCATATAGGGTTATTGTGAGTTTTAATAAATTACATTCAAAACACTAATATTAGTGTCTGGCACACAAGAAGTCTTCAGAGAACAATGACTGTTATTTTTGTATACCAAACACCAGATCTGATATCCTGTGAGATTTATTCTAAATTTAGCTTTTGCCCCTAGAATTTATAGCCAAGGTAAATTCAGACATTGCAAGCAAGTCCGCCAAAAGCTATATGCTAATGGAGAACTCCTTTCTATTGCTAACACTTTGGTTCCTGTTTCTGTCCATATTTGAAAGAGACAGAAATGTTATGTAAATTGTAGATGCACTCAGCATCACTTCCAACCTCCTGCAAGTGTGCCTAGAATCCTGCAAAGGCTGGTGAACTAAATAAAACCTAGCTTGCTCAAACTCCCATGAAGCTAGTGTTCTGAATACACAGTTGGTTTTCCAATCAGATGCATTTATACAGAGTATTTAAGGTAGATGTGTGGTGGGGCCATTTTCCTGTTGTTTTGACTCTTCCTACTGGCAAACATGATTGTCAGGACTTTGAGTTTTTCTAGAGCAGAAGCCCAGTTCACTAATTTTTTGTGTGTTGAAGAGGCAGCTGTGATGGGGTGTGAAGGCAGTGGCTGCAGCTCCCTGATCCCTGGATCATAAGCATTAATAGTCGTTTTGATGTCAACCAACCAAAAATGTATCTCCTGAAATCCTACACGTGTGAATATGTCAAAGGTAGCAGCTTCCTTGGCAGACCTGTTCTCTGATGGTGACTGGGAATCATTTCTGGACTCCACGCATCCAGCCCCTCCAGCAATTGCCTAAGCACCCAATTCCCTGAATTCCATCCTTTCAGCTCTTTTTAATTTTTTTTTGTACCCAAATTCTGTCTGATTCAAACAGGGAGTCACAAAAGTTGTCTTCCTCATGGCAGTCCTTTGTCAAGTGACTCGTTTTTCCAATTTATTCAGTGTGAACTTCCAGAGCTTCTCTTTATATAGTGCAGTAGAATAAGAATGGAAGGAGCAAGCTGAGGTGTTAGAATGCTGATAAAGAATGTTTCCTTAAAAGCAATAGCAAACAGGGCTTATCATGTCTGTAAGGGGGAAAGCCACTCTTTTGCTGTAGCATTGTTATGGGGGTGCAATGGAGTCATCTGGTAAGAGCACCCAGACTAGCCCTCAGTATGGTCACTCCTTAAAAATATCAGTAGATTTTATGAGTTACTGTTTGATATTTCTGCTTGATCAAAGAGATTCAGATCCGGTTTAATGTCCTCTGCTATGCACCTTGAAAAACTGACTTTTTAGTGCCTCTCATCCATCATCAGCAGTAGCACTGGGCTTCTCCAAAGCTGTTCAACAACCATGTTTTTTCTTGCCACCTTCCTCCACAGAGCCTAGAAGGCCATACACTCACTGCCCTCAGTTCTTTTGCCTTGGTCATATGATCCAGTTTTAGAGGAATTCTGCTTGAGGTAACTTCTGGAAAAAGTTTTGTTTTCCTTATAAAGGAATAGATGTGGTTAGTGGAGTTTCTCTCCTTCCATTCCTCCTACCTTGAAAATAAATATGATATCTGGAGCTCTAGAAGCCATTTTGATAACATGAGATAACATGCCCATTCACTAAAGAAAGCAGAGGGAAGCGAAGCCGGGCGCGGTGCCTCACGCCTGTAATCCCAGCACTTTGGGAGGCCCAGGTGGGCGGATCACGAGGTCGGGAGATTGAGACCATCCTGTTTAACACGGTGAAACCCCGTCTCTATTAAAAATATAAAAAATTAGCTGGGCATGGTGGCGGGCGCCTGTAGTCCCAGCTACTTGGGGGAGGCTGAGGCAGGAGAATGGCGTGAACCCGGGAGGTGGAGCTTGCAGTAAGCCGAGATCACACCACTGCACTCCAGCCTGGGCAACAGAGCGAGACTCCATCTCAAAAAAAAAAAAAAAAAAAAAAAAAAGGAGAGGGAAGAGATAGGAGACTGGATCTTTGATGACACCCCTGAGACTCTGCCCCGGACTCTTCTTTAAGTGAGAATAATAAACCCCTGTTTGTTTAAGCAAGTGTTTGTAAGGTATTCTATTTCTTGCAGCCTCATTCCCACAAAATATGTTATTTATATCTCCCAGAATTTTTGTAGGAACCCAACAAGATAACTGGCATGAAAGTACTTTGAATACTATAAAAAGAGAACTCGTTTTAAAGTTCTGTTTTAAAAGGAATCAGATGTTTTTCTTAGTCGTTCAAGCTTAAGGTAGAGGAAGTTTCAATGAAATGATAAATGGTTGAAATAAATATGCCACATATTCCTTTCAACAACTCAGATGAAGGCTTGCTTCTTTCTTAAATTATTAATAACCCCATTTAGTACTTTCAAAGTGCCTTGCCATCATTTGATACTTAATCCTCAGAATTTCCCTAGAAGAATGTAAAATCTCATTTTACAAGGGAAGAAGTGAAAACAAGGTTTTTCAAAAACTCTCTTTGAGACACCATATGCCTGTGGCAGACTCAGAACTAAAAATCAAAGAATTGAACAGTCCAGTGTGTAATTGGCTTTCTCATGTAAATTTGATATGCAGGGCATGACACAGCCCACAGAAGCTCTAAGAATTTTTTTAAAATTTTACCTTACATGTATATTCAAAATAAAGTCAAGCTAACCATATAGGATTCCTTATGTGAACAAAATGCCTTTATGCCCAACATTAGAAGTGGACAAGGAAAGAATATATTCTATCATTAGTGAACTTGTCTATTTGTACACCAAGAATCTCACCCAATCCTGGCATAAAATAAATCATGTCAGATTAACTCTTATTTTACGGATGTATCTGGTAATAAGCAGTAAAAGAGTAGGTCTGAAACAGAAGCAAAAGTAAAGAGAAATACCAGGCCAGGCACGATAGCTCATGCCTGTAATCCCAGCACTTTGGGAGGCCGAGGCAGGAGGATCGCGAGGTCGGGAGTTCAAGACCAGCCTGGCCAACATGGTGAAACCCCATCTCTACTAAAAATACAAAAATTAGCCAGGCATGCTTGGGCATTTCTGTAATCCCAGCTACTTGGGAGGCTGAGGAAGAAGAATCACTTGAACTCGGGAGGTGGAGATTGCAGTGAGCCGAGATCGCGTCACTGCACTCCACACTGGGAGACAGAGCGAGACTGCATCTCAAAAAAAAAAAAGGAGAGAATGAGAAAGAGGGAAATATCTACCTACCTAAACAGGAAGTAGGTTCATGATCACTCTTTAAAAAGGAAGCAAAGATTTATTTATAACCAAAACTTTATTTAGAAGTGTGGTGCTCAGAATCTTCCTTCACCTTCAACCCAGGAAAATGTTCTCTCAATTTTGATCATGTACTTGATGAAACAGAAATTTGGCCTTTAATTAATGATGTTATTTTTTAAAAATTTATACATTTCCAAGCCTTTTATCTAAATTCTGAATAAGATTTACATGATATGAAATCAATGAGAGAAAAAAGAAAAAGCAGCTGAAACAGAAATACAAAAATCTCTTAATTAGACTATATTATTACTATTTTTATTTTCAAATCCAGAAAAGGCCAATATAAAGATTTCCTATGCCAGCTCTACTACTTCCTACCCATGGTTCCTTAACCAATTACCTCCTCTCTCTACGTCTAGTTTCCTTATGTAGTAAATGGGCACGATAATAATGCCCACTAAATTGGGTGGTTGGGCAAATTGAATGGAGTGCAACACCAACAATGTTAGTCATTATTATGGTCTGAAAAAGCCGTAAAACACTGGACACAACTAAGAGATGGCACATGAGGTAAATACTATAAAAGCCGTCTGAACATCTAACCTGATTGGAGTGGCAGTAAAGGGGATTTGACTTTCAGGATAGTACTGCTCCACCAGCTTCTGCTGGGATTTAAATGATTATTGCTTAGCTCTTTTCTCTTGACTTGTTAGCAAGTGCCTGGCGGGCCTATTTCAAGTACATTTTGTAAAATACTACGGGAAGACCCTTAAGAAATAACCAAGAGCATGCTTGGGTCTGGTCTGATATTAAGGGCAACAATGGTCACTGGATATTAAAGGGGGCACAACTGAATTTGAGAGCTAAAGAGGGTGGTGCTTAGCAAAAAACAAGGGTGTTCCTGAACAGAAATCCACCGTAAAGGGGGAAGAAATTTTTGAGAAATTCTTATTTGTCACAAGGAGCAGACAGCTGCCCTGAAATGTGCTTTCCAGAAAACTGGAAAAGTAGAATTCTGACCTGCCCTCTGGATTTCTAGCTGGAGCCGATAAGTATATGGGAACAGTGCACACCTTGGGAGAATGAGAATTTTGTGAGATGTTTAAACCTCTGTCACCTGGGGATTTAAAGGTTGTTGTATACACCTATTTTATTTATTATCTCTTCTGCTCTGTTGTTATACTGGTAAGAACAAGAGAGTGAAGGTTACAATTGCAACGGGGTTTACAATCTTGCCTGTTCCATATAGCAGATATTCCATGAGGGCTGTGGGGGTGAGGCAGGCGGAAAATGAGGCCAGAGAAACCGAGAACTTGAAACTAGCAGAGTCAAACTGGGCAAACTCCTGAAGAAACATGCACAGAACATAAATGTCAGACCAATCCTGGCTTCTAAATATTGTATTGCCAGGAGTAGCCAGTGAAAGTTTGGGTCTTTCACCCTTAGGGTGCCAAGCGTCCTCCATGTCCCAAGACCTCCTTAATGTGTGCATTTGCCTTCCAGGTGGCTCAACTGCAGATCCACTCAGCCTCTGTTGACTGAAACTGAGTTGAAAGAGGAAATAAGTTGAAAGAAGGGTGAAGAAGAGAAAGCATCATGGAAAAGAAAAGGATCTGATGGAGTGTACAGAGGAGTGAGAAAAAAAATCTAGGGGAAGGGAAGCAGAAAATAAAATCAGGAAGAAAATAAGATAAAATACAGGGAAGAAAGATGAGAATGGGATAAGCACAGGATTCGAAAGACTTCAGTAGGGACCTGGGATCAGATTGCTGTGCTAGAACTGGATACAGGAAGGAAGAAAGAAATGTATCTTAGAGGAGCTTCTGAGAATAAAAGAGATAGGAGAAAAGAAAAGATAGAGGATTAAAAATGCTATTTGTTATTCTAAATGTCTGGATAATAATCATCTTTGTGTCTTTGCATCAAAGCTTTTAGTGGCACTGTGGGCAGAACCACAATCAATATTATTTCAAAACAGTGATGCCCTTTGAGGAGGATATGAAGGGGAGGGAGAAATCGGATAAACTATGAAGGAGGAGAGAAGAGGCCAGTCTTGTTGGATACTGCAGAGACAGGTTGATGCTGAACCCTTGGGAATAGAAGTGATGCAATGCCTGTAAGAGTGAGCAGGATGTTTACTGTCTTTCTGCATGGAAAAAAAAAAAAAAAAGGAAAGGAAAAGAAAGAAAACAGAAAAAATATGGCACTGGCTACACACAACTCTTTCTTAAAGAAGAATACACTGGAATCTGATTAATTGATCACTGAGTTAATTAATTGTCATCTTGAGATTTTGGTATGTATAGTAGTTATTTGCATGTGACATTATGTACCAGTTATTTTACTATTGTTAAAAAAAAATTGGGAATCCATTAGGCTGAGACAACTTCAGTGCCTTGGGTTCCTACATAAACAACCTGAAAGGAACTCAATGTAAACAATAAAATGAAACTTAAGCTTAACCAATCAGAAACTGCCAACTAACCTCTAACTAGGGACTTTGCACATTAACCAAACATTTTCATTGTCTTCCTTATGGGAACACCTTATAAAAGCTTTCACCTTGGCTGGGCGTGGTGGCTCACGCCTGTAATCCCAGCACTTTGGGAGGCCGAGATGGGCGGATCATGAGGTCAGAAGATCGACGCCATCCTGGCTAACATGGTGAAATACCATCTCTACTAAAAATACAAAAAATTAGCCAGGCATGATGGCATGTGCCTGTAATCCCAGCTACTCTGGAGGCTGAGACAGGAGAATCACTTGAACCCAGGAGGCAGAAGTTGCAGCGAGCCAAGATCGCAAAACTGCTCTCCAACCTGGGTGACAGAGTGAGACTCCATCTCAAAAAAAAAAAAAAAAAGAAAAAAGGAAAAAAGCTTTCACCTTAAGCCACTTTGGTGGAGCCTAAACCGCTCTGTTTGGTGCTGCCCAATTGATGATTTCCCATCAGCTCAAATAAATTATTTAAGTTTAATGTACTAAAGTTTATCTTTTAACACTATTTATTTTTAAACCAGCCTTTAGTACTTTTTTGTTTGTGTATTGGCTCCATTTACTTTATGACATGAGTTATTTATTGCTGTATCGATTGAGACATCTATCTAGTCATCTCTTAGGCAAGCAGTCCTCAAACTTTAATGAGCATCAGGATCATCCAGAGGACTTGTTAAACACAGATTTCTAGTCTCTACACCACTAGAGCTTCTGATACAGTGGGTCTGGGGTGAAAGAATCTGCATTTTAACAGGTTTCCAGGTGAGGCTGATGTTGCCGATCCAGAGACCTCACTTTGAGAAGAACAATGTTTGAAAAACAATAGTGTTTTCTGCTATGTGTAAATACTATTATTGCAGATGTGTTTAAATATAAAACTGTATTTCAAGGATAAAGTTTTTAGAGTTCAGAAAAAATTATTAGAAGCATTAATATACAAAGTGATCTACTATATCCATAGTAAAATCAAAGAGTTATATGGCGTTTTGAAGGAAAAACTTCTGAAATTTATAACTTTCTATAATAAGATGACCTGGTTGAAGTTCTAAACTTTTCAATGTAGTATCTCCAATTTTGAAACCTCCAACTTAAGAGTTGTAGAGAAAAATGTTTTCTCTTCTTCACATGATCCCAGCTTGGCCCAGAGAGAAGGACACATTCACCAACACTTCTGTCCTCCTGGAATAGTCCTGGCGAGGAAGCTTGTGCCTCTCTCCCATCCCCTCTGAACAGAGTGTGCTACTTTTGGGCCATGGTGTACACTAGAGGACTATGCTCATAACAGTGGAAGGTGCCATCTTTTTCTTTTTCTTTGACTCCCTGAGCTTTTAGGTACGAACAGGCTTGTCTCCACTTTTGTCATCATGAAGTAAATCCACCTGGACAATGTTCTTCCATAGTCAGAAATCCCTGCTGAAGACAGAGTACAGTAAGTCTGTGTAACCAGCTGGATGAGTGGACTCAGAGTCTTATATGCGGGCTTGGATATACACCCAGTGTGAATGTGCAGATTCTGGATCTAAAAAACTTTGTGTCTAAGCGGCATTCTCCATTCTTTAGCAGAAGCGCCACTAAGCCATTGACGCAGTTGGCTATCTGTCCTTCGGGTGTTTACTTCATCAGTCAACATCTTGGAAAGAAGTGGGAGAGAATTTTAGAGCTGCTAGATCTCTAAAATGCAGGCTGGGAAATCATAAGATGGACACTTGGGCAGCAAAGGGCAACCCAGGGAGAATGAGGATCTTGATATAGGCCAGCTTGGGCTGGGGCGGCTCACGGTGGCTTGTAACATAGACACAGCTGGTACATCAGAGCGCAGAAAGACTCCAGTTAAGTGCCACCTCAAAACAGATGGACTTCACTACATAAAGCTTTTTTAGGGTTTTGTGAAAAGAATAATTATTACTTCCATAGTGTCTTTTTCCCCATACAGTGCTTCTCAGCCAGACCCGCAAAGGGAATTGAGTTTCCCATGGGGCACGGAATACTCTGTGTTCATGCTGACCTTCAGGTTGTCAGGGTCAGGCTGAAGCAGCATCTCCAGATTAGTTAATCCAAAATTCAGACTTCTTTATCATTCTGTAAATGACATCAAGATCTAAATAGTATCTTGGGCTTGGGAGGCTCCTACATAGGGTCCTGGAAATACTCTGCTTCTATCACCAAGTCTTAAATTGGTTCTAAACTGTGTATGTTGTAAAGTCTGCTCATGGGTGCGAATTTTAGAGACCCCTACTGAAGCTTCAACCGCAGAAGGGTAAGGGAATAGATAAACAACAATACAGATTTTCTCGTATAGGGCATATGACACAATTTTTAAGCAGAAGCAAACCAACCCACTCTCATTATGGAACAAAGGTTTAGAGGGACCATTTAAGATTTTCCATTGGAAACTCCCTGTCATTAAGAATTTGGTTTGCATAGTGACATATCAGGGAAAGAAAATTCTGAAAAAAAGATTTGGTCTTGCAATCAGAACAGCAATGAGAAAAAATGAAAGCAAAATAAAAGCATACACATTAAGAAATAAGATGGGGTGGATAAACAGCTTTCTCCTCTAGAGACAGATTAAATTAAAAAAAAAGATGCGACTAAAAAATGAGAAATATTTTAGCTGTTATCTTTTTAAGGAGTGTTAGGGCAGGGGGGCTTATGAAAATCAAATAAAGAAGGCAAGATCATGAGAGCTCACTAGGTTAATTCCTCCAGTGAGAGCTCAGAGAGAGAGGAAACTATTGAGAGGGGGTGTTTGTCTTTTATTTTATTCTTCTTATTTTTCAAAAACTTTTTTATTATGGAAATTTCCAAACATGCACAAAAGAAGAGAGAATATAATGACTCTCCAAGTGCCCATCTCTCCACTCCAGCAGTTATCAACATATGGTTATTCTCATTTCCTGTGTACCTCCCCACTCCTCCTCCAAATCCCAGCACCTGCTGGAGTATTTTACAATTAATCCTAGGCATTATATAATTTCATCTATATTATCTCAAAGAAATAAGAATTTTTAAAAGTTTAACCACAATATTTTACATCTAAAATATTAATAATATCTCTTCATATTATATATCTAGCTAGTTTTCTAATTTCACCATTTTAAAAATAACATATTCTCTTTTTAATTTTTGTAGATTTGGGGGTACAAGTGCAGATTTCTTATATTCATCTATTATGCAGTGGTAGAGTCTGAGCTTTTAGTGTGCTCACCACCCAACTGTAATTTCAGCATTGTTTATAAATACCATATAAATATATGGTTTGTTTGAATCAAGATCAGAAAGAAAGCTCCCACATTGTATTTGGTTGATATGTCCCTTAAACTTCTTTTTATTTATTAACTGCCTCCAGCTCCCCCTTTTCTTTTTCTAATTTATTTGTTGAGGAAATTTTGTCATTTGTTTTCTAGCATTCTGAGAGGTGTCCTCTTAGAGTTGCAAGAATAAGAGAACAGTTGGAAAACTTCTTGGAAAAACTGCATGGGGTGATTTCAGAAACATTGGACATTTGTTATAGAAGGGCTGAGAAGATTAGCAGAGAATATATTAAACATCCTTAGATGAGTTTGAAGGTGACACAGTCATTTCAGGTGGCAAAACTTCTATGGCCATGGTTTGGGGGAAGATTTCCAGGAAACACATAGAGTTAGGACTCTGTGCAAAGGTTTAGGGAAGATGAAGCTCAGTAAAGGGTAGCACAGTGGGTGCAAAGGAGATCAATTCCAGGCCAGGGTTAGCTGTTGGGCTGATGGAGGGTAGCTTATAGATAGAATTTTCCAACTTGGGTTGGTGATGGTGACTGGATGTATTTGAACAATTAATGCAATTGACTGACTCAGAACTCAATGATTTCATATGGGAGACTCCAGGAAAACTGTCTGGTTCTAAAGAAAAAAGAGGAGAGGAATTCTGGTCCAGCAATCATTGCTACACAGGAGGGGGAGGAAGAAAGCAAGGCTCTGCTGATCCTGCAGAATCTGTGGAAGAGCAGAAGGAAATGGAACATTAGGGCATATTCCATTGCCACAGGAAAACATGTAGCTGAGAGAATAGTTCTACTGCTGATGATGTGAGAAAAAGGTTCTCAAGGCTTGGAAATTCAAAAGTCAGGAAAAGGAAAAGTTTTGGGGAAAAGCACATGAAAGAAAGCATAATGGAAGGTCCAAACAAGCTCAATTAGAAATGAAACTGAAGATGTTACAACCAATACCACAGAAATACAAACAATATAATAATTCAAGGCTACTATAAACACCTTTATGCACAGAAACTAGAAAATCTAAATGAAATGGATAAATTCCTGGAAATATACAACTCTCCTAGATTTTCAGAAAGAAATAGAAACCCTGAACAGACCAATAACAAGCAGCAAGACTAAATCAGTAATTTAAAAAATTGTCAACAAAAATGTTCAGGACCAGATGGATTCACAGCTGATTTCTACCAGACATTCAATGAAGAATTGGTATCAGTCCTACTGAAACTATTCCAGAAAATAGAGAAAGAGTATATTCTCTCTAAATTATTCTATGAAGCCAATATCACCCTAATACCAAAACCAATAAATGACATAACAAAAAAAAAAAAAAAAGAAAACTGCAGACCAGCCAGATACGGTGGCTCATGCCTATAATCTCAGCACTTTTGAAGGCTGGGGCAGGTGGATCACCTGAGGTCAGAAGTTCAAGACCAGCCTGGACAACATGGTGAAACCCTGTCTCTACTAAAAATATAAAAATTAGCCAGGTGTGGTGGTGGGTGCCTGTCACCCAGCTAATTGGAAGGCTGAGCCAGGAGAATCACTTGAACCCAAGAGGCAGAGATTGCAGTGAGCCAAGGTCACACCACTGCAATCCAGCCTGGGTGACAGAGCAAGACTCTGTCTCAAAAAAAAAAAAAAAAAAAAAAAAACTATAGATCAATATCACTGATGAACATAGATGCAAAAATCCTCAACAGAATACTAGTTAACCACATCCAACAGCACATCAAAATGATAATACACCATGATCAAGTGGGTTTCATCCTAGGAATGCAGGGATGGTTTAACATACACAAATCAATAAATGTCATACATCACATAAAGAGAATTGAAAACAAAAACCATATGATTATCTCAATAGACACAGAAAAAGCACTTGATAAAATTCAGCATTGCTTTATGATAAAAACCCTAAGCAAAATAGGCATAGAAGAGACTTACCTCAAAGTAATAATAAAAGCCATATATGACAAATCCACAGCCAATATCATACTGAAAGGGGAATGCTGAAAGCATTCCCCCTGAGAACTGGAATAAGACAAGGATTTCCACTTTTACCACTTCTATTCAACACAGTACTGAAAGTCCTAGCCAGAACAATCAGACAAGAGAAAATAAAGGGCATCCAAATTGGAAAAGAGGAAGTCAAACTGTCACTGTTCACCGATGATATGACCATATACCTAGAAAACCCTAAAGACTCACCCAAAAGGCTCCTAGATCTGATAAACGAATTCGATAAAGTTTCAGGATACAAAATTAGTGCACACAAATCAGTAGCACTGCCATACACCAACAATGACCAAGCTGAGAATCAAATCAAGAACTCAATCCCTTTTACAATGGCTGCAAAAAAATAAAATATTTAGGAATATACTTAATCGAGTAGGTGAAAGATCTCTACAAGGAAAACCACAAAACACTGCTGAAAGAAATCATAGATGACACAAACAAATGGAAACACATCCCCTACGCATAGATGGGAAGAATCAATATGGTGAAAATGATCGTATTTCCTAAGGCAATCTACAGATTCAATGCAATTCCCATCAAAATACTGTCACATTTATTTATTTTTGTTTTTGTCATAATTCTTCACAGACCTAGAAAAAATAATCCTAAAATTCACATGGAACCAAAAAAGAGCCACATAGCCAAAGCTATACAAAGCAAAAAGAACAAATCTGGAAGCATCACATTACCCGTCTTCAAGCTATACTACAAGGCTATAGTTACTAAAACACCATGGTACTAGTATAAAAATAGTCACATAGACCAATAGAACAGAATACAGAACCCAGAAATAAAGCCAAAAATGTGCAGCCAACTGATCTTTGACAAAGCATACACAAACATAAATTCGGAAAAGGACATCCTATTCAATGAATGGTGCTGGGAAAACTGGCAAGCCACATATGGAAGGATGAAACTGGATCCCCATCTTTCATCTTATGCAAAAATCAATTCAAGCTAGATCAAAGACAAATCTAAGACCTGAAATCATACAAATTCTGGAAACATTGGAAAAACTTTTCTGGACATTGGCTTGGACAAACAATTTATGACTAAAACCCCAAAAGCAAATGCAACAAAAACAAAAATAAATAACTGTGACCTAATTAAACTAACAAGCTTCTACACAGCAAAAGAAATAACCGACAGAGCAAACAGACAGCCCACAGTGTGAGAGAAAATATTTGCAAACTAGGCATCCAAAAAAGGACTAGTATCCAGAATCTACAAAGAACTCAAACAAATTAGCAAGGAATAAAACAAATAATCCCATCAAGAAGTGAGCAAAGGATATAAATAGACATTTCTCAAAAGAAGACATACAAACAGCTAACAAATATATACAAAAATGCTCAACAGTACTAACCCTCAGGGAAATGTAAATTAAAATCACAATGAGATACCACCTGATTCCTGCAAGAATAGCCATTATTAAAAAGTCAAAAAACAATAGATGTTGGTATGGTTGTGGTGAAAAGGGAACACTTTTATACTGCTGGTATAATTTACATTGTATTAGTGTAAATTAGTACAACCACTATTGAAAACAGTGTGAAGATTCCTTAAAGAATTAAAAGAAGCTCTACCATTCGATCCAGCAATCCCACTACTGGGTGTCTACCCAATGGAAAAGAAGTCATCGTACAAAAAAGATACATGCACATGCATGTTTATAGCAGCACAATTCTCAATTGCAAAGATGTGGAACCAAACTGAGTGCCCATCAACCAACAAATGGATAAAGAAAATGTAATATATATACACCATGGAATACTTCTCAGCCATAAAGCAAAATGAAATAATGTCTTTTGCAGCAACTCAGATGGAGCTGGAGGCCATTATTTTAAGTGAAGTAACTCAGGAATGGAAAACCAAATATTATATATTCTCACTTGTAAGTGGGAGCTAAGCTATGAGGACGTAAAGGCGTAAAGATGATATAATGGACTAAAGAACTTATCCATGTAACCAAAATCACCTGTATCTCAAACTATTGAAATAAAAAAAGTTTGAATTATGTAAATGATAATATAGAAAAATATATGGGTAGAGAAAACAATGAAATAAAAAAGATAAACAGAAAAAGAGCATAATGATTCCTACTTAGAAATATCTGCAGTGGCTTTAGTTAGGGCTTTGCTGAGGGTAATCCTCCAAATGAGGCCACTAGGGTAATGGGAGAGAACTTTATCCATAAAACAGAGTTCCCAGATGAAAAGAACTCCAGGACCAAAGCTGCTGCAGTGCAAGGCTAAAACCCTCTTGGAATTCTACTCAACATGGAGCAATAGAGAAGGTAAAGAGGGTGGGATTTCACAGAACGCATATCATGAATGTGCTTAAAGAGGGAATGGAAGATACATTACTAGGCAGCATTCAAGCCCAGGGAGGAATTGGATCCCCCAAATGTGACAATCAAGAGGGAAATAAGAATACATAAAAAAATTGTATTATGAAAAATTTCAACCACTCACAAAAGTAGAGAGAAAAATACCATACGTTCCCATCATGTAGCCCCAGCAACCATAAAATTGTCATTACTTCCGTTTTAACTTTATCTCATAAGATTTTATGAAGGTATATGTTAAAGGTCCAGGTGTCATATCATTTCACCAATAAATAATGAAAAGGCTTTAAACACACTAGATGAACACAGAGAGGACTGGCAAAGCCTTGCATAAAACTGGAGAAGTATCAAGCTGGCACATTTCAAAATTTTAGAAGAAAGTATTTTAAGTGCCACTGTCTATTGGCAAGACAGTGTATACAAGTGATTTCCCCATTGGTGCGGGGAGCTCAATGTTACAATAAATGGGCAATTTCTCACGTGGATTTAAATTCTCTCATAATGACCTCTGGACCAAATGCCCTGTTGATGTCTATATTGGTTAGCCTGAAACAAAAAATATTATATCTATAACTTTGCATTTCTTCATGTTCCTGCCTTTCCCCAAATTGTACTATTTACAAAACTAGGGACAGAAAATCTGGTTTAGGACAGCTGCTCTAGGAGCATGGGATTTGCTCATGCTTCCTGTTTTTTGGCTCAGCATGAGTAATCTGTAGTTGGGTTCGTTCAACTTTGTCGTTGCTGAAGAGTCTATAGACATTCTAGTGCTCCAGAGATGGCCCCAAACATCACAGCTGGTGAAGAAAATCTGGCACCACGAGACTGAGCCCAATCCAACAAAATTAGAAAGCAAAGTCAGAAAAAGTTCAAATTTAGCTTACAGAAGGAAGGGGAATTTGATTTCAAACTTTAGGGCTTTTTCTCACAATTTAATAATCAAATAACATTCAAATTCAGGTGTTTGAATAGTGTATCCGCAATGTATTTTTTGAGTATTTTTTTAAATGGCATACTTTTTTGCTGACGTGGTTAAACACAACTTGTCGTCAACACAATTAAAAAAAAATTGTATAGGAGGAAATGTTAATCCTTTGGTGTGGGGTGAAGTTAAGGCAATTTCGCTGAGTTCCTATTCTCCCTACAGCCTTCAAGTGCAGCAGTTAGGCCACTTTACACACTAGCCCTAGGAGGATACAAAACACGCAACCACATGAACGCAGGAGCAGACCTGCTCAGACACAATGCAGGCTTGCTCTCCCGAGTGGACCAGCCCTGCTCCAACAGGTTTAAAGAAAAAAGACCTGGGGAGAGTTAACAGGGAGCCCTTCACTCACATGGCCACATTTGTACCAAAATCACGAAGAAGGCCACCCAGGTCATCATAGAAAAGTACTGCACGCGCCTAGGCAACGACTTCTACACGAACAAATGTGTGTGCGAGATCGCCATTATCCTCAGCAAGAAGCTCCGCAACAAGATAGTAGGCTATGTCAAGCATCTGATGAAGCGGATTCGGAAGGGCCCAGTGAGAGGTATCTCCATCAAGCTGCAGGAGGAGGAGAGAGAAAACAGAGACAATTATGTTCCCGAGATCTCAGTCCTGGATCAGGAGACCGTTGAAGTAGATCCTGACACTAAGGAAATGCTGGAGCTTTTGGACTTTGTCAGTCTGTCCAACCTGCAGGTCACTCGACCTACAGTTGAGATAAATTTCAAAATGCCTCGGGGAGCTCTTTGAAGCTGTCTGCAATGCTGTAATATTTTCAATAATCCTGGGACAACAGCAAATAAAACAAAACAAAACCCCCTCCCCCACAAAAAACTGAAAAAACAGGGAGCCCTTCTGCTTCTATCCCTACATTTCCACAGTGGTCCACGAAGGAGGAAACTTCTACCTCCACTTCTGACCTCCTGAAAGAGTCATAGAAAGCATATCCCACTCTTAATCCCTTGGATCAGGGATGGTCAGTGGGTGATCCAAGCACCGCATTGGCTGGGCCATGCCTTACTAGAAGTAAGTTTCCTGTGCTGAGGTGCAGAGAAGGTTGAGCCTTTTATCTCTTTATCTGATCAGTCAAAATGAGCGCAGAAGCTTGAGGGGTGGTGGATGTAGCCCTAAGATCCTCTTTCTGGCTGCTGTCTCTGCAAAAGGCAACCCTTCTTCCCCTCTATAGAGAGGTTGAGTACTTGGAAGTAGATTCTACTGTGCAGATAGATTTTACCCCAGCAAGTGTGTCTCAGAGTATGCTGTCCTCGGCTTTCCTGTAGATTTGAAGTGAGATGTGGGAAGCCTCTGGTCTAAGCCGCATTATCAAACAAAGTTCACCAAAAGCCTTACATTCTTGGTGTACCCTGTTCTTGTCAGCTGTCTATTTTGTGTGTATTCTCTTTTGGTTATCATGGTGGAAAGGAAAGGCCTGAGGTTTTGGCTATTGAATCTCTAACAGAACAATTTTGTTTTTCACTTAGAAATAAATCTAGTTTTAAGAGTAGATTTTGGTGGAATCCAATACTGTTTGAATCTTAAATTCCTGATAATTAATTGGTTCTGCTTTTTCCCATTTCAACAATTCTCAAGATTATAGTGTCATAAAGGACATGGCTTAAGTAAGAAGCTAGGAAGACATTTTTTGTTTTTTGTTTTTTTTTTTTACAGAAAGAATATTCCTTTAACATTTAAAAACTGTATGTTATTTATAGTCCCTCAATTTTGAAGCCCAAATACCCTGCTGAAAAACTTTTAAAATTACCCTTTTAGCAAGGATTCAAAAGGTAAGCAAATATTCATAATTCATAGTCTTTTTAGTGATTTTGTTGAGGAACCTGGGAATCTCGAAGAGCCTCTCCAACAGCTGCTAGAACACAATGTTTCTGTTACAGGTTTAATTGAGATTTATAGGTTCTGATTATATTCTGAGAAACAGTTCTTTTCCACACCTAGAGTTTAGAAATGACTGTCAGTTACTTAGATACTGGAGCTTCTGACTGGATAGTAGAAGTGTCATTATTTGTGAATTCATATTTATCCTAGCCAACAAAGAAACATTCTTGAAGCTACATATGATGTAACCAAAAAATTGTCATTGTATGCTCCATCTTTCTTTGTGAATTTATTTTTTTTCCCCACAGTAACGCAGGACATTTTTATAGAAATAAAATCACATTGTCCTATGACATCCATTAAAACCTGTTGGTCTGGATTTAAATGAATATGTAACCACCTGTTGTTGATTTAAAATTCATTTGTAGGAAGACCTTGGGTGATAGGGTGGGGCACAGTGTATGTGTTTGTGTGTGATACACCAAGTCACAGTCTTCAAAGAGTCTCAGAGTAGTTTTAAACTTTTAACTTAAAACTTTTACTTTAGATATAGTGTTAACATCAGAAAATTGTATTTCAAAGTAAATTGAATTTTCTCTGCACAGGTGACATGTAGTTTTAACTCTGCTGGCCATGGAACATGATTTACCTTCTTATCTAAGAGAACCATAGTGTTTGTCATAGAATTTATTATGTAATTTAGTTGGCTTAAGTGTAAATAAAATTCATCTTAGGTGCTACTTAAGGATTGCTTTGAGCATAGCTATAAATTATTAAAGTTTCAAAGTTCACAAACCATATACAGAATTGAATGAAATGAGGAATGAATGAGGCTTCAATGCAAATTAAAATTTTATTTTTGAAAAATGGTATTTTCTAGTCTTTGTGCAAACTTCTTCACTTGGGATTCCTTGGATCCTCTCCTAAATAAACTACCTGCAAGTCCTTGTCTCAAGGTCTGCTTTGAGGGAACTCACATAGAGACACCCTCTAACAAAGGCTGCCTCAAAGGCTAGATTTTGAATTGATATGGGAAAAACTAAGGGGTGAAACTATCCAAATCTGCTTGATTTTGACATACTTCATTTCAGAAAATATTTCCAAGCGTATTCAGCTTCTCCTAGTCTGGAGCTTTGTCTTCTCTCCTAAGTCTCTTTTTCTCTTTAGAGAAAAATGTAGAGATCCGGGAGAGGTGAGGGGCATGATGCCTTTCTTTGTTAGTTTTTACAAAAATTTTATAATTTAACACATAGTGTCTTTTAGCTAGTGAGGTCAGAATTATTACTTGGTGAGATACAGAGTAGCAGTTATATTCTAAGAAGAATGCAAATTTATCAAGTGGACACTTAATGGGAGATCAAAGAAATGAATTTTCTCAGCTCTTATTTCAGAAATTTTGTGCTAAAACAAGTTGCAGCATGGAATAGCATGTCTCCATCTTTTCCTTCTTGGCCTTGGCTCCAGAGCTCACTTCTTTTCACCCATGAAGTCTTTATCTTGGGTTAGGAGTAGGTTCCAGCCACTGTGATGAGCCCGCATTACCTCTGCCTTATGCAGAACCAGCAGAGACTGAATAAAACAAGAAGCCCGTGAGTGAATTTTTTTTCTCATGATGGGCCCTCCAAGATGTGCAAGACAGAAGAGGGGACCTATAGACTGAAGTTTATTATTTCTATTGAAGAGGTGTCCTTTCTAAAAGAAAAGAGATGATGTGCTGTGGACAGAAAGCTGAGGACAAAAGCAGGGGATTGCAGGAAACAGGGTGAAGAGGGCCTGAGTTGGGAATCAAGGGATTTGCATCTGGGACCCTCCTTATTCCCCAGGCTTCAGCTGTAAGATTGTCCCCCCTTTGATGACATAGGGATGACATGACTGGATCACAGGCATTGTGTCAGATTTGCTTCAACCTGGCTGTATACAGTTTTGGGACTCTTCAATGAAAAAAATACCTAAATAACATCCAGTACGCATTGGGTGGGCCAAGGCCAGCCAAATAGCCTCTAGTGCAGGTGGAAGAAGATTCCCCTTTTCTCTGGTCGTCACTGAGTGATGGACTTCTGAGCATCAAGAATCAACACAGAGATAACAGTTCACAGAGGGAAACAGTGAGGTCTGCACCCATTTTTCCCTCCTCAGAGAATGGCTGGAATGCACTTGTTGGGTAGAAGAAGGAAAGGATCCCCTATCCATGCCACACACATTTCTACACTTGCATTGTTAATAAAATGATTCAAATTCTCTAATTTAACTCGTTTTCAGTGATTTTTAATCTCACCTTCCCACTATAATGAAGAGCAGTGGAAAGAACATGGAGTTGGGGTCACATCCTGGGTTCATGGCCCTGGATCCCACAGACCAGACTTTGTAAAGGCTGAAGGAAAGAAACCAAGCATTGAACAGTGAATTTGGGGTGGGCTTAATATTGTCCAAGTGTTTACTATGGGATTTAATTACCCGTGAAATTTTTGAACTTTCATTTCTCTATGGAAATATACTAATGGGAGGGGTCCATATTATTCAAATTTAGGGGCAACTTATGCTAACATGTGACTTTTTTCAGGTGGGGACAGCTAAGATAGGTCTATGGTGAGCTTGAAAATAGGATAGGGGATGAATTTTGGGATGAGGACATCGTGTGGCTTTCAAGCAAACTTAATTACAGTCCTGTCCTGGCCCATTTCAGAAGCTTGGAGTAGGGTGGGGCAAAATATGAAACTTCCATTTCACTGGTCTCAGAGAGGGATAAATAGCAAGGGAAAGGCCACATGAATGAGACGGTGGAATTTTCCTATAACCCAGGGCCTGTGTTGTCTGAAGTATTCTCTGTTAACACTAGGGGCTGAGAGAGAACTAAGACTGGGCATTGTGGAGCTCCAGGGAGATGGAGAGGGGACTTCTCAGTATGTCTCCCTACCCAAAGCAAACTTAGCTTCTCGACACCCTGACCCCACAATCTTCAATGACCTCTTACAAGAATGAGGAGCTCTCAAGTGATTGGTTAGATTCTGTAAAGCTGATTGGATCCCATTCACTAATGGGTGAGATTACCGCACCATGCAAAGTTACACTGGCCTGGGAGGTTCCACTCTTCAGTTCTTTCTTTCATTGTGGCTGGATGGGCAAGCTGAGACAGGGCACACTGACTGCAACAGGCTGGGCCATCCTGTTCTTTCTCTTTGCTGCTTCTCACTTGCGTGTCGCATCTTGCAGTAGCCAGCAGGTATTAATATTGAGATTTAGGGACAGTCAAGAATTCCTCTTTGGTCCTTGTGCCTAAGTTTTGAGTCCATCCCAATTTTATCTGAGAACCTGGAACTAATGATCCTGGTTACCAGGTCACAAAACAGCATGTAATTTTTAACTGATATTGTTTCTTGTGTGAATATCTCCTTCAGGAATCTCATGAAAAATAGTGATTACTGACAGTACAGGATTTGAGAATTTGAGGAACTTTGGCTGTTAGAGTGACCAAGTTTGCTTGTTTGTCTGTGAGTGAGGGGGTTTCCTGGGACACACAACTTTCAGTAGTAAACCAGGAAAGTCCCTGATAAGCTAGGATGAGTTGATCACCCTGGCTGAAAAGCCATCTAAAGGCCAATACACCCCACATGCAATTTAACTCCTACTGGCTGTGTGACCTTGGCTATGTTGCCAAATCTCCCTGAGCCTTAAATTACTCACCAGGAGAAGGGTGAGTATTTTCTGCACATTAAATTAGACTAAGTTAAATTCCTTGGCATATTTTCTGGTCCATAGTAGACTCTCTATTGTTACATGTTTCCATTTTATTTTCTCACTTACGTTGGTACAGCAAAATAAAAAATGATATTCTAAAAAGAAAACACAAAATAGGAAGAATTGAATTCCTTTTCTGGATGGAGGAATTGGAGATGTTTCCTGAGCCCCTTTTCTTCAAGCTTTTCCCCCCAATGTGAAGCAGCATCAGGAATGAACAATGGAATAGTGAATGTACTCCATTCCTGGAATAAAGCAGGGGTCATACATTCAAACATCTGCAGGGGCCACACGGGGACCATGAATGAAAGAAGAGGGATGAATGGACTTGTGGCAAGCTGGTTGCAAATGCAGCAGGCAACCACTCAGCCCCAACAGATTGTGGCCATGTAAGAAGGGCCCAGTGTGCCAGATCTTACAAGTTTTTCTTGCAAAAAGCCATATGATTTTTTAAATGTTAAATATACTGATTTGAATGTGTTGACATCAAACCTAAAACTTTTTAAAAAGACGTGTAAGCCAATCAAAACATTCTATGGGCCATTAATCTTTTGTCAAGTTGCTTCATTGGTTAAAAGAGTGAAACTGGATGTCACGGATCAACCAGAGAATGTTTATTCTACTCAGATGGAATAATTGTGATAAAAGAAAACCAAAGTAATTCAATAATGACAAAAAACAAAAGGACAGGAAGTTTCTGAATTTGTGTTATCTTGTATATCTGACAACTCGACTGAACCTGTGGAGTTGCAAAATCATAAAGGTAGAACCTGCTAGCAAAGCTCCATGAAATGCTTGCAAGCATTAGCTGATAGGTTTCAAAACAGTATGAATATTAGTCATCACAGATATTCCTGCCAAAAAGGGTAGCGTGTCAGAAGAACATCTGCAGCACACATAAATACCCTCTGCTAAGTTAAACTCAGAGAGGAAATAAGCTTCCAAAGTTGCACAAAGCAAAGATGCTGAAACAGCAGAGCTTTGTATTAAGGGGTTGATAGACTTGCTCTCATGGTGAAACTGTTTGTTGAGGAGGTAGTTAGCTCCCAATAATATTACATGCTTGACCTTTAGCTTTTAGTGACAAAAATTGTTTCAGGACGCATTTGGGCTCAGCCTACTCAATAAGAAATCACATTGTATAAATTGAGCATTAATTGTGTCAAAATGGGGATCATAAGTGATTAATACTCCCAAATTACAATGATATGGTAAAATGAAAAAAAAAATCAGCTAACCCCAGGATATACCCAAATGTGTTATAGGATCAAGTGTTAAAAGCAAGCAGGTCATAATATTTGCTAAGAAAAAAGAAAGAAAAGGAAAAAAAAGCTGCAGAACCCATGGTATTATCTTGAACTATTTTAAAGTAGAAAAATATGAAATCAGACAGGAGCAACCTGCCACATGGAAGATGATCTGAAGAATCATCACTCTTATGATCAGAATCCTGTGAATACAGAGCTTTCATTTCTGGTGGCAGAACCATTTCTCAGTGAGCAACATTGTTTTGCCATAGGACAGAGGAGGTTGTGATCTATTGCAGATTTCTGTGGGTCCTGGATGCCGAGACCAGGAACCCTACAAAGAGAAATCCATGCATGTGGCGTTGCTGAGGATGGCTGCGTGAGTTTCTCTTTCGAAGTAATGTGTTTTGTTTTTTTTCTTTTTTGTCTCAACGTATCCAAACAGTACAGTTGTAGAGATGGGGATGGAATTTTATTTGTCTTTTGCTTTCATTGTTTTCTCTTGTTAAAAGAAAAACAATTGATTTAGAGTTTAAAGGCTGCTCTGCAACTATCAATTATATAAAGCCAAATAGAGTCATATACTAAATCCTTTCTTGCTTCTCAACTAAAAAAAAAAAAAAAAAATCCTGTGAAATCACTTTAGGTTTGCTTAACCAATGTACAGTCATGATTTGAGAGCATAAGAAACCCTATAAGAAACCCTATGCCTTAAGTGAATCCCATTGTGAGATACTTGAGCTATGAGGCGGAAGTTTCAGGCTAAGCAGTGTAATATCTTTTCAGGAGGCTAATATGCTGATCCATTTAGAGCACAGAGGCTGATTGATAACTGTGCTATCAATCCCCATCACTTTGGCAGGTCTTGGTTAGAGAGGAAAGATCTTGCATTTAGGTGAAGTTGAGTCAGGAATTGGCTTTTTGAACTTAGAAAACGTTGCTAGTGTAAGGCTACCTTTTTTATTATTAATCTACAGTTCATATTTATGCAGCTTAAGAAGACTTATTTGGAATAATAAGACCGTGATTCAAGATCTTAGCATCATTGCTTGCAGATTTGTCCAGTATGAAAGATATTTTCATGAGATGAATCACTTAAAGACATTAAGAGTCAGTGATGAAACCACACACTCTCGAGTTTGAAAAGAGACAGGGCTGCTTTAAGAGAGAAACAGGAAGTTGTAACTAGAAGCCATCTGAATACTAAGCCAGGGCAGAATGCTTGTGAAGTAGCAACTAAAGTGGCAGTGTTTCTTCTGAAATTCTCAGGCAGTCAGACTGTCTTAGGCAAATCTTGATAAAATAGCCTTTATCCAGGTTTTTATCTAAGGAATCCCAAGAAGACTGGGGAATGGAGAGACAGTCAAGGGTTATGTCAGAAAAGGATGAGTATCAGTTTCAACATCAGGGAGCGGTGGAGCTGCTTGTCTTCAATTTTTTGCTCATCCTTACCATTTTGACAATCTGGTTATTTAAAAATCATCGATTCCGCTTCTTGCATGAAACTGGAGGAGCAATGGTGTATGGTGAGTGCATAAATTGTGAGATTGATGTGAAACTTGTTGCTTGAGCGTAATTAGAGACTTGTGCTCAGATAGCAAAGTACCGAAACTGGAGAAAATGTGCTGATTGAAATGTCATTAGTTTGATGAAAGGTGCTGCAGCGTAACGAATGCTAATCTCTTTACAGACAAGCCGCCGAAATTTGCCATGTCACGAGAGCAAATGTCACAGTCATGTTCTCACACGGCACATAATGCAAGTCTGTTGACAGATGCGGGTCCATTGTCATGTGGGGAGTCGAGGGCGAGCTGTTTGTTTTTGTAATGATGTTGGGAAGTGATGGCTCTGCAGTCACAAAGAGCAGCCTTCTCTCACTGGCTGCACCGATGAACATTACGAAGTTCTAGAAAAAACATCACTTCAAAATGCCTGGAGTAATTCCTCTTATATCAACTAATTTCAAGAAGAAAACTTGCAGAAACTAACCCCACCCCTCTTAAGAGAATATTGTGTCCAAGTCCTTTTTATTTATACGAACAGTGTCTTATTTTCTTATAATAAAAAGTTATAAATAAACGAGAGTTTCTTTATGCAGTACTTTTTACTTCTTAGCCTGATTTCAGATGTTCTAATTTATAATGATCATTGCTAGTGTTATTTGTTATGTATCTCCTATTTATGTATTGGAGGCCAAGGTGTGGAAAAATATTTAACACCTGCAGTATTGCTCTTTCTGGGCAACTTACCGTATCATTCCTTTCAGAAAGTTTAATAAAGTCTGACAGAGATTATCTGTCTGTACTCTCATCTTTTAAAGTAAAATGAAAGACACCAGTTTTTACTGGTGTTACTGATGAAATAGTTTACTTCACTGCTCTTATCTCAGCCTGATAATGGATAGGAAGTTTGAACACAATGGCAACAGGCAAGGCATTGCTATAATTTATAGCAAATAACATACTTTTATATTTGGGGTTTCCTCATTTTGGAAATCCTGAAACCCTTTCCTAAGCCTGAGATTCAGGGTACAGATCAATGCACATTGTATATGCTAATCCTGTGGTGTCCTGATATTAACAGTGTATAGTTGTGATTTCAGAACCTAAGGAATCCTAAGCCTTAAGTGGATCCCACTGTGAGATACTTGAGCTATAAGGCGGAAGTTTCAGGCTCAGGAGGCTGATATGCTGATCCATTCAGAGCACAGAGTTAAATTCCTTGGTACTGAGGGTCTTTTAAAAATTTTTTGCTTGGGAGTGGGGAGGGACAGCATTAGGAGATATACCTGATGTTAAATGACGAGTTAATGGGTGCAGCACACCAACATGGCACATGTATACATATGTAACTAACCTGCACGTTGTGCACATGTACCCTAAAACTTAAAGTATAATTAAAAAAAGAAAAAAAACATAACCCAAATGCAAAAAAAAAAAAAACCTTTTTTTGCTGTATTGTTTTATTTATTTTTTAAAATTTAGTGGAGACAGGGTCTCACTATGTTGCCCAGGCTGGTCTCCAACTCCTGGCCTAAAGAGATCCACTGACCTTGGCCTCCCAAAATGCTGGCATTACGGGCATGAGCCACCATTCCCAGCCAGTATTGAGGGTCTTAACGGGCACAAGAAAACTCTCATTTAAGAGAAAAAAAAAATCACAATCAGGTGGGAGAGAAATAGCCAAACAAAAAGGAGGGGATGCCATCAGATGTGAAGCCCTAGGTTCCTGTCATTTGCCTATCTCCATCATGAACAGAATTTTTCTCTTGACTTGACTAATAAGTAATCTGCAAGGATATGGAATAGAATCTGAGAAGCCAGAAACAATGTAATTCTTGATATCATATTAAAGGGACATATGTGCTTTAGCAAAACTACCCAGATTTAATAGATTGCCAACCTTTATTAGAGGGAAAGATTTCTTCACATCCCTGAATTTGATTGAACTATGACTCATTTACCAAGTTCAATGGTGGGGATATTGTTTTCGTAAAAGTTTTGATAACCTACTAAAATTCAGTCATGTTTTGCATTCACAATACATACAGTAACTCTTACTTTTGAATCTGAAAAATTCCAGGTTACCTTTAATCCTGCAAAACTCTCTGAAATATTTTTAAATTGTGCTTGAAATAATAAAATAGTAGTTCATTGACCACTGCTATTGAGGTAGCATTTCTCTAAATTGCTGTTCTTAAGGCAGATAAAGGCTTAAAGTTTATGAGTGGAATTAAGTTGGGTTCTCTGATTCCTATTCTTCTTTCATGAGTTTTTTAAAGTAAAAGTTATTGAAAGCAAATTCTGAACCAGTGCAATGTAAAAGGATTATAAAAATTATGGAGATATGCATATATATGTATTCTCTTACTAGAAATTTTGAGTATCTTTCAGTTATCTTGAACTATATAGATCAATGAAAAGACATATTTTAGTGATGTTTAACTTTTTCTTGGCATAGAATCATAATTGTTAGGATGTCAAAGAATTTTAGAGGTTATCTTCTCTATCCCCTTTATTTTAGAGAGGCAGAAGCTGAATCCCAGAGAAGTGAAGGGACTTTCCAAAACTGAATAGCCACTCATGACTGGTCCATGTGCTTTCACTCATCTGCATGTCTTACTAAGGTTCACGTTCACCTGAAAGAACTCTCCCTGTGTTTTCTGAAAGTACTCCATATGGGTGGCATTCATGACTTGTCACATTTCTTCTTCAGGGATGTCCTAAATGTTATATCTTAAATGCTTATTAGGAACTTTCTATCAGTAATGTAATAAAATAGTCTGAAACTACACCAGAGGAACATGATGGGATACTGTAGTAAACACTTTTTAATGATAGGGGAAAGGAGATGCCAAGTGAATTAATTGTCCAACAGCTATAAATGAACTTGGAATCATAGATGGGGAAGGAGCCTTAAAGATCATAAATCCAGCATTCTCATTTTGCAGACAAACAAATGAAGACTTAGAGAGATAAAAGTCGTGTAATTAGTTAGCTGTTGAGGTGGGATTCAACCTCCATCTCTTTAATAAGAGATGCTAAGATATTTAAAAATAAGTAAATTATTGCAATAATTTTCCTGGAGAAAGGATGTGTCTGTGGGATCTAGATGCATCCTCATATGGTTAAGCTTTCAGGATTAGCCAGATTCTCTTTTCCAGGAGGTCTAAAAGAGTGAATTTTCAGCATCCCACATTGTACTATCCCCCTTTCCATTAAAGGATTAAACTCTTAGCTTTTGCAAGAGCAGGGGGGCATGGTGATAACTAATGGGGAAGAAAAGAAACAAAACTATGTTTAAAACTTAAGCTTTTTGAGCTATGATTGTGCCACTTCACTCCAGCCTTCACTCGAGCCTAGGTGACAGAGTGAGACTGTGTCAGAAAGAAAGAAAGAAAGAAAGAAAGAAAGAAAGAAAGAAAGAAAGAAAGAAAGAAAGAAAGAAAGAAAGAAAGAAAGAGAAAGAAAGTTAAACTTTTAAAATTTCTTGTTCTTAAGGAAGTGAACATTTGAGAGTAGACTGTAACAGTCATCTCCGTGCTACAGACACATATGCTTGTAATGAAATATATTTTAAGATTTAGTGGACCTGCACCTAATGCTTATCAATGAATTTGGCTAGCAACTCCCCTACTCCACCGAGTACTGTTCTTGCTCTCACTATTTGTATAATGTATTACTTGTCCTGTATCAAGAATGATAAATGTTTTTCCCCAGCATCAAATTTCCTATAATACTTCAGCCTATTCTGCCATCTGCTTTTCTGCCAGTATTCCTTTGACATGTGTCAAATGTTCTTTAGAAGACTCGATAGATGTTGAGTCTATTTTATCAATGTACCTGAGAGTCCAATTTAAAAATTCTAGAGAACAGGGGCTTAGAAAACAAGCAGTTTAAAAAATGCAGAGAAAAGTGATCAAGCAGAATGTTTAATGTTCTTTTATATTTCTTGTTAGAAATAATTTTCAAGTTGCTAATCTTAAAATATCATATGAACACTTGTAGAGACCAAGAAAAATTGTGTGGCATTTGGCTAGACTCTGTGTCAATCAGAGATTCATATGATACTCCAAATAGTATAAATAATCCATTATATAAAAAATAGGTTTTTCTTATTATTAAGGGTCATAGGAAGCTTATAAAAATTAGTGGCAGCTTTATAACCATATTTTTGCTTCACCAGGAACAGTAATGGGTAATCTATTATGATATTCGATGGTTCTCATTTCAAAATTGAAGGATTAGAATCCATAACTGGTTTAAAATATAAGCCATAATGATACTCATTTAAATTGGACTGGAAGCATAAATGACAATTAGCGGTTAAAGTATTGATTGACAGCAGCTGGTGCACTTAGTACCACTCACTTAGGGCCTGTATCCCCTGTTCAGTGCTCATAAAAGAAATTTGCTCCTTGCTCCCTGACAGCATTAAGAATTCCATTATATATCACTGGGGGCTGCCATACTTTACAGGACATTTATAATCCTGTGCATTTGAGGGCTGGGATCTGAGCTTAGGGACAGAGCAATTTAAACCTCTTAGAATTCTGCCTTTGACTTCCTGGCCTTCCCATAGAAGTTAGTCTGAATTCATGTAAAAATTGTGGCCACTGTTTAGTGGGCACATAACAAATTTCAAGGCACTAAGTTTACATTTTGAATTCATTAAACTATATCATATTAAAGCGTTTTCAGATTCTTTAAGAATGTGCTTAACAGTTAAGTAGGACAAATTTAATTCACTCAACACCAAGTTTTTCAAGATTTAAAGAAAATACAGTTACATAGTGAATCATCAAGGATTGAAAAATTATCTTTTCTGAAAAATCTTCTGCAGGCATTAATTTCTTCCTAGCACTCCCTGCAGGTTCCTCAGGATTAAATTGGGTTGTTGGACATGTTGGCTACACCCTCCTGATCCATTTTACCCTCCTCCAGGACAGCCCAGCCTCCCTGACTGCCAGGCCTATGGGAGATGCTTCCTACTACTTCACCCCCTTCCCGCTGGCTGAAGGTCCTTCCAAGGCTCTACTTATTCCACTGTGGCTTTTTTTATAGAGAAAATATTGATGTGCTCCCCTGGAGATTTAAGTTTCTTAATCTTGATGATTTTTTTTTCAGTAGCTAGATGCATTATTTTGGGCAAGTGATGTTACATCTGGCCTTATTTTTCTCATCTATAAAATGGGGAAGAAAGGAACAGATATCACATGTCTCCCTTCCAGCTGCAAAAGTCCTTCAAAATTCAGGCCAAGACTGAGTTCAACCATCAGGCATCTTTCAGCCACTCCAGCCCAAACCAGAAGCTTTCCTTCCAGAACATGGCAGCCTATAATGATATCCAGTCTGTTCTCTCAGACAAGATTTTAGTTAGTGTTATTTCAGCACTGTTAGTACTTCCTGCTTCTGCTCTGATTTTGCAAGGAGTGCTCAGTAAATTCTGTTGAATTCCTGTCAGAAAGGTGAGGAGAACAAGTTAATAGTGAGGACTGGCTATGTATTCCACAGTTTGCAGAAGCATTTTTTATGAAAACAAGAGTAGCTCTGGTTTAATTTTAAGGGATCTGCAGGAAAGGTAATCACGGTTAGGAGCCCAGCATACTAAACTTCTTCTCCCTTTTGGTGTAAAAAACTTGATTTTTAAGGAACTTCAGAGAGTTGTACAATGTTTTCCATGTGTTAATACATTTGCCAGAGACAGGGAAAATAATGGAAGAATGAAAGTCATACTGCACTCTGTATGTTTTTTTATGTTTTTGGGGGTTTTTGTTTGTTTGTTTGCTTTTTTGAGACGGAGTCTCGCTCTGTCACCCAGGCTAGAGTACAGTGGCACAATCTCGGCTCACTGCCACCTCCGCCTCCCAGGTTCACGCCATTCTCCTGCCTCAGCCTCCTGAGTAGTTGGGACTACAGGCGCCCACCACCACGCCTGGCTAACTTTTTTGTGTTTTTAGTAGAGATGGGGTTTCACTGTGTTAGCCAGGATGGTCTTGATCTCCTGACCTCGTGATCTGCCTGCCTCAGCCTCCCAAAGTGCTGGGATTACAGGCGTGAGCCACCGCGCCCGGCCTGCACTCTGTATGTTTTTAAAAGTTGATTTTAAGAAAATAGCCGGGCCAGGCATGATGGCTCACTCCTGTAATCCCAGCACTTTGGGAGGCCGAGGCAAGTGGATCACCTGAGGTCAGGAGTTCGAGAGCAGCCTGACCAACATGATGAAACTCTGTCTTTACTAAAAAATACAAAAATTAGCCAGGTATAGTGGCGGATGCCTGTAATCCGAGCTACTCGGGAGGCCGAGGCAGGAGAATTGCTTGAACTCAGGATGCGGAGGTTGCAGTGAGCCGAGATTGCACCACTGCACTCCAACCTAGGTGACGGGAAGACTGTATCAAAAAAGAAAAATAAAGAAAAGAGCCTCTATATTTTGGATAAGTAAACTAAATAAATGAATAAACTATATTCTGAATCTCAAAGAAGCTATAGATGAAACTTTACTGCAAACTACTGTGGTGCCTCGAAGGACTCCCCCCTCAGTGTTTGAAAGGCTAATGAATGTGCATATCAAGAAAATAGATTTATGATTCAAATTATTTATGTAGATATCATATACCATCTACATTGAATTAATGTTACATAGTTAATGAAGTGGGGATATGGAGAGCTGATGTTTGTTAAACATCTATTATGTCAAAAAGTTGATATACAAAAATAAAAATAGCTAACACAAATAGCATTCCTGATATAAACTATGCTATTATAAGCACTTTACATATATTAACGCATTTAATCCTCACAACAACCATTTTTTAGGTAGGAAAACTGAGGTAATAAAACATTAAGTAACTTGCCTGAAGTTGCACATGTACTAAATGCCAGGGCTAGGTCTCAAACCTTAGCAGTTTGGCTTCATGTGGTCATCTGCTATCTTAAACGTAGGTGTGTTTGTGTGTGTGTGTGCGTGTGTGTATGTGTAGGGGGTGTGTTATCATTTTCATATTACAGATAAGGAAACCAACACTGAGAGAGAGAAGGTAACTTGCTGATAATCAACAGGGCTGTACTCAACTTCAGGACTATATAACCTCTGTTCTTTCACCTCTATCGCTTATGTAGTCCTAGAATAATTGCTGTTTTTTAATTAACTGTTCGCTCCGTGCCAGATGATGGTACCTTAGGAAGTTTACAGAAGAGAGGTAGAGATTGAGATATGTAACTATATGCATTATCACTAATCCTCACAACAACCATGCTAAATAGGCAAGATCATCTTTAGTTTGCATATAAGGAAACAGAAACTCAGAAAACTTATGACTTAACCAACTCTGCCCAGAATAATTGGCAAGAACACTCTTTTGAAAGCGTGCACTCTCAAATTCTGGCTGCAGTCGTTCTCTCATCCAAGTCTGCTCTTGATATGCAACTGTCCCATGAAGTCAGGGTAGGGAATGATTGAAGGTAAAAGTAGTTAAGTTTCTTCTCTACCTTGAAGCCTCTGAAATGTTCCACTGTCTATAGCAAAAAGCCCACTGTGGGAAACAGAATGGGGGCAAAACTATGAAAATACATCCATATTAAGTAGCTGGAGTTGAAATATTCCAAGCCTACCTGGAAACATTGTCCCAGCTTGAGGGATAGTCATGTTGCAAGTTCATGGTCTTTCTGGTTTTAAATGCCTATGGTTGAAACAATGGGTGGGACAGGTACTATAAATAGTTTGAGAAGGGACTGTGAATTTATATGAATCATGCAAAATAGGCTTTCATCATATGTTAGTTAAACTGAATTTAATTTTTGGAAGATACTGAAGGTAGAACCATTAACTATGCTTCTGGGTTTTCCAAGTTCTGAAATCTGTGTGCATGAGCCCAAGATGGTATGGGTTTTGATGGAATTTCAAGACTGTGAGGACTTATGTTGGTAGGAACTACTATCTTATATGACAATGCTTCTCAGTGTGTTTCCTGACCAGCACCATCAGCAGCTTGTTAGAAATGCAAATATGTAGTTCACAGCCCAGACCTAGGGAATCAGAAACTCTGGGGTGGGTGCGGCCCGGTAAACTGTGTTTTAACAAACTTTCCAGGAGGTTCTGATGCACTGAAGTTTGAGAAATACTTTGCTAGGAAAATAAACTTGAAATATAGTGCCTAGTTTCATTTCCTCTGTTTTCTCTTATTTCTTTCTTATCCCATTACTCTCCTATGGTGAAAGGGGGAGGGTTGGAAGACCATCTCCCTTTACTAAAGAGTCCTTCTTTCACCGTCTATAACACTTTGTAATGTCTCCATCTCTGGTTCGAGAAAAAAATAAAGTGTGTTGTATAAACATTACAAAGTAAGAAACCATTTGTTTATTCAGTATACGTCTAGTTAGACATCTCTATTTCTATGTTTCTTCTGTCAACTTCCTAAGATGATTGCAAGGAAGGATGTTAGCTATATATAAGCTGATGGCTGAGATAGTTTCTAAAGAAAAGTTATCTATTATACTGTTAGAAATCCCAGAGTTTTGTGAAGTGTGTACATTGTGTATATGTGTATGTGTTGTGTTTGTATGTGCTTGCATGTGTGTTGTGTCTATGTATGTGCATGTATGTTTACATATGTGCTATATGTGTGTGCATGTGTGCGCTTGTGATGTGTGTGTGTGTGTGTGTGTGTGTGTATGTGTGTTGTTTGTTGGGAACCAAGGATGGATTGTGGACATTAGACACCCCACTCTGATGGAGGATCTGATGTTTGGGACTTTCTGGCAGTTTTCATATGACTCTATCCTGTGAGAAGAGGGAAACTTTGAACAAGGCATCACAAGGTTAATTAGCTTCATGGACTACTTTCCACTTTGGAATTTAATGAGGTTCTCTTAATTGGCAGGTGTCCCAGACCTGTTCTGAAATCATTCTGGGACTCTTCACCAAAACAAGTTGATGGTGAGCTAGTATGGAGCAATAAATTGTGACTTTTTAGCAAGACCTATAGTTTCCTTAGTTTTTTTAATTTAAAAGGTTGGTGGGAGAACAGAGAAAGAACAAACTCCCCCACCAAAAACAGAAGGCATTGTACGTTGTTACTACATCATGTTTTTACTTTTTGTTCCATCTCTGACTATTCTCAGAGCAAAACTAAATTGCTAAAAGGGAAAACGTTAGGAAATGCATTTAGATATTTGAAGTTCAAACCCATATTATCTCTCTAAATTCATGTTCTAAAAGAGACTTTTATAAAATGGGAAGGGATAAATATCAAATAAAAAGTTAAAAATTTTGTAGATGCAGTTAAAATCTGATCTTTGTGAATACTATCTTACAGTTAAATGTTATTCACTGATTTGGTTTCCTTAAATTATTATTCAGACTATTTCCTTCTTCTTTATGCTCACATTTGAATCCCTAGTTCATAATTTTTTAATCTGAGTGACTGAAATAATAATGTCACAGATTCCCTGCCTTAAAGTCTTGCATTGTACAAAGTTCTAATGATGGTAAAGAACATTCTTCCTTGAACGTTATTCCTTTCATCTTGGAATTCCTGAACTCAGATGTTCTAAATTGTCCCTTATGTAAATATAGACTAAATATGATGTTAACTTCCTCTCCATGTCCTCTCTGTCCCTCAATTCTCTTTTCTGTCTTCAAATAATTATCTCTAAATGCTGTTTCCTCTGCTCTAAAACAGAGCAAATCTGCCTCCCAACAAGGAACTCGCTCGATTCTTCCTCGAGACCACCTTGCCGACCACCTTGCCAACACCCTCTCCCTCCTGAACACTCTCCAGTCCTCTGCTGTGCCAAAGCCCTTTGCCTGCACTGCCCTAAGTGCCCATCGCAAACTGCTTGATGTGCGTCATTGACGCTGGGCTCCTTGATTTCTGTATACCTCTCCCTAAAACAACATGTCCTCTTCTCTACTTGGTGAACTCTTACACATCCTTGAGAACCTCTTCTATTAAGTTTTTCCAATACTGTAGGGAGTGGGGTTAGTTGGTCTTTTCTTTAGGGTCCCTTAAAACTTTGTACATTGCTTTGTGACAGGAAAACCAATGGCTTTTCTATCTGTTAAGATGCATTCAGTTGCAAGTAACAGAAACCCTGACAGAAACAGAATTAAGCAATAAAGACATTTATTATCTCCCATAACTGGAAGTCCAGAGAAGAGTAGTCTTCAACTCTATTTGATTCAGCACCTACTGTTGTCATCAAAAACCAAGGTTCTTTCCTTTTCTCTGTTCTGCTACCTTCAGTGCTGACTTCAACATCAGGCTGGCAGTGAAGTGGCTATGCCAGTGCCTGGTGTCCTAACCGGGCCCATTAATATGCTGGAAAAGAAGAGAGCTCATCTCTTCTGTGTCTCTCCTGTAGGATGTGAAAACCTTTCTAAGAAGCTCCCTAGCAAATTCCCTTCACTTCTTATTGACAGGAATAGGGTCACATACCCATTCCAAACCGGTTATCAGCAGGGAGAGTGAGAACATCCCCGGAGCTGGAGTGAGTTCAACTTCCCCTGAGCATATGGCTATGTGTGGAGGGGTGGACAGCAAATAAACCAGAGCTTTGTGGGGTAAACAAGGATAGACATTGGGCTGGCGATCAATAGGACCTGATACACTTACCAGTTTGAAATATGATATTATATAATATTACATGGTTTGAGGCTATATCTTCTTATTTTAGAGAATTGGCGATGCCTCATGAATCTAGATTATTCTTGGTAGCCACTCAATGCAGTGAGAGTGAAAGAACTGCAAAACTCAGTTCTCCTACAATCTTCATGTGGTAACTACATTTGCTTTAGACTCCTAAATTCTTCCAACATCATGTAGCACTTAAATATAGACCTTTGTAATAGTCTAATTAGGCATATGTATATAGCTGTGCTTGCTGCATTGTGCAACTCTGGGGAAGCTCTGCTCCTATAGGAATGGAGTCTAAAGCGATCTGGCCAGAGTTGTGCCAAGCAGCAGGGAACTCTGTGTGATGGTGTCTGGACACAATTATAGTGTTGAACACAGCCAAAGAGATTAAAATCTCCTTTAAAACACTTTTGTGTTTTAAAAAACATTCTGAAATCTGCTTTATTTAAGCTTTTTAAAAAAGTAAGTCCCTATTTTTTATTTCTCTAAGAAAAGCCACTTTAAGAAAATGCTTCAGCCTCATGTGGAATGACCATCAGTAAGATGCAAGGGAAATTGGTTATGAAATGCAGACTTCATATAAAAAATTTAGTAAATACTTGTTATACCTTATTCTTACTGGAAATTAAGATGGCAGGATTTGGCAGAAGGGAAGGGGCTGGTAGGTTAAGATATTTTAATATTTTAAGGGCAAAATCATATTTTATTTATCTTTATAATAACTCCTACAAGTCCTAGAGCAATGCCTTAGGTGTCTGTGGCATGAACACATAATAAGGGAGTAATAGAGTAAGGGACTGGAGTTTTCTCTTATTTTCAATGTGGATAATAAAATGAGAATCAGTTCAGGAAGGTAAGGCTCATCTTTCTAATGTTCCTTGGTTTGAGTACTCCTGAGGCTGTTTCCTCCTTCCTTCTGTCCCCTCTCTTCTTTCTTCTCTCACAAACATCATGCTATCAACTGTATGCCATGCATGTGCTATATAAGAGTTATGTTGAACACTCTGCAAGGACAGGGACTTCACAGCATTTGGTGTGATGTTCCTTATTTGTGACACTTTAAAATGTTGGTAACTGACTGACTACATAAACTCGGAGGACCTTTTCTTCTTGACTCCAGGGAGCTTGTGGACTTGGAGAAAGTTGGGCTACAATTCTGCCCAAAGTGATTGGCTTTTCTAGAGGAAAAGAGATAAAGAATAGCACAGAGCCTCTGCCCTAAACAGTCTCATTGTCTGGTTGAGGAGAAAAGCCAAGATCTGTAAAGAAGCACTGAATAATATGTCTTTATAAAACTGGTTTCTAAAGTGTGTGGTTCAAACAATAAATGCTATCAGAATGCAAAGATGAAGGAGTTCAATGAGCACAGACTTTATCAGGGTTCTGGTGCCCACGGGTGGGACTTAAGAGGGACATTTTAGGATAGTGAGTGCTTTAGGAATGAAGTCCATTGTCCATGCTTTCTGTGGTACTTGTAGGCTGTGGAGAGAAGTCAGGGTTCATTAAAGTGCAGGTACACTCTGCTGTCATCCTAGGTACCCAGACGCCCAGACTTGAAGAAGCAGGGGATACATCTAGACTAGAGTTCCTTCCTAGAGAAGGAGATGCTGCCAACTGGCCAGGGGACAGATCTCAGAGAAGTGTTGTGTATGCAGGAACCTCAACCTGGGGCCAGGGCTGTTTGCACATGGACTGGGTGGGTATCCCTTTGCAGGGGCAGGCTCTCTTCTTTCCTCCTCCAGCAAGAAGGGGCCTGGTTTCATGGTTTACCAACAAGAGTGGTGCTTTTGTGCTGTTCATAAGCCGTGGCAGCCAGTCTCCTCTTTCCTTCTTCTGTGAACAAGTGATTTCTGCTTTCTTAATCTTGTATCTTTGAATGGTATAAAAACAACCTACTCTCATTAACATTTTCTTTCTACTAGCCATCCTACTTTATCTGTCACCTACTCATATATGATATTGTGTCAGTGTACATTAATTCAACACTCCATATTTCTGTCAGCATATGGCTAAAACACTGAGTCGATGTTTCACTATAAAAAGCATTATGAGGCTCTATGGGTAAGTAGCCTCTGACAAATAAGGATTTTCCAGCTGCCGCTGCTGCAGCAAGAGTGCACAAATGAGTGCATGGGTTTTTTAACCAGATGTGTTAGGAGGCTGAGATTTTTCACACTGGCTCTTACCATCTAGCAAGATGTTGTTTCTTCTCAACCCTTGGGGTTTGGGGAAAAGGAGGGCTGAAGCCTTTTGGTGAGTGTGTTAATTTGGGTCCTCCAAGAAGCAGATGCTAGAAAGAGATTCATTGCACAAAAGATTTTCATTCCTTTAGAGAATGTGGGGAGTGAGCATGAGGATGCCAGGACAGCTGTCAGGTTTTGATGCAGGCCTGATCCTGTGAAGAGAGAGAAGGAAGGAAAGCTGGGTAGGAAATCTTTAGGCTGTGGTGCAATTCTAGGAAAAGTTTGGCAAGATTAATGATGGGTCCCTGAGCCATGGTTGCCCTTCAGAGGAGTCCCCATCTGCTTGCCTTAGTATCCCTGCTGTGTTCAGTCATCGGCTGGGAGCCTGACCTCAGTGTGAAAGTGGTGATGGATTCCAGAGCAGAGAAGCTGAGACCACTGGTCAATTGCCTCCTCAGAGTGGGAGGTACATTTTCATCTATCTGAGAGGTACATTTTCATGGATATTACATCTGGTCACCTCTGCCACAATGGCAGCAAGCAGCTTCCTCTGTTCACTTCAATGTGCTTCTTCTCGAACAATGAGGCCAGAGCTAGTGCAGAGGGATAGTCAGGGCCATTTAGGTTTGGAGGTCTTGTATGAATTTAACCACACTAGGCACCAGGCCATCACTATTATGACAAAGACTTGCTTTCTCTGCTTGGGAACTAATAGTGGACACTTCATGTTTATTTCTTGTTGTTTCATTGAAAGCATTTTGTAAAAAAAAAAAAAAAAAAAAAGAGTGCCTCGCCCACTAGGAATTACAAATGACATTAATATGGATTCTTTCCATTTAGGCCCCATGCAGATAGTATCTTGTGCTTCCCGTCTTTGTAGAAGTAGAAAGAATAGTAATGGTGTCATTCATGGTACTTGCTGAATAACTTTTAGGAATTAAATCCTTTCTAAGCAACGTGTGTTGAAAAAATGATGTTCTTATGCAAGCACCCTAAGCCACGTAGAGTGTAGATGATCTATGTTCCCTTCTTGCTCCTGACTAGTTTTATTGTCGTCATTCAACACTGAGCATGGAAGGTTGCCTACTGTGCTGTGGTGGATCAAGCACTCAGTGAGGGTTACGTATCTATAACTTATTTTCTCTTGCTCCCAGAGATTTGGATACAATTTTTCTAATTACTCTGGAGGAGTCAGCCAAACACTGAAGCAGGAATAATAAAATAAAAATATTCTTGAAAGAAATCTGCTTGCATTCTCATCCTCACTCTGATTAGTTCTCAACATTGTTGCCAAAGTGATGGTTCTCACATGAAAGCATGATTGGTTTACTCCCCTGCCTAAAATCTTTCAATAGTTCTACATTACCATTGGGTTAAAAATCAAAACCTCTCAGCATGAGAGAGGAGCCTCTTTCTGACCTGGCTCTGCCTATGGTCTAGGTCTAGAGTCTCTCTCTGTCTCTCTTTCTCTCTATTTATTCTCTTTTTACACCACTAGTGACTCCCTAAATGCACCAGATTTCTTATGTCTTTCTGTATATATGCATTGTGTTAGTAAGGTTATCACTAGTGATTTCTTACACAGTATCCCAACATTCTTCCACTGGTAAGAACCAGCCAGATGCAAGACAATCAGGAAGCATAGCACCTGGCTGAGCAGCCACTTGCCAATAGCAACTCTACACACAGGGAGAGCGTAGATCCTGGTCTACATACAGGGAGAGCATAGATCCTGGTCTACACACAGGGAGAGCATCCCAGCTGTCTCTGCTCTTACGTGCTGCTACCCATATGTGCAAACTGGATCCCAACTCATTCTGATTCAGCTCTTCTGGACAAATCTATGTGACCTTTTAAGATTTATTTCAAGCTTTGCATAATTCAAAGGGCTTCGGAATACCCCCTGTCTATACTCATGTATCACAGAGTGCTTCCCAGCGGTCATAGCACATGTCATGTTTTATTATAATTGTTTGTTCATGAATCTTCACTTATACAAACGAGCTCCTGTAAGACTGGGCCTGTATTCTAATTTTATACCTATAAATGTCTGGTACACAATATGCACCCCAAAAATGTTTTACTAAAGAAATAAAAGGTTATTAGATGACCAGATTCATAAGAGAGGTAAAATCTCCAAAATTAGAAGTTTTAAAGAGTGAACTCTGGATCATTTATCCCAAAACACATACATCAGTCCTAATTTTAAATTGACAGAGTTTAGGCTTCTGATGTTTCTCTGTTGCTTGTTAATAAATCTACATTTAAAAAGCCCACAGTTATCAGATTGCCATGAGCATCTTCACAGAGTTTAAAAACGTAAAAATTCAAGGATTGTCACTTAGGTTGAATTGTTTATGAAAAGGAATGTGGTGTCATTAGAATGCATTTGGCTACAAGTAACCAGAAACTAGATTCAAAACGGAAAAATTAGAGAATGTATTATATTACACAGCAAGAAGTTTAGAGTTAGGGTAGCTCTAGGGCAGGCTGGTTGATCTAGTGGCTCTGTGATGTCCTTCAACACCTAGGTTCTGTCTTCTGCTACTATCTTAGTCCTACCCTCCTCAGTATATTGGCTGCATTCTTGGACTGGATCTACTTATGGTCACAGATAACCTGCCAGCAAAAAAAAAAAAAAGAACTATATTGCCTTAGTCATGTCCTGAGAGAGAGAACAAGAACACCTCTCACCCCAACCATGGGGTGTGACATAATAAAGTCTGATGGGGATAACTGAGATTTGTGCTAATCTGTGGACCAGAAACACTCCCAGGGGAATTCCATCTCCTGATTAGATGACTCAGTGTCTATCACAGAGCAAAGGTTTTCTTAAAGTATTTGGATGGATAGAAGGAGTTAGGTATCTTTTCTCTCCAAAATTAGTAGGTCCACTAGGGAGAAAAAAAATGGGAAGATTTGCTGAGTATTGAAGCAATGGTGCTCACTACAAATATTTTAACACTATATTATGTTGAACTGGTATCCATGCAAAAGTGAACACTTTTCTAGACCAGGCAATAACCCAACACTTTATCCTGTCACTTCTGAAGGTTCCAAATCATATAGGTTTCCAATAGTGGCATTTTAGATTGCCTTCCTCCAGTACCATTATTTATTCTTTTTTTTTTAGGCCTTATAATGGGACTAATTTTACGATATGCTACAGCACCAACTGATATTGAAAGTGGAACTGTCTATGACTGTGTAAAACTAACTTTCAGTCCATCAACTCTGCTGGTTAATATCACTGACCAAGTTTATGAATATAAATACAAAAGAGAAATAAGTCAGCACAACATCAATCCTCATCAAGGAAATGCTATACTTGAAAAGGTAAGGATCCTGTCTGGTATTATATATTTGTTTTACAGTATAAATAATTGTATCATATTTGAGCCTTTATACTTTTTATATAATGCATTCACACACACATATATGCCTATTTTAACACCACTCTTTTGGAGACGTTAATTGACTAAGGAGTCAAACCCTGAGTTATACCCTTATTACAAGCTGAGTTGCCTGTATTTTTTTTTCCTAGAAGTTAGGAAAGAAAGGTTTTCTTTTTTGTTTTTCTGCAAGCCACAGTTATATTTGGTTAAAAGAAAAAAACATTTATCAACTCTGCCTTTCCTGATACTTGATTCAAGTTTTCACACATGTGCTTTCAGCACCGTTGTATATAATGCCAGCTGAAAGTGCAGTTCAAATCTTTCTTAAGCCAAAGGGAAAATGGAGTAGAATAAAAACATTTTCACTTGCAAACCTGGAAACCTAGGATGACTGGCTTTTGGCTACCAACACAAAACACTGGCCACTTGGCTATGTATAAATACACTGACATGCAGTCAGTGTCAAGAAATCGTGACTATCAGTTTGGTTAAGGAATTTAGGTAGAAAAAAATTGTGAAATGAGTCATCTTTTAAAAATAGTTTCATAATTGCAGATTTGTGAACGGCTTCAGTTACTGGAAGGAAAACTTTCTTCTGCTTTCAGGAATCTGGGTCAGAAATCAGGTTAGGTTATCTTTTGTGGTGCCTTGTAAACCCTGGATCAGTCTTTGGAATAAATGAATTCCTGTTTAACAAGTGTGTACTAAGAACCAGGATCTCACATCACTTATTTGAGATTTTTTTTCAGGTCAGAGCTGAGAATTTTCTGACACTGTGGAAGTCCATTGTTTCACTTTTATCCCATATGTACTTAGTTTTTATGTTAAAACACACCTTTTTTTTTCCATTTTAAGAGGTTTGGAACAGAAGGGGAGGTACTTGGTCTGCCATTTTTCCTCAGTCAAGATGACTAATTTATAATAATTGTTTTCATATTATCTTCCACTAGCACATTTTTAGATTAACTTCCTCCTAGCACTTGGTAAGGGCTCAGGAAAGTCAAACTAATTATAATATTAGCCTAAATCAGACTTGGGAAAGTAAACTGAAGCACAAAAAAAGCAAATTAGATAATGTATTTCTGAAATAAAGAGGAGCAACTTCTAGATCTGCCACTGCTTTTGGATTATCTGTTTTGGATTATCTCTTCCATGTGTTTCTTTTTGTTTATATGATAATAATAAATTATCTCTTTTAAAATAAATATTTTTTAAACTTGTTAGCAACATAGGATTTAAATTAAAATACATTCTTGAGTTTTACCTTTGGTTAGTACCTGGACATGAATTATTTCTCTCTTCACTCTCCTACACATTTTTATCTGCATTTCTATACAGCACTATTTCTTCAAACAGGTTGACACCTCTCCTCCCACCAAATGCTGATAATTATCCTTGTTGCTGTAGCAATTATATTCTTGAACAGGATTGCCAATAAATGCCTGACCAGAAATTTTGTTATTGAATTATTCACATATTTATTCCTTCATCAGCATCCAGAGCCAAATGTTTGCTTTTGAAAAATTAGGGCAAGAGATGGAGAAAACGTCTAAGTTGCTGGAGCCCTCTTGGTGTTTTCAGTGAGTGGATTATGAGCTCTGCAAGTTCGGTACATAAAATGTTTACTTGACCTTGAGTGGCTCAAGTAGTTTCTAGATGAACTTGTCAATCATGGCATCTGGAGATGGGAACAGGTGACTCAGCAACCTGACTAAGTCCTCCTCTCATTGCTGGTATAGAAAGGGGCATCTACTAGCATACTTACTGTATTACATGGCTTTAAGGGGAAAAGATTTTGTTTATAAATACCTGGAGTATGTCACTATACATATTTGTTGCTTATGTGGCAATCCTGGGGGACACTAGTTAATCTGCAAAACTGAACAACCTGTAGCCTGTCTTCCTTACTGAGAATTCTCCTTTGGGAGGCTTATAAGGAGGTAACATTGAGTAATGTTTAAACAAAGTTAGGATTAGATAGATCTTCCATCCCCCTTCTTTGAGTTTCTTAAGCTTCCTAATCCCTAACTTTCTTATTTGTGAAGTGAGGAGCTTAAAACCTATTCTGCAGGATTGTTTTAATGTTCAAATGAGATGATGTGTATAAAGTGCCTGGCTAACATGGGGCCTTCACATTGTACCATTGTTACTACCACCACTACTACTACTAGTACTATTGCCACTGCACTACCACTGCCAATGTCATTGCCACTTCCACTACTTCCAAAAATAACGCTACCATTGCTACTATTAGATAATGTTTGAATGCTTAATATATGCCAGGAATTAATAAAATGTGTATTTCTTTTATTAATTTATTTAACACTCATTTGGGGAGATAAGACCAACGTATAATGGATACTTGTATATAATTCAGTCCTAAATTGTATCATATGAATTATGAGGACTGTGAAACTTTACAGACTAGTTGTCATAGGTACTTGAGCTGGTTACATAAGCTTCTTGGGGAGATGGCACTTGAGAAGGGCTTTGGGTAGGCAGTAGGGATTGAACTCAGAATGGCCATCAGGGCAGGGTGGACTGGAAGGTGAGACTGCAGTAAGTGAGTATCCAGGTAAGAATTGAAGAGGGCTTCATGAAAAACCTGGATGCTTTGGATCAACAGAGCCTGCCTGATTTGTAGGAACAGTGTGAAGAGAAGAGTCTAAGTTTCCAGGATTTTAAGCCCGGATAAAAGAATATGAAGTTTGTAGGGTAAAAGTTTGGGGAGGAAAGAAGACTTGAGGAAGGGGTGGGTGCAAATGCCCTGGATCTGCATATACGTATCACCTAATTTAGAGCAAGAAAGAGACCCGACCTCATTAAATTGAACCTCATCATTTCATAGATGGGCAAAACAAGAAATTAAGCACTAAAATCAATTTAAGTCAGTGGTTCCCAAACTCTCTGCACTTTGGAATCATTGGGAAGCTTCAAAACATACTGATGACTGTGTGACTGTGTTCTGCCTCTGGGTTTGTGATTTGACTGATTTAGGGAGTATCAAGGGTTTTGGAATTTTTAGAAGATCACCAAGGTGACGCTAATGGGCAAATGAGTTAGGGATTTTAGTCCTACTTCGAGTTCAGGTGAAATGGTGAGGAGAGAGATGCTGCGTTTGTTCTTCTTTACTTCACATCCACTGCTGCAGATCTACCAGCCCCTTATTTTGTTCACTCAACACAACAAGAACTTTTTTCTTCAGGACCTCTGTACCTGTCATTCCTTTCACCTAAAATGGCCTCACGTCTACCCTTTGAATATCAGCCTCCTTCACATTACTAGAGTTTTGGCTTGAAGTACCATCTTTTCAGAGAGGGCTTACCCATTTTCTCACACTGTATCCTCCCTCCCTTCTCTTCTCTCTCTCTCTCTCTGTGTGTGTGTGTGTGTGTTGGGGTAGGTATGTGCTTGTTTCTTTCTCTCTTATTTCATAGTACTTGACATCATCTGAAATTATACATGTATTTGCTTGCTTTTTGTTTATTAGCATTCTTACATTGCTTATTGTCCATTAGACTGTAAACTTCACAAAGGCAGGGACCATACCTTTTTTACTGACCAATGTATCCCCAAAGCCTATCCTGGTGCCCCATGCCTAATAGCTGCTAAACAATGAATGAATGAATAAATAATTGATGAGTCTGAGATCTTGGCAGAGCACATATGGCTAGAGAAACATACAGTATTTAGAAATTATCATTCTTGGAGTTGGTAGAATTGTAGTGTCCTGGATGCTTAATGTTTGTAGACACCTGAGACATTCTTTAATCTTAGCTGTGCATATATGGATAATACATTAATGTCCAGAGAAAATACATGGTGAGTTCAGGGTCCCACTACTGGTTAGAGAAGAGATAGAACTTGGACTATAGCACTTAATTCTGAGACCTGAGTAAATTATTATACCCCACACTACTGGACAGGCTCTCTGAGAGGCCACATGGACAGAGAAGGGCAGGGCACCTGGGGCTAAGACCTAGAGCGTTTCACAGTTAGACAGGCAGAAGGAGATGACCAGTGCTAGAAAGAGTGCAGGGAGGTCAGAGTTGAGGAAGAAGTCCGGCTCAGCAGAGTCACAGAAGCCATTAGTGTGGCCCCACTGGGTCCTTTTCCTTTGTGATATATTTTAAAGGGAGTATTTTGCCTTTGTTTCTAAAAGTTACATGATTTGAAAATGGGTTTTACTCTTAGAAAAATATAGTTTAGTGTCTTGGATGAAATTTCTGACTTCAGGATTTGGAGAGGCTGGAATGAATTCTTGTGCTATGTAATGGCCTCTTAGAAGATTTTATAAGAGCACGTGTATTTCTGGGATGGTTAGGCATTGACGTGCTTAGAGACAGAACTGGTTTGATGGCTCTGTGAGTTCCTTCCAATAAGAAGGTATAAAACTGGAAAATATGAGAGCTGTTGGCATTTATATAAACAGCAATGTACTGTGATTTTATGCCATGTTTAAACATATAAAAATTTCAGGAAACACCATATGCCAAACTTGTTTTGTTCATGCTCAACACAGATAAAAGTGTAGAAAAGAAAAAAAATATTTTCACTTAAAGATTGGTGAAAACAGTATTCTTCTATATGTTATGAGCAGACGATGAACTCAAAACAACCTTCTAAGAGGATAAAACAAGACCATGTTGCTCTGTATCTGTTCAGCCAATGTTTCCACCACCATTTGTCAAATTGTTCTGTGTATACAAGATACCTGCAACTGGTTGTAACCCTTTAGGGCCTACATCCTATTACATGATAGCTTTGCAAACATAAGTTTGTTATGTAATATTTAGGAATACCAAAATGTCTACCAAATATTTCTGCATTTTATGTCAATAGGAAGTTCAAAACCTGTTTTGAAGAGAAGATGATAAAATAACTTTCTGTTTCATACTTTCATTCATTTATTCTTTCAACACAAATGAACTGAGTCCTATCAATTTCAATTCTGAAACAAGATGTGGTCCCAAGGAGTTTAGTAGTAAATCAGAGAAAAACATAGCATATGAATAAATGAATGAGTAACACTAAAGGCACGTATCAAAAAAGTGGGACAAGAACCACAGGCGTCCAGAACAGGACAGTATGGTCTCTTATTAAGGGTAATAGGAAAGATTTCTAAGAAGGGCAGTTGATTGACTCTGATGATAGGGGTATGTGTGGTGTTGGGGGGACAGAGGGGAGGAATTCCATGCAGAAGGAAAAGCATGATATGGATGTGGGAAAAGGGGTAGACAATATTCCAGGAAAGAAAAAGCATTTCCAATTTGTTGAAGTGTGGAAGACCAGTGAAACCTAGAGCTGAAAATGAAGGCAGACCTTGATTTGGAAGCCCCTGAATGCCAGGCTGAGTAATGCCCTCTCTATTTGTAGTCAGAGGAACAGTGTAATGTTGACAAAAGCAAAAGGATAGTGTGCCTGCTGTGTACAGGGTAGAGAGTGAAAGCAAAGAGACAGATGAAGCCTAGACTTGGATGGTAACCAAGAGGTAGATGCAAGAAAAACGAGGAAGGAAGGCTGTGAAGGGCTTGGCCCAACTAGTCAGAAGAAGAGGAAAAACAGCTTCCTCTGCTACCCTGGTCATGTGGGTTCACAGAAGGGTGGTGAGGCAAAAATGTGGAAGTTAAAAGTTAGAAGAAGGAGTTGATTTGTAGGAGAAAATCACAAATCACAAATATGGTGGTTTTTTTTTTTTTTCAAGACAGAGTCTTGCTCTGTCGCCCAGGCTGCAGTACAGTGGTACGATTCCAGCTCACTGCAACCTCTGCCTCCTAGGTTCAAGCAATTCTCATGCCCTAGCCTCCCAAGTAGCTGGGACTACAGGTATGTGCCACCACGCCCAGCTACTTTTCGTATTCTTAGTAGAGATGGAGTTTCACCATGTTGTCCAGGCTGGTCTCAAACTCCTGACCTCCAGTGATCTGCCTGCCTCAGCCTCCCAAAATGCTGGGATTATAGGTGTGAGCCACAGTGCCTGGTCACAAATGTGGTTTTAAACTGATGAATGAATGAATCAATCTATTTCATCATTAATTTATTCATCATTGATTTAGCATGTTAGGTGTTTATAATACTCAGTTGGAAGGGTCAGTGGGCCATTTGGCTGGAAAAGTCTTGCAGATACAGTAGATTATCAAAAAGTTGTCAGTACAGTTAAATTTACACTTCCTATCACTCATAGATAAGTTGACTGTAATGCAAAAAGTCAAAGGAAACTACCCAGCGAAAATTTTGCCAAGTCTTCACTTCCTGTGTGACAAGTAGACACTATCGCTTGGTAAAGGAAGTTACTTTGAAGTGAGTTACACTGCTGAGCAATCTGTCCTTTCTATTCTTTCAATAAAGAGAATTGCCAAGCTGCAAATAGGTCATCAGAGCTCGTTTCAATTGTGTTGATAATACTACATATTTTAGAGCTACTTTAAGGAAGCCCTTATAGAAACAACTAACCATAAGACTTTTAAAAGTAATTTTGTTTTTGAAGAATTAAATAATTAATTTTTTGTAGCTTTAAATAAATAAATCAAAGTCCTTTTTTTTTTCTCACCATCCAACTTTTCCTAATGGTGATTTTGATTTTTCATCATTCAGAGTTTTAATTCTCATATATTTATTTGTAAACTACATTTGCATTTCTAGTCTTTTCCTTTACTTGAGCTTCAATAAGGCCAGGGGCAAACCTCTTCCTGTAACAGGAATCGCTTGAGCAGAGAGAGTCATTGGGCCATGAGATAAATATGTACAGTTAACACTAGGACACTCTTGGGGAGGATAAACAAAGGACTGAAAAGAAATTTTTTAAGAAACTTTTCTAGGCACACTGAGAGAAAGCAAGCTTCATGATGATAAATCAGCATTGGGGGTGTGGAGAAGCATTTGTAGGATACTATCAATTATTCTTCCTTTCAACAGAGAATAGGGCTCCATGATTTGTGTTTCTCTATCATGACAATTCTTGGCTCCTACCACGTGAGATGGTTCCAGAGAATGTCAAGTTTGGCAGTAAATGGGATGAGGCTGTTTGGGCGGATGCAGCTCCTTTCATCCTAAACCTTATTTAAGAGATCTGCTGTTACTAAAGAAACTAAAAATTTGTTTGCTTTAGCTGTTTTCTTCCACTTTCATTCAACATTTTTGGCAAAAAGTTGGCCTGTGAGATGACCTCAGAAATGTATTTAAAGACTCTAAATATTCCATTTGGTTTTGATTTCATCATTGAACAACACAGATTTTCTTCATTCCTTCAGTCATTCAAAAAATATTTATTTATTGAGCACTTGCCACTTGCCAGGCATTGGTTTTAGGTGCTGCAAGTATGGTAGTGAACAAAACGAAGTCCTTGTGCTCATGGGGTTTAACTTCCTGGAGGGGGATAGACAAAGGAAGTTCAGCACAAGCATTTGTAATCCAGAGCCAAGTGGAGGCAAGTGCTATGAAGAGAAGTTAGCAAAATTAGAAGGTTCGGAGTGAAGGGTCTTTAGATATGTCCTGCAGAGAAGGCCTCACTGAGGTGAATCGGAGCTGAGTCCTAATGAAGTGGGGACTATGCCATGCAGAAATCTGGAAGAAGGGAATTTCAAAGCAGAGGACAAAACTAAGTAACAGTAAGTGCCTGCTGCTTTCTGGAAGGCAGTTTTTTGTTTTTGGTTTTTTGGTTTTTTTTTCCTGCCAGCTCTTTGCCATTTTATTCATGAATATTCTAAGATCATTTTGTATATATAAAAAGTTTTAGAAAAAAATATTTTTTAAAGTAGAGAAGGGCAGAGAAGAAGAGAGAGATCATCTTGGAATAGGGATTGGAAATCTAGAAACACAGGGACACTCTGCTCCTAGGGGCAGGAAGTGCCATGAGGTACCATGGCCACTTTTGAAAGCTTGCCTTCAGAATGCACCACGCAAATACTAACTTCCAAACTTTTGATTATGCACCCACCAGTGAAATGCGTTTGAGAATATATCCATATACCTTTTTATTTACAAGTTGGATGTAAGGACTACTGTATCAATATACTCTATACATTATAAAGCAGATATCAAACTAGAATTTTTTAAAAGGATGAGATAAAATGAAATATAAACAGAAGTTCCAGTATGTCCTTTGCACACCAAAATCATCCTTTCCATTCTCTAAGATATGGACACCTCATCTTAGAGAACAATATAATATCTTATATTTTATTAAAATTTTATTTTTATTGTAACTATTAAATATTTTTGATAACATCTACCTTTAAAAATTCCACTCTTTTCTGAAATCTTTTTTAATGTTTAATTTTTAATTTATTTTTTAATTTTTTTATTTTTTATTTTTGTGGGTACATAGTAGGTATATATATTTATGGGTTACATAAAATGTTTTGATACAGGCATGCAATGTGAAATAATCACATAATGGAGAATGGGAAAGCCATCCCCTCAAGCATTTATCCTTTGTGTCTTTTCTGAAATCTTAAATTCTGTATTCTGAGTCTTGCGGCACCAGTATGTGCATGGGCTGTTGGCCTGACATGAGGATGTTCTTAGGGGCTGATTACCTCTGGGAGAACACTCATCTTCACCCCGAATGTCCCCATGCTACTCTACTACAGTATCCAGGTCTTTTGTCTCATAGGTCTGCAGTCTCATAGCTCCACCTGACATTCCCCCACTGCATTTTAGCTGAGTTGTAAGTTAATATTTACTTCTATAATGTTTTGATTCATGTCTGTCTTCTCAATGTCACTTGTCTACAGTCTCACTAGACTGTGGGCTCCAGGAGGGCAGAGACTAGGTCTGTTTAGTGGTCACATTCATTCCATGATTCCTGGCAAATGGTGAATTCTCTGTGGATCTTGATAAATGAATGGATGATGTAACCAGGTATCTATCATTCTCTGCTTGTCAGTAGCTCCTTTTTACTGCTACTCTGTCCTGTCTTAATTGCTGGCTATTTTGTAACCAAGCATCTAACCTCAGATTTCTCCTCAGGGTGAATTATGTGTGCTCTGTGATGGTTGTTTACTACTCAGAGGACTGAACTGCTAAAAAGTCTGCTCTCCAAATAATTGCGTAGGGATGGAAGGAGGCAGAGAGAGATTCAAGGCAGGGAGAGAGGGAGAGAAAAGGAGCCTGAGCAAAGAACAGAAAACAGAGAGAGAGTGGAAGGGAAAAAAGAGATTTCCCATTGTACTTTAAGTCTGAGTAAATAATATTTACAATGGATCTTTCAATTCTTTTCCCCATTGCTTTGTTCCTTCTAAAATATTAAACTGTGGCAAGAGTGCACATTTATCATTGCTGGTCTCCAGCGAGTAGTTATTTAAAGTTCCACCCAGCTGCATTTCCCTGTTCTCTCCTGAGGTCATTAGGAAGCTCCTGTTTAGTAACAGATACAGCCTGAGGTAGGCTCCACAGACAGCTGGGCACAGGAGGGGAGGGGACCTAACGAAGCTGCACATTCAGCTGGTTGTCTCTTGTTGCCTTTTAAGCTTGCCTGGAGTTATGGAGTCTCCCAGCTGCTCCCTTCACATCCATTTCTGATCACAGGACTAAGTGGGCTCTGATTTATCGAGTTCTGCCCCAGGTTGGGGTGTGTGGAGCAAGAATGTCCTGCAAATTCGAGTGGTCTTCATCTTTCTTTCTAACTGTCATATGATGGGTTCCCAGAAAAGTGGTGGACCCTCAGGTAGTGTGTAGTGAGCAGGAAGTTCATCAAGTGCCCTTGAGATTGACACCTTTCAGTAGAAGAGGAAGGAAGCCTGAGTGGGTAGAGAGAGAAATGAAGCTGAGATGCAGGCCCAACAATTGTGGCTGCCTCCTTGGGAAGCTGTGGAGCTAGAATGAGCCCTCAGAGTCATTCTCAGTTGGATTCAGAAGGCTAGGCCTCTAAAACACCAAATTGCTCTGTTCTTTGATGTGGGTCACTCTGGAAAGTGCATGACGTTGGGTGAGGTGCTTCTCTGCAGTCTTGGCAATCCCTAAAGGGACTGACAGCGCTTGCTGCAGCAAGGACAACACAGCCTTCATTGAAGGGGAGTCAGAGTGGCACAGCACAGTGCCGGGCACACTGACCCCCGCATAGGCTGGGAAGCTTTGTCTAGATTTTAAACCTGAGAACAGTACCTAGATGATGAGTTAACACATAGTTGGAGTAAAATGACTGCAGTGGAGTGCTGGAGCAGGCTTGTCCCAGCTTTTGAGAACTGATTATTAAATATTCAACAACTTTGTGAGCCTGTTGAAAACTTGAAATGGGCCATAATAGGAGTATTTATACCACAGAAATTGGCAAAAGGTACAAATCAGGGCTTGTGAGGTTTTGTTTTTGTTTTTCTCCAGAAAGATGGTTTACAAGCCCATCACTAAATACAGGCTTACCTAATTTCATTTTTAGGAGAATTGGAAATATCTAAACACTTCATTTTTCACGTCCCCAAAAAGTCCTTTCCTACTTGACAATTGTCTTGAAATTTTACTGTTAGAGCATCACATTTTCAGCTCAAACTCTGCCTCTAAGATCACATGGCGAAGTGCATAAAGTTCTATGATTAGATCTAATTGAATCTCATCTCTGAGATGAGATTTACCTTTGGTGGGTTAATTTCTCTGAGCATATTTTAGAGAGTTACTTTCAGAACTAAAGAGAAAAGTTATGTTTAAAGTTAGGCAAGTTATAAATATTAGTCTACTTCCTTTTCTCCTTCCATAACATCTGCCCTTAATGGGCATGGATTTCCCCTTGGAGTAAGAAGTCTGAGGAGCGTGTGATGGAGAAAGATTGGTGTTGCTTTTTATTGTACCATTTAAAGTGGTGCTTAAATGCATTTAAAAATATGCACCAATTTAATTTTAAATCATGCTTTCTGCTGATTTCAGCACACACAGCTTCCTGCTCACCCCAGTCCCCTCAAGGGTGCCTGCTGTGACTGTGGTCCTTGCTGACTCAGCCCTTCCCAGTCCAGCTTCCCCAGGCCAGTTGCTCCCTGGTGAGGTCATGTGATGGGGGAAGCTGCATACACACCTCAAAGCTAAGGTCTGAAAAAGATAATGCAAACTCAAAAAAAAAAAAAATAAGACAAAGAAAGACTAGGATTGAGATGCTCCTGTATATTCTGAAGTGATAGAAAGCAGTTTCTTTTGCCTGTAATAAAAAAAATAGCCAATATTAAGATCTATTCTAGATTGGAAAAAAGAAAGAAATCATTGTTGATGTGCAAAGTTTTAATTGTTTTGGATGCATGGCTCGTGACTCCTGAGGAATGAGTAGCTCTTGGTGAGACGCAGGACCAGGCTCTTCTCACTTGCACCTGTTATTTTCTCTTCTCCTGCTGGTATCATGTCAGTCTTAGACTGAAGTCACATGATTATGTCAATACCACAGCTAGTGAGGGGTAGTAGGGCAACCCCCACATGAATGGCAGGCCCACAAGGGACCAGCAGCAGCCAATCCAAGTGTGCAGAAAATGAGAAGGCCTGGAGTTTGGGCATCTAGGTCCAGGGGTAGGAAACCCAGGATGTACGATATTGACCTTAGCAAAAAGTCACAAAGATAGCAAAGGTGAGTTTGTGCATCAAGAATCTTACGCAAAACATAGAAGAGTTTCTAGCCATTGGTGGTTTGTTGCCATGGCAATGATCTAGAAAACTTAGTTGTCCTTGATGTATTTGCATTCAATGAGAACAAATTCAGCAGCTGAGTGGGTGACCTGAACCCACTTATGAGTAGGAGATGGGATATTGAAGTTAAAAGGCCAATCTCTAGAGCCATATAACTTGGATCAAATGCCACTTACAAGCTGTGTGATCTTAGGTGAGATAATTAACCATCCTATGCTTCAAATTCCTAACTACTTTGTAGGACTATTGTGAATTGCAAATGAGAAAATTCATGTGAAGCACTTAGAATAGTGTCTGGCTCATAGTAAGTGCTCAAAGTATATTAAGTGTTACTTGCTATTGTTGTTATCAACAAAGCAATGGACTTGCAATTAGAAGCTATGATTTGAGTCGAGGCCTTGGCTATTTACAAGGTAGGTGACTTAAGGCAAGTAACATGCCTTGTAAATAGCTAAGGCCTTAACTCTGAGCCTTGGTTCCACCTCTGTAAAAATGAGGTGTGCACAAATACTTAACTCAAAGGGTGTTGTAAAGAAATAAATGAGACACTGTGTATGAAGGAAACTTTAAAACTGTAACAGCCTTATGGAAAGTTTGTTTTTAATTACTTACTATTATGACTAATTGGCAAATAGTAAATGTACCAGGTTATATGTGAGGAAGTCAAATCCTAAACTTCAGCCCCACCCAAATTATAATAATGACAGTGTATTTTCTTTTCCATGGAAATTTTTTTTTTATTTACAAAGGCTTCTCCTGTTGCATTGTCCATTCAATCTCACCATTATTCCATAAGACAAACAAATATGACCCACGCTACAGAGGAGGAACCAAAGTTCTGGAAGCTTAAGTGACTTGGTCAAGTTTGATTTACAACAGAACTACAATTAGGACCAGGGCTTCTGACTCCAAGTTCAATGTCCTTTCTACAACTCCATGCTGCCAAGTTAAATGTTTAGAATTATGTAGATGTTTTGGTCTTAATTCACCACTTAATTTTGCCTGGAGTCATAGGCACTACCTACCTCCAGTGAAATAACAGTGTTTCTATCTGTCAATTTTGTATGTATAATGTTCACAATGGGACATTTCTAACTTCTAGCATTTTAAAGACTTGAAAAGTAATTATAGCTTTATGGTATTCTAGTCTCACAAATTCTCAATGATAACTTGTTATTTTTCTCTACATTGTTCTCCCTTCACTGTTTCTCTGTAATTTAGTTTTGCTTCTCTGAATTTCAATGAAAATGTATATATTTCAGTGATCCTCCTTTTTTTTGAGACAGAGTTTCACTCTTGTTGCCCAGGCTGGAGTGCAACGGTGCGATCTTGGCTCACTGCAACCTCCACCTCCCGGGTTCAAGCGATTCCCTACCTCAGCCTCCTGAGTAGCTGGGATTACAGGCATGCACAACCATGCCCAGCTAATTTTTTGTATTTTTAGTAGAGACAGAGTTTCTCTATGTTGGTCAGGCTGGTCTTGAACTCCCAACCTCAGGTGATCCACCCACCTCGGCCTCCCAAAATGCTGGGATTACAGGCATGAGCCACCGCGCCTGGCCGATCCTCCAGTTTTTAACCGTTAACATTCATAATACTAAGTTTTCTAGTTGGAGGGATTTGCTGCCGACTTCCAGTAATTTTTGAAAAGTGAAAAAACTCAATAGGTTTGGACATTCAATGAGGGCTTATTGCTCACCTGCCTGATTCTGTATTAGTCCTTTTCAGATATTTTACCACACTTAAAAATCATGGCCAGGCATGCAGTGGCTCACACCTGTAATCCCAGCACTTTGGGAGGCTGAGGCCGGTGGATCACTTGAGGTCAGGAGTTCATGACGAGCCTGGCCAACATGGTGAAACCCAGTCTCTACTGAAAATACAAAAATCAGCTGGGCGTGGCGGTGCATCCCTGTAATTCCAGCTACTCAGGAGGCTGAGGTAAGAGAATAATTTGATGCCGGGAGGTGGAGGCTGCAGTGAGCTGAGATTGAGACATTGAACTCCAGCCTGGGCAACAGAGCAAGACTCTGTTTCAAAAAATATATATATATAACAAGTCTGAGTCCCCAGTTCTTAACTTTTTCTTATCTTCCATTTTTCAGCTTTTATTATCCCTTGATCTTTAAAAGATAATTTAAAAAATATATGTGATTTTCATTACTGATTCCATTACACTTGTAGAATAACTTCATAAATGGTAACTTTACAAGATATTCATTTAGAGTGACAAGAAAGTATTTTATCTGAAATAATTAAAATAATCCCACAATATTATGCAACCACTATAAATTTTGGTAAATTTCCAGTCATTTACATATTTTTTTTTCTGTGTAGCTTAAATCAGATGGTCTCTAAAGCTTTGTAACTTGCTTTACTTACTTATTATCATAACCTAAGCCTTCTGTCAGACTTTTAAAAATTAACTGTAATGGATAGAAATGTGCTTGATTTTTTAGTTGTTTCTAAATTTTCACTAATATAAATAATGCTTCAGTGAATACCTATCTGTATAAAGCTTTTCCTGTATTTTGAAACATTAAATAGGCTATCAGATAACAGATATAAAATATTTGTTAGAGTAAATGTCTTCTGGGTCTTTGAAAAAGCACTGGAAAATGGCAGAAGAGCCAACTGAAATAAATGGGAAAAGGATTAATTACCAAATACCTATGAATTTTCCTAGGACAATTGGCTATCAATATGGAAGAAAAAGAATTAGATCCCTATCTCACATCTTATCACAAATAAATCCGAGATGGATTAGAGACTTAAGTAAGAATCAAACTATATAACTTTAGGAGAAAATATATTTATGACATCAGGATAGGAAAATATTTTTTAAAGATATCACCAAAAGCACAAATAATAATATAAAAATGGAATAAATTTTACTACAATAAAATAAACTTTTGGCCGGGCGCGGTGGCTCACGCCTGTAATCCCAGCACTTTGGGAGGCCGAGGCGGGTGGATCATGAGGTCAGGAGATCGAGACCATCCTGGCTAACAAGGTGAAACCCCGTCTCTACTAAAAATACAAAAAATTAGCCGGGCGCGGTGGCGGGCGCCTGTAGTCCCAGCTACTCGGGAGGCTGAGGCAGGAGAATGGCGTGAACCTGGGAAGCGGAGCTTGCAGTGAGCCGAGATTGCACCACTGCAGTCCGCAGTCCGGCCTGGGCGACAGAGCGAGACTCCGTCTCAAAAAAAAAAAAAATAAAAAAAAAAATAAACTTTTGCATGAAAAAGACACCATCAACAAAGTTAAAAGTCAAAGTCTAAAAGCTTAAGGAGATCATGAGAATAGAAGAAAGTATTTGAAATCTAAATAACCAAAGCAGAATAGTAACCAGATTACATTAAGAACTAATCAATAAGAAAAACTAATACTGAGTAAAAGAGATCAGAAAATTCACTAAAGAGATACCACAAAGGCCAATAAATGAGGAGTGTATGTTCTTTTAATTAGTAATGAAAAACTTTAAGATAATGATCATGTGATATCATTTCATGCTTACCAGATTGCCAAAAATTAGAAATTTGTCAATACTAAGTATTGGCTAAAATCTGGGGAAATACTCTTACACTTTACTATGGGAGTGTAAATTGGGTAGCCCCTCTAATTTGGTGATACCTACTAAAGTTGAAGGTTTATATACCTCATACCCCAGCAGGCCCACTTCTAGGTATTTTTCACTTCTGGAGAAACTCTCACATGTATACACAGACTTAAGTACAAGAATATACATTGCAGCATTTTTAGTAATGGTAACAAGAGAAGGGAAAAAAATCAAATCATGATATGTTCATCCCATAGAACATTACACAGCAGTTTAAGTGAATGGATGAGATCACTTGTATATTAATATACATAAATCTCAAAAACTATGTTGAATGTGAAAGGCAAGAGGATGCCTTTTATATTCAATAAACGTAAAACGGTATTTAGGATACAATTTTAAAACATACAAATATACAAAAGTATTTTAAAATTAGGTGGTTGTGGTGGTATGCACCTGGGGTCCTAGCTACTTGGGAGGCTTAGATGGAAAGATCACTTGAGCCCACGAGTTCAAGGTTACAGTGAGCTATGACCACACCACTGTACTCCAGCCTGGGCAACAAAGCAAGACCCTGTCTCGAATATAATAAAGTAAAAATATACAAGCAATACTAACTATGGTTTACGACTACACATATATGAAATACATAAATACAGTAATGGAAGGAAAGGGCACTGACTTCAGGGCATTGATTATTTCTGGGGCTGGGTGAGAAGAGGAGAAACTTCAACTCTAGCATATCATTTAAAACTTGTTTGAGGTGAAGTCAAGCACATACATAAAATAAGAGAAAAACATCTCTGGTTTAGATTTCCAAGCTTGGTGCTGCCTCTGAACAAATTTGACCTTGCACATGTCTCTCGATCTCTCTGGAGGATTATATTAGGTCAGGTTTTTGTTTTGTTGTTTTTGTTTGTTTGTTTGTTTGTTTTTTTGAGATGGAATCTTGCTCTGTCACCAGGCTGGAGTGCAGTGGCACGATCCCGGCTCACTGTAACCTCCACCTCCCAGGTTCAAGCGATTCTCCTGTCTCAGCCTCCTGAATAGCTGGGACTACAGATGCACACCACCATGCCCAGCTAATTTTTTTGTATTTTTAGTAGAGACAGGATTTCACCATGTTGGCCAGGATGGTCTCCATCTCTTGACCTCGTGATCCGTCCACCTCAGCCTCCCAAAGAGCTGGGATTACAGGTGTGAGCCACTGCGCCCGGCGGATATTAGGTCAGGGTTTTAAACCTTTTTTTTTTTTTAAAATAGCAAAAAGCCCTTCATTCAAAGAAAATCTAACAAAAAAGGGGCTTCACAGTGTGTCAAACAGGTGAAGTCAAAACTGCTAAGACAGGAAGGAGGGGGCAATAGTCCCCACTTTCCATTACTGCCACGCTTCTCCCCAACTAGTGGCCTCTAAGGCAGCTTCTCCCTTTGATGGCCTAACTGTCAATGGCACTAAGCTGTTAGTCTGACCCATTTCTTTGACAAGTGCCTGCCATGTACAAGGGCTCTTTGGTAAACACCTGGAGAAATGGAAGAGTGCTTTTTTAATTTTTTTACTATGAAAACCATCCCCTAATTTGGCCAGTCCACAGATTTGAATGTCTTTGAGTAAAATTTCTCCCCATTTTAAAAGCATTAATTTATTAATTTTGCTGCTCTTATCACTTCTTTAATTTTTTTAACTTAGCACATCTTCATTATTTTGGCCCTTACCACTCTGTTTCCTGATGTCCTCTCCTGCCTCCTTCCTTCCCTTTTGTGGCCTTTGTCCTTTTATTCTCCCTCTCCTTTGTTCCTCCTGTTCATCCAAGAGCCATTTATCAGATTCCTGAAAAAGCCACTGCTCAGCCTGCCCTGTGAAAGGCCCAGAGCCCACTGTTCCTACCTTGCCATCACTCATTTTTTCCTTAACCTCCTGTACCCACTTCTTGGTGTAAGGCAGTCAGAAATGATCAAAAACCACTTCCTAATTATGAAACCCAAAGGATTTCCCCTTGGTCCTTAAACTCCTTTTTTCAGCAGCTGACATCAGAGTAGGGAAGGTAGAGTCGGCTCCTCCCCAGCCATTCTCTCAGCCAGGTCCACTTTTGGGGTTTGCCTTCTTACATCTCTTTCTGTTTATTGAATTTCAGATACATAGTCAATGACTGGGGAAAATTATGTCTCAAATGCAATATTACGAAATTATTCTGAAAAAGTGATGTTTATCCGAAGTTTCAATTTCACTCAGCATCCTGTGTTTGGATTGCTAAACCTGGCAGCCCTGCATGAAGGAGTGGCAGCTCCTTCTCATCCTCCACCTCTCTCTGGCTTTCTGCAGCCCTGGGTTTCATTCTCCTCCTCTCTCTGATTGTTGTCTCTCTCCCTGGTAGGGCCACTGCATCCCCTTCCAGCATTCTGTCCTTGATCCTTGGCTCTTTTTTGTGGCACTCATTTCCCAGATACCCCATCTATGCTCATCAACTCATTTTTTCCATACTGATGATTCTGGATCATTTCTCCTTGGCCCTGACTTTGCCACCAGGCACATATTTCTGAGTGACGTACAGGCACCTCCAACTTAGTGAGCAGAAGCCTCCATGAGCCCTCAGCCTTTCTGACCCCTCTTACTCCTGCTGAGTCAGCTCCTCCTCAGCCATATTCTCTCAGTCACTCACCCAGGTGCAGAAACATAGGTTCCTTATGGAGTTTTCTATTTTTACCTCTATTTTACCCACAAACCCTGCTAGTCCTCCCTGCCATATGCCTGGCTTATTTTAAGGAAACACATGTTGAGTGAATGGATGTCTCCTGGTCTTGTTTCTTTCTTTCCATTCTATCGCAACCACCTTCATTCCCACTATCATTACCTTGAGCTCATTCTGGTAACTGCAGCCTGGCAATGGTTTCCCTTCATCCAGGACAATCTTGAGGTCTCTGCAAACTAATCTGCACAGACATCTTCTTTAAAAATGTATATATTTTTGACTAGGTAATACATTCACATGGCCTGATGTTCAAAAGGTACAAAAGAGTATATGAGAATCTTGAAGGGTTAATTCATTGTCTCTTTTGCCTACCTCATGTTGTAGCCAGCGGATAAATAGATACAGGAATCAGAAAGATGGAGAGCAAAAACTATGCAAAATAATGGGGCTTGGTCTGCGGGCTGCCTTGCTCACCTTTACACCAGAATTAGAAAGACTTACACACCCAGAGAGACCCAACTGGACAGAATTGGCCTCCATGCTGGGCTCTGCTCTTACAAAGTTTGGGAGCGGGAGGAAGAGAGAGGGGATTCACTCATCAAGCAGGCTAATTCCAATGTGAACAGAGGAGGAGGCTGAGAGGTACACACTTAATTCCTCTTCTCCAATTCACCAATCAGACTAGTCACTCTCTATTCCCTAAAAGGGGGTGAATTAAAGTTGGGATCAGGATCAGGGGGTTAAAGCCTTTCCAGTACTCCCCGGCTGGTGTGTTAATGGATCACAGGTGTGTCACGAGATATGGATCTTTTCATCCTTGGACCGAGGATAAGCAGAGCCCCAGACTTGTCTTCAGCCATGAGCACCTTCATCAGAACCCTAATTTCCTTCCAATTTAGCCTCATTGACCCAATATTATCATTTTCTGTTTGTATCATATTGGGGAAAATTCTGGCATGTACTGCTCTAAGCAGTGGTCACCTCTGTATTTACAGATATGAAACCAGCACCGAGAAGGTCACCCCTAGTCCCTTACTCGGTACACAGAAAATTCTTATGCCAAATGCCCTTCTTCCTGCCACCAAGTTCTCCCCTGTCTTCCCCAAAGCAACCAATAGTTACTCTTTCTATACACAGGTAAATATTTCATGTCCTTCTTTAAAAAAATACAACACAAATCACAACATATGCCAAATGCTTTAATAAAATACCATCACATCTCAGCGGCTTAATGTAGTAAATGTTTATTTCTTGTGCATGTCTCAATCCAGTGTGGCTTTTTAGGTCAATGATGGGGCACTGGGTTCCTCTCCTGGAGCCATTAATGGCTCTGACTTCCTTTAATCTAGTCTCTCTGTTAGTCTCTAGGGATTCATAACCGCTGCCGAATGCTCTACATAAGCTGAAAAAGGAAGGAAGGAGAGAAAGCATGGAAAATCTGGGGGATTTTTAGGGACTAGGAAGTGATAAATATTATTTCCGTCCATATTCAGTTGGCCTGAACTCAGTCATATGGTCCCACCTGACTACAAGGAAATGTAGTCTACATGTCTGACCAGGACAAAAAGGAAATGGGTGTTGTGAGGCCATAGAGATTTCTGTTACACATGCCAGACATGCCATTCTGCACCTTGCTCTTTTGACTTGACAATACATTTTTGAGCACAGCCACATTATTTCATAGGCGAGCAGTTTCCTCAGCTTTTTTAACAGGCGCGTTTTATGAATTATATCATAATTTATTTAACTAGTCCATGGTCCAATCATCCTCAATGATTTGTTTTTTCTATTATTTCATCTGCAATAAATACTCTTGTAATTATATTATTCCACACATGTGCAAGCATATCTGCAGGATAAATTCTCCGGTGAGGTGTTGCTGAATCAAATGGTATCAACAGTTAACATTTTGATAGCTATTACCAAATTACCCTTCTTAGGAGTAATACAAAGTATATTTCCAGTAGCCATTTTATTATTTAATTCTGCTTGTGTAAAATAGCTCAACAGGTTTGAGTAAACATAGTTTAAATCCAGTGGATCTGAGAGAGGCCCACAATCTTGGTTGTATCCTCCTGTTGGACTTTACCTTCCCCTCTATTCCTTAGGAACCCAACGTTGTCTATTTCTGTTCCCCAGGTGTTCCTTGTGCCTCATATTCTCAAACCATTGCTTCAATATTTTATTTCATTTAGATTCAGATCTAGTGAACACTTCTTGTTTTTCTTTTCTTTTTCTTTTTTTTTTTTCTTTTTAGACAAGATCTCTCTCTGTCACCCAGCCTGGAGTGTGGTGATGCAATCCTGGCTCACTGCAACCTCTGCCTCCCGGGTTCATGCGATTCTCGTGCCTTAGACTCCAGAGTAGCTGGGATTACAGGCGTGTGCCACTGTGCGTGGCTAATTTTTTTGTTTTTTTGTTTTTGTTTTTTAACTGGAGACCATTTTTTGCCATGTTGGCTGGGCTGGTCTCAAACTCCTGGCCTCAAATGATCCACCCACGTCGGCCTCCCAAAGTACTGGGATTATAGGTGTGAGCCACTGTGCCGGGCCAGTGAACACTTCTTGAAAAATAGGGCTGGGTACCAAGCAGAACCCTTTAAATTCATTATTACATATAATCCTCAGAAGCAACTCTAGGAAGCAGGCATTTTCATGCCCATAGTACGAATAAGGAAACTGAGGCTCAGAGAGGTTAAGTAAATAGACCAAGGTCATCTAACTACTAGGTGGTATATTTTCATTAGGTATTCTGAGAGTATTCTTTTTTCTCTCACTCTGGTGCTTCTCAAACCAAAGCATAACTTAAGGCAGAGGAAAAGAAATGCACACACTTGAGCTGTCCCTAGGTGTGACCCAAAGCTGCCTGAGCCATGATGTTTCCTTTGAAGTCTCCTATTTGTATTAAAAACAGATACAGATTTTTAGTTTCACTTTTTCATATATCTGCATTTATTTTAATATTTTAAATTCCTTGCTACCAACTGTAACTGAAACCCCAGGAAGCTACCGGTGTTCTCTGTGGTTTGGGGAACTCTGGTCCACTGCCCCCGGGGGAGGCAGGAGAGCATGGTTCTGCATGTCAATGCCCCACAAATAGACTCTTACCCATTCTTCAAAATCCAACTCATATGCTGCTTCAACATCAAAATTTCCTGGGGGATCAGCAAGCCCAGAATGGTGTCCCTGTCATAGAAAACTCTGAATTACAGCTTATCCCAGCACCTTAGATGCAATTATACAGCGTCTTCCCTTTCTTGGACTATAACCTTCATGGAGTCAGTCTCTCTATAATATATCTTCAAGTGCTTCGCAGCAAAAAGAGGGTTGTTAAATTTCTAATGAATAAAGCATTGAAGATGATTAACACATTATTGTTAACCACTTAAAAAAAAATCAGCAATTGCAAAACAGCAAGAGCCTACTTCTTAGTTCCAACTTCTCTTAAACACTCCTAAATCTTGCTTAAAATGGTTATGTTAGCCTCATGTTTCCTTGGAAAGCACACATTTCATTTGCCCATGCATATATATCCAATTCCCAGTGATAGTCCTGTCTTATTGATTGACCCTGGGTAAGCCATTAATTTATTCTCCTGTCTCTGGAAAATGGGGATAATTGCATTTGCCAGCTACCACTTGAGAATGTTGTCAGAATTGATGAAACAATGTTTTTAAAAGACCTCTTTGGAAGGAATGTACTACATAAATCACAATCCCTCACTAGGATGGTTGTTTTAGTGATTATTTATTTAGTAGTTCAGTGGAACACTGATATTTCTTCCCAGATAAGTCATATTGAGTCAATGGATTCCTTAATACTCAGACCCAAACAGAATTTTATATCTGTAACCTTCTGATGAACTTGGAAATTAACTTGGTACATATCCTTTCCACTCTGGGAAGTGTTCAAGTTGATTATCTCTGTAAATATATGTCTGGGCCATTGCTAGCCAAATACTGGTGCACATATGAGATAATATTTAAAATTTGCTGCATCCTCGTGAACATATTGATATTTTTCTCTCTCCCATTTTATCTTTAAGAATTGAATTTTAATATTTAAAAATCTCACTGTTTTCATAAGACATACGTAATGTTTCCATCTCAGAGTTGGAGGTCTGTTGCTCCAAATTAGTCACACCTTTTGTAGTATGACAGAACATCTAAAAAGGAAATAGTATAAATTTTAAATTCTAGTAACCATCTATAAATGTACTCTCCAATTGCCACTAGCTACCAGTGTTAAAATTAAAAATTCAGTCCCTCAGTTGCACTAGCTACTGTTCAAGTGTTCAATGGCTCATGTGGCTAGTGGCCACCATATTGTATAGTACAAGGAAAGAACATTTCCACCATCACAAAAAGTTCTATTAGGCAGTGCTTGTCCATAAGATTTGTATCTTAAAAGACTAATGAAAGGCTTAAGCGGGAACATTTTTAGCTTTCTGCTCTTCTCACCCATCCCTCGCTTGGATTTTTTCTCCTCATGTTACAATAATTTCTTTTTAACTGTTTGGGCCTTAAAAACAGCCCCACCTCCAAGGCCACGATTTGAACACAAAGTCTGGGGAGAATGACATGTGGAATTCCCATCTGGAGGTTAGTACAGCAGCAGATCCAGCCATTTCTGAGAAATTGTCTGGGTTTGGAGTTACTCCCAGAACTCTGATTTAGCAGTTCGTAAGCTTACAGCAAGTCTGAAAAGAACACAAATCTGTTTTGTATACACAAATAAATCCTTGCATGCTGCATGCCATTCTCAGCCTGCCAGTTTCATCTGGCTGCTCCAGAAAATATAATTCAATAGGATATTAGTTAACCTGCATGCAGGGAATGGGGCATTTTCATTATTGAAATGTTCTGGTTGAGTGATTAACCCGATTTTTGCAGAAAAACTGCTGAGGCAAGGGATTTTCTGTCCAGGAGGTTGTACCACTGTGTTTCTCTCTTCCAGATGATCACAGCTGCACTGCTTCATCCCTCAAGCATTCAGAAATACATCTCTATGCTAAAAACTTTCAAATATGCATTGATATATTCTCAAAGAAGCCTCATAAAAATAGATCAATAATGGTGTTCCTGATACTCTTAGAAAGGGAACAAACTTAAATGAAAAATTAAGATCTTTCCTCAAATTTTGCACAGTTGTGTAACCTTTAGGAGTTTCTGACAATAGGCAGTTTCTTCAAATGCTATGATTTGAAAATATTCGTTCAAATATTTTATTTTCTTTTGTAATAAATAAAATGTGCTTACTAGATGTCAGGCAATGCTTTGAGGGCTTTACAAATATTAATTCATTTAATTCTTATAACCATCTTAGAATTAGGTACCACACTATTATGTCCATTGTAAAGATGAGAAAACTGAAGGACAGAGAGGTTAAATAGCTGTCCAAGTCAAGGAGCTTAGGATGTGAACCCAGGAAATTTGGCTCTGAGTGTCCATGCCCTTAAACACTACTCCAAATAGTTTATATAACAGAAGGAACCTAGATCATGAAATAAAATGATTTGTTTTTCTCCTCAGTGCCTCAGTTTTCATATATTAAAAGCCAGAGGTCAGTGAGGTAAAAACAGAATCAAAACATTGGTGCTTCTCTTCAAAAGATAATTACAAGCCAAGCTTTGTACACCAAAAGTCAAATGTACTAAGAGCCCAGAATCAATTATAAAATACAAAACCTAGTAGAATTAGATTGATTTTCTGAAAATAAATTAATGTAATACATTGGTTTTAAATATAGGATGAGCAGATCATCGTTTTCAGCTTCTGAGTTGATTGTGGCAGTCCAAAAAGCTTTTTTACTCAGGTTTCTGAATGAGCAAGTATAACAAAAGAAATGGCTGGAGTTTAATCATGTCTGATTCATAAATGTAAGTAAAACAATTTTTCTAGACATGTGGAATATGTGCTAGTGAGAGGAAACCAACGTTTGATGAGCAGCTATGATTTAGCAGGCATTTGACCTTAGGCTTTCTTACTACCTAAGCAAAAAACCTAGAAGTGATTTCTCCCTTTCCTGTTACCCTCAACACCTAACTTGTTGACTGCTCATTCTGCCTCCCCAGTATACTTGGGTACTGCCTTCTCTCCCCAACTCCCGGCCACCATCCTCTCTCACCGGGATTCTGCAGAAGCCACCCAAGTGACTTTCTTAAAGCATCGAGATGGTCTCTCATCCCCGCCCAGCCCTCTACCGGCACCTTCTCCATTTGGGATCACCTCCCAGCACTGCCCAATTCCACCTGGGTCTTCTTCAACCCCATCTGCCCATGCTATGGCCTTTGCCCACTCCACCCAGCCCCTCTGGCCTTTGGGTTTCTGAACACACACAGCTGTTGCCTTTTCTTTTCTTTTTTCTTTTTTAAAGACAGAGTCTCATTCTATTGCCCAGGCTGCAGTGCAATGGCGCCATCTCGGCTTACTGCAACCTCCGCCTCCCAGGATCAAGCGATTCTCCTGCCTCAGCCTCCCAAGTAGCTGGGATTACAGGCATGAGCCACCATGCCCAGCTAATTTTTGTATTTTTAGTAGAAACGGATTTGAACCCAGGAAGCTTGGCTCTGAGTGTCCATGCCCTTAAACACTACTCCAAGTAATTTATATAATAGAAGGAACATAGATCATGAAATAAAATGGTTTGTTTTTCTCCTTAGTGCCTCAGTTTTCATATATTAAAAGCCAGAGGTCAGTGAGGCCCCACACTATGGCCTTTGCCCACTCCACCATTTCTTTTGTTATACTGGCTCATTCAGAAATCTGAGTAAAAAAACTTTTTGGACTGCAACAATCAACTCAGAAGCTGAAAATGATGATCTGCTCATCCTATATTTAAAACCAATGTTTCACCAATTTGGCCAGGCTGGTCTTGAACTTCTGACCTCAAGTGATCCACACTCCTTAGCCTCCCAAAGTGCTGGGATTACAGGCATGAGCCACTGTGCCCAGCCTACACACAACTGTTTTCTACCTCAGATCTCTGTGCGTGTTATGCTCTGGCTGGGATCCTGTTTCCTCCACTCATCTCCTGTTTCGGTCACATTTCTGCCTTTGGATCTCAGCTCTAATTTCACTTCCTCGGAGAGCCAGTATGAGGAAGGGTGAAGGGAGGTTCTGACAATGCCCAAACAGGCCCAGAGTAAAACATGAAGCCAAGAGAGGCTTTTAAAAATTTTAGTGGTGAAGGTATCCATCTCCTCAAGCATTTATTATTTCTTTGTGCTATACACATTCCAATCATACTTTTAGTTAATTTTAAATGTACAGTAAGTTATTGTTGACTATACATACCTTGTTGTGCTCTCAAATACTAGATCTTATTCATTCTATGTAACTATGTTTTGTGCCCATTCACAATCCCCACTTGCCCCCCCCACCACCACATAATACCCTTCCCAGCCTCTGGTAACCATCATTCTACTTACTCTTTCTCTCCATGAGTTCAATTGTTTCAATTTTTAGCTATAGAATGAGTAAAAATATGCAAAATTTGTCTTTTGGCTTTTTAAAATTTTTAATTAAAAAATCCTTACCTGTGATGTGGGTATAATTCATTCCATTTTAATACATTTGACTCTCAAAAGTAAGTTTTTTTTTCCAGTTGAGCAAATATATATTGAGCAATTTGCTAGGCACTGGCAGAGGAGAAGGCAATGCAGACTAAGGCATCACTGTGATCCTTGATACGATCCCAATTTAATAGGAGAAACAGTCAAATATAAACCAATAATCATCAAAGTATGCAATGAAACACAGATGCCACAAAAGAGGGGCCAAAATGCTAAAAATCACAGAACAGAGAGTGGCCGGTTTGGAATGGCAAATCGGGCAGATATCACAGGGAAGTAACTTTTGAGAGGCAGCTTGAAAGATGAGTAAGAATTCAGGCATAAAAGGGGAAGAAAATTGTAAATTAGAGTTGTGAAACCCATACATTTGATTTTGATGAGGAGTCTAATGGTGAGAAGCTCTTAGTGGTAAAATAATGAATGCCTGTGTGTGTGGGTGGGGGACGGGGGGTAGGGGATGTGGGAAGAGGTGGGGGGGAAAAGAATAAAGGATAAAGAGAAGTAGAGAAATAAGATAATAAGTCCAGGAAAGTTTTAGAGATCAGTGAGTTTTTATTTTCAGATTACCCAGCAAAGAGCAGATAGATATTGGATTCAAGAATTTCTACATCATTTCTTTCACTCGAGTCTCTGTGAAGAGACCACCAAACAGGCTTTGTGTGAGCAATAAAGCTTTTTAATCACCTGAGTGCAGGCGGGCTGAGTCCGAAAAGAGAGTTAGCGAAGGGAGATAGGGGTGGGGCCGTTTTATAGGATTTGGGTAGGTAATGGAAAATTACAGTCAAAGGGGGTTGTTCTCTGGCAGGCAGGAGCGGGGTACACAAGGTGCTCAGTGGGGGAGCTTTTGAGCCAGGATGAGCCAGGAGAAGGAATTTCACAAGGTAATGTCATCAGTTAAGGCAGGAATGGGCCATTTTCACCTCTTTTGTGGTGGTATGTCATCAGTTAAGGCAGGAACCAGCCATTTTCACTTCTTTTGTGATTCTTCACTTGCTTCGGGCCATCTGGACGTATAAGTGAAGGTCACAGGGGATAAGATGGCTTAGCTTGGGCTCAGAGGCCTGACATTCCTGCCTTCTTATATTAATAAGAAAAATAACATAAAATAGTATTGAAGTGTTGGGGCAGCAAAAATTTTTTTGGGGGGTGGCATGGAGAGATAATGGGCGATGTTTCTCAGGGCTGCTTCCAGCAGGATTAGGGGCAGTGTGGGAACCTAGAGTGAAAGAGGTCAAGTTGAAGGAGGATTTTGTGGTAAGGGGTGATATTGTGGGGTTGTTAGAAGGAGGATTTGTCACATAGAATGATTGGTGATGGCCTGGATACGGTTTTGGATGAATTGAGAAACTAAATGGAAGATACAAGGTCCAAATAAAGGAGAAAAATAGGTATTAAAGGACTAAGAATTGGGAGGACCCAGGACATCCAATTAGAGAGTGCCCAAAGGGGTTCAGCGTAATTACTTGCTTGGTTGGCAAGTTTTTGGGCTCTGTCCTTGAGTTTTTTTATGTTGTCATACACCAGGCCAGATTGATTTAGGTAAAAACAATACTCTTCATTTAAAAATATACAGAGTCCTCCTTTTTCAGCAGTAAGTCAAGGCCTCAGCGGTTCTGGGGGACAACTGCAGCTAAACAGTCAACTTGGGCCTGGAGGACTGATAAAGTTTGTGATATGTCTGTGATGCTAGCAGAGAAGTCATTAGACAGGCTACGGAAGGTCGTGACAGAGGTTGAAATGCCTGCTATTCCAGTACCTAGAGCAATAGTGGAGGTGGAAAGTCCTAAACCGACCAGCAAGGGAATTAGTGGAATAACTCTTTTTTGTCGTGTTGGTGTCATGAGGGGAACAGGGAGCTCTTTGGTCCCATTTGCAAATTGAATTTTGGGAGTAAGGAAAACTAGTGAGCATGTGCCTGTCCAGTTAGCAGGTAGACACACGTAGGTAGAGGATCCACAGAGCAAGAAGAGACCTTGTGCAAGGCAAAACTGGAGATGCAAAGTAAAAAGATGAGAAGGAGTGCTGAAAGGGGTGTCTTGTACCCAGAATCCTAGGGATCCAGCTAGGGCGGCAGCCATCAGAGGTTGTAATGGGGACTGATGGGGTAACTGCTTAGAGGGGGAGGTTTGATTTTCATGGTGTAGGAGAAAACGTTGAGTGTCTACGAGTAACCTTTCACTGTTATTTACGGGGCTAGGGGTAAGTAAACAAGAAGAGGGCCTGGGAGGAGAGTCTGATGAGCAAGGGGAAGGTAGCCAAGGATGGAGTGAAATACAGGGTAAGTGTCTTCCTAAGCAATAATTACTGCTAATGTTTTTAAGTTTGTCAGTATTGATAGAGGGCTTATCTGTAATATGGAGCTGGAAGGCTCCAATTGTTTCAGTGATGTGTGTAGTTGGGCTTTGGAGATGAAGAGTGAAGGAACATCGAGAAGGTGAAAGGTTACCCAGGGGAATTCCAGTGGGTCTTTGCTGAGAGATACGTAAAGGAGCGGCCACAGGAATAGTAGTTTGTGTTGTGAGGGGTCCACATAAGGGGGGAGTAGAGTTAATATAAGGAGAAAGGTTTTTTAAGTAAGTGTGGAGGAGGACGGCAGCTTGCTGATGTGAAATGTCTGGGGAGGTCTTGCTGGACCTGTCTAGAAAGTAAAGAAGTTCTTCAGGAGGGTAAAGGTGAGGGCTGTTAAAGGAAGTTCAGGTTTAGGGAGACAGGAGATGTCGCCCAGTCTGTATGTAAGGCGGGGACAGCTGTGTAGGCGCTGGAAGAAAGGGAAATGCAAAGCCAGCAATTGTTTGCTAAGGAGGGATTAGAAATGGCTAGGAGAGAGTGAGTAAGGTTGATAGCGTGGTGGAGATAGCTGGGGAGAGATAGAGGGTGGCATAAGGATGGGAATGAGAATAACAGTGAGTATAAAAGTAAAGAATAGAACTTCATCAGGGTGAAAGTATTGAAGGGTGCCCTGCCAGCAAAGATCCTCTATCCACTCTAAGAGGGAGTTAAGAGTGGCAGTTTGGGGATAGCACCAGGAGACAACAGCTGTGATGGCTTGGAGAAACAGTGTAAACCGGCAGTGTAAACAAGAGTAGGGCATTTATAAGTAGTAGAGAATGATGAATAAAACTAGACAGAAGATAGTAGGGATGACTAGTTTTGGGGGCTCTGCCCAAGTAGTGGGGGTGACTGCATAAAGCCCTGTTGCAAAAAGTAGGATAAGGATGAACAGGCCTAATAGAATGAAGGGATGTATTAGGCTCATAAGGGTTGTTACTGTTCTTCAGAAATGCAAGTGAGTTTAAGGGAAGTAGGGGAGAGTACTTGTGACTTCCAGGAGGAAGAGGGGGGATTAGGCTGGCTGACTGATGGACACAGCTTTACTCTGGAACGGTGAACCCAGTGGGGAGGATCCTGCAGGTGGACGGCAGTTGGGGTACTATAGATGACTAAGTAGGGTCCAGTCCATCGAGGTTGTAGAGTTTGAGGGGTCAGATTCTTAACAAGAACTGATTGTCCAGCTAGGGTGTGTTCATATGGTTGAGAATCTGGAGTAGGCAAGAGAAGATTAGCAGCCTGGCGAATTTCCTGTCTAGCCTGCTGGAGGACTGGAGGATAGTCACCTAGAGGGCTGGTGTCTGGGACAAGGTTGGGGCTGAGTAAGAAAGTGCGTCCGTATAAAAGTTCAAATGGACTGTACCCTGTAGCATCTCGAGGACAGGCTCTAATTCTGAGAAGGGCAAGAGGTAAAAGTACTGTCCAGTCCTTTTTAAATTGGAGGCTGAGCTTGGTGAGGTGTGTCTTTAAAAGACCATTAGTCTATTCTACCTTTCTTGAAGATTGAGGATGGTAAGGGATTTGAAGGTTCCACTGAATACCAAGAGCCTGAGAAACTGCTTGGGTAATTTAACTAGTAAAGGCTCATCCGTTATCGGACTGTATAGAGGTGGGAAGGCCAAACTGAGGAGTTATGTCTGACAGAAGGGAAGAAATGACCACGGTGGCCTTCTCAGACCCTGTGGGAAAGGCCTCTACCCATCCAGTGAAAGTGTCTACCCAGACCAAGAGGTATTTTAGTTTCCTGACTCGGGGCATGTGAGTAAAGTCAATTTGCCAATCCTGGGCAGGGGCAAGTCCCTGAGCTTGATGTGTAGGGAAGGGAGGGGGCCTGAACAATCCCTGAGGGGTAGTAGAATAGCAGATGAAACACTGAGAAGTGATTCCCTTGAGGACAGATTTCCATGATGGAAAGGAAATTAGAGATTCTAAGAGGCGGGCTAGCGGCTTGTAACTTACATGGAAGAGGTTATGAAATGATGACACAATAGAATGGGCCTGTGAGGCTGGAAGGAGATACTTTCCTTGGTCTAAGAACCATTTGCCTTATGTGGAAAGAGATTGACAGGTGGGAGTTTCAGTGGGGGAGTAGGTGGAAGTGACCGATGAGAAGGAGAAAAACTGGCCGTGAGGGACAGAAGTTGGAACACTAGCTGCTTCTTTAGCTACCTTATCAGCATAAGCGTTGCCGAGGGCAATGGGATCTGATGCCTTTTGATGGCCTTTGCAGTGAATGACTCCAGCTTCTTTTGGAAGTAAAGCGGCCTTGAGAAGAGTTTTTATTAAAAAGACATTAATGATGGAGGACTCTTGTGTAGTGAGGAAACCTCTTTCAGCCTATATAACAGCATGGTGGTGCAGGATGTGGAAGGCATATTTAGAGTCAGCATAAATATTGACATGTAATCCCTTTGCAAGAGTGAGGGCCCGAGTTAAGGCAATGAGTTCGGCTTGTTGAGAGGTAGTGGAGTAGGGCAGAGCGGTAGCCTCAATGATAGATGTGGAAGATATATAGCATAGCCTGCCTTTGCTGGTGAGTGGCGATTAGGCCTGATGGAGCTGCCATCAGTAAACCAAATGTGATCAGGGTGAGGAACAGGAAAGAAGGAAACATGGGGAAATGGGGTGTATGTCAGGTGGATCAGAGAGATACAGTCATGGGGGTCAGGTGTGGTATCCGGAATAATGTGGGAGGCTGGATTGAAGTCTGGGCCAGGAACAATGGTAATGGTGGGAGTCTCAACAAAGAGTGAGTATAACTGAAGGAGCTGGGGAGCAGAAAGTATATGCATCAAGTGTGAGGAAGAAAATAGATTTTGGAAGTTACGAGAGCTGTAGACAGTGAGTTGAGCATAGTGTGTGATTTTAAGGGCCTCTAAAAGTATTAGGGCAGTGGCAGCCGCTGCATGGAGACATCATGGCCAGTCTAAAACAGTAAGGTCAAGTTGTTTGGACAAAAGGTCTACAGGGCGCGGTCCCGGTACTTGTGTAAGAATTCCAACTGCACAGCCCTGCACTTCAGCTGTGTGTAACCAAAAGGGTTGGGATGAGTCAGGGAGAGCTAGTGTGGGAGCAGTCTCTAAATCTGTCTTCAAGGAATGGAAAGAGGAGTGGGGAAAGGATTTAGGATCTATGGGGTCAGCTAGGTTTCCTTTTGTGAATTTACATAATGGGTTTGTTAGGATGGCAAAACCAGGTATCCAAAGGTGAAAGTATCCAACCATGCCTAGGAAGGAAAGGAGTTGTTGTTTTGTAGAAGGTGTTGGGGTTTGAGAGATCAGTTTGGACACAATCGGCAGGGAGAGCATGTGTGTTTTTATGAAGAATTATGCCAAGACAGGTAACGGATGGAGAAGAAATTTGAGCTTTGGAGGGGAATACCCGATATCCTTTGGAGAATAAATGTTGAAGGAGCAGGAGGGTGTCTTGTTAGGAAGACTCAAAGGAGGGACTACAAAGTAGAAGGTCATCAATATATTGAATAAGGTGAGAAGTGGAGGGGTGGAAAGAAAGTAAATCATGAGAAAGAGCTTGGCTGAAGTAATGAGGGCTGTCCCTGAAGCCTTGCGGCAGCACAGCCCAGGTAAACTGCTGGGACTGATGGGTGTCAGGGTCAGTCCAGGTAAAAGCAAAGAGAGACTGGGATAAGTGGTGCAGGGGAATAGTGAAAAAAGCATCTTTAAGATCAAAAACGGAACAGTGAGTTGTGGAGGAAGGTATTGAGGACAAAAGAGTATATGGGTTTGGCACCACGGGGTGGATAAGTAAAATAATTTGGTTCATAAGGCGCAGATCCTGAACTAACTTGTAAGACTTGTCTGGTTTTGGGACAGGTAAAATGGGGGAATTGTAAGGAGAATTTGTAGGCTTTAAAAGGCCATGCTGTAACAGGCAAGTGATAACAGGCTTTACTCCTTTTAAAGCGTGCTGTAGGATGGGATATTGGCATTGAGCAGGGTAAGGGTGATTAGGTTTTAATGGGATGATAAGGGGTGCATGATTGGTCACCAAGGAGGGAGCAGAGGTGTCCCATACCTGTGGATTAAGGTAGGAAGATACAAGGGGAAGATGCGAAGGAGACTTTGAACTGGGGAAAAGGCAGCAATGAGGTATGGCTGTAGCCCAGGAATAGTCAGGGAAGCAGATAATTTAGTTAAAATGTCTCGACTTAATAAGGGAGCTGGGCAGGTGGGGATAACTAAAAAGGAGTGCTTAAAAGAGTATTGTCTAAGTTGGCACCAGAGTTGGGAGTTTTAAGAGGTTTAGAAGCCTGGCCATCAATACCCACAACAGTTATGGAGGCAAAGGAAACAGGCCCTTGAAAAGAAGATAATGTGGAGTGGGTAGCCTCTGTATTGATTAAAAATGGTACAGACTTACCCTCCACTGTGAGAGTTACCTGAAGCTCGGTGTTCGTGATGGTCTAGGGGGCTTCCGAGGTGATCAGGCAGCATCGGTCTTCAGCCGCTAAGCTGAGAAGATCTGGGAAGGAGTCAGTCAGAGAGCCTTGGGCCAGAGTTCCAGCGGCTCTGGGAGTGGCTGCCAGGTGAGTTGAACAGTCCGATTTTCAGTGGGGTCCCACACAGATGGGACATGGCTTAGGAGGAATCCTGGTCTGCGGGCATTCCTTGGCCCAGTGGCCAGATTTCCGGCACTTGTAGCAAGCTCCTGGATGAGGAGGTTCTGGAAGAACCCCTGGCAGCTGGGGTTCAGGAATTTGGAGTTCTTGTGTGCTGGAAATGTGGCTGGGGTTTGTCTCACAGTGGGGGCAAGGAATTGCAACTCAGAAATACATTGCTACTTGGCTGCCTCTACTCTATTATTGTACACCTTGAAGGCGTGGTTAATTAAGTCCTGTTGTGGGGTGTGAGAGCTGGAATTTAATTTTCGAAGCTTTACTTAATGTTGGGAGAGGATTGGGTAATAAAATGCATATTGAGAATAAGATGGCCTTCTGGCCCCTATGGGTCTAGGGCAGTAAAGCATCTAAGGGTTGTTGCCAAATGGGCCATGGACTGGGCTGGGTTTTTATACTTGATGAAAAAGAGCCCAAATGCTAACTGATTTGGGAGAGGTCGGATAAAGAAAAAGGAGCATTAACCTTGACTATGCCTTTAGCTCCAGCCACCTTTTTAAGAGGAAATTGCTGGGCAGGTGGGGGAGGACTAGTCGTGGAACAGAACCGTAAGCCAGACCAGGTGTGAGGAGGGGAGGTGATAAAAGGATTATAGGGTGGAGGAGCAGAGGCTGAGGAAGAATTGAGACCTGGCTCAGCCTGGCAAGGAGCAGCCTGGGGAGGAGGGGAGAGGTCAGTTGGGTCTGTAGAAAAGGAAAATTGGAAAGACTGAGCAACACTTGGGGTTGGAACTGAGGGGACAGGCGGGAGGGAAAGAAGCAAGATTTGGGACAAGTTGCATGGGAACAGAGACTAGGGAGGGACCGATGTGTAAAAGAGTGCCTGGATGTCATGCACCTCAGACCATTTGCCCATTTTACGACAAGAATTATCTAGATCTTGTAGGATGGAAAAATTGAAAGTGCCGTTTTCTGGCTGTTTGGAACCACTGTCGAGTTTCTACTGGGGTCAAGTGGTGTTGCAGAAGAAAATAAAATGCTTAGATTTTAGGTCAGGTGAGAGTTGAAGAGGTTTTAAGTTCTTGAGAACACAGGCTAAGGGAGAAGAAGGAGGAATGGAGGGTGGAAGCTTGCCTATAGTGAAGGAGGCAAATTTAAAGAGAAGGGTAGAGACATGGAGAAGGGTGTGGGGAGCAGCTCTGGGCAGCCAAAGCAGGCGTCCCCGCAATTGACTTGCCACCAAGGGAATGTGGGTGAATGACCAAGGCAGGTGTCCCTGTGGTGATCACACACCAATGGAATGTGGGTGAATAATCAGGCAGGCATCCCCACAGTGATTAAACACCAAGGGAAGACTGTCTTCCCGAGTCTGTGACTGGCGCCGGAGTTTTGGGGTCCACGGATAAAATGTGTCTCCTTTGTCTCTACCAGAAAAGGAAAGGAACTGAAATTAAGAGAAGGGAGAGATTGAAGTGTGGCGCCAAGATTGAAAGGAGAAAGAGGTTGAGGGATAGGGAGAGAGGCTGGAGAAGAGAGTAAAGAGAGTCCGCTTACCGGATTTAAAATTGGTGAGATGTTCCTTGGGCTGGTTAGTCTGAGGACCAGAGGTCGTAGGTGGATCTTTCTCACGGAGCAAAGAGCAGGAGGACAGGGGTTGATCTCCCAAGGGTGGTCCCCTGATCCGAGTCATGGCACCAAATTTCACATGCATCTGTGTGAAGAGACCACCAAACAGGCTTTGTGTGAGCAATAAAGCTTTTTAATCACCTGGGTGCAGGTGGGCTGAGTCCCAAAAGAGAGTCAGTGAAGGGAGATATGGGTGGGGACATTTTATAGGATTTGGGTAGGTAGTGGAAAATTACAGTCAAAGGGGGTTGTTCTCTGGTGGGCAGGGGCGGGGGACACAAGGTGCTCAGTGGGGGAGCTTTTGAGCCAGGATGAGCCAGGAGAAGGAATTTCACAAGGTAATGTCATCAGTTAAGGCAGGAACAGGCCATTTTCACTTCTTTTGTGGTGGAATGTCATCAGTTAAGGCAGGAACAGGCCATTTTCACTTCTTTTGTGGTGGAATGTCATCAGTTAAGGCAGGAACCGGCCATTTTCACTTCTTTGGTGATTCTTCACTTGCTTTGGGCCATCTGGTCCATGCAGGTCACAGGGGATATGATGGCTTAGCTTGGGCTCAGAGGCCTGACAATTTCACTGCACTTCATACCAAGTCATACTTGCTTTATGGCCAAGTTTATTTTGACATTTAAGTAAAACCCAATAAACAAATACTAGAAAAATCAATTTTCAAGTTCAAGTGTGTTCTTCCATGGAGTCTGGAAAATGTTTTAAATTTTGGAATGGGACAAAATAGGGAAAGCGAAGAACCAATTTCCAAAAATATTTTATTTGGGGAAAACTTTAAATAAATCCTTGTAAGAAGCCTATATACATATATATTTTATATATATATAAAAAGACATTTTTCTCAGAGAGATTTCACTGAGTTTTTGTTGTTGTTGTTAGCTATAGTGTGGAAGTATGTAGATTTTACCTTTAGAAGCTACAGTTATACTGTATTTATGAATTTCCAAATTTTCATTTTTTCCTACCTTCATCTCTGCCAAGTTAATAGTTAATATGCCTCACAAAGGCTTAGCAAAAGCAATTACAACTGTTTTTTGAAACATGTTTTTTTAATGACCCAAAGGAGCATCATTCTAACTATCCTTTTTTTCCTTTCTGGCAGATGACATTTGATCCAGAAATCTTCTTCAATGTTTTACTGCCACCAATTATATTTCATGCAGGATATAGTCTAAAGAAGGTAAATATATAGTGATCATTTTCTTCTTTTATCATTAAGTAGAGAATTTTACCAGCACTAATGAGAAACTGTTATTTTTATGGGCTTCTCTATTTGGTAAGAGTATCATTATCTTAAATTTGTGATGCAGATTCAAACCTGACATGCTTAGAATTCTAGACTTCTTCTAAACCTGTTCTGTTGAATACAGGCCATTAACCACATGTAACTATTGAGCTCTTGAAATGCGTCTTGTCTGAATCGAGATGTTCTTTAAGTGTAAAATACACACTGGATTTTAAAGATTTTGTATTTATTCAAATAATGTAAATATTTCCATAATGTTTTATATTGATTTCGTGTAGAAATGTTAGTATTTTGGATAGATTGGATTAAACAAAACATTATCAAAACCTATTTCATCTTTTAAAAACATTTTAATGTAGCTGCTAGAAAATTTAAAATTTTTTAAATATGTGGCTTGCATTATATTTCTATTGGACAGCATTATTCTGGATGATTGTAACCAAAGACTTTGGTTATTAATTAACATTGAGTTTATCCTTTAAAGTGAAAACTCAAGACTACTGTTGATGCTCATAGACAGGAAAGTCCAGTTTTACAGTTTCTATGCACTTGTCTAACAGTACTTGAGCACGGCCTGACTATGCACATTTTGTACATTAGTAATTCACATAATGGTTTAAGTACTGGCATCCCCTGAGCCACAGAGTGAGGCTCCAGCCCACGTGGTTTTTGAGATGCAGAGGTGATGTGGCTGCTCTTCTGCTGCTCAGCTCCCACTCTAGGAGATTCCTGGGGCTTTCTTCCTCTTGAGCAGTCATCTTCAGCAGCCAGGCAGCTTGTTCATCACAGACCTGATTTTCTTGTGTGTACTCCAGGCTCCCTCTTGCTGTCAGGTCTGGCTCCTCAGATCCCACTCAAAAAACTGGAATGGGGTTTTCCCTAAGCAAGCAGTTGAAAAAATTTAGAAGGCTGGATTTGTTCAGGTAACCCTTCCTCATTGCCAGTCCCAATACTAAGCATCATTTTGTGGCTGACTCATTAAAATAAAGTGAATTGCTGTAGGTTTGGGGGATTTGTTTTGTTTTGTTTTGGAGACACAGTCTCCCTCTTTTGCCCAGGCTGCAGTACAATGGTACGATTATGGCTCACAGCAGCTTCGACCTCCTGTACTCAAACAATCTTCCTTCAGCCTCCCAAATTGCTGGAATTACAGGCGTGAGCCACCCACCAGGCTGTTGTAGATTTTTAAAGTTTATTTTCATCACATTCAGAAGATATAAAAGAGAAGTCAGACATCCAGTAAAATCAACAGGCAACGTAAATCTCTTAGAATAGTTTTGTTGTTGTTGTTGTTTTAATGCTAAAGGAATTGCATTTACAACAAAACTTCATGAAAACTGTGTCTTCCATTATTGCCCCGATTCTGGCATAGACATTGCCCAGTTCCTTGCTTCCCTCTCAGGTCCAGCCAGTTCTTGGAGTTGTCTCTCTCATCCCTACCTACTCATCTTCCAGTGGGTTTTTTTTTTTTTTTTTTTCTGCTTCTTGACTTTTCCCTCCAGTCCTTTGCAATGATAATCAGTTAAGTCCCTATTAGCACAATAAGGCCAGGAACGAGGCTCCAAAACCAAAATTTGCCTAAACAGTGAGGGGTCTGTGAACTGCATACATTTATTTTTATTTTCTTTTGCACTAAGAAAAAATTCTGATGTACTCTATTAAATATCTTTTTTTCTCCCCAGAGACACTTTTTTCAAAACTTAGGATCTATTTTAACGTATGCCTTCTTGGGAACTGCCATCTCCTGCATCGTCATAGGGTAAGTGACATTCGGAGCTCAAGTTGCAGGTGGCTGTGGGGTCTGTGATCTGTGTGAGGGATCTAACACTTCCAGGATTCTTGCTGGCTGGGAAAATTGTCTTTTTTTTAGTATATCACATATTTGTATGTTTTTTCTGACTTAATTCCACGGCTTCTGACAAATACAAGGCTTCAAATCAAAGCAAACTAGAGGATTGCTGGACTTTCTCTGTGAGTTCTGGACTTCTGACTTAGGGAATGTGGATCACTTGCCTTGAGTTATGTGAAGCGCATTGCATTCTTCTTTTAGTTTGAGTAATGCCGATATGCTCACTGCATTCTTTTTTGTCTTGTATTGAGAGACCTTACCTGTATTTGGCAGGAGTGCAAAAGTAACTATATGCCAAGAGTTTTCTTTCTAAAGGAAAGTTTACAAGACAGCAGTCTGAAACAGATATGTCCAAATATCAACAGAGTTGCTTAATACAGGGATAGCTTTTCAGTTAATACCCTGTAGAATGCAGACTCTTTTTTTCATTGTATTTTCTTGATTATGCTACTGAGCCCTAAGTCACACGTTATATACTCTGGCTTGCAGCTCATCATAAAGTAAAATGTGGTACCAAATGGTGAAGGCAATCCAGCCTCTGATAATCCCGTCCAATACATTAAAGCTCCACTGCAGGAAAAAAAAAAAATGTCCAGGTACTATGACTGTGATGATGCAGATGTCTTCAATTATCTGATACAGTCAACTCTATCCTTGATTTTTACTGTCTACAGCTGTTATAACCCAGCACAAGAAACTGATGCTAAAAATACACACGGTTCATGCCTCCACCCATTCTCTTACAGAGTTTCTAGTGTGTGTCAATTGAGGCCAAGGAAGTGTCAGGCGGTGTCTTTACTTGTGCCTGTAAGCAGAGGGATTTTGTGTTGAATGCACTGCTAAATTTCTTTTGAGTTGAGCCTAGAACAAGTCAGGCCATGTTATATAAAAATATTCAGAATGGTTTAAGGCAGTGAGAAAATTAAAGATTTTAGCACCTGAAAAGGGAGGTTTGCAAGCCTATAGATTAGGGAGCCCCATTAAGTTTGGACACTTAAATGGTCTTTAAACTGTGGGTGACCTGAGAGACACAGGGTACTTGATCCTTCTTAAAGCATGTTCTAGGAGGGCTTTTCTGTTCTGTGAGTATGCAATAGCTAAATATTCACATTTCTAAACTTTGCAGGGGCCTGAGAGATCTGTGTAACTACAGCCTCTCATTCGAAGATGAGACATCTTGAATAAATAGTTGGCTCAATCTTACCATCTCTGAGAATCAGGGCCGTTGTCAAAACAGAACTCAGAACTTCTGCTTCTGATCCAGCAGGCCTTCACCCTCTCTTCCTTTAGCAATTTCTCTTGAATTCATAAACATCCCTATACATTGTTTCTACACATTGAGAGAGGGTTCTGAGACATGTGGACTCACAACAAATGTTCCTTGGTTAGTAGTAAAGATTTATTTTAGTGGTTCTATAATATGGGGTCTTGAAATTTATAATGGATCCAAATTCTAAACTCTTGGACAATGCTGCCAAATTATAGAATAGTAAATTTTTATTGTTACCTCATTTCTTTGGTACAACTGGTTTTAAGTATATTTAAGTGCATTTATTTATATTATATGCTTTCACTATCATGAAAAATCTAAATTCTTTCTTAGATCTTTCAATATCATTTTTTTAGAAAGCACCAATATATACTGTGTGTGTGTGTGTGTTGTATATAATTGCCTTTATCTAAAACATTTCAATTTAAGAGATCCAGTGGTTTTCATTTACTGGGGTTGAGAACCTATTTTGATTTATTTTAAAACAGATTTTAAATTGTTGGTTGTCCAACAACTTATAATGGAAAGTCATTTGACTAAAAGAGTAGTCCTAAGAAAAATTTTAGAACGGTGTTCTTAGTTTGAACTGGGTATCTGAGCAACAAAAATTTGTAGTTACTTTCTTAATTTGGGTCATTAAAATACAGAAGGGAAAGATAGCCTAAACATTTTAGAATCGTATCTAGTGAGGTAAGGGAAATCATTGAAATGTTTTAGCTTGAAGATGAAAAGTCAGATTCATACTTTAGGGAGGTCATTTTGGTAGCTGCGTGAAGGAGAAATTTTAAAATGGGTACCATTTAAGAGGTAATTTACGTAGGCCAGATTGGAAATGATAAAGGCCTGGACTCAGGCAGTGGCAGAAAAGGTAAATGTAGAGTCATTAGCTTGGTGAAATCTTGGGAGAATATGGCATCACCCAGGGCAAGTAAGTGAAGTGAGAAGGAAAGAGATCTAGGGAACATCACTATTTTGAAGAAAGAGAAGAGACACTCACAAGGCACCAAGGAGTATTGGACCCCCAAAACAGGAAGAAAACCAACAGGGCATGTGTTCTGGAAGTCAAAGGAAGAGGAAAAGGGAGGGTCCACAGAACCTAACACAGGAGAGGTCAAATGGGATAGGAATTGTGGTACCACTGGATTTGACCCCTAGGAGGTAATGGGTGACTTTACACTTGTCTTATGGGCAAAAATGAGGGAAGAGTATTGGCAAGTCCAATTGTTTTGGGAGCCATATAATAAGAAACAAGAATTTACTTTTATGCTGCCAGTCTTGATATATAATTTCAGAACTTCTGAAGAAGAGGGCACATACTTAAATTCAGATCAAACTGACACTTTCATAACTTGGTAACTTCCATTATATGAGATACAATCAAACTATAGAAAGTGACTGGCTGTATTTTTCTTATAAATAAATGGTGACAAGGACAACAATTTATGGAGTGCTTGATACGTATCATGCCCTTTTTAAAAGCACTTTGCATGGATTATCCATCTAATCTTCAAAATAATCCTATTAAGTAGATACTATTTATTACCCTCATTTAACAGATGAAACAACTGAGGTTTAAAAAGAGTAACACAGTGGTAAGTAATAGAGCTGGGATTAGTAACTAAATTGTTTGGCTCCGGAGTCAAATAATTAATGCCAAAAACGTGCTTTACTTCTGTTTGTTGAATATTAGCACCAAAAAAATGAAATTGTATAAATCAATCAATATTCATCAACATAACCACGTTTCTTCATTATCCCAGTAGGAGTTCTCATAGACATGGGAGATTTTTATTTGGGAAGTCCATCCAAAAGGAATTCACATTTTTAAGGGATGGCCTGAGTTTATGCAGATATACGCAGATTTGCATGAAATGGGCAGGGGGAGAGATTCAGAATAGAAGTTAGATCAAACTCTTTGAGAATAATTTCATAGAGGAAGTGGATCCTGGGCAGACATTTAGTGGAGAAGGATAAAGAAGTCAGATTTTCCATGCCATTAAGTGCATTAGTTATGATGGGTGCCAGGAACGTTGTGCAAAGTTCCAGGATGGAGAGTAGGTTTCATGTAGCAGTGCCAGAGAATGTGGGAATGAAAATGCTAGAGAGTCAGCTGACAAAAGGCCATGAAGTCCAGCATCCAAAGTGTATGAGAACATGAAGGCCATGGAGAGAGATTGTGGAACATGAATGAAACTCTACTGGTGGGCTGTGACCTTCTGTAGCTAAGCAATATTGGTTTTAGCTGGACTCAGATGCTTTACAGGAATGGAGATCATTGGGTTTATTTGCATGAACAAGGTCTTTAAGTTTTATTAGTTTCATATGATTTCAGAAATTAGATGTAAACCGTTTTTCATATTGCATGGGAAAGTTTAACAATATTCCTTCTGGCAAGAAAGTTGAAGAAACCTTTTTTTATTTCAATGATAGATTGCTCGGAAAGAATTCACCTACCTTCTCTAGTACCCTCTCCCATTTTATCACTTGAGAAGTAGTATTTTAAATCCATCTCCTTCTAAGAAGAAAAGTCCATGTGTTTGAAATATTTCTGTATTCATGTCCTCCATCTTGGGGAACTATTCTTTGATCTTTGACTCTATGTCTCCACCCTATACACCATGCCAATATATCACAATGACAACCTAGCTGAAGCTCACTGTCAGCACATACATTTTGTTCTAAGAACTCATTAGTACCTATGAAATGCTTCTTTTTAAGAGCAACAAAAATTATATGCTCTTAGTTTCTCTGTTAATGAGGAATTAAAACAAATTTCACAGTTTCAAAAATATTTAAAGAAAGGGACATTGAATGATCAGGAATGGAGAATTAATTTTAAGAATACCTCATTTAAAAATTTTCTTTCCATGTGCCAGACACTGACTTATGCTTTTTACATGTATTATCTCATTTTATCTTATACTACCCCTATGAGGTAAATACTGTTATTATCATTATTTTACATATGAAGATGCTGTAGTTTAGACTTGTCCAAGATTATACAGTAAGTGGTAGTAAACTCAGAGCCAGTCTGACTCTAGAACACATGCTCTTAGAATCTCCTTGTCCTTCTCCTCCTCCTAAAATGACACTTTATGTGTCCTGCAGTATTGCATGAAATGGGCAGTATGTATCAGTAATTATATCTGTCTGACAGACTAAGACCTCAATAATTTCAGATTCTTACATTTATCATTATGGCTAGAAATCATGAAAAATCTAAATATTTCAGAATTGGCTGTGAATATAATTGCAAACAGGAATTCAAACCTGTCTTTTCTTACTGAAGGTGGTTGGAGGAATGGTACGAATCCATTTTACTTGCTTAATGTATTAGTCCATTCTCATGTTGCAGTGAAGAAATACCTGAGACTGGGTAATTTATAAAGAAAAGAGGTTTAATTGACTCACAGTTCCGCATGGCTGGGGAGGCCTCAGGAAACTTACAATCATGGCAGAAGGCACCTCTTCACAAGGCGGCAAGAGAGAGAATGAGAGCGAAGCAGGGAAGAGCCCCTTATAAAACTATCAGATCTAATGAGAACTCACTCACTATCATAAGAACAGCATGGGGTACCACCCCCATGATCTAATCACCTCCCACAAGGTCCCTCCCCTAACATATGGGGATTATAATTCAGATTACTATTCAACATGAGATTTGGGGTAGGGACACAGCCAAACCATATCAGCTAGAATGCTGGACTCGGTAACTCACTCAGGAAAACATGGATTTATAAATATTATGAGGTTGTTTACATTATTCATATAAACATTCTTGAGAAGTATTGATTTCTCATTGGGCTTCTTGAATATACACAGCATAGGACTGTGCCTGACACCTCTACCCATCTGTCCATGAGGCATAGGAGTGAGGGGGCTGTGTGGACACTCTCCCTCTGCCCTCTTGTGTGCCACTGTGCCTGCTCAACTGGGGACCTTGAGACCTAAGTGCCCTTGGAACAGGTTCTGGAACCTGTTCTTAATTAGGATAGATATGGTGAGTCTCAGTAGCCCCAAAATGCTGACTTCTAAACCTGGATGACAGGACACATTTACTTGTCTAGAACCCAAACCTGAGGATGTGTCCTTCATAGATGGAGGCCAATCTGTACCTCAGTGCCTTCCTTAAGCTCTAACCCTGGAAAGAGAATGATTTAGAACAGGGTTTCTAACCCAGGGAAGAGTGACCCTGAGATGGTACATAGAAGGATTTCAGGGAAGCAGAGAATTTTTCATGGGAGACAGTCTGCATTGATCCCATTTCATCAGATTCTCTAGGAAGCTGCAATCCACAAAAGCACAGAATTAGTATGTTTTTCAAGAGCCTGGGCAAAGAGAAAGTCAGGACGGTGAGAATTTTACATATCTCCTTGTTTAGCTAGAACTAAAGGTTTCTCTAGGATGCACTCAGGGTGGCCGTAAAGTATGGAGATATGCATGCTATGATTTTACCATGTACTGTGAGGTAATAACAATAAACTACTTATTATGTACCTATCTGTGTTCCCAGACTTGGTGGCCGTCTTGTATCTATACCTAACAGTGGATGTGCTGAGTTTTAGAGTCGAGAAATGAATTTATTTTTTCAAAATATGCCAAATTGTTTTCCAAAGTACTGGTATCAATTTTCCCTCTTAATTTTTGCCAATCTAGTAAGTATGAAATAACATTTTATTTTCTTCTTTGGTATTTCCTTGGTTGTTAATAAAGTTGTTTACATTTTTGTATGATACCTTTTCAAGCTTTTTGTCCATTTTTCTATTGAGTTGTCTTGTCATATTTTCATTAATTTGGCAGAGTTCTTTATATGTTCTTCATAACAATCTATACTCATTTATTTTGCAAATATTTTTTCTTAGTTTGCCTCTTATACTTTTACTTCATACATGCTTATGCATGTATGAAGTATACATCATCAGAGATGATGTCTTTTTTTTTTTTTTTTTTTTGATGGAGTCTCACTCTGTCGCCCAGGCTGGAGTGCAATGGCGTGATCTCACCTCACTGCAACCTCCACCTCCCAGGTTCAAGCAATTCTCTTGCCTCAGCTTCCCAAGTAGCTGGGATTTACAGGCATGTACCACTACACCCAGCTAATTTCATAGTTTTAGTAGAGATGGGGTTTAACCATGTTGGCCAGGCTGGTCTCTAACTCCTGACCTCAGGTGATCCACCCACCTTGGCCTCCCAAAGTGCTGGGATTACAGGCGTGAGCCACCATGCCCAGTTCATACATGATGTCTTTTAGTGAATAGAAGTTCTTGATTTTAATGCTGTCAAATTTATAAATATTTTCCTGTGTGGTTGGAATTTTTGTATTTTGTTAATAAGTCCTCCCCTACCTCAAAGTCAGAAAGACATTCTCTTCTAAAGTGTTTTAAAGTTGTGCCCTTTACAGTGAATTCATTTCCTGGAACTCATTTTTTATATGATACAAAGTTAACATCCAATTAATTATTTTTCCTCCAATGGATAACTAATTACACTAATACCACTTATTGTATGGCCCTGCCTTTTCTCCGGATCTACACCACCTCTTCTATAATATATTGTGGTGTCTGTTTCTAGACTTTTAATTTTATTTTATTGGTTTATAATCTATCCCTGCACCAATACCATACTTTCAATTATTTTAACTTCATAATAAGTCTGTATATCTTGTAGGATAAGACAGAGAGGATCTTCTTCTTCAGGAGTACCTTGTCTGTTATTACTGTAGTTCTTTACTGTTTCATATAAATTTACTCCAATATATATATTTATGAGTATATATATTTACATTTATAAATATATTCTTATATAATTCATTTGTATTTGTATACCTTATAACTATTTCTAAGTATTTTTCTTACGGACCCACTTACATATGAGCACTAAGGAGACATGTATAAGGATATTTGTAGCAACACTTCACAATAGCAAAAACTTGGAAACACTCAGATTCTATTAACAGAATAGGCAAATAAATTCACATAACATAATATTACACAGCAGTGAAAAACAGTGAAATAAAGTCATCTATGATGACATGGATAAATTTCAAAAACAATGTAAAATAAACAAATCAAGTCCTGTAATATCACATGTAATATGGTATCTTTTCAAAATGTTCACAGATGACCAAGAAAAAACAATTTTGTTTAAGCATGCAAGCATGTATGGAGGTGTAAAGGTATATATGCATGTATGTAGTAAGCAGGGGAATTAAAACAAAATTCAATGGTATGATTATTTCTGGGGGAGAGGCAAAAGAATGGAATGAAAAGAAACAAATAAAGACAAATGATTGATAATGTTCTGGCTCATGGGTTGGGGTATGTTTCTAGGTATTCAAAATATTATGATGATTTATAATTGTGTATATCGTCTATATATTCTCTTGCATGTATCAATTATATTAAAAAGAAAATAAGAGAGACAACAAATGATGGGAGCTATTTAGTAGATTTATAAAACTCTGATTATGTTGCTTACTTCCATTTCTGGGAAACTCTGATTCTTCTGTTGTTTTTGTCTGTGTGTTTTAATAAGAACAACTCGGGTTGGCAGGCAGCAGCAGAGAGGAAAAAGTGCCAAGAGTGATGTCGCCAGTATTCCTGGTCAGTTCTTATCAGCTGCAGAGCCACTATATTTTCATTCTCTTTTCCCAGCTGTCTTCACCTTCTCTCTTGTTTCTCCCCTCTCCCTTCCCTTCTTTCCAAACCATGTCTTCTTCACTGCCCCTGGAGCCTACGTCTGGGCTGCTGCTCTCTGTGATTCCGTTTTCAGCCAGCTGCAAAACAGCAGAGCTTAGGGAGGCTGTGTTGAGTTAGGCTGGAAGACCCCATGCTTCCTCTGTGCATTCATTTACTCTCTGGATTCTGAGTGGGCACAGTTATAGCTGTCACTGGTGTCAAAGAGAAAAATAAATACACTGCTGCCCTGACACAGCCAAATAAGAAAAAATAATCTCTAATCTGTCAAGTACAACCCAAGCTGCATAGCAGTGTGGTTTCTCATATGCATATCACAGCATGCACGGGCTGTATTTCTGGCAGCAGAGAGGAGAGTGAAGTTTTGGGAAAAAGAAACAAAAGGTAGAATGGAGAGGACTGTGGAGATCATCAGAGATGTAGTTTAGAGGTGAAAGAGGTGAAGCCGTCAGAGCTGTGTGAGCCCGTGTATCATTCACCAATCTAGCTGCCTATCACAACCTCGAAGATGTTGCAGTAAGAATAACAGCACAGGGGAGAGAAAATGAAGCAAGTCCCGAGGGAATAAAAAAGGGGAACAAATACTAACTCCAAATTAGGAAATGTTGAAAAATGATATGTAAGATTGTTGTGGTAAAAAAGAAAAATGCCTAATAACATAAGAAAAATGTGTAAGAATAATTGAAGAGGACTCTATTCTGAAGGAGAATTTATCTGAGAAGTCTTCTTATTAAACAACCTATCCTAAGGATTCCAAATATGGGATTCCTTTTAAATGAAAAATTCAAGTTGGCCGGGCGCGGTGGCTCACGCCTGTAATCCCAGCACTTTGGGAGGCCGAGACGGGCGGATCACGAGGTCAGGAGATCGAGACCATCCTGGCTAACACGGTGAAACCCCGTCTCTACTAAAAATACAAAAATTAGCCGGGCATGGTGGCGCGTGCCTGTAGTCCCAGCTACATGGGAGGCTGAGGCAGGAGAATGGCGTGAACCCGGGAGGCGGAGCTTGCAGTGAGTCGAGATCGCGCCACTGCACTCCAGCCTGGGCGACAGAGCGAAACTCCGTCTCAAAAAAAAAAAAAAAAAAAAAAAAAAAAAGAAAAATTCAAGTCTTAGAATTACTCAGCTCACCTTTATTCTTCAGTACCCTCAGACATAGTCATTTTTTTCTTGATTTGACCAAAATCTGATGGATTTTGCTCCAACCAAGTTACAGTAAATGTGACTCTGCTTCTACACACACACGCTCACACACATCAACTCCATTCAGATAAGAGGTAAAAAAAAATCAGGGGAGTATATCAGTTACCTATTTCTATGTCACAAACTACCCCCAAAACATAATGGGCTTAAGACAACGGTTGTTTTAATAGCTCACAATTCTGTGGCTCAACAATTTAGGCTGGGCTCAGCTGGGCAGTTCTGTGGTTCTCATCTGAGGTCACCCATGTGACCACATTCATCCAGTTCCTTGACTGGGATGGATGGTCTAAGATGGGCCCACTCACCTGTCTGGTGATTGGTTCTGACTGTTGGCTGATTGTTCTGGGGGGCACAGGTGGGGTTTTAATCCATGTAGCTTCTCATTCCCTAGTGGCTTCTTCATATGGTGCTCACAGGTCAGCATTCCAAGAGAGTGGGGACAGAAATGCAAGGCCTCTTGAGGTCCAGTCTCAGAAGCCAGACAACATTGCTCTCACTGCCTTGTATTGGTCAAATTATCACAAGGGCAGCTGAGATTCAATACATAGGGAAATAGGCTTCACCTCTTGCTGGGAAGTATAATAATGTCACATTGCAAAAGGGTAGGCATACAGGGAGGGGAAGGATTATTGTAGCTGTCTTAATTCAGGCTGCTATAACAAAGTATCATAGACTGGCGTCTTATAAACAATAGATATTTATTTCTCACAGCTCTGGAGTCTAGAAGTCCTAGATCAGGGTGCTGGTATGGTAAGGTTCTGGTGAGGGCCCTCTTCACGATTGCAGATGAACAATTTCTAGTGTATCTTCACATGGTGGAAAGAAGATGAGAGAGCTCTCTGGCATCCTTTTTATAAGGGCACTCATCTCACTCATGAGGGCTTATAACCTAATTACTTCCCAAAGGTCCTACCTCCTAATACAATCAACTTGGGTGTTAGGATTTCAGTATAATTTTGGGGTGACACAAGCATTTATTCCATCACAGTAGCCATCTTTGCAAATAATCTACCATAAGAAGGGACTATAAAATATCTTCAGAGATATCAAGGTAAGAACTTGCATTAGAAAATATGACTCAGGACTGGGTTTGGTGATTCATGCCTGTAATCCCAGCACTTCGGGAGGCTGAGGCAGGTGGAGCACTTGAGCCCAGGAGTTAGAGACCAGCCAGGGCAACATGGTAAAACCCCCATTCTCAAAAAAAAAAAAAAAATTACAAATTTTTAAGAAAGAAAAGAAAATAAGACTTGGAACCTGATGTGAAACCTCTGCCTACAAAAATGAAACATGCCAGAGTATCAAGTTGACCATAGAAGAGCTAACTCACTGGCCTCTTCCATTAGACATACTGACATTCCAGAACCAGTTTATAGTGAATGCCTCCCGTTTTGACTTAAGTGGTATATTTAGAACTATTTTATAATGTTCTCTGGGTATAAAATTTGTGTGGGAAAATACATAAACCTACAAGAAAGGGAGATAGGATGACTCACTAAGTTTTTATGGTACTAAAGCAAAGGGTATTCACGGAAACTTGACCCCTGCTCAGCTGGAATGGGGAACTACGGGAAAGTTTTATTTAAGTTGATCACTTCAGTTGGTCTTTTTACCATTAGTGATGCAGAGAATGTGGAGGTGTGGCCATATTAGCTGTAATTGCAGCAACATCTCTGCTGAGGGAATCTCTTCCGTGGCTGCATTTTTCTTATCAGTGGCAATTGTGTGAAGTCTGGTTTGCATCTGTGTGTGTCTGGCTGGTGCTGGTGCTTTGGGAAAGGATAGAGCTTTGGGGATGGTGAAAGCTTGATATTGGCATCTTATTTACTTTTCTAAAACAGTTGAAGAGAGGTAAGTTTAAGAAGCTATGCCCTATGGCCTTTATTACACCTTTCCCGGGCCTTGGAGAGTAATTTAAAAATGAAAATTCATGAATCTTTCAGCAAACTATAAACTACAATATTACCAAAACTGTCAAACATAATTGTTTGCTCTTCTCTATTCTCTTTTCCTTTCCACCCCCAGAAGTAAATCTTATTCTGAATTTTATTACAGTTTTTTGATGTGCTTTAGAGCTTTATGAAAATAGTGTTACATTTCATTTTTCCCCATTTATGATTTTTATAACATTCATCCATGTTATAGTTTTAGCTGTAGTTAATCCATTTTAGGTTGATAACATACAAATATGTGAATATTCCATACTTTACCTATTGTCCTATTGATCAAGTGGTAAGTCAGTAAGTGCTGTGCCAGGGTAGGACTGCGAGACCACACTTAGGGGGCCAGGAGACGCCTCTGGGGAAATGACTCCTCATCTGAGACCTTAAGTTTATTTCAAAAAGAGGGAACCAGGTAAAGATATGAGAGAAGGAATCCAGGCAGAGGGAAGGCAAGGGGGAGGGCAGCAGCGAGGTAGAGCCTCAGTGTTGCCTGTTGTTCCAGGAGGCCAGAGTATGGGTAGGAGGGAGTAGGAGATAAAGATGGAATGGAGGGCAATGACAGCTCAGTACTTGAGACCTGTGTTCTGCAGTTTGGACTTTCAAAAGCACATATCCTCTGTTTAGCATCCTGTAGCCTGCATCCTACTCTGTAGGTTGTAGGATGCTAAACAGAGGATATGCGCTTTTAACGGTCGTTCTGACCAGATGATGAAAATAGATATAAGGTAGCCAAGGCAGGAAGCAAGATAACAGTTAGGAGGTTATGAAAGTTTGAACCTGGATGCTACTCGGTTGGATCTGAGAGCGGTTTGAATGATGGAACTGACAGAATATGGCTTTGGATCAGATTTAGAGCAATTAAGGCCATCATGGGCAACTATCAATTTTCTAGCTTCAGCCATAAGTTCATTTTGGCTTTGATTGTCAAATATATCACAATTTGGGCCTCATGTACTATTTCTTTCCATCCTTTTGTATGTTCCCTGCTAGGCTTAGCCTCTTAGTTATCATTTCTTTGCTTTTAATCAATAACTTTTAATTGCCAAATGAATCAATGAGTTCATAAAAAGATTTGTAAAATGCATATCCTTTCACTGACGAAGAGATAGTAGAAATAACAAAAGTGACAACAAGAGCTAGCTCTTTAGGTGCATTTTTTTGGTGTGCTTGGCCTTAAACTGACCATTCAGCATTCATTATCTCACTTAATCTTCACAATAAATAGTAGAGAGAGATAATTCTTATTGTGCCCTTTTTGTAAGTGAGAAGGCTGAGGCTGAAATTGCTTAGGCAACTTTTCCAAAGTGTGACTGACTCCAGAACTTGTAAGCTAAACTTACTCTTGCAATTTAAATTGCGCCCTTGGACCAACAGCATCAGTGGCACCAGGAGCCTGTTAGAAATGCAGAGTTTCAAGCCTCACCCCAGAGCTCCTGAATCTTTATCTGCATATTAACAAGAGCCTTAGGTAATTCCTAAGCACACTGAAATTTGCTATCCTGCACTCCCAACCTAGTAGAGAGATTTAATACCTTACTTAGGATTTAGTACAGACAGACTATAGGAATCAAGATAATTTTAACCAGCATTTAATCCATATTATCCAGGTGTCAATGAAACTAAACCAAATGAATTAATTGTATAATTCATATCCACAAGATTTATATGGCTGTGTCTGTGCACATATCTGGGTCAAATGTTGTATGTGAATCATAAAGAAGATAATTGGTAGAATACTGTTAAGCACTTAGAACCATCACAGTGAGAAATGTCCAGTGTTCTGGTCTAAGGATTTTAGCGCTTCCAGTGTGGGAGGTGTTCAACCTGATTTAGCAATTACACTCTAATGTCATTAACATGAAATGGCCCCAATAAAAGGAATAGAAGTCAATCTTAACTACAGCTCTGCGATGCTTTATTGCTCTATTTCACCCTTACTTACTCATTCCTACTCCATGAGAGGTAGCTGTAAAGAAAGTTTCCAAAAGGCAAGCTACATTATCAACAGAATCATGAACATGAATGATGACCTCATTGCGTTAACATTGATGAACAATTGTAATCTTGAAGGCCATTGCTGCTAGATTATATAGGTTCCTACAATCTTTATTTTCATCTAATTCTTGACTATTTGCCCTGGGGTTGCATGTGTTTCCTCTAAAAATGTAAGCGTGATTTCAACACCTATGTGAATTTGTTCTCATTTTACTGGATTTTTCTTGGAACCTCTGTTGCAGCAGTTTGTGAAGTAGCTTACTCAATCTTTTCTTCAGCTTGTCATGGGTATTATATTACCTCCTCAAATAAGTTCTACAACGTATGAGAAATATTGACTACAATAATAACAATTGCCTGTATTTATTGTGCCTTTACTTTGTGCCAGCCACTACTGGGCCCTTTACATGCGTTGAGTTCATTTACTCCCCTAACTCCTCATTTAAAGATTTAAATTTCCCCAATTTACTTTTATTGAAACAATTCCCAACTTTTCGTTAGAATATTAAAGAGGTTAGCAAGGCATTTTTATGGGTATTTTTATTACTAGAATAGACTCTTATAGAATATTTTGTTAATTTACATTAGAAACTTAGCATTCTTAAGCAAGAGTGTCCACATAGAATGTGCAATGCAAATAGTGAACCCTAATGTAAACTATGGCCTTTAATTAGTAATAATGTACCAATATTGGCTTATAAATTGTAACACATGTACCACACTAATTAATGCAAGATGTTAATAATAGAGGAAATGGGGTGAGAGAGTATATGGGGACATATTTTCAATACTTTCTTCTTAATTTCAGGCAGGGGGATGTATTTTGAGTACTTTCTGCTTAATTTTTCTGTAAGCCTAAAACAACTAAAAAATATAAAGTATGTTAATTTAAAAAAGAATATTTATGTTATAAATTTTGTACACAATTTCTTTCTTTGACAGCAAATAGTATATACCAGATATTTCCTATGACCCTATTGCTCCAACACTGGATGAAAATTGAAGATTCTCAGTCCCTCTCTGAATCTAGGACTCTGTCCACTTGGCCAGTTTTCGTGGCAGCATCTTGGTTGACCAGTCATCCCCAACACTGTAGAAGGCAGACACTAGACAGCCATTGGGAAACTTTCCCTCTGATTAGCATCATATGGTGGCTCCCTTTCCAATCCCTTAGAATATGTGTTATGAGGACAATGCTTTCTTAACTCCCCATGTTTAGCCTTATATCTTCCATTTTGCAGAATGAATATTAGCCCTCTTGAGGTTTGTTTTTCCTCTTTTGGTGTCCAAACTACATTATAAACAAATCAATGATTGCGTAAAAACTTTTAATGAGTGATCCTTTTGTATCATCAATCCCCAATTGACAGTGATTCAATAATTCTATTTCTGAAGCTAATTTTCTCCATGGTTATGATCATAATATCTTCATTATTTTTTTGGTTGCATGTAATGTGCCAACGTCTTCTTCCCTCCAAATACTAACCACCACGTCATCACCTTTTACTAATTGGGCTATCTGGTCTTACATGCTATTTGTTTCAGGTCTACTTATGTGTCTAGTTTTTCCTATTGATTTTTTATAATTTGGCATCCCTTCACTGGGCTCTTCCCTATCCAGGCAAATATCTGTCTTCCAACATATGTAGATAAATTGCTTACATGATTGTGAAGGTGTTACTTTTAATTTGCAGCAAAAAGGTATCTATTCTAGGTTACAAACTTAAGGCTTCTACAGAAATCAATAACCTGATTATTTTACAGGTTATCCACTGAGCTCCACAGGGTTAAATACAATTACAGCATTATCCCAGCACAGAGAAATCGAGAGTGTAGGAAAAGGTAAACATTATCCTCAAAAGTACAAAGTAAATGGAGACTCATTTGCAAGAATGTGAGTGTTTATTGTGGATGGCACATGCTTTAGAAAATAATTTCACTTCAAGACCTTACTGCATACATAGGACGTCTACTCTAATGTTAGAAATATGGGCAAAATATAATAGTTTCATAGTTCTTTGCCCTCTTCACAATGTGTTTTCACATAGCTCACCATATTTGCATTTCACAACTATGTGGGATAGGCAGGGGCAGGAATTATCATACTTTATGCATTTTAAAACTGAGGATTAGGCCGAGTGTGGTGGCTCACACTTGTAATCCCAGCACTTTGGGAGGCCGAAGTGGATGGATCACCTGAGGTCAGAAGTTCAAGAGCAGCCTGGCCAACATGGTGAAACCCCGACTGTACTAAAAATACAAAAATTGGCGAGGCATGTGGTGCATACTTGTAATCCCAGCTACTCCAGAGGCTGAGGCAGGAGGATTGCTTGAACCCAGGAGGAGGAGGTTGCAGTGAGCCGAGATTGTGCCACTTCACGCCAGCCTGGGCAACAAAACAAAACTCCATCTCAAAAAACAAACAAACAAAAAACCCAAAAAACTGAGGATTAAAGAAGTTAAATTACTTTTTCAAATACTATTAGTTAATGTTTGTCAAATGGAAAAGAATATCATTTATTCTAATTCTTAGATCTCTGCAAATGCTTTTCATACTTAGTTAAGAGGCCTACCCTCCCTTGAAACTGACTGTCCTATTAATCATTCAAAACAACAGTAAAGTTTGAGACTTATGATAGATGTGATAAATAATAACAGTATAATATATGAATTTTTAAACATAGATTATTTCAATTGCCCATTAATCCAGCTGGGATACAAAGCTTCCCCATAAGACATCCCGGAGCAAGATCCAGAAATTATTATAAATCCAGTGAAATTGTTTAGGACACTAGAGGTATAAATTCATGTCATTGAAAGAATCTAACATTGGTAATAGCACTCTGTTCACAGAAGTTTGGAGAATTGAATGTGGGTAATCTCTAGAGAAAATTACATACACAGAGCATGCAAGTCAACCAGCATTAACTCACTCAATTGCAGCCCAAATTATACTTTTCAGGAGCTGGGTCTCTAATCTTTTCTTAGACTCAACTGATCTATTACTTCTATTGGTGTGCAGTTTAGCTTGGTTACTTCCAATGAATAACTTTTTGTAAGGAAATTGGTTTTCCTCTTGGAAAAAAAGGTACATAAATCTCCCCGAAGGTTTTTCTCTTTTTCCTTCTAAATTTAACTAATTTTCTATATATCTGATTAGGAAAATACAGCTACTTATAAAGATATTTTTTTACATGGTTTCCAGATGATTTCTAACCCTCCTTTTTTTTCTTCCTCCTTGCCTTCTAGTTGTATGAGATTACAAGGGATGTACTTAGGCACTGATACACAGTTCTGAAAACCGTCTTTGCTTTCATTGCCCCTGTATTAAAGAATTCCAGTATTCGCCATAGTGAAATTGCTGTGCGATATTTGTTTTAAAATTCCAAAAACTAAATGGGACTTCAGTTAAATCTTGAGTAGTTAATAGCTATTTAGATAGTTGAAGCATATTTTGAGTAGTGTTAATACACTTCAGACAATTTAGTTAGGAGCATACATCAAAGTTTTGTTACAGTCTTGCCATAAAGGGAAAAAGGCCATTAGTACAATCTTACTGATAGTGTTGTCTGTAGACCAGTGCTGATCTGTGAGCTCGGTGCTCCCAGATTGGGAGGAATAAGTACAAAACCTGAGAATAAGCATTTAAAAACATACACAGTGATTGAAATCATTCAGTGTCTGTTAAATTTAATAATAAAAGATTTGGATTTATATCCTGTAATGAAAAAGTGCCATTGATTCAGCATCTTTTTTTTTTTTTTTGCATTTTATAAAAGTATCAGTGACGGGCCGGGCGTGGTGGCTCATGCCTGTAATCCCAGCAGTTTGGGAGGCCAAGGCGGGTGGATCATGAGGTCAGAAGTTCAAGACCAGCCTGACCAACATGGTGAAACCCCGTCTCTACTAAAAATACAAAAATTAGCCAGGTGTGGTGGCATGTGCCTGTAATCCCAGGTATTTAGGAGGCTAAGACAGGAGAATTGCTTGAACCCGGGAGGCTGAGGTTGCAGTGAGCAGAGATCACACCACTGCACTCCAGCCTGGGTGACAGAGCGAGACTCTGCCTCAAAAAAAAAAAAAAAAGTATCAGTGACAATAGTTTGGAAGTAATAATACTAATTAATAAACTAATTAATGCCTCTTCACCACAGAGAGTTTGAGAAACAGTGCTGAGGGAGGCCAATTCAAAGATTTTCTCATGGTAGGTGCATTTCATTTAGAAAAAAGAATAGTTAGAAAATCATTTTTATGTTATAGCTTTAAAAAGTTTGAAGTTCACTAGATAGATCACTAGGTAGATAAATAGTTCACTAGAAAATAGTTTCTCAGAACAAATCTTAATTCTATGCAAGTTAATCAGAAAACTACTTAAACATTTTTAAGGAATGGCATTTTTTTCTCTAGAAGGGAGTTTTTCATAAAAGGATTCTGACTCAGATAAACTTTGATCAAAATTTTATTTTACTGGAGTCAGGCAGAAGAGAGAGTTTGATACTTAGAATTTGGTTTACCTCCATTCCTCCTGTCTTAAGCTTTCCATGTGGACTAAGTTTATTTGAGGCAGCTGATCTTCGAGTAACTCTGATTGTCCAGTTTTAAATAAAAATGGCTATTTTTCAGGAAGAGCCCAGTAAAACGGGGTTTCATTCATAATCTCTGTGATGGGTACTCCAACACCAGACTGGTATTTCTGAGAGAGAATGGGGTCAGAGAAGAGGCCACAAAATGCCCTTTAGTGACCCTATTTGTTCTCCCTAAGATCCAAATTAACATATCTTTCGTCAGATAGATACTCAGCTCCCAAATGTAAGTTATTTGCCCCCACAAAAGATAATTTTTATATTGAGAATATATTGTACCATTCCCCTAATTGAATTCATGAAATTGTTGTGATAGGAAGTGTTCACAATTTATAATCTTTTAAAAATAACTATATGTAGGAATACATTCTCCTCCATCAAAACAATATTCCAACCATGATTATATGTGAAATACATTCATGTCAAAGGGGAAATAAAATATTGCTTTAGAACATTACTTATGGTTGAAAAGATTCTGTTCTAGTAAAATAACCTGCCTTTATAGAGTTTCCTTGATTTTTAAATTAATATCTAATCATATTTGAGTCTTTTTCATTTTATTAATTTCAATTTTAGTCATTTTCTCCAATTAGACAATTTATAAAAATCCTTCTCTATACAGTTATAAAAATAGCTTTTATTTTGAATGGCATATTGCCCACTCTCTCACTTTCAAAAAAAGGAGGAAAGAATATCACAAATTATATTTCTCAGAATGAAAGTGTTGATTTTATAGTGCATTAGAGTTTGTTTTCATAACCTGCTTTGCTCTTTAGATTTAATATTTTCTCACTAGTTTATAACTCCACTGTATCAGTCCATTAAATCACTAACAAGAACATCACAGTACTGGGGGTAAATGCCCTTAATAAGATTTGATTTGAATAGATGAAGGAAAAATTCTATCGTTGGCCCAAAGTTTAAGAGTACTGTTAATAATGACCTTTCTATCTATTCCTTTCTCAGAGTAGGAATAGTACATAGTTTGCTATTATATGTATTAAAATCTTGCCAAACTGCCAATATTTTAAATAAACACATATTTGGAGAAAGTAGAAAACAATCATAAATTAGGCCAGAAAATTGTGGTATTTTAGATATAAATATATACTTTTAAATTTTGAGGGTAATATATTTTATTTAGAACATGATAAAGATAAGAACACGTACATTTCTTCAATGTCCCAAGGATTTGCATATAAGCCAGATTCATAGCACAGAACAAATTGGTAAAATTATCCCAGTGCTTTTTAACCACTAACACCCACGTAGAGTTGAAGCTAGATTTTAACGGTGCTTAAAGGCACCACGGTGTGTTATTGTAAGTTTAAATTTCAAGATTGTTTCAAAGTTAAAATCTCTTTGCCTATTGGAAAGAAAAGTTGGAACTTTAAAAAAAGGTCTGTTCCAATAAGCAGATGTGAAAAGCCATTTTGGTAAAATTATTTGCGGATTTCAGAGTCAAGCACACCCTAAACATGTGAAGAATGAAGTGTGGATTATATTAAAATGGATGTTAAACAGGAGGGGGCAAGTGTCACCACCTAGGAAGCTAAAGTTCCGTTCCAAAATCAACAGAATGAAACAATTATACCCGGTAAATGGTACACGGTACACCAGCTGCAGCTCAGCAGCCATTGGCTTTGATATTATGCCCTCTGGTGGGAAAATTTATAAATCACAATTTTAACAGTTAAACTGACTCAGTAAGACTGTTGTTTCTCATGTCAGGGCTATATGGCTTTATGTATAATCAAACTTCAATCTAAGGGAAAGTACATGACAATTTCTCCAGACAGAGTTGACTTAGGTATTAACTAATGTAACCTCTTAATTTTTCCTGGAGATAATAAATGAGTAATGAGGCATGAAAGAAGTAAACTATTTATTATTCAGTTCTCCAGTGTCCCAGGTAAGGTATTAATTACTGAATACCTACTAAGTGCCAAACACTATATAAGCATTGGTTCATTTAATCTCATCAATTCTGATTTCAGTCTAATCCTTTTCCTCTTCATTTTCTGTTAATTTAAGGTTTTCCCAGGGCTAAAATTCTATCTTTGGTCTACTGATACTTGCATATTCAGGCTTTAAGTATGTGGTTTTTGATCCCCTTAGAGAGGGGGTTCTAATCTAACTGATCTCAGCAGGTACGGTTCTCTCTAGTGTTAGGCTTGAGACCTGGAGTCCATTACAAAAATCAGCAGTGGGATTGGGAAATCCAACTCCAGGCTACCTATTCCTATGCCAGGTGAAGACAAAGGTTCGTGGTGGAGCACTACTGTGGGATTAGAGAAGCCAGAAAAGCTGAGGAGAAAATGAACGGAGGAGGCAACCGAGCAGTTGAGGCGAAGCAGACAGGGTCCCAAAGGGGCAGGGGAGCGCACTGGGTCATTTTCACCCAGCTGTGGTGTGGGCTTGTAGAGATAGTGCCAGGTCAATTTGAAAGGTTCCAAATAGGCCAATGAATATATGTATAATATAAAACTTTTTAGAATTGAAAGATATTACAATGTATAGTTCAACTTTTGATTCTCCAACATCATCTTACTTTTTTCCTTGTTATAAGTTATAGTATATGATACACATAATAACGTAAGAGCTAACACTTCCAGGCTACTCTGTCTTATGCTCTAAGCACTCTGCATATACAAATCCAGTCAGTCCTCACACGCACCCTAAGAAGTGGGCAGTGTTGTTGCCTTTAATTTACCTATGAGGAGACTGAAGCCCAGAAGGAGTAAGTGCCATCCCAAACATCACATGGCAAATGGGAAGAGCTGGGATTTGAACCCAAGCCGTCTGGCTTCAACCTGTGTCCCTAAACAGTACTCAGTGCCGGTATGAAGTTAGGTAGCATAATAATAAATCAAACTCCTGGAAAGCCCTGACTCAACTTCAAAAATAAAATATATCACTGGGCCCAGTAAAGGCGCTCCCACACACCTTTCCCAGACATCCCTTTTAGTTGAGTCAAGTCCCGAAAGGTGACGTGGTTGGCCTGTAGTTATTATATCTTGCTGAGTTTAAAATCCAACTGTTCAATTATATGGATGCTACGTAGTAGCATAAGTACATAAATAGATGTTTACTAGTTCACTGATTATTTATTGAGGGCAATAAAATAGAATTTTGCCTTATATGCATTTTTGGCTTTTTGTTTTAAATTATCCCCTTATTTGATGTTAAATAAACACATCTGTTATTGCATTTGCATTTGAAAAACTTTTAGGCTGTAATAGTCACTCATTAACTAATGAACTAATTAATTCACCAACATTTGTAAAACCCCTACTGAGTGGCAATCACCATGCTAGAGACAGGGATGCAATGAACCTCACACTGGAAATGGCTTGTACCACTCATGAGACCTAATGGTTAATGTTTCAGGAACTTTGTGAACAAGCCATCAAACACAACCATTGTTAAAAATTAGGGCCAGGTGTGGTGGCTTATGCCTATAATCCCAGAACTTTGGGAGGCCGAGGTGGGCAGATCACCTGAAGTCAGGAGTTCGAGACCAGCCTGACCAGCATGGTGAAACCCCGTCTCTACTAAACATACAAAATTAGCTGGGCATGGTGGAGCATGCCTTTAATCTCAGCTACTTGGGAGGCTGAGGCAGGAGAATTGCTTGAACCCAGGGGGCAGAGGTTGCAGTGAGCCAAGATCGCGCCATTGCACTCCAGCCTGGGCAACAAAAGCAAAACCCCATTTCAAAAAAAAAAAAAGAAAAAGTAAAAATTAGATTACATAAACATACCAACATATAAATTATATTAAAAACAAAGTTAACAAATACTAAAAACTCATAGCTTCCCAATTTTTTTCTATATTTTATTATTAATCATGCTCTTGAGGTTGTGTACATGTATTGTAGCTATATGGTGGAAATGCAACTTAAGAATGTGCTACTGAACATCTCTTCCCAACTCCATGTCCAGAGACCTCATTGCTAGCTTGAAATTGGCCATTGTGTGAGTACTTACTCCATGGACATTTACAAATGCTACAAATCAGGGCTTTTCCCCCCAAAAAGCCACTTATTAAACGTTTAGCACCACAACACTAGTTACAGTGAAGATTAATATACAACCTCTAGCAAAATACAATTATTGATCTAATGGGACCAGTAATTTGAACAATGCATACATCAAAAAAAATGTTTTAAAGGCTGAACAAAACTATCAACTCCACCATGATTTCCAACAATGATCTTCTGTATAGAATTTTGCATCTCATTCAGTTCAGCTCTGATTTTGGTTATTTCTTTTCTCCTGTGTCCAACCATGACCACTTAAAGTTTCATCCTTAACATAGTTAAAATCAACCCAATTTCCATGTTTTCTAAAGTTGTCAGTGTTCTCTGAAATCTGCAGATGGAAATGGAGAGCTGATATGACGCTTCTGAAATTGGCATCATCCAGGTGGGACTTTTGGGCAGTAGCGTCTATAACGTTTCCAATCACAGCTCTGTGACCTGTTTTTCACAAACCGGACTTGGGGCAACCACTCAGCTTATTAATCAGCACCTCACAATAGCTGTCATGTCTCTTCTTTAAGGTGAAAAGGCATCTGCGGTATTTATCTAAGAGTGTTTAAGTGCTATGGTAGTGGCTACAGTTCCTTCCCGGACCAGCTTGTGCTTCATCTAGGCAGAGAAAATTCTCAGAAACATCCATGGAGTCTCTGGGCTTCCATGATGAATTACACATGATTTAACCTGGAATTTGAGGCACTTCTAACTAGAACCTTCCTTCCCAAATATCTGTACTTGAATACATTTTAATCCTCAAGCCTGAGTGTACTAGAACAAATTTTTTTACTTTTTTCTGTAACTAAAATTATTTTCTGTTTTGATGCTTTACTATGCTGGGTAACTGAAACTAAGTCTCTTTCCCTGGGACCGTGTCCAATTCCTGGAGGCCTTGGAGCACGAAGGTGTCACAGACAGAGCCCTCTGCTCTTGGTTGTTAGTTGGGTACGCTGATTCACAGAGGTGATATACTCTGGATTTCAAGCATGTGTCCACACACTTCACTTCTACACCCTTGCTTGTCCTGGCAGCAAAGTAGCACCAGGGATGCCAGCAGGCTGGGGCATGTCTGTGCCACTCTCAGGCAGTGGGAAGCATTCTGCTCACCCCCCTCCCATTGTCCAATACACACACACACACACACACACACACACACACACATTCTGGGGATGCTCTGAGGCTGTCTTGGACTCATCTGCCCAGCCGCAGCTCAGCAGACCCTCTGACCGTCCTGAGCATTTCCTCCTCTGTCCTCCTGCTCAACCTGGAGGAGACCTGGAAAGGGGACTTCTTCTTCTTCTCCATCCCCTCAAGAATGAGATGTGGTCCCTTCTCCACCCCCTGGGAAATGAGACAAGGAGGTGAAGTCCTCTGCTTCCTGCCTCCAGGTAATGACAAGAGGAGAAAAGAGCCTGGGAGGGCTCCATTCCTTTCCCAGCAAGAAAGGTGACGAGGGACAACAGCAGGAGCACGGAGGAAATCATGTCTTATTAACCAAGTGTACTCCAAATTCCAGTAAAATTCCCAGATATAATTAAGGTGTTTCCTGCAGTTTAAATGACAAGTTAGGCTGAAAGAGGACAGTTAAATGTAGAGAATAAATCCCCATTCAGCGTCTTTAGCTGTACTTGAGCTTGAGATTCTAACCTTTCTCCCATGGCACCTTCTCTCTGTGACTTCAGAGTGTGTGTCTATGTGTGGGTGTGTGTGACTAACAAGATATTATTAATCTGGAAAGGCAGGCTTCATCTAATCTAAGCACTCCATCACCTTCCTTCTTCGGTTAACATCATACACTATACACAGTTGAATCATGATCTTGCCCAAAATGTCACAAAAAGAAAATAAATATCACAATGAATAACTGCATCTTAAAGAGTTGGCACTCAGTGAACATCGGTTCTATTTAGAGAACACTCTCCTCCCTGTTCCCTGCAGATGGTCCCATCAGCCTACAATTCAGGCCCATTAGGAAGCCCCCTTGCTTCTTCGTATTACTGTGTGCTCTGAATCAAGGCTCCAAGTAGAACACTACAGGGGAGGCATTTTCCCTCCTACAAACCTTTTAATCTCACCTTTGTCATTTGGATAGGTAGAAAATAATCTCTCATTGTAGTTTTTACTTACATTTCTCTTACTGTAAGGCTGAGCATCTTTTTTTTTTATTTTACTTTAAGTTCCAGGATACATGAATGTGCATGTTTGTTACATAGGTATACTGTGCCATGGTGGTTTGCTGCACCTTTCAACCTGTCATCTAGGTTTCTTTAAACTTGTTTAGGAGCTATTTGTATTTCCTTTTGGTGCATGGCCTTTTCCATATCTTTTGTCTTTTTGTGCTTTACCTATTAGGTTGCAGGAGCTCATCTTACGTCTATGAGTTTAGTCTTTTGTCATGAGAGTTGCAAATATATTTCCTGGTTTGTCATTTGTTTATGGAGAGTTTTTTTCAGTGATATTTTCTTTCATATAACTGACATTATCGAGCCTTTGTTTTGCAGGGTTTAGATCTTTCTCAGAAAGGCTTCTCCCAGTCTGAATCAAAATTAAACATCTTCCTCTTGTTTTCCTCAAGTACTTATCTGTCCGTTTGTTTATGTTTGGATTATTTGATCTGTCTCCAATTTCTGGTAGGATAGTTGTGATGTAAGGCTCTAACCTTACCCTCCCCCAGACTCCTCCCAACACAAGATTGTTACCCAGATATTCTTTTAGGAATACTTGTTGAATAATCCATCCCTTACCCACTGGTTTGAAATACCATCTCTGCTGTATACCATCTTCACACATTTATTTTGGTCCATTAGTGAAAGTTATATTCTATTTTATAGATTGTCTTTCTTTTTTTAAGCACTAGTACCTTACTATCTTAATTATTGTGCCTGTAAAATATGTTTTAATATCGATAGGAATATTGCTATTTTCTCTTCCTTTTTTCCAAGAATTTTTCTGCCTATTCTTGCTTGTTTATTTTCAGTATTCAGTTAGGATTTACCTGTTCAATCTTTCACCCAGATCATCTAGAACTAGGTGTTTTCATTGGGATTGCATTACATTCTAGATTAACTTGTGGAGAATTCATATATTTATGAGGTTGAGTCCTCCTATTCAAGAAATATGAAATGGTATAAGCAATTTATTATGAATGATAAAGTATCAACATGAGAGAATTAGTCATATTTTTAATATAGTTAGAATAAATTTCAGGCTATTTATAAGCACTCATACTTATTGCATTCAGATACACGTCTCTTGAATAAGAGAAAAAGTAACCACAGTTGCAGTTAGCTCCCTAGGGATTCCACACAACCCTTGGCCTATTTTATCTCTGCACTAAGGGAGTGTATTCTGCATGTAAACATCATCCATCCTTGAGTCACACTGAGGAGAAAAGGTTTTGAATAGCAGCCAGAGCATATGCTCTTCTTTATCTAATACAAATTGCTGTACTTTATTGACCTTTTCCTGGGATATTAATGTTTCAGGTCAGTATTGGGCATAACTTGCTGCTATATTCTTGTATTTTTGTATGGACTTTTTATTCTTTAGCTCACATGGAATTACAAGTTAGCATAGCTTCCTGGAGATTTGGAAGGCACAGGACTACTCTTAGAAAATAGCAAAAGAGAGCATTTATAACAGTGTGGAAAAGAAGCAGTTCTCAAGTTTTCTTGTACTTACCTCTGGCTTTGCTTTTGTTTCAGAGGAATACTTTAGGGACAGAAGAATAAAACATTAAATAGACTGGACTGGTTATGCGATTGAATTCAATATGGGCTTGTTTTGGCTAATGTTAACATGGGTAGAGATTACATGAATCCATCAAGGGGAATAAAGAGAAGTTAGATTTCTGGGTATAGGAAACGTATAATACAGATACTGCTTTCCCAGAGCAGGGTCCCAGGCGAGTTTAGATTGTAATGAGGGTTAGAGAAACCCTTTTTGTATTATTAAGATTACAAAATACAATTTTATTTGCATCTACTTTGGCAGCTCCTTATTTCATTTTTAATTATGAGCAGTAATAATATTTACTATCTATAATACTATGTATCACTTGCCAAGTATTTTACATATGTTTATCTCCTTTAATCCTGATAATGCTATCATGTTGTTTCTTCTCCCCATACAAGTGAGGAAACTAAGGCACAGAAAAGATAACTCGGCCAAAGTCACAAAGATAGCAAATGCAAATGGGGCAACCTGAGTAGAAACAAGCTTTTAAACACTATGCCATGCTTAACCTTTTATGACAGACTAAAAGATCTGATTGTATTTTTGCTCTTCATATGTCAATATAAAACATCTTGTCAAAGTGATAAAATACAAACATTTATACACACTGTTGCACAGTGGCAAGAGTCTAATCTTGTTTTCAATTAAATAGCATTAGGATGTCAGCATTGGAAACTTTCCCAAGAAATCCCATTTCCCTTCATGGGCTCCACATTTTGCTGAATGAAGACACATGCACAGAACACTAATACGCCATGTCATTTGTTCAACACCTGTTAGGTACCTATTATGCATATAGCACTGTACATCTCTAGCCATATTATACATAATCTATGTGTCTTATTGTATGCGTAATTAGGAGTTATTTTCTCTAAAATAATTCTTTGATATCTTAAACAGGTTCCTCCTATGTTATATGAGATATATCCCCTGTAGTTCCAATGCCTTGTAAGAAGTATTCTATCACTACAGCACATGCACAGGGAAATGTGGTACATCTCATACCAAGAGATGAAACTTTCATCCCTTAAACAAAATAGAAGAATCTTTCTCAACATCTATAACTTGGGCATAAAATACAGGGTAGGTTGTTGTGAAGATTAAATAAATTAATATACATGACACTCTTAGAATAATGCCAGATATGCAGTGCCCCCTTAACAAGTGGTATTCTTTTGATTACTTATTATCACAGGAATCATCATTATTTTTAGGTAGAAATGTTTCTCTGATTTTCCCCCTCGCTGAGAATAAATGAGAGTGAGGAGCCCCTGATATGTGTACCCTGGGTGTCTGGCAGTCAGTCAGTGAGCCCTGTGTGACAGTGAGGAGAGGAGGTAGTGTGAAGAATAAGAAGGAAAAGAAAGTGGTGAGAAAGATGGAAAAGTCTAGCTGGAAGGGCAAAGGGAGTAGTTATGGAAAGCATCTCAATAGCTGTCATCTATTTACCTTTAATTGCCTTGTCCAAAATTTAACAGCAAAGCAAACATTAGCATTTACACCAGCTGTCTTCAAGAAAATATATTTTGATTATTAAAAAACTTCTGAGGAAGTGAGAGACATAATTACTACCTGTATAGTTAATTCTAAATCATTAAACTTCCTCTTTATAATCATTAGGTTATAAGATGGAAAAAGGGCATAGAAATGCGTGAAGTGATAAAGATGGTTGGAAATTAGGCATCTAAATAGCCATTTCTTCAAAGAAATAGGCAATTTTTAAACATGTATTGAACTTTAAAAAAATTGTGTTGTAAAGGATAGACAAACACACTTGCTATTAAAGAAATTCTAAACTGTTGTACCTCCATTGAAACAAGACTGTACTTAAAGTTCCTTACCACAAAATAATAGAAACCAAGGAGTCTATGGTGTTCTTTTCAATAGGTGTGATGCTACAGGTATATAAGAATGAGGTGAGTCACTGGCCAGAGAGAGCTTTCTAGTTGAGGTTAACAAGACATTTGTCCGTGGAACTATCCTCCCTCCAAACAAACAAACAGTTAATGTGGCCCTTGAAGTTAATTTTCTGTAAACACACACACACACACACACACACACACACACACACATACACAGACACTTACTGTTTCACAAACCAAATCACCTGAAAGGCAGCGCCATCTCATCTGTGTATATGATAGGGAAGGGGTAAATAAATTTACTCAGTATGGGAAATTCATCTTCTAAGCTCTTGTTACCCGGTCCTGCCCAAAGACACCCTGGCATGAATAACATGCAGGAAGTTGGACATGTTACTCTAGTCCAACCTCAGTTGTTTCACTCTGTCCTCTGCAGAAATATCTAGAGGTCCAGGCAAGAAGCATACCTCCTGAGTGAAACGTGTTATAAACACCATAACCATAATATTAGCAGAATTCTCATGAATTCTAGCTCAAGCGCACTCAGATCATAGTGGTATTAATGATACAGATACTGCTTTCCCATTGCTTACAGCAATTGTGGCCATGATTACCATACTTTTTAAGAATAAATTTGCAAAACAATAACTAGTATACTGAAATGATAGAATTATGGGACATGTGGAAAAAGCTTTAGAACTCTTGCAGTCTAAGGCTGGGCATGGTGGCTTATGCTTGTAATCCCAGCACTTTGGGAGGCCAAGGCAGGCAGATTACCTGAGGTCAGGAGTTCTAGACCAGCCTGGCCAACATAGGGAAACCCCGTCTCTACTAAAAATATTTTTTAAAAATTAGCCAGGCAAGGTGGTGGCACCTGTAGTTCCAACTATTCAGAAGGCTGAGGCAGGAGAATCACTTGAACCTGGGAGACAGAGGTTGCAGTGACCCAAGATCAGGCCACTGCTCTCCAGTCTGGGTGACACAGTGAGACTGTGTCTCAAAAACAAAAAAAACTTTTCCAGCCTACCCTCCACCTACAGCTAAGAAAACATACCCAGTTGTAGAAATAGTCACATTTGCAATTCCTTAATGTTTAAAGCAATCACCCCCACTATATTTAAATGTGTGATGACAGCAGATCTTATGTGGTAGCCATCCTCCAACATCAGGACTTTCTTCCTTTCATACATATTAGCTAAGTATGTTTATATTTATTCTGGCCTTGTTGTCTGACTTTACATCCTTTTAAATTTTCTTTCTTCAAATATCAACTTATCCTCAATATGAGGCACTTTCTCACCTTTGTTTTCTCTGACTCCCATCTATCCTATATTCTAAATTGTAGTTTGTCTTTGTCTACAGTTCACTGTTGTCCAACAGAACTTCTATGCTATTCCAGAACTTAGCATGCATCATCTATCAGGTATCTATTGCCTCAATAATGCTTCTTGACATACTGCCACAGAACTCAGTAGCTTAAGACAATAACAGCTCAAGAGTCCGCAGGTCAGGGCTTTAGGCTTTGCTCTGCTGGGTGATTCTTCTTGTATCAGTTGGTCTCATTCATGTGCCTAATATTTGCCTGGTATGACATAAGTGACTGGGCCACATGCCTCTCATCTTCTAGCAGGTTTGCCTGGACAGATGTGTTTTCATGGTTTTGGCTGAGATGTGACAGAAACAGCAAAAATTTACAAGGCTTTTTTAGGCTTCTGCTTAAGCCAAGTCTGCTAACATCCTATTGGACAAAGCAGGCTACATGCCTGAGGCTACAGTCAGAGAGGACACTGCAAAGGTACATGGCAAAAGGATGGAAGGGTGAGGAAGTGGGGCTGTTAATGCAATCATTTCACCATATATCCTGAATAAAAACTTAATTATGAATGAAAGTAATATTGAATTTGACTGTACAGGGCCCAGGTGATTTTGAGGCATAGATTATTTTGGTCACTTATATCAACAATCACGAATTTATATTTGTCACAGAGAGCAGTCTTTAGCACCATCTGACAATTGATGCTTTCTTTTGCAATAAAGAACAACTAGTATATAAATTATGTGTTATTTAATTCAATTTAATAAACATTAATTTACCACATATAGTGAATGAATAAACAGCCTATTGAGCAGCATAAATATAACAAGAGATCCCTACTGCACTCGAAATGGTCCCCATCTTTTCTAGTAGCATATCGACAGTGTGACACTCATACGATCTGAACCCAAGAAGTTAGAAAATAGGAATCTTGGCCAGGTGCAGTGGCTCATGCCTGTAATCCTAGCACTTTGGGAGGCCAAGGCAGGAGAATCCCTTGAGCCCAGGAGTTCAAGACCAGCCTGGGCAACGTAGGGAAACCCTGTCAAGAAAGAGAGAAAGAAAGAGAGAGAGAAAGGGAGGAAGGGTGGGCCTGAGGGAGGGAGGAAAGAAAGAAAGAGAGAAAGAAAGAAAAAGAAAGAAAGAGAGAAAGAAAGAAAAAGAGGGAAAGAAAGAAAGAGAGAAAGAAAAAGAAAGAGAGAAAAAGAGGGAAAGAAAGAAAGAAAAAGAAAGAGAAAGAGAGAAAGAAAGAGAAAGAGAGAAAGAAAGAAAGGAAGGAAGGAAGGAAGGAAGGAAGGAAAGAAAGAGAAACAAAAAGGAAGGAAGGAAGAAAGAAAAATGTTTCCTGGTTTAATTGGTGATGGACTCATACACATGAAACAAAATACCAGACATGGCCAGGCCTGGTGGCTCGCACCTATAATCCCAGCATTTTGGAAGGCCACAGTGGGAGGATCTCTTGAGGCCAGGAGTTAGAAACCAGTCTGGTCTACATAGTGAGACCCGATCTTTACAAAAGATAGATAGATAAATAAATAAATAAATAAAATAGTTGGGTATGGTAGTGCATGATGTAGTCCCAGTTATTTGGAAGGCTGAATAGGAGAATCACTTGAGTTCAAAGCTACAATGAGCCATTATCACACCACTGCACTGTAGCCTGGGCAACAGAGCAAGACCCTGCCTCAAAACCAACAAACAAACCCAGACATAATGAAGAAAAGATACAAAATTCAGGGAAGGAATTCTTAGCCTTTCTAGATCACTGGGGTGGCCACATGAGGTGGTGACTGTGCATCTAATAGTTTTCCAAAAGTTACTCTGAGGGCAGCAGTTGGCACTGCTTGTGGGAATATAAGTTGAATTGCATATATTACATTCCAAGGACGGAAAGAATTAGAAGTGTTCTATCTGGAAAGTGATACGCTATCATTGAAATTTCTCCAGTCTGCTGCACAGAAATAGGGTATGTTCACCCTGAGAAGCAGATGGGTGGGGGCATGACATAGACAGCATGACTTATTATGACTCTTTGACATAACTGAGAGAGCTCACATTGTATGTTATATACCTCAACAACTTTCTCCATCAGACTCTTGATGAGAATTAACAACTAGAAGAAAAATGGCTTTTCCTGAGGTTTTTCCTTTCCCTTTCCTTACCCTGTCAGAGTGGATTTTTTAAAAAAGAAGTGAAATTCTATAATATAAGCTTGGGAAAGAGAAGAAGGAAGAACCCAGTTATCCCTGTAAACAAAATGACATGTGATGGTCTTTCATGGTTTGGAGACCTTAGTAGAGACTGACCTATTAATGGTAACCCAGGAAATATGGATTCTCCTAGTTAAAAAGAAGCAACACACACTTATCATATTAGACTCTCAATAAATGCATGTGTGTAGAAAAAAAATTATTTGTCTTATTTAATGGCCCTATCCCCAACTTTCCAGGACTAAGAGATTTTACAACAGAGTTCTCACCTTAAAGATTCCACTAGATGGAGATCCTGAGCCATATTCCATGGTTTATGACAAAAAGAAATGTGAAAAAAAAAAAAATCAAACATTTTATTTTGCTTTTTGCTTCATTTTTCTAGCTTTTTTTGAAAGACTGCAGAGTAGAATTACTTACTGGTTGGTATATTAAAGAAAATCTGGCATGTACAAACAAGTTCTTCAAAGGTTTTTAGTAACACCTATCACAGGAGGCTGAATTGATACCAGAAACCAGGAGTGTACAAATCCATGATGGTATTTTATTATCAAAGAGAACTGGAAGGGGCTTGTGCTTTTCTTTAAAATCACAGTGACAAAATAACACATCAATTATTTGAACTGATTTGTTTATAATGACATTTACCTTAACTCAGATGATTGGATTCTGTCAACTCAAAATTCCTTTGTTCCTAGTCTAGTAAATAAGATAAAGTCAAGATGAAAAAAGTAGAGGGATGTAAATTTCTAAGGCTGTGAACTAAATGGCTCTTGCTATAATTACTGACAGATATTTGAATGCCATTGTGGGTTGACTCTCATGCATGTCACCTGGGTTCTGAAGGAAGAGGGTCATGAACTCCTTTGGTCATAAGAACATATGCATTTCCAGTGCTGCACACTGGGTAAGAGAGCCACTAGAAGCTGCCACCAAAAGCCTAAGCAGTGGGGCTAGCTGGCTCTTCTACAGACATATAAGGACTCTCCAGGATGTCATGAAGACCTTATGGCCAATAGTTCCATCGCCTCCTCTTTTTCACAAATGGAGTCCAAAGGCCCCACCTGAGTGAATGGCAGAGCCTGGACCAGAAGTTCCCCTCCCAATGCCTGGCATTCCGCTGATTGCTTCCCACTGTTTGTCTGAGTTGATCTGAGTTCTTCCATGAAAAGCTTAACTTCTAAGGTTATGAAACCTGTAAAAGTCAGCCACACAGCCTTCTCAAAGGGGTAGGATGTAAAGGGATTTACATCAGGGAGACCAGCAGAATCAGAGGACAGTGCCACACTGGCCATATATTGTGGGACTCTTGTTCTTCAGGCCTCAGTATATTCGTCTGAAAATTGAGGAGGGTGGAGAAGACAATCTCCTTGTGCTGTGTTCATACACAGGTGTATCAATTGCTCTGGCAAGCTCAGATAAACTTGAGAAAATAATTCTAGGTAGTTTTATTGCCTCTGTCTCCCTCAAAATAACATAGTTCACTTGGGGAAATTGCTTTGGTGATCACCACACTACTAAAACAACCCATTACAAAGATTTATTTGGGAATATAGAAGTTAATCTTCCATCAGGGGCTATTTTAATTATTTGTTAAGGATTCCAGTTGAATTCTATTGTAATGAAATTGGTAGGCCATCAAAATAACCCAAATACCATTCTACAAAGAAAAGATGTATTTAGATATTAGGTATGATGGTGGTGGTTATTATTATTATTATTTTATACTTTAAGTTCTAGGGTACATGTGCACAACGTGCAGGTTTGTTACATATGTATACATGTGCCATGTTGGTGTGCTGCACCCATTAACTCGTCATTTACATTAGGTATATCTCCTAATGCTATCCCTTCCCCCTCCCCCAACCCCACGACAGGCCCCAGTGGGTGATGTTCCCCTTCCTGTGTCCAAGTGTTCTCATTGTTCAATTCCCACCTATGAGTGAGAACATGCGGTGTTTGGTTTTTTGTCCTTGCAATAGTTTGCTGAGAATGATGGTTTCCAGCTTCATTCATGTCCCTACAAAGGACATGAACCCATCCTTCTTTATGGCTGCATAGTATTCCATGGTGTATATATGCCACATTTTCTTAATCCAGTCTATCATTGATGGACATTTGGGTTGGTTCCATGTCTTTGCTATTGTGAATAGTGCTGCAATAAACATACGTGTGCATGTGTCTTTATAGCAGCATGATTTATAATCCTTTGGGTGTATACCCAGCAATGGGATGGCTGGATCAAATGGTATTTCTGGTTCTAGATCATTGAGGAATCGCCACACTGTTTTCCACAATGGTTGAACTAGTTTATAGTCCCACCAACAGTGTAAAAGTGTTCCTATTTCTCCACATCCTCTCTAGCACCTGTTGTTTCCTGACTTTTTAATGATCGCCATTCTAACTGGTATGAGATGGTATCTCATTGTGGTTTTGATTTGCATTTCTCTGATGGCCAGTGATGATGAAGATTTTTTCATGTCTGTTGGCTGCATAAATGTCTTCTTTTGAGAAGTGTCTGTTCATGTCCTTTGCCCAGTTTTTGATGGGGTTGTTTGTTTTTTTCTGGTAAATTTGTTTGAGTTCATTGTAGATTCTGGATATTAGCCCTTTGTCAGATGAGTAGATTGCAAAAATTTTCTCCCATTCTGTAGGTTGCCTGTTCACTCTGATGATAGTTTCTTTTGCTGTGCAGAAGCTCTTTAGTTTAACTAGATCCCATTTGCCAATTTTGGCTTTTGTTGCCATGGCTTTTGGTGTTTTAGACATGAAGTCCTTGCCTCTGCCTGTGTCCTGAATGGTATTGCCTAGGTTTTCTTCTAGGGTTTTTATGGTTTTAAGTCTAACATTTAAGTCGTTAATCCATCTTGAATTAATTTTTGTATAAGGTGTAAGGAAGGGATGCAGTTTCAGCTTTCTACATATGGCTAGCCAGTTTTCCCAGCACCATTTATTAAATAGGGAATCCTTTCCCCATTTCCTGTTTTTGTCAGGTTTGTCAAAGATCAGATGGTTGTAGATCTGTGGTATTATTTCTGAGGGCTCTGTTCTGTTCCATTGGTCTGTGTCTCTGTTTTGATACCAATACCATGCTGTTTTGGTTACTGTAGCCTTGTAGTATAGTTTGAAGTCAGGTAGCATGATGCCTCCAGCTTTGTTCTTTTGGCTTAGGATTGTCTTGGCAATGCGGGCTCCTTTTTGGTTCCATATGAACTTTAAAGTAGTTTTTTCCAATTCTGTGAAGAAAGTCATTGGTAGCTTGATGGGGATGGCATTGAATCTATAAATTACCTTGGGCAGTATGGCCATTTTCACGATATTGATGATTCCTATTCGTGAGCATGGAATGTTCTTCCATTTGTTTGTGTCCTCTTTTATTTTGTTGAGCAGTGTTTTGTAGTTCTCCTTGAAGAGGTCCTTCACATCCCTTGTAAGTTGGATTCCTAGGTATTTTATTGTCTTTGAAGCAGTTGTGAATGGGAGTTCACTCATGATTTGGCTCTCTGTCTGTTACTGGTGTATAAGAATGCTTGTGATTTTTGCACATTGATTTTGTACCTGAGACTTTGCTGAAGTTGCTTATCAACTTAAGGAGATTTTGGGCTGAGACGATGGGGTTTTCTAGCTATACAATCATGTCATCCGCAAACAGGGACAATTTGACTTCCTCTTTTCCTAATTGAATACCCTTTATTTCTTTCTCCTACCTGATTGCCCTGGCCAGAACTTCCAACACTATGCTGAATAGGAGTGGTGAGAGAGGGCATCTCTGTCTTGTGCCAGTTTTCAAAGGGAATGCTTCCAGTTTTTGCCCATTCAAAGGCCTTTGACAAAATTCAACAGCCCTTCATGCCAAAAACTCTCAATAAATTAGGTATTGATGGGACATATCTCAAAATAATAAGAGCTATTTACGGTTATTATTTTTTTAACCATTTCCATAAAGCCAATGTTTACTATATTCTCTATATTTATAACACTATCAAACTCAAGATAGTAAACTATTTGGGGAATTTCAAATGAAGGTATGGCTCTAAGTTTATTCATTTGTTCAGTTCCTATGTGAAAGTGCTCATGAATATTCACAATAAACCGTGTGAGATTTGGGTGCGGAGATCCAACTTTCAGTGGGCTTGGTTGGGTTATTTTGTTGCCAGTCTTTCTAATAGATGATGGAGGTCTGCTTGTGCGTACAGTATTGTTTTTATGCTAAGCCTAAATCTCAGTGGGATTTAGGAAAGGGTCCCTCAACTGCAAGATAACAGAAAATGCTGTTGAAAGAGACAAGTGCTTAGGATAGTAAAATAAATATGGGGAGATAGAAACCATACATTGGAGGTCTGTATGGTATTTTAGTTGACTCTCATTGTAAGTGATGGAAACCAACCCAGAGCAGCTTGAAAAAAACGGGGGTATTTCTTATGAGGATAGAGGAGGTCTCATTGCATCCGGTGACAGGAAAAGAGCTGGACCTCAGACAGGACTCAAAGGATCTGGACACCCATCAAGTATTTAGAGAGGGCTCACTTTCTATTGCTGTTCTATGTCCTTCCACTTGTTTCTCTCCTTCTGCCTTTCAATAGACCTGAAGAGAATAAGGTAGATATTGCATAGTGCCTGCATTGACAGTTTCTCAGCAAAAAAAGAAAAAATAAATAAATAAGACCAATCAGACTGACTGACCGGTTATTTCTATACTAATCCCAAATTCTTGAGGAGGCAAATCTGAGTGGACTGACTTGGGGCCATGTGCCCATCTTGATTTGAACAACTCTGATCTGGGGAGGGGACAGGACACACAGGGCTTCTGAACCCACTCTTGGGGATGTCATGGTAGCTCTCAAGAGGTCTGTCATCCAGGAAATAGCAGTGTTAGATGGGGAAGGAGGCTGGGGAGCCTAATGAGATCAGATAATTTCATGTAAATCCTTTCTCTCTCCCTTAGTACTCACAAGACTTCAGACAAGTTATTTAACCCTCACCTTCTTAGTTTCTTCACTGTAAAATGAGGGTGTCCATAGCACTGTTGAGAAGATGAAAACAACAAATCCATGTAAAGTTGACAGCACAGTGCCAAGAACATAACTAATAAATATTGGTTTTGATACTGTCATTATTAAAAGGTACAGATATTTTAAAAGAAAATATCCAGTTACCTTGAGTCAATTTCTGAGGCTGTAGAAACTTGTTAGTAACCTCTCATTTTGCAATCCTCCCTTTTCTGTCATTAAATGTAGACATTACATTCAAATGCCCACTTTATACTAAGACTTAGAGGAAGGTTCAGAGGACTCTTTCTCCCTCACGTTCCCCTCAGCCCTGCTAGTCTTGGCTCTTCTGCCAAAACCATTACACTTAGAATCATTTACACTTCCTGACTTTCCCCCAGTCTGAGTCTTCTCCTCTGCTTTACCTATCTCTAACTATCCTCTATTTTGAAATTGTCTGACACTCATATTCCCACACCACTACCCCCACCTTGGCTTGTTTTCTCTTCTCTGTTAACAACTTTATCTCTAAACAGCTTCAAGTCTTCAAATCTCTGAGACCTTCCTACCTTCCTTAAAAATGTGAGGGCCACTGCCCCATCAGGGGGAATGTCTACAGCCATTAAGTCCTATAGGTAGCAAGAACTCTCCATGCAAAAAAAGAAAACAAGAAAAGCCCAATTTTGAGAATTGATGCCAGATTTACTAAGAATATTATAACATGTGATCATTCTAAAGTAATTGCTATTGCTGAGTGTAACACTATATAATAGGCATATTAACTAGGTTGGCTGGTAAATGAACAAGGACTTTAGAATACATCTGTTCTACATAAGATTTTCATTTAAGGGAGCTAATTATATCCATACCAGCAACCTTGGGTTAGTGTGGGCTATCGACCATGAGTTGGCAATGGCCTCATTATGTAGAACTGAGTGTTATAAATGATAGTCATTAAGACGGGATTTTACCTTTATTTAGAGGCCAAAGATACAAAATGTAGAGTTTCTCAAATTGGGCTTTCTGGGAAAGTTCCAAGCTGATAGAAGAGGATGAAAGAGAACAACTTTGGAAAACTGTGTGGTGGTAGCAATAACAAAGATGACGGGTTCAGCCTCCCTCCCCACATACTTTTCCGGCTGTTTCCTTTACCTAGTGACTGCATTGACTTGCCTTTGATCTTTCCTTCTCCTCCTTATCTCGTTATCTTCACATTTCCTGCCAACCTCTTCATACTACCCCCCTTTCTAATCCAGTGTAAGACAAAGGAAAGAGTCAGGTAATATACTATCCTTAAATCCTAAAAATCATAGGAAGCAAAAATACGAGGTGAAACATGAAGATGTCAAGAGATAGAATGAGTTAGCCAAGGAATTAGACACACTAGTTCTTACCCTGGATAAGTAGGTGGGGCAGGCACACGTTTGAGATGTTGGAAGAGGCGACATTTTTAGTTTTCTGAAGCATATTATAGTTTTTGGTACCTGGGAGAGTCAGGCATCCATTGACTTGCAATGAGCAGGAAAGTCCTGCCCAGTAAAAAAATTTGTTGTACTCCAAATGCCAATAGTTCCACTGTTGCAAAAATTTAGTGGAGTGAAATAGACTGATTATTTAGATCAGGAGTCACAAAATGGCCATTGAGCCATTGACTGTGGCCAGGAGATGTGTTTTGTTTGGCCTGAAGCATGTTTTATAAAAATTTAAATTTAAATAGTGGAGAGGCACATTTTCTATTTCTCCATAATGCCTAGCTCCCACTTGCCTGTTGTTATTAATCATATCACTTATTTATGTTACCCACTTGGAACTTGAAGGCATTTGAATCTGCCTGGTGACTTTGATTTAGGTGTCGCAAATCTACATTATTGAAATGAAAAGCAAACCCTGAATTCCCCCTGGTATTGGTTTGAGTTGTGAATTGTTTGGCTTTATGGATCATCTCTACCATAGTTTACAAGGGGCAGCTCCTGGGACACTGCAAAGAACTTTAATTCTCCAATTTCTCTTGTACTCTGATATGAATTTACTGGTTCCTCTTACAATTTATCTAAGCCCCTGTAGAAAGTATTTGTATTTTATACATTTGTTTATACATGATTTATGCGTTTTCTAAAAGGCTTTGAGGCAGTTTACAGTAACAGCACAATTAAAAATAAAAACAGAAGCATTTAAGAGATCAATTAAGAGGAGTAGAACTACCAGGATTAATTTGTCACTTCAGTTAGATTCAGCTCTGTGCTTCTTTGGATAAACCAAAGAATGGATTGTGTACTTCCTATTGTCAAATTAAAAGAAGCATACACATTTGGTGAGATAGATCTCTTGAGCTGATATTGAAGTCTAAACATATTTTATTGTATGAAGTTTTATAATGTGACTATTCCTATTAATACTTTCAGCCAGTCTGCATTTATTCCTATAAAAATAGATTATCTATCCAACAAAACAACATTCTCTCCAGAGTGCCCTGGATTCAGTTATGCACAGATGTGGAAGACCAATAAATACTTTTGAAAATAAGTACTTTTGAAAATCTTTGGACATTGATATTCAGATGTTTCATATACATAGGACAAAGATTATAAGGGAAATGGCTGTTGATGCCAAAGTTTGTGAAGCAGCTTGGGGCATAGATGCTTTTTAGAAAGGACACTAAAAACATGGCACTAGATTTAGGTAGTGTGTGGAAATGATACTGGTAGGTAACCTTCCTTTCATGCTAAAGCCTTTGCCTGTCAAAAGCAGTAATTGGTTTATTTCAAGGATTTATAAAGCCTAGTTACTACCACTGTTGTGAAGATCAGCTTTTCTTTTCTGAAACCTGAGGTCTAGTTATGGGATTGTGGCCTTCATGTTTTGTGACCACATGCACAAAAACGCCCCTAGATATTTTCTCTGTATGAGACAGTCTATGGATGAAAGTGATTTGTTTGACATCGTGTGGGTACAGACAGGTGGAAGACCTGACTGGTGACAAATGGCAATTTACCTGGCCCTGTATTTTAGAGACTAGGTCCTTGGAGCCACCACTGCATTGCCTAAGGCATGACACAGCAAGTTTCTTACTGGAACCTCTGTTTCCCCAAGAATTATGTAGTGTTTATCTTCTTTTCTTTTTCCAAGAAGTTTAAGGAGAAATTTAGAGCCAAGTTGCTTTAACTTACTTTTTGATTGCCAACATAATTCTCTCCCACTTTTCCTCTGACACATTTGAAAAATCACACACAGACACACACACACACACATGCATTTGTACATATCTATAATAGAATATATTTTATAATACAATATGTTTGGCATTTATATATATCATGGCATTGTATTCTAAGTGACTTCAAAATCCTTTTGGAAGTCAGAGGGTATAAGTTATAAATAAATTAAAGAAATAATATTCATTTTCAGTGCTTTTTAGCAATCCTGCCATATTTCTATCTTTCATCTGACTTTTTAATTGGACAATTCTATGTGGCCACAATGGAGCCTCACAATAAATATCTATGGAATGTCTTGTTCCCTCTTGCTTCTAATACGGCTCTAACACATTTTGAAAACAGGAGATCTTATAAATTTTAATATTAAATGACAGTGATCAAGGTTGCTTGTAGATTTAGGCACCCCCTCTTTCTCTGTGTCCTTGGATGTGATGTGTGAACCTCCTCCTTGCTGTGAGATGCCTGTGAACATGTTAAGCATTTGTGAAAATACCTATGGTCACATAACTATTTTGGGGGATCACCAGGTCTTATAGATGTGTGTACCAGTGTAGATCCAAATATGTTCAACTTGGAGAAACCTTGGCAAACTTTTGAGGGAGGAAGTGTCTTGATTTCATTGAGAGGTGGCTTAGGGGCTGCTGGGGATCATCCTGGCAGGCCTCCTGCTCTCTGAGAGGTACAGGAGACTCCTAAATCACCTATTGTGCAAACACCTATTTCCTAGCAAGTTGTGGTTATAAGATTATATGTCCATATCAAGGTTTTGATGGTGCCATAAACCACTCAAGCTCAGCTCTTATAATTTATTGAAACATCAGCTCCCCTCAAGGGAATTACAGGCTGATAATTACCATTTGTCCGGGTGCTATAAACCAAGTCAAGCAAGGTTGGATTTCTCTACGACAGAAATAAATGCTATGTTAGGCGACAGGGGGAGACTTTTACTAAAACTAAACAGATGGGAATCCTGCCACCCAAATGAGGTTCTTTTGATATACATACTCTCTCATTTCTCCTCACCATACATGGAGAAAGTGGCTTAATGCCTGAAAAGATCGGTTTTGGAGGAGTTTCTGTGATAACCAGTTTTCCTTTTGAACATCTCCAGAAGCTTTTGTTTTTATCATCATGGGCTTTGTCTCAGGACTCCTGGCTCAGTTTCCACCCCTCTGCTTTCCCCTTGTCCTTTCCTCTTGAGCGTCTGCCTCTGTTGGACTTGCCCTTTTCAGCAACACAGCCTTTTCAGTAGCTCGCTTACATGGGGAAAAGCCTATTCTGCACTGGGACCCACCTAGGCTCTCACATCAATAAAGCAAGTTGATGGCAGGTTTAACACATTCCCCAATTATTGTCTGCAGATGCTTTTCATAAATAATCTCTGAAACCTTTCACATACAAGAAAACACTCTCCTGGCAAAATAATCGTGTTTGGGAGCTTGAAAAGGAAAACCATAACAAAGAAAGAATAGAAAATATTCACTGACAGGAGCTTCCCAGCCATAGACCTGACTCCTGTTCAGAGGGATAAAAGCAGAATAAAAGTCCCAAGGCATCATATCCTGACCCTGGGGTTACCATATTGGGACTTTTACTGAAACAGAGAATGGCTGCAAGAACACTTTTCCTTATTTTATCATTGCCATGGTTATGTTTTGCTATATTTTCCATTCCCTCTTATCTCACTTCTCCCCTGCTGTGGAATCAGGTGGTTAATCACACCAGCTGGTTGTCTCTTCTCCATACCTTTGTCTGGAGAGTCTCTTAGATGGTGATCTCTGAAAGGCCGATCCAAAACTCTAGAGATGGCTGGGCCTCAAGCCCTTCTCCTGGCTTCTAGAAGGAGAAAGAGAAATCCTGAGATGTCCAGACATGCTTGATTGTAGGGAAAAATTGCACATATTTTTGGTCCGTCCCCTGTGGGCAGGCAGTCTCTGGTGAGTTAAATGTGAAGAACTTTTTCTCTCTTTATTAAAAATGTTTTTTTCTTTATCCCCTTTTTCTTCACCTTCTTATATAAAGTATTAGAACATTAATTTGAAGACATTCTCTTACATCTATTAGCATTACACATCCCTCTGGGAAGCACTGGTAATGCATGTGATCCCAGAAAGGCTAGGGCTGGCCACAGCTTAAAGCTCCAGAGGACTAAGTCCCCTCCATGCTCAGTCACTCAGCCACATCCATCTACAGTGAGGGGTAATCAGATCCTGGCCTGCTACAGCACAGCACAGCACAGCATTCATCCCTGCAGCACCCTCTAGATAACCACCACTCTGAAACTCAATTACTGTAGCCAGAGTGTCCTAAAGGATCCTAGGAAAGAACAAAATGCTTGTGCAGCATTAGGCAAGGGGAAAGACCTCTGTTGGCTTCCTCTCTTTTCCTCTCTTGAGATAAAATTCCACCTTGTTCTTTCATCCATCCAGAGAAGGGACTGGAGCTCTGTATGCCTTGCAAAAATAGGGGATGGGGAAAAGAAAGCAGAGCTTTTAATCAATGTTTGATGTCTCTGCAAAGTCCAGCTAGTCCTCTATTCACCAACTTGAATGCATTTAGTGTGAGCAAAGTGATACATCGACACTTTTTTTTTCATGCAGGCCAAATCCCAATTTCAAGGAGGCAGAAAAGCTGTCCAAAGGTCATAAAATACAGTAAGGCAGAGCTACAGCCTGGAGGCAGATGTGAGCTTTCTAAAAGCAGAGCAAAACTTCTTGGAGCCATTCTGCTCCAAGGGAGTGGGGAGAGAGGAGTGAAGGTCTGAACTTCAAATAAGTGTAAATAAAGCATTCCTCCTGCTCTGATTTTAATCTTTTCATTGGCTGCTTTCTGGGATGGAGTACCTAAGTGAGTGGATTTGCCTACTTACTCAATAAATCAAAGCTTTTCAGAATAGGATCATCAATAGGGACTCCTTACGCCAGGAAACTGTAATTGGAGGTAAATATTAATTCCAGAGGAAGGCCTTTGAGCCCAATAAGTGCAACAACAATATGTCTCTAAGGAGCCACTTCTTTTCTTTTCCATATCCATTGGAAGCAGATTATGGGAGCAAAGCTTATCTCCCATTTTTATCCATTTTAACAATGTTCTACCTACTGCTAAACTGAGCTGCCTTAAGCTCAGTACAAAGCCCTTTTCAGAGCATCTAACGGATAACTTAAAAAAAAAAAAAAAAACCTTTTCACATAGCTCTCCTGGTACCCTTTCAAGAGTTGCGGCTCTGTGCAGGCAGCCAGACTTGTGCTGGCTTTTGGGGACAAAAGCACACCAAGTATTATAACTACACTCATTATTTTAAGTTGCCGCCATACTCCTGCTCCTACCTTCTTTCTTTCTTGCAATGTTCACCCTTACCTCCCTTGAGATGGGCAGACCTATGGAGGCCGCTATGCTTTTTCTTTGTTCACTGGTCAGGAAAGCACAGTGAGCATCTCTTGTGTTAAATCGTCTCAGCTTTATCAGGCAACGGTGCCTAAAACTTACGGTCTCATCTGGAGACTTACTAGGCTGCCTGTGGCTAATACGATAAAAAAGAGAATTCAAAACAGGTGGAATGGGGGCCAGATGTTTCTAGAAGCCTGTGAATAGTTTGTTTCCATATCACCAGAGATAAAGGTGGACTGCTGTTCTCTCTGCTAATGAGAGAGATCTCTGGAATCTCATTTTCTTTCCACATAAGGATGGGGTGGTGTGCACTCTGCTGCTGCAGCTGAGGAGATTTCTGAGAACTCTGTGGTTTATTTTAAAATCTCTCAACATCACTTTGAAGTAAGTCTACTTTGAAGTAACTCTGAACCTGTTTCTGAAGAGTTTGATGTGTGTCTGAAAGGCGATTTCAGTAGTCCTCTCCTCCCAGCCCTGGTTCTTCCCTCTCCCCAGCTGCCATGTTGGCCTGAACAGGTTTTCTTACAGTCAGCCTCACTGAGGATGCCCCAGGCCCTGGCCCAGAATCACACTCCACTCAACGCAGTGCTGAGGAGAAAGGCAAACATTGCCTATTTCATTTGAGTCTTCGCTGTGGTCTGCTTCTCCCTGTACCCCCAGCTGCTTTCTTTCACTTCCTTTCAGCATTTGCCTGTTGATGCCATGTCTGCCCGATCTTGAGTAGTGTCATACTATTTACTTCCTGTCATCCCTCTCACAGATAGGCTCCCTTGGAAGCCAACCCTGAAGCAGAGGTTCTTGTGCACAGATTAGGGAGTGCTTTTGGGATCAGACCTGTGGAAAGAAGCGGTGGGAGGTAGGAGGGTGCAGAGGAAGTTGAACTACAATGCAGCCCCTCACCAAAGCCCCAGCTGACCCCAAGGAGTGGGGACTCTGGAGTCAGGATGGCCCTTCAGAGCTGTCTAAACTGGCACAGGAGACCAGGTCTTCATATGTTTATAGCATCGGATGTCTCTGGAAAGCAGCATGCCCTCCAGGAAAGATAGCTTCCTTCAACCAAGGAAATCCCCATAGGGAGCTCAGAGCTAAGGGCCCTCTTTGCCGCAGTGGGGGGAATAAATTCTACATCTTCAAAGGGAGATGAAGGCTAGGCATCATATCATCCACCACCAACAATTAGGTGGATCTGCAGGTAACCTCCTCCTGGTGGTTTTAAGGTGAGATACTTAGAGAAGGTGATGCCTTCAGAGAGTCTGCAACCTTTTCTCCACACAGCATGAGCCTGTTTAGACAGCAGCAAGAGCTGCACTCTTGACTCGCCCTGCAATATCAAACTATGGTCCCAGTTAGCCTGGCTTCCAAAACAGAACTGCCCATGAACAATGACTTCCTATCTCCTTGAAGCAGCATCTGATGTGCATCTTCTCCAGCAGCCCTGAAAACTGGTTCTGCCAGCTGGAGAGGGGAGAGCCAGCATTTAGACTCAACAGGAAGCTTGGATTTCAACAGAGAAAAAATACATAAATATTTATCTAATCACATAATTAAAGGAAATCTACTGCCCCATACAGTTGCAATCTAAATAACCCACTTCATTAAAATGCAGATGTTCTTGCGAAATTCTTTAAAATTTTTTCAAAAGGTTCTTTCCTCCATGGGTTTGTTTTTTAAAAGAAGAGACAAATATTTGTTATAAATATATAAGATATATAATTATATATGTATATATATATATATAGATATATATTTAACAGCATTTTGTTTTTACTCTGTACCCTCTTCCCATTTGACTATACAATATTATCAGTTATTAGTACTCAACAAGGATATTACCAAATGACATCATAAAACATTTTCATCTTTCACCATTACAGGACAGCAGGCAGATTTGTCTACACAGGTGAGGGAAATGGAGAGCTGAATTATTCAGTGAATTTGATTAATGTTTATGTCAGAGCAGGAACAAATGTATCAGTAATGGGAAGTTCAATTAGTGCTTTAATTAATTAGGTTCCTGTTTTTAGCTCTATTGTGAAAGATAATTATTTGTTAGCTTTGCTTAGGACCTGGGCTAAGGCCTTGATTACAGGTATTAAAAAATATAATGCAAGAGAATTGGGGCTCTGAAGAAACTTAAAGCTTGTGACAATAGAAAATGCCAGTGAAAATTCAAGCACATTGTCATTTACTGGAGTCATTAAAGCCTCCACTGAAAGTTAGAACAAAGTTCAAAATAAATGATTTTAACTGAAGTTAGAATTGTAAGGCCCTTTTGGTGCATTGTCTTCCTCTTCCACGGGAATTTAGGGCCACTTTTAACTGCTGTATCAAGACAATACGGCATTATGCATTTAACCAGGAAGCTGACTTTAGAGTCTCTTTCTCTCTGTCTCTTTCTCTGTGTCTGCCCGGAGCTTTTATTTTTACAATGATAAACCTATTCGCAAATAAGGATCATGGAGGCTTAATCTTATAACAAAAAATGGAGTAGTATCTGCAGGAGAGCCTGCGTAATTTAGATTTCTCCCCCTACTCACTGGTAGAGTTTAATCATATCCGAAAGGCACAGTGATTTAAGTGCCTGAGCATCTGCATATAGACTTTCCTTTTGTTCCTGATTTTAGTCTAGCCCGCAGTTCTCAAACTTCAGTGTGTACAAAGATTTCCATATAGGAATATACTCTTGAAACCGGGATAACTGTACCTCATGGACCAATTAAGAGAATTTCAAGGGCAATTTAAACTCTCTGAGAATTGTAAGAAGCAGAACAACTATTGAACCACTTCGTCCTGGAAATCAACTAAAGATGAAATCTTTTATCCCAAGTAACCATTCTCCGCAACTCTAGCGTTAACATATGACAAAACGATGTGGTACTGATGGAGTACTGAAGTTTATGAATGACTTGCTTTTTAATTTTGTATTTAAAAAGCATTCAGCGTTAGTCCTTATAAAGTGGAATGCGTAATCTTTGGCATCTGGGGATGCTTTGCTGAGTGGGAGCGAGGGAATTTCAACCAAGTATCCAGACATGGAATTTTTAGCTTAGCTGTTCGATGCTGTGGCCTTTTCCAGTGGGTTGTGGCTCTTAGACTATTGTTGTGTTTTTGATTTTACAGCTAATTTTCTTCTTAATGTTAACCATGGATACATTTTTCTAAAGGGAGGAAAACAGGAGTAGAGAAAGAAAACATCTAGATCATGTATGATAAAGAATGATACTGTAGCTATTTTTGTTCTTAACAACACAATAGCAATGCTCCAAATAAGGCAAAGAGATGTGAGAAGCATTTATAAATAATAATTTAAAATATTATGCAAATATATAAACCATGTGTTTATAATGTTTCAAACATGCTTTAAATTTTCTTCACTAGTCTATATTTGCACCTTTATTAGTATTATTCATGAAGCAAAATTAAGGTCTAGAAAAAAAAAGACTTGAAGTTCAGTTAAAAAGCTTGGTCAGGCCGGGCGCGGTGGCTCACGCCTGTAATCCCAGCACTTTGGGAGGCCGAGGCGGGTGGATCATGAAGTCAGGAGATCGAGACCATCCTGGCTAACAAGGTGAAACCCCGTCTCTACTAAAAATACAAAAAATTAGCCGGGCGCGGTGGCGGGCGCCTGTAGTCCCAGCTACTCGGGAGGCTGAGGCAGGAGAATGGCGTGAACCCAGGAAGCGGAGCTTGCAGTGAGCCGAGATTGCGCCACTGCAGTCCGCAGTCCGGCCTGGGCGACAGAGCGAGACTCCGTCTCAAAAAAAAAAAAAAAAAAAAAAGCTTGGTCAAAAAGAGACTCTTTGCCAGTCCGTCCTCTGTTCAAAGAAAGAAGAGATGACATTCTTCTTTCCTTTGAACATTGTAAGTCCATTTTCTCATTCAGTTACCTTTTGTTCATGAAGGGTCAGCTGAACCATTTGGTAGTAGAGGATATTTGCTGGATGGTCAGAGCAGCAGCCAGACATTTAGTGAGGGGAATTTTCATGAAAAGAAAAAGAAAACCAAATATTAATAGTTGGAAACCCAGTTTCCAAATCCAGAGGGCAGCCAGTTGAGGTCCAGACATTGGGCTTGAAGCATCTTAATGAGGACAGTTGTGGCAGGCTGACAGATTTACTGGGTTGCAATTTGAATGTCTTTGGTGATGGCATCAGTTTTGCTGGCTTGGCTGAGCCCAGACCTAGCCACAAGGCTCTTATATTTGTGGGGTCCCGGATAAGAGCACAAACAGAGCCCGCATATCATGGGCCTGAATATCTAAAGTTCTACGGCAAGTCACCAGACAGCTAAAGAAACATGTTCTATACATCTGTCTTGACAAATATGTGTTCATAATGATCAAGAAGGCTAGTTCAATTTGGAATTCTTGAAACTAAGTTCAGTGTCAACTAACTTAGAGGCAGTGGGATTGAGATGCCCTGATCTCTAGCTGCTAATCCACTCTGGCTCAATCGCAGACTTAGGAAAGGGGTTCGTGGAGACACAGGGGCAGTCTTGGGACCATCAGGGCAGATTTCAGTGTCTCAGGTGCCTGGAGTGTGGCCTAGATGGGAGCGCTCCCTACCCTGAGGGGAAAGGACCACTGGACAAAGTTCCTAAGGAGGTCTATAATGTATACAGCATGATTGTATTCATTTCTTATAGCTGCTGTAACAAATTACTACAAATGTGGAAGTTTAAAACAATCGAAATATATGATTTTCCAGTTCTGGAGGCCAAAGTCAGTATCACCAAACCAAGGTATCAGCAGGGCTTCTTTTTTCCCAGAGGCTGTTGGAGAAAACTTGTTCTTGTTTTCTTCTTCCAGCTTCTGGCAGCCGCTGGCATTCCTCATGTTATGACTGCATTACTCTAGTCTTCAAAGCCAACATCCTTAAATCCCTCTTTGCTTCACCTTCATATCCCCCACTCTGTGGGTGTATTCAAGTCTCTCTCTGCCTGTACATCATAAGGATAGAAGTGATTGCATTTAGGGTCCACCTGAATAATTCAGGGTCATCTCCTTATCTCAAGATTTTTCACCTAATCACATCTGCAAAGTCCCTCTTTTTTTTTTTTTTTTTTTTTGAGATGGAGTTTCACTCTTGTTGCCCAGGCTGGGGGGCAGAGGTGCAACCTCAGCTCACTGCAACCCCCACCTTCCAGTAGCAAGCAATTCTCCTGCCTCAGCCTCCCAAGTAGCTGGGATTACAGGCACCTGCCACCACACCCAGGTGGTTTTTGTATTTTTAGTAGAGACGGGGTTTCACCATGTTGGCCAGGCTGGTCTCAAACTCCTGACCTCATGATCCGCCCACCTCAGCCTCCCAAAGTGCTGGGATTGCAGGCGTGAGCCACCCTGCCTGGCCTGCACAGTCCCTCATTTTATATAAGGTAACATTTATGGGTTCCAGGGATTAGGACCTCATATCTTTGTGGGCCCATTGTTCAGCGTACCACAGCATTGTCATTGTCTGATGATTTAAATTACGGCATTTGAGGGGGAAAAAAGGCTTAAAAATATGTCGCGTTTGAAGGAAAAAACAATTAAACTCATTACCTGGTTTAATATGAAGAGAGAAATATCTTCATCTTGGACATCATAAAGAATACCATCAGTGATGAGAAAAAAGTTTTTATTTTGTCACCTTTTTCTATGTTTAAGGAGGAAAGCTGATAGCAAATGACTGAGAAAGCAAGACATTTTAGCCAAATATTTTTCTAATTTTGTTTATATTAATCAATGCTGTTTTTATCTTTGATAGGCAGGCAGCAAACCACACCACCCTGAAAAGAAATTATTTGAGCACTTTAAAAAAAAAGGTAAATGTATTCAAATTGGCAGGGCCTGATGACAGGCTTTTTTCCTGAGGATGTGAGATAGAAGTCTTGAATTCAATTCATCTTTTCAACTAAACTCTAAAACACATTGATTGAGAGACCTCTAGATTCCAGGCACTGAGCTAGGTTTTGGAAATAGATAAATTATATCCTATACATGTTCTCAGAGAGCTCATAATTTAACAGGTGAGAGAGACATAGAAACAAACAATTAAGTAAACGAAAATACAGTGTATTAAGTGCTGTGTGAGGGTTATGATTGAAATGTTCAGGATAAACTTTCAAATGGAGAAAAAAAGAGAACCTAGGAAAGTATCTGACACTCAGGGGACACTAAATAAGTATTTGAATAAATGAACTGCCGGCCTTTCCTCCCCAACTTCCCCAACTCTAGTTTAAGCTGCCATTATCTTTTGCCTGAACCTCTGTAATAGCCTCCACACTTGTCCCCCAGCTGACACTGTTGTCCCCAGATCCATGCATGTATTCTCTGCCTCCAGTTGTTTTCCACCATATTGGAAATAAGATTCTGTCTACTAGCCATGGCCTACTGGGCTGCACATGACCTACACCCTGCCTACCTTTTGACTTTGGCCTATGCTCGCCATTTTCCAGCCACACTGGCCTTCTTTCTCTTCCTGGAAACTCAGAGCTGATTCCTGCCTCAGGGCCTTTACTCCTGTAGTTTTCCTTGTTCTAACCTGTCTCTTTCTTTTCATCCAGGTTGCTGCTCCAGTATCCCCCTTGTAGAAGGAACTCATCAGATCACCCTATCAAAAGGCTTTCCCAGTCAATGTTTTTATTCACAGCAATGATCAATTTCCAAAGTGATCTTTTCTTTTTATTTTCTTTCATCCTCCATTGAAATGCAATTTCTTTGAGGCAGGACCTTATTAATCTTCTGCAACATTTTATTCCAAGTGCCTGTCACACAATAGATGTAAACTTTGGCACCTGGAATGATATGAAAATTCAAAACCTATATGGCTCAAGGTTGGCACCTTGATGAAAAGAATTTCCAAAAAATACACAGCGGCCCTAATGTTCTAGGCATTGACATCACTGGCACCCTGAGACTTTAAGTGGGCTTAAGAGTTTAGTCCCATAAAGGTCACAGTGCACAGCTGTAAAGTTTTCATGAAGGATGATTTTAGTGTTCTGTTCTTTCCAGACTCCTAGGCTGAGCTAGAATTATGACATAGGAGTAAAAATGAACCTTAAAAAATAGTGTTGCTTTAAAATGAGTACAGCCCAAGAGATAAAATTGTGGTGACAATTTAAACTAGTTATTCAAACATGTCTCTTCCTTCTTTCTCTGGAGCCTTCTGCTGTACTTCATCAATAAAAATATCTGCAAGTGCTTTGCAATCAGAGAAGCTTATTATAAAAACATCTTGGTTTTTAAAAAATACTCAGTGATCAGTATTTTTCATTTATCAGTTTCTATGCTGTGTTTTGTCTGGAAGCCTCATCTCTCTCTTCTTTGAGTTATTGCCTGAACATCAAACTAGTATATTTCATATGTCAGTCATATTAAATTAGAGGTTAAATTGAAAAAGCTCCTTTGTGTAAAGGTCAAGCTCTTTTTAAAAAGCTTCTGGCATTCAAAGTTGAAGCAGTAAACAACAAAAGAGGATGGTGAAGTTGAACAAATGCGCGTTAATTGGCCATTAGACTTGGACTGATTTAAAAATGAATGCCTACCTCTGCATTCTGGGCTGTCTACCATATCCAAGGCAGGTCCTCTTAGTGGGCAGACTTCAGATAAATATCATCTCATGCCTGCCTCATTAAAAACTTCTGGATGTTGGCTTGGTAAATACCTGGTATAAAGAACTATCCCAGGCTCATACCTCTTTCCTCTGATTCTCCACTTAATTAGACTTAATCATTATTCATTTGCCTGATTCAGGAAACATTTAAAGCTGTTTTTCTCTTAATTATTTTAACTAAAAAAGCTACTAGACCAGTGGAGATTTTTGAAGCCTGTTAAAACCATTAGAGCACAGAATGGTAAGTTCTAGTTAGTATCTAGATAAGGCAGAGAGAAAAGGAATCAGGAGGCTTTTTCGCTGATGAGAAAATCGCAAGCAGGGCTTAGGCAGGCTGCTGAGTAGCGATGGGGCCGTGAAGAGAGAGATATTTTATTATCCTGTTTTCAGCCCTGAAGTGGTTTTGAGTTAAGGACACCTGCAGGGGAAACAACTATGTGTGGGTGACTGTCATCTCCAATTAACACAGCCTGGAGTCCCAAAATTAAGAGCCTCTTTGAGAGTCAGTCTCCCAATCAAGAGGCACCACGAGGGATGTCTTTGACAGGGGCGTGAAGTGGCCATATGCCCAGGGTTCTAAAGAGCACAGGGGTATCAGCGGTTTCCACCAGCAAAGTGGAAGTCTGAGGACACCAGAAGCAAGAGATGCAACTGGCACATAGTTAGGCTTTAAAGCAAAATCAAGAATTTTTTTGTGCTTTAAAATTCTTTAAAGCTGGGGGGCACTAAAAATTCTGGACTGTTCAAGGCTAAAAATTACTTTGAATTCTATGTTATCAGTATCTGGGACATAGTAAATATTTAATTGATGCTAGCTAGTATTAATACTATTAATCCTATTAGCTGCTCGTCACCTGCATCCATAGAATCATAAAAGCAGAAGTTTGGTCATTTGCTCCAAATTTCTGCCTCTAGGGGCTTAAAAGTGTCAGGAGTTATTAAGCTGAATCTCTCACTTGCATTCATATCCAAAGAATTGTGCAGCAGAAAAAAATATCCTTCTCCTCACTCTCATGCCTTCATTCTTGAAATAATTAGGCATGCCGTGAGAAACTAGTGCACAACTAGCACATAGCAATCACACGAAGGTTCTGTATCATTCATTTTAGGTGTCAACTTAACTGGATTAAGGAATACCTAGAGAACAGATAAAGCATTATTTCTAGGGCTTGTCTGTGAGGGTGTTTCCAGAGGAGATTTGCATGTGAGTTACTGGACTGAGTGGGGAAGACTGCCACTCTCACTGTGGGCAGGCACAATTCAATCAGTTAGAGGCCCAGATAGAACCAAAAACCAAAAACCAAAACAAAACAGAAACCCAATTTCCTCTCTCTCCTGAAGTTGGAACACTCTTCCCCCACCTTTGGACATCAAAACTCCAGGCTGTTAGGCCCTTGGACTGCAGGACTTACACCAGTGGCCTGCTGGGTTCTAAGGCCTTTATCCTTTGCCTATTGGCTTCCATTTCTGAGGCTTTTGGACTTGGACAGAGCTGTGATATGGGCATTCCAGGGTCTCCAGCTTGCAGACAGAGCCAGTTCCCCTAATAAATCCCCTCTCATCTATCTATCATCTATCTATCTGTCTGTCTATCTATCTATCTATCTATCTATCTATCTATCTATCTATCTATCTATCCATCCATCCATCCATCCATCCATCCATCCATCCATCTATCCATCTATCCATCCATCCTTCCTTCCTATTGGTCTGTCTCTGTGGAAAACCCCGACTAATACTGATGTCCCTTTCCTACTGGTGGAGCCTGTTACCTGGGTCATGGGTTCTGGAAGTGGAGTAGTGTCTAAATTTCAGCACCTCGTCACTTTCCTAAACTGGCATAAATTGGCACAGCCCTCCACAGCAGTCCTATTGAAATGATCTGAAGAGGACCTTCTAGGAACAAGGCAGCAGGCTTCCTTGGAGAGGTGTAATGCATTTATTTTAATTTTTAAATAATATATTTTATGTTTTAGAACAGTTTTAGATTTATGGAAAAATTGAGCACATAGTACAAAGAGTTTCCATTACAAACAAACCCCCCATCGCACCCTCCCACACCCCACAGCTTCACTGATTATTAACATCTTACACTAATTTTGTACATTTGTTATAACTAATGAACAAACATTGTACTTAGTTATAAACTAAATTTTGGTATATTATTAATTGATAGTTTATTTGACTTTCCTAGTTTTTACCTAGTGTTCTTTTTCTGTCCCAGGATCCCATTCAGAACACCACCTTATATTTAGCTGTCATTTCTCCTTAGACTCCTCTTAGCTGTGACAGTTTCTCAGACGTTTTCTGTTTTTGATAACTTTGATAACTTTTAGGACTACTGGTCAGATATATTGTAAATTGGCCCTCTACTGAAATACATATGATATTTTTTCATGATTAGACTGGGGTTATGGTGTAACCACCCAAGAGGTTCACCTTGCCTACTGCCTAGACAGAGCCAATTCATCAAGACAGGGGAATTGCAGTAGAGAAAGAGTAATTCACGCAGAGCCGGCTGTGTGGGAGACCGGAGTTTTATTATTACTCAGATCAGTCTCCCTGAGCATTGGAGGAACAGAGTTTTTTAAGGATAACTTGGTGGGTTGGGGGAAGCCAGTGAGCCAGGTGTGCTGATTGGTCAGAGATTAAATCCTAGGGAGTTCGAACTGTCTTCTTGAGCTGAGTCAGTTCCTGGGTAGGGCCCCAAGATCAGATGAGCCAGTTTATTGATCTGGGTGGTGCCAGCTGATCCATCAAGTGCAGGGTCTGCAAAATATCTCCAGCACTGATCTTAAGAGCAGTTTAAGGAGGGTCAGAATCTTGTAGCCTCTAGCTGCTTGACTCCTAAACCATAATTTCTAATCTTGTGGCTAATGTTAGTCCTACAAAGGCAATCTAGTCTCCAGGCAAGAAGGAGGTCTGCTTTGAGAAAGGGCTGTTACCATCTTTGTTTAAACTATAAACTATAAGCTAAGTTTCTCCCAAAGTTAACTCAGCCTACGCCCAGGAATGAACAAGGGCAGCTTGGAGGTTAGAAGAAAGATGGAGTCAGTTAAGTTAGATCTCTTTCACTGTCTCAGTCATAATTTTGCAAAGGTGGTTTCAATGGGTTAGGGGGAAGATCACCGACGTAAAGTGCCATTTTCATCACATCATATCAAAGACTACATACTGTCAGCATAATTTATGACTATTGATGTTGACCTTGATCACTTGGCTGAGGTAGTGTTTGTCAGGTTTCTCCACTGTAGAGTTACGATTTTTCCCTCTTTCCATAGTGTACTCTTTGTAAGGAAGTCATTATGCATAACCCACACTTACAAAGTGACAAGTTACATTCCCCTACTTAACCTTCTGGAGTATCTGCATTTAAGAAACATCTTCTGCATAAAGAGATTTGTCTCTTACCATCCATTTATTAATTTATACAATTCTTTATTTATATCAGTGTGGACTTGTGGATGTTTGTTTTATATTTTGATTAATAATCCAATATTATTTATTTTGTTGCTCCAGGTATTTTAGCTATTTTAGCTTTGGCCGTTGGTATTTCCTTCTATTGGTTTCTGTGCCCCTTTGACATAATGGGGTGATTTTTTGGGGGGAGAGTCACTTTCTTACTTTCTGATACTACAAAATACTCCAGGCTTATGCTATATATTTCCTACCCAGTGTTAGGAACAGCTATTTCTCCAAAGAAGCTTAATTCCTTTTACTGGAGAATGAGATTAGAAACCAGGATCTTGGGTGGTTTCTTTTAGACCCTCTCAGATGACATAGGAAAGAAATATATGTGTGTATACTAATGTGCATATATATACATATCTATAAATCATTCTATATGTAAGCAGCTATACCTATATTAAGTTAAACATGAGTTCTTGCTGATGTCTCCAACTCTAATCTAATCTACATTCTAGCCTCCTCCCCTTGCTGATCTGTAAATTTTCACTGCAACCGTGAGAAGCCATTTACTTAATTGTTTAACTCCAATACACATGAATAGTAGTATCAGAATTTTTAACCTGTATCTCTGTGGAAAACTACTTTATCAACTACAGTACAGTACTTAATGTGTAGTTCCCTTTGGCTTTAGTCTTACAGACTGCATTTCCAAAATCTTTTAGGTCAGCTTTTCTCCTATCCCCTTTAATGAGGTGTTTTATACATTTATAATACAGTTAGATTCTCTTGTCAGTCTGCATTCTTTCCTGGAATTTCCCAATGGGGAGGTATGATCATTTATTAAATAAATTAATCTTGTGTTTATCAAAGCATATCACTAATTGTATGGAAGATGTTTTTAATGGACTTATTTTATTAAATATGCATTTATTTTAATTTTACTAGAAGAAACATATAACTAGCCTACTGAACTATGATTTCAAAAACATTATTAATTAGGACAAATATCACTATGCTTAATTTTAAAACTGAGCCATATTAATGAAAATTGACAGTAACAGAGGAATGGCTGTAATTTGGGAAATCCAGAATTAATTTATGCACAGGATCCATTTACATGCTACCTAATGCATTGCTCATTGAAAGTCCTACTTCAGCTTCAGAGCCCTAACCTCCAACATTCTTGGCATTTCAAAACAATAATTTGGCTATATATATATCTCTCTCTCTCATTTTTTTGTCTAAAGTAGCAATGCTTCTCTCCTTCCTTTAGTCTCATACAGTTTTATGCTACATGAAGCAACAGTTAATCCATAACTTTGCTACTTCTCACCAAGTTGGCGGCTTCTTTAAATGGCATAATCTAGAGATATCCAGGATCTCTTAGTAGAAGTTGGACTTTGTCAGCATCTTCAATAACACAGTCCTGATGGCAATGCTCTTGCTCTGACTCACCATATGGAAACCCGACTGAGAAATAGCATCTTGGATAGAACATGGATAGGACCAAAATATCTCAACATGGATGTGGACAGTGATAAAAACAAGCAAACAAACTTGAAGGGTTCATTGAGGCATAAATGGTTGAGGCTTACTTCCAGTAAGTAACTTCAAATTCAGTAAGTCTGGGGTGGGGCCTGAGAGTTTTCATTTCTAACAAATTCCCAGGAGATACTGAAGCTGTGGGTATAGAGAGCACACTGAGAACCACTGGTCTAGTTGTTCAGGCAGTGGCTTAAGGGAAACAAAAGGACAGATTAACCCTGAATATGTTATTATAGAAAATATCATTGCCTGAAGGCAAAAGCTTCAAATAAAATTTTTGGAGAAATGAAATGAAATGAAATTTAGACCTTGGACTTCCTTATTTTTATTGTGGTTATTGATCATAAAATAAAGTAAGACTAGTAAGAATGTATTAACTTTGTAAATAAGTGACAATTATCAACATCATCTTTGTTGTAATTCTTTTCTTTCATAGAAAAGTATCTCAGATTTTTAGCATGTGTAACACAAACCTCAGCGCTAACACTTTCTAGCCAGGTGGTCTTAATTAAGTTTTTTAATCCCTTTGTGTCCTTCACTATGATATGGAAGTTATGGGATAACGGGAAATATATACTTGGTCTTTTCCCTGGTGTCTGGCACAGAACTCTTAAAACCCTTGGCATTTTCTGCGTGATAGAAGTGATGACAAAATCATTTCTGATTGACAGGAGTGATGACAAGCTCATTATTATTCATAACAATCCCCTTTCATCTATACTTGCATTTACAGTAATGAGGTGACTCGCTGGGCCCCACGAGAGCTGCAGGGTGGGGACTGGTCTTCAGAAAGACAAAGGCATGATTAGAGGGTTGGAACTTTCAGCTTCACCACTTACCTTATACCACTCAACCCCAGGAGAGGGGAGAGAGACAGGCTGGAGATTGAGTTCATTCACCAATGGCCAGTGATTTACCCAATCAAGCCTATGACTTGGAGACTCCATAAAAACTCCTAAAAGATGGGGTTCAGAGAGCTTCAGTCTGAAGGACACATCAGTGTACTAGGAAGGTGGTATATCCAGAGGGGATATGAAAGCTGCATACCTGCACATGCCTTCTCCTGTGCATCTCTTTCATTTGGCTGGTCCTGAGCTGCATCTTTTATAATAAACAAGTCATTGTAAGTAACGTACTTTCCTAAATTCTGTGAGCTATTGCAGAAAATGTTTGATCTGAAAAGTGGGTCTTGGGGACTTCCAATTTCTAGACAGTGGGTCAGAACTACAAGTGTCCTGGGTCTTGGAACTGGCATCTATAATGGAGGCAGTCTTATGGGACTGGGTCCTTTACCTTGTGGAATGTGACACTAACTCCAGGTAGATAGTACCAGAATTGAATTTAATTGTTGGATACCTGGTTGGTATTCAGAGAACTGGAGGATTGGTTGCTGGAGTAAAAACAGCCCAGGAATAATATTATTATTTAACTATAACAATAAGGGTTTCACTAGGGAAACATATCCACTCTAGGTATCACAAACAGAAAAGGATGTAATAATATTTAGGAGGTTACAAAACCGTTGTAACGGCTAGAGGGGGAAGTCAAGGTGTGGCCACTAGATTTTATATCAGTGTCCCAGAGAGTGAGGGAATTAATGACCCCATCCAGAGGCAAAGGACTGTAGGAAATCTTGTGACTATCCGGTACTGCCCTAAGCCCTGTGGCATGTGGCTGGAAGGGAATTCAGAGGCCATTGTAAGAGTAATTTCTGTTAAGGCCCACATATCTGCTACTGCAGAAGGAAGAATGGCTTCTGACTTCTTCCTGTCTCCCAAGTCTAGCAATAGAGCATCTCACTAGATGGCAAAATATAAATTGCATGCAGCATATCAGTGGTAACAGAGTCTAGGAAATGTAGTTTTTGGTCTTCCAACCCCTGTAATAAAGGGAAATGCACCAAAAAGCATGGAATAAAATGTTACTATGTAAAAAATTAAAAATCCATCATACATTCTCATAGGGTTTTTATAGGGATTAAATGAGAGAATGCATGTAAAATATTAACAGAGCATGTGAACACGTCTTACATATTTAGTAAGAGTATACGTTCTTGCTGCTGCTGCTGCTGTTGCTGATGGTAAAATCTCGGGCCGGGGTGACTGAGACTGGGTATTCTGTCTTACTTCATAGTTTTCTCATACTTTTGAATTTTCTACCATAACACAATTCTTATTTAAAAGAAAATTAAGTAAACCACCAACAGAAATGCTAGAAGGTCATGTTTTCTGTAGCTGCATATAAAACATTAGTATAGGATAGCACATTAGAAGAAACTGTAATATTAACTAATAAGCTAATAAGGAAAATATGTTTTCTATACAAACCAAGTACATAGAGCTTTATTCTGGACATATTTGAGACTCAAGATGAACACGTATTATCAGGACAGTCTTCTCCAGCTCTGCCATTCGTGAGAGTTTTGTGGGTTTTTTTTTTGGTTTTTTTTTTAACTCTCATTACATGGGTTCTTATTTTAGGTATTGAGTGAATTCTGAATCAAGCCTTTATTTCTATGATTCAATCTTAATTATTCTACCTGCTGTCTTCCAAAAATAAAAATGCTTCCAATTCCTGTGAGAACATCATAGTAAAAAATGGAAAAGGCAAATGACTAACAGGAAGCACACTAAATGTACCTGGAACATAATGAGTAATAGAACAATTAAAGGAGCTAATTTTTCAGTGAGCCAAAAGAGAAAATTCCAGTTAAAGGACTAATTAAAATACTGGAGCAGAAAATGTTGTTTTCGTGACGAAAGAGATCTAGAAAGCATGCTCCTTGAAGAACAAATCTTAACATGTGACTGTTTTGACATTATTAATGTGGCATGAAGTCTACTGAGTTATTAGTACTATAAATCTTTAATAATATAAAATATTGTAACTTGGTATTTTAATCAAAGAATATTATTAGAGCTTTGCTCTACTTAGTGTATTAAAATAATTCTTTCAAATACACCAGTAATGATTGTCAGAGAAAGTGGGAAATAATTTATTTAGGAAGTAACTGCATTCTTAATGTTCCCTACCCACTGACTCAGAGCTGATTAATACTTTACAAACCAGATGTGATTAGCTGACAGCCTAGCTCAGGAGAGTCATCTCATTACTGGCCCATTATCATGTTAGCCCTTTGCTCAAGAACTGATTATGAGCCAATTAACTACCCTCGCCTTCATATGCAGAAGCACAGAACTGTGAGATATTCGTCTTTTGTGATATTACCTACCATAGTCATTTATTTTGAACATTATGAGAACTAAGAACAAATAGAAAAGAGATTTCTCCATCTTCAATCTTCTCACTATTGTTTAAAAAAATACCCCAGAAATTTAGGTAAACAATGAAAGAAGGGGTAGTTACTTCCACAGAGCCCTCTATTGAGTGTGTGCTCTGTACCTGTTCAACGTTTACTAAACATCTGCTTTCACTAGAGCATAAATTCTAGGAGGTCAGGATTTTATCTTGTTCATCTGTGAATCCAAATCCCTAAAATAGTGACTGCTATGTAGCCGATGCTTAGTAAATGTTTGTTTAATGAATAATCGAACACTTGACACAATGCTAGTGTATAAAGGCAAAGAGGACATGGTTCTTACTTTTAGAAAACTCCCATTCTAGAAGAGAAATAAACAAATAAACAAATAGATAGAAGGAAGTAGGTGATAAATTATTACAAGCAGGTACAAAGAAGAATGTGGGACAAGGGGAGACTAAATTTAGTGTCAGGAGGAGGTAGAGAGTTAGGAACAGAGTAAACTTTCCAGAGAGAGAGACACATAGGTTTTAAAGAATTGTTAGAAGTTCAATGAGCCAAATGGGAGGTTCCAAAAAAAGAACACAACATATACAAGGGTATGGATTTCTATAAAAGCATTTTCCGTTAACTATAACATGGGAAGTTGTTTGCATAACCCATAACTGTTTGATATTTCATGTCATTATTTTCAAATAGGGAAATGACAGCACATGGGAAAGAACAGATAAGCTGGAAAAAAAATCTGAAAATGGCCCAGTTACAATTACCATTGAAAAAAATTAACGCTTAGAGAGGCTAAGTAGCTTGCTCAATGTCACATGGTAGCAAATAGCAGAGCAAGGACTTGAACTCATGTCTCTATTACTCTAAAGCCCATAATCTTACACACTAACGTTATACTGTTGGCAGTATTTATGAGGCATCCACTCAATTTATCCAGTCACTGAATTATTATACCTGAGAAATCAAATTAGTCATTCAAAGACTTATTTGGTGACCATGAAATCAAAAGGAAGCCTATGGTTTGAATGAGTTTACAGAATCCTATTTTCCTTCTAGCTTTTATCTGGCTCATTGCTTCATTCATTTATTCATTCATTCATTCAGCAGTTCCTGAACTCGTGTATGCCAGGTACTGTGCTGGACATTAACTCACAGGACTCGTTGCCCTGGGCTTTGTTGGGCAGACCATGAAAAAAGACTTCATCTCCAACATTACTTTTCCTAGGCTCATTGAAGTGTTAATGCAAATCTAATTTTACTAATAGTACAGCTTTTTAAATCTAGGATTCTGGGGTTGAACAAAATATTACTTATTGAGTAATTCCTAGAATTCCCCAAAGGACAGGAGTCCTTTTTATTTTAGGACTTTAGGGGTCTATTGTTCACTTTGCTGCTTCACATTATTGATTGCAGAAGCTTTAACCATTAGCAAGATTTTCATTTAGGTAGCTGATTCTCAACGATTGCTTTCTCTTTTGGGAACAGAGAAAAAGAAGAGAATTTATTTTCATTTTTATTTTACCAAAAGGACAGGAAGTGTGGCTGTCTCATATATTAATGCTGATTTTGTCAGGGATTGCATTCTGTGTCCCAGAGGAGTCGGCAAGTGTTCGAATCTGAGTATGCTAATTATTCTCATTTCTTAAATGGATTCAACTGGGCTGTGGCCAGATTGAATCAATGTATCTCAATCAAAGTGCAGGTGACAACACAATTCACAGTCTGATTGTCTTTATTATGCCTTAGCCACAAGAGACTTACCTGGGATTTTCTTTAGCCATCTAGAGAGGAAGAGTAGATAGAATAAACAGCATGGTCATGTTATTTGACCTTAGTTCACCTCCCAGCTCTGTCACCTCTGTGACATTGAACACATTGATGAATCTCTCTGTAGAAGAGTCTACGTATCTTTTTTTTTTTTTTTTTTTTGAGATGGAGTCTTGCTCTGTTGCCAGGCTGGAGTGCAGTGGCGGGATCTTGGCTCACTGCAACCTCCGCCTCCTGGGTTCAAGTGATTCCCCTGCCTCAGCCTCCCGAGTAGCTGGGACTACAGGTGCTTGCCACAACGCCCAGCTAATTTTTTGTATTTTAGTAGAGACAGGGTTTTACTATGTTGGCCAGGATGGTCTCGATCTCCTGACCTCGTGATCCGCCCACCTCGGCCTCCCAAACTGCTGGGATTACAGGCATGAGCCACTGCACCCAGCCAAGGGTCTACTTACCTATCACCTCCCCACCCAGATTTTTAAAAGGGTTTTTATGTATTTCTTTTTTTTCTATACATTTTATAAACACACAGACACACACAGGCACACACATAAATCAGTCAACAAACTTGGGTGTATAAGCCATGTAACTTTATTTTTCAACTCAAATCACCATTATGCCTGGGGGCAAAACCAAAAATCTTTCTTAGTTTCAATTCAAGGTTTTCTTTTTTTTTTTCTTTTATTATTATTTTCTTTACAGACAGGTCTCACTCTGTTGCCCAGGCTGGAGTGCAGTGGTGCAATCATAGCTCACTATAACCTCAAATGCCTGAATTCAGGCAATCCTTCCATCTCAGCCTCCTGAGAAGCTGGGACTACAGGTGTGCACCACCACACCCAACTAATTTTTCTATTTTTTGTAGACACAGGGTCTTGCTATGTTTCCCAGGCTGGTCTTGAACTCCTGGCTTCAAGCAATCCTCCTACCTTGGTGTCCCAAAGTGCTGGGATTATAGGTATTAGCCACTGTGCCCAGTCTCAAGGTTTTCTTAGTCAATTCGAGTTATCCTCAGTCAGTTCAAAGTGTTTCTCTCTCCCTTTTCTTGGGGATAGTCTACATTCCAGGTGTGGTAGTATTGGTGGAAAGTGGGGGCATGTGCTCTCTCATTGTCCTCTGTCTACAGTTCAAGGCTAGATCTACATCCTGGATACTTTCTCATCCTTGATCCAAGCAGATGACCACCGTGTTCTCATGGTTTGTATACCGCAAGCCCTCTTGGGTCTGCTGGCTATCTTGCCTGTCTCTCTACCAGGAGTCACACCAGGGTGTATGGGAAAAGTTGCCTCAGGCTCATCTGTGTGGGCACCTCACACCCCTCTTTCTACTCTACTTCTCCCAAGGTAGGCCCCACCTATGACCTCAATGAGGTGGGCTCCCTTGCTGGGGTCCACCTAGAAAACAATTCATTAGTCCTGTGCTCTCAAATTGCTCCAAGTCTATGTGAGGAGTGGCCTTTATCTTCCCATTCATACACCCAACCCCCAGCCCAGGGACACACCAATATGTAAAATCTTCTCTTCACCCTCCTCCTACCCCCATTTCTTCTCCCCTTCTAGCCTGGAAAACTGCCTCTGATCTGGACTTGAGCCTGAGTGTGAGAGGACTTGAAAACTTGGCTTGGCTGAAGTCTTATTCTTCTGTATTTATGCATTGTGACCTGGTCCTTTATGGCCTTTGCTTTGACACTCAAAACCTAGGCTTTTGAGAAAAGACTCAAAAGCCATTTTCTCTCTAAACTTTGTCCATTATAAAGTTCAAAATCTGAGAATTTTGAAGCCCAAACTGACCTGAGATGAAACTAAACAGAAGTAATAATAGTTCATGAAAGAAATTACTTGGGAAAAATGCAAACAGCCAGTTCATGTAGAGAATAAGAAAAAATATGTTTATTACCTAATGATGTTCAGGTCATTGATGGTTTCGATGACTTTTTGGCCTTAGTTGCACCACTCAGAATACTGGTTAGAGTCACTTGGCATATTCAAAGTAAGACAGCCTTATGTTGCGACTGAATTTGCCCTAATGAAAATCATGCTCTATTTTACCACTTTTATTTCTCTGATCCAAGTTTTCTTTCTCTGGAGTTCACAAACTGGTCACCATTATTTTCTGCAAGAAAGAAAATCTCCTTTATAAAAGATAGCTCCACAGTGCCTTGGATTCCCAGGAGGTGTGGCTGGGAAGGAGGTTAATAAAGTATTTAGATGGACTCTACTGAAGGGTGGATTTGTCTATTGTAAAATTGCACATTAAACATTTAAGCAATAGCTTTGTAATGAGACGTTAAAGTCAGAGTGGTCAGAGGTTGTCCTCAAATCCACACTTGAGATTCTCATGGGTCTCATTGAGACAGTCACACGCGCAACTGAAGGCAACATTGTAGAAAGCTCTTTCTTTCAGGTTAAGGCCATAAACACACATTTTCATTTGTGAGAAACAGGTTGCTAATGGTATTTGAGGTATCTCTGACATGTGAGGAAAGGGTAATGAAGATCTGCTCCACTTTTCTTGGTAGACTCTCTACTTTACCCATGATTAGATCATAGATTAAACCCAAAGTAAGATCATTTCAGAATAAATACTAAATAGGACTTGGGAATCTAAACTAAGGAATTTGTGGATTTTTGACAAAGACCCATAAGCTGGCACTAAATTTCAGACAATGCAAAATATTTAAAATTCATGGCACAGTGTGCTTACCTGTTGAGGTGTGAGAGCTGGGCCTTCTGTTGTCATCAAGTTCATCCTCTGAATCAGTGACACATGCTCCAATAAACATCAAGTGACAGCTCCTAGTCACTAACCAACACAGGGTTCCTGGAGCAGATCCAATCCTCAGGAACAGAAGCCATGTAAATAAACTCAGTTGGGCAGTTCATGTGCTGACACCGAACCAGACTAAGACATCAAGGCAGTTCCTGGACATATTGCAGTAGCTGAACAGATGGCAGGCAAGAAAAGTGCTTAAAGAGTCACTGGAGCACAATTTCAAGTGATGTCTCACATCCGTTGACAGTTGGAGAGTGATAGAGGCAAACAGATCATGGGGATATATTACTACTCAGAAAGGAAGGATTTGGCTCAAAGATAACCTAGGAAAAAGATATAGTAGGACTTGTTCAGAAAAGAGCAATGGATACAGAGGGGTGACTGCACCTTAGACATTCAAAAGGACAAGCAATGACCTTCAGGACATATCCTGGGTCAGGAATGTAGCAAGAGTCACTTTGTCACATCTTAAGAGAATCATGTTTGTCACGGGGCACTACATTCAATACCATATTGACAGTAAGAATACATGATATTAGAAAGGGATGGGTACAGCCAAGCACTTCCTGGCTCAGAAGTATGACTGAGGACACATAAGAAGGCTGAGCCTGCTGGTGAGAAGATGGTGAGAGCAGCTGTGGAGCTGGAGAATTGAGAGACACAGGAAATGAAGTGAGGGCTGATAGCTAAGCAGAAGCACTATCTCCATCCCTTTACAGGCCCTACAGAGGCCTAGGAAGGAGCAGTAGAGTTCAAACTCAACCTTAGTTAGGTGTGTATATGGAATTAGGTGAACTGGTTGGGAACTTAGACTTGGGAATCAGAGGCCTACTCAGCAACCTTTCTTCCTCCCTGCTGCTAACAGAACTCCTACACTGTTTAGGTATTCACCTGTTACACACATGGTTCTCTCATTTAATAGTAAATCCCTATTGGTGAGACCTGGTCCCTTGCCAGAGAGTGATTGTGATTAGGCATGTACTCCAGTTCTGGCCAATGAGACTTGGGGGATGTCTCTTGAGGGCTTCTGGGAAAGGTTTTCTCTCTCCTAGAGGAGATAGCCCTTTAGTCTCTGGAGGCTCTTGTGTCTCTGTGTAGTGGCTGGAACAAGATGCTGCAGCCATCTTGAGACCACAAAGGCATCAGTCTGTTGATCTAATGAAAAAAGCAGAGCAGAAAAATAAGCAATGTGAGCCAAGATTTTTTGTCAATTGTAGCCTATGGCCTCTTTAGCGATAAACCTTTTTCTTTTTCTTTTTTTTTAAGTCATGCTGACTTCTTAGAAAACTTAGTAGTGGTGTGGGTGTAAGGCTTTATATTCTCCCTGTTCACCCATCCATCCATTATCAATCCATCCATTTATCTATTGCTTACTAAGTGTTTGCAATATGTTCCAGGCATTTCAATAGGCACCGAAATTTATGAAGATAAATTGGAAATAAACCCTGCTTTTATAGCATTCATGCCTTGTTAACAGATGATAATAACATATGAAAAGTCATTTAACACAGGAATATGTAAGATATCTTGGCAACAAAGAGTGAGAAGTGATGAGTTCTTATCTCCAGGTCAGAATTAGGTCATACGGGTCATGCAGAGAATGATCAGAACTTGGCCAGAAGAAAGGATGTTCTAGGCAGTAGGAACTGTGGAAGCAAAGAGGAGAGTAAAGAAATCCCAACTGCTTCATCCCCAGATATAAATTCATGCAGAGAGGCAGGCCTTGTAGAAATGTACTGTCTGCATCATAAGGGAAGACCAGAGAATGCTGAACCAGAAAAAGAGATGAGTTAACTTTGTTTAGATCCTGTAAGGAGGAGAAGTTGGGTTTGAGGAAGAGCGGGAGATGAGTTGTAAGACTAATCCTTGCTCTTGAGTTTCACAGTCGTGCCAAAGTCCCCAAAATACCACGCTTTCAAAGGGGCCCAACAAGTGGGCACACTCCCTGACATCCTCAGGACCTCCTCTCTGGTTCTGATTGTCAGAATCAGATTTACTTCTACCTCACTTGGCCTTGACATGTGCACTTCAATTTCTCAAGTGTTTATTTAAACAACTACCTGCTATTTGTGTGATATGGTTTGGAGAACAAGTTATAGAAATGGATATCAGGCTCTGTACTTTTTAGCTGACAGGCTACAAGGGAAAGCACACACATAACAAGTAACTATCATACAATAGGAAGTATTATAATAAAACATATTTACCCAGGTTAAATCCTTGAGGGATACAGTAAGGGAGAGATTGTGCAGGAACAAAGAGTAGGTTATATTTTTGTTTATTTTGGAAGACGAGTAACAGTAAAGGTTGCCAGGCTGGGAAAGGCCTTAAGTAGCAGACACAACGACAATAAGGAAACCCAGAAGAAGATGTCTAAGGTGAGAATCTTCTAGGGGGTAAGAAGTCACAGTAAGGTGAGTTGGGGCAGAGGAGTGAGTGTACAGCAGCCTGGGGTGATGAAGGACAGAGAGGGCTCCTGGGAGAGTAAAGGTATTTTGTGCCATCCCAAGGAGTCTGGATTTCATTTGTTATGTATTTGCTTTGTCTCCTGTATGCCCAGAACTGTGTTAGGATCCACAGATATAAAAAGACAAGGCACAGTCCCTGCTATCATGGAGGCCTGGCCCAGTGGAGGAGACAGACATGTGGACAGGAATAGGAGGGCTAGCTTGTATAGACCCCTGATCTGTGCTGGCATACCACCTAGTTCATGTCATCTATTCCTTACATCAGCCAATGAAGTAGATACTATTATGCCCATTTTACAGATGAGGCACTGAAGTGTAGAGAGGTCAAGTAATTTTTCCAAGACTTCATGGCTGAAATGTAGAAGAGTCTGGATTCAAACTCATGTCTATCAGATTCCAGGGCCAACACAGTGATATAGAATTTGGAAGCTCAATGGGGTGGTATTTAACTTAGACTTGGGGGCAAAGAAGGCTTCCTTAGGGAGTTGATGCATAAGTTAAGTTTTAAAAAATGAGAAGGAGTTGGCCAGGTGATGAAGAATGGGTGTTCTAAGCAGAGGGAATAAGGCGTGAGGGTGGAACTGCCTGGTGGTAGGATAACTGGGTGTTGGCAAAGCACTTACTTTCATTATGAGGCAGGGAAAGGTAGAAGATGAGCTGAAGCAGGGTGCAGCTCGACAACCTTTAGATTATGAGGAGAGGCTCAGACATTGTCAATCCTAACATAACCAATGGACATTTTCATCATCACCCACTCCCCTCTAATGTATCTCCACCATATCAGTTACAGGGACCACCATCCATCTCGTTGCCAGAGCTTGAGGGTCATACTTGTTGTTTCCATCTCCTCCACCCCCTAATTCAATGAGTCAGGACTCCAGGAGATTTCTTCCTTCAAATATATTTCTAATCTGTTCCCCTTAACGTCCTCACTGCTGCCTCCCTCCCCGAAGCCAATACACTGTCATTCTTCTCTTGGAATACGGCAATGGTCTCCTTCGTGGCCTCTGCGCTTCCACTCAGCAGCCACAGCAACCTTCTGAAAAAACAGGCCACACACCTTCCCATGCTGCTTGAAATTCCATGCCTTCTCTTGCATTTCAGAAAAAATCCAAATACCTTACCACCACTGGCAAGGCACTGCCTTCCTCTCCGTGCTGATCCATCCCTCTCACCCCTTGCCCACTTTATTCCACTTCCTTTCAGATCCCAGAAGATGTCATCTTCCTTCTAGCCTCAAGGCCTGTGTCCATCCACTCTCCCTGCATGGAATGCTCTTCTCCTAGATCTTCACATTACTTTCTCCTTCTTATCCTTCTCATTGCAGCTTCAGTGATGCTCTCCTAGATTCCTCCTCCCATTCCCTCCATCTCACTCCAGTTTTTTCTCCACCACTGACAGGTCGTTTTCTCCAGTGTCCTCACCACAAGTCATGACTGCCTCCTCTCTTGGTCTGTAAACTCCCAAAAAGGGCAGCACCTTTTCTGTTTTGTTCACACTCAGCCTCGAGTGCCTCACCCAGAATAGTTGCTGTCCTTAGAAATGTGGTTATCATCTGTTAATAGTTTAATAACACCTCCACCCACTAACAACTAGCACCCAAAAACAGCTATCAGGGACAATATTCGAAGGAGAAGAACATAAAGAAGAAATAAAAATCTGTGCAGGCAACGAGGGGAAGCCTAGCCATAACTGTGACTTAATAGGCATGGGGCCATGGTAGCTACTCTATATAGCGTCTGGCACAAAATAGACATCAATAAGTATTTGTCAAACACATTAATGTTAGCTAAATGATTAAGTTGACAGAGACAAATAATGCAGTAGTAGCAGATTCTACAGTGGTGAGCAAAAGTAATAGCCCAAGTATAGATGGGTCATTGTCAAAAGCATTTTCTTCATCTATGAGGGGAAAGTACTCAGTAAAATAATTCGTTTTATTTTCTCAGCTGTCTTTTTTCTTTGCTATTCAAACTTGAAGCCAAGATTTACTTTGTTATAGAAGATGAGCTCTGCCAGCCATAAAACTTTGGCAGGATAAAGGCAGGAGCCGTTTCCCTCGGTAGTGAATAAAATATGATTCACTAAAGAGTAATCTAATCATAGTAAAAGAAACTAGTGTTGGTCCTAAAGAGTAGTCAGAGAAATTTTGGTTCTCATAGGCTAATGTAGCATGGATAGGGATATATTGAAACAGAAATGCTTGTAATTCAAAGGGGACAGTGCACCAGGTCATTGGAATGGGTTCTATTGATGCTCCAAGTAGTATTCTTACAGAAAGTGTTTTATAAGATTTTCTTCATTCACCATTTATATTTGGATAAAGGCTCCTGCCTTTATCCTGCCAAAATTTTATGGCTGGCAGAGCTCATCTTCTATTTGCACTACTTTGATTAGAAATAAAAAGATTTGGTTTTCAATGGTTGTCTCATCTCAGAGTACTCAGAGAAACTATTTTTTAATCTCTAGATATCAATCAATGAATATTTATTATTAAATACCTGCTATGTGCCAGATGGTGTTAATTATAAGTTTGTTCTCTTTTTGTCGTGCTACTTAGGCTTTTATCATTTTGTCCTATCATTAGGGAAGTGGCTCCTTTTCTTACAGCTAATTTTTTTTCAATTTACTAATGACTTTTTGTGGAGGTGGGGATCTCTTCTGTTCAACATTTTCTATGACTCATCTCAATCCTCCAGTGATTATTAAAAAACAGTTGCAGTAAGTTCAGTCATAGGGGCACTGGAATGAGTCCTTTAAACTTTATGCTGCTGCTTTTGCAATGATGGATTGCTTGAGAATTAAGGAAAGATAACTACTCTCTTGGTCACTGTATTTCCAATCAACCATATCCTCCCAGAATATGATTTCTTCCCTCAGGCATTTTAGAAAAGAGACAAGAGACAGATTTTTTTTTTCAGGCAATGAAGATGTTATTTAATTAACTGGGTCAATACATTTTAGAACTCTGGCCACAAAATGTACATTCACCTCTGCTAACCTCTTACTCTAAAAATACTTACATTATAGCTTATTCATGGACAAGTAGCTTATCCCTTGAAGGGATGTGTCACATACTGTGTTCAGAATACTCAGGGGCAACACAATTCTAATGATGTATTATGAGACAAAAAAGGTAATCTGTGGTGGTATTCCCTACTTTTTTTACCTTTTAAAACAAACTTTATTGAGGTATAACTTGCATACAATAGAAGATACCCATTTTAAGTGTACAGTTAGAGGCATTCCAACAAACTTATATCTCATTTAAATACCATGTCAATCAAAATATAGAGCCTTCCCATTATGCCCAGAATCTCCTTGGAGCCCATTTGCAGTTAGTTTCCCTTCCCCTGGCCATCAGCAGCCATTGATCTGAACTGTGTTTCTTTTTTTTTTTTTTCTTTTTTTATTTCCAACTTTTATTTTAAGTTCAGGGGTGCATGTGCAGGATGTGCAGGTTTGTTACATAGGTAAACGTGTGTCATGGTGGTTTACTGCACAGACCAACCTATCACCTAAGTATTTTTTTTTAATTTCTCAAAGTAATTTTAATGAGCTATTAAAATTATTTTCAACATTGTTAGAGGACAACTGTAAAAATTATACAGTAAATATACATTTCACCATTACCAGGTACAATAGGTGAATACATAAGGCTATGTGGTAAGGTGACTCATTTATAAAATAGAAATATATAACTTGAATAAAATTATATCAGTCTTTTTCTACTCCACAAAGGATCATTTTTTTCTTTTTTTTATTATTATTATACTTTAAGTTTTAGGGTACATGTGCACAATGTGCAGGTTAGTTACATATGTATACATGTGCCATGCTGGTGTGCTGCACCCATTAACTTGTCATTTAGCATTAGGTATATCTCCTAATGCTATCTCTCCCCCCTCCCCCCACCCCACAACAGTCCCCAGAGTGTGACGTTCCCCTTCCTGTGTCCATGTGTTCTCATTGTTCAATTCCCATCTATGAGTGAGAACATGCGGTGTTTGGTTTTTTGTCCTTACGATAGTTTACTGAGAATGATGATTTCCAATTTCATCCATGTCCCTACAAAGGACATGAACTCATCATTTTTTATGGCTGCATAGTATTCCATGGTGTATATGTGCCACATTTTCTTAATCCAGTCTATCATTGTTGGACATTTGGGTTGGTTCCAAGTCTTAGCTATTGTGAATAGTGCCGCAATAAACATACGTGTGCATGTGTCTTTATAGCAGAATGATTTATAGTCCTTTGGGTATATACCCAGTAATGGGATGGCTGGGTCAAATGGTATTTCTAGTTCTAGATCCCTGAGGAATCGCCACACTGACTTCCACAATGGTTGAACTAGTTAACAGTCCCACCAACAGTGTAAAAGTGTTCCTATTTCTCCACATCCTTTCCAGCACCTGTTGTTTCCTGACTTTTTAATGATTGCCATTCTAACTGGTGTGAACTATGTGCCAATCACCAGGCTAGAATAAAGAAAAAGATGCCTCTCCTGTCTTCAAAGCCTTTAAATAATATTAGGAGGAAAAAAATGAACACTGAAGAAATTCAACAGAAAAATAGTGATATACTCAAGTCTGGAGGATGTATGTAGGGGCCCAGGCAGTGGGGGGGCTGGGGGCAGGAGCAGGAAGGAGGCTTAGACCAAGCCACGTGAAGCCTAGTCTCTTGTGTAAACTCTGTTTCTGACTCTGTGTCCTGGTTTTCATGGCTGTATCATGAGGATTTTGAGCCACCTGACACTGAAAGGCTCTCCTGGCATCCTACCTTTGATGTTATATGTGAGGGGTGACTGCTCTAGTCCCTAGGAATGTCATTCATGAGGAAGTCTCTAAATACTCTGTGGTAGGTAAAATGTCTGACTTCTCTCACCAAATCCATTTTCATAAAAGTTAATTGTTTTCGTGTTTAACACATTAGACTCTTCTCATCAGAAGCAATCATTGTAGTTTTGTTTCAGCCTATTTACATAATTTGAAATAATTTGAAGGAGCTACTTTTTGTTTCAGTTTTGAGAAATATGTTAATTGGTGTTTTCCAGCCAGGAAATAACTACATGAGGCTGTCCTCAACTGTCCATCATTTCCCATGTTGGCCGGTCACCTTTACCCAAAGAGAGCTTTCCACGAAGTTAAATTTCCAGACACACTCAAACAGGGAATGAAATGGGCAATGAAGACATGTGTGTTAGTCCATTCTCACACTGCTATAAAGAACTACCTGAGACTGGGTAATTTATGAAGAAAAGAAGTTTAATTGACTCACAGTTCCGCAGGCTTAACAGGAAGCATGACTGAGAGGTCTCAGGAAACTAACAATCATGGTGGAAGGCAAAGGGGAAGCAGAGAACTTCTTGACATGGTGGAAGGGGAGAGAGAGCGTGTGAATGAGGGAGTGCCATACCCTTTTAAACCATCAGATCTAGTGAGAACTCACTCACTATCATGAGAACAGCATGGGAGAAATCCACCTCCATAATCCAATCACCTTCCCCAACATTGGGAATTACAATTCAACATGAGATTTGGGTGGGGACACAGAGCCAAACCATATCAACATGAGAAAAACAATCGCTGCAGTGGGCTTCAATTCTGACAAGGAAAGAACTTCCATCTCCAGAAGCCAACTAAATAATGGAGCTATTATTTAAATGTTGTTCTAGTACCTCTGACCATCAGGGGTGTTTATTTTCCTTCAATAGGCAAAGCGTCTCAAACTTTGAGTTAAACTTAAATTCTCAAATTCGAATCACCTGGGAATCTTGTTAATCTGCAGATTCTGGTTGGTACTCTGACCTGGGATTCTGCATTTTCAACACACTCTCAGGTAACCAGGATGCTGCTGGACCACAGAACACACCTGGAGGGGTGAATGCAGTGCTAAGATGTCAGAGGACTGGGCTGATCTGGAAAACTGGTCCCCTGACCATGCTCCTTCAAGTTCTTTGTATTATAAAAGGTATATAGTTTAGAAATGTCACATATTCAGGGAATATGCTTCCTGCAAGTTGAGTCCAGTATAACATCAGTGCTCTGACGGTGCTGAAAATGTTATTGAAAATACACATTTTCGATAGGGCAAACAACCCATTAGTCTTGCCTTCTGGCTAAAAACTGTGTCATCCTTTGAATTAACATGTAAAATATGAAAATCATCTTGTGTCCCCACTCCCCGGGGATGTGTATACCAGGTTTAGAGGTGCTATCCATCACCATCCTGGCCTCTTAGTGAACTTAAACTTGAGGCAATGGCAGGTTTGAATCCCTCCACCCAGGAAAACCGGCCTCTAAGGTGTCTAACTCCATGTGTGCAGAAGTCTTATCAAATTTTTGTCTTGACCTTGCTTTTCAGAAACGTGGGCCTTTGTTTTTGTTTCATTTTTTTTTTCTGCTTATTGGTTTGTTGATTTCTAAAAGCAATCTTTGTTCCATCAATCACATACCCAGGGAGACATATTATTTTTATCACCTAAAGAAGGCAGATGCTGAAACTCAGAGCAGATTTATGTGTTGTTGGGTTTACTTATCTGTAGGGGTACCAGAACTAAATCAGCCTGTTGGGTTGACTAGGGAGGAGTGAAGTGGAGAGTAATTATCAAACTATAGTCAGGAAACTGAGGGGAAAAATGACAATTTGAAAGTTGTACAGAAAAAAATAGGTAGCATTGGCGAAAGTTACAACTGGTGATATGGGATAAGGGCCACACAGGAACTCATTTTTAAATAAAATGGAGACTTAGGAGACAGCCAAGTTATTGGTGTCTTGAGCTCTGTTTGTACTCAGCAAATATTAAAATAGGAATTATCAGAAATAATTGAGCTTTATGTAGAAAGAACAGGTAAATAAATAGAAAATCATCTTGGAAAATGTAGCACAGAGACCAATTAGTGGCTCCAAAAGACAAAATTGGCTAAGAATGAAAAGAAAATTTGGGAGGAATTGGTAAGTGAAAAGAAAATGTCACCAGACACAAGGAAGGGAAAACAACAGGAAAAGAAAATTAAGGCCAGAGGATTTTTGACTAGGTAGAAAGGAGGGAAGTCAAACGTGAATTCCGCAGCTTTTGTGAGCCTCTGAGAAGCCAGGCTTTGGTACAGTGACTTCTCCTTAGGGTGCGCCATCAATTTCTATTGATAATGATGACTTTTTTTTTTTTTTTTTTTTTTTGAGATGGAGTCTCGCTCTGTCGCCCAGGCTGGAGTGCAGTGGCCTGATCTCGGCTCACTGCAAGCTCCGCCTCCCTGGTTCACGCCATTCTTCTGCCTCAGCCTCTCGGGTAACTGGGACTACAGGTGCCCGCCACTACGCCCGGCTAATTTTTTGTATTTTTAGTAGAGATGGGGTTTCACCGCTTTAGCCAGGATGGTCTCGATCTCCTGACCTCGTGATCCGCCCGCCTCGGCCTCCCGAAGTGCTGGGATTACAGGCGTGAGCCACCGCGCCCGGCCAATGATGACTTATTTTAACCTGCAAAAAAACTACTGGATTAAGAAGAACGGGGAGTGCTACCCAGTTTTGAACCTGACAAAATTGCAGTTTGATACACTTCTCCCCCATCCATCAAATTCTGTGAAATTTAACAGATACTGACTGCTACCCTTTGTTCACTTTTTAAAAGTTGTGTTTACTTTTAAAATTTTTTCTTGAAAGCCATCTTTAAAATAATGTTTTTGTTTTAGATGCTGCCTAGTCGGATTGCTGAAATGTAAACACCTTCTGTTTAAAAAAATAACGTGTTTGCTAGGCTTTTCCTCATTTACCTCTGTCTGATGTCCATTGGACTACAAGTGTATTAAAGTCACCTCAGCAAGGGCTCTCCACTTTCTCTTCTTGCTCTGAGTTGTTACCATGTGGCTATTTTTCTCCTTCCTCCCTCTCCACCACTGCTGAGCCTTGTAACCAAGGCATTCCTGAATCTACCCGTCACTTCTGCCCGAGGCTCGTGTGAGGGACTCTGTAAAGACGTGGCTGCTTCAAGGAAGTTCTGGGGAGGTAGCTGAAGGAGAGGTTTCTCACCTCTGTGGCATCACCACAATAATACACCACCCTCCTGAGTGCCCAGGGGAGGACTATCAGGGCTCACCTCCAGATCTTTCTCTTTACTCTTGATGACCACGTCTCCAGAGACTGCCTACCTACACCTGCACCTGCGCAGGCACCACCGAGATTTCAGAGTAGCACAGACTGGAAAACTCAGCACTTCGAAGTGTTTATTCCATGGCATAAAAGAGATGAAGAAATGGAAGTCCCAGTTGAACTCCTCCTGTCTGCCCACATGAGGGGTTTCTGGCTTGGTTCATGTGTATGTCTTCCTTCCACATGCTGTGAGGACCTGGCCTGGGGTTGCAGTTAGGAGATGTCAGGGGGATTTTAAAGAGGCACTTAAAGAGGGGACTTCTTTAGGGTACAAAGATTATACCTGGTAATGTGGACTTTTTTGGGGGTGTGGGGGAAGTGGCTCACTGTTGCCCACGCCTCACTGCAGCCTTGACCTCCTAAACTTGAGGGATCTTCCCACTTCTGCCTCCCAAGCAGCTGGGACTACAGGCATTTACTAATGTACCACCACACTTGGCTAATTTTTTCTATTTTCTGTAGAGACAAGGTCTCACTATGTTGCCTAGGCTGGTCTCGAACTCTAGGGCTCAAGTGGTCCTCTTACCTTGGCCTCCCCAAGTGTTGGGATAGCAGGCCTTGGACTTTGTTCTTTTAACCATATAAGGCTTAAGGAAAATACTTAAGAATTGAACTACACATGGGCAATAGCTTTAAAATAGTAAATTGGTTATTCCCATCCCTAGACAGCCAATATGGGCTGGACCCAGAAAAGCGATTTGAATGTGAGAACCTAAGACAGGCACTTTCCAGCACTCTGTCCATTGTTTCAGCTGAAGACTACAGGCACTCCTTAAGGACAGGTGGCTGGGGAGGTTAGGAGGGGCAGCTGAGAGAGATTGCTGGAAGTAACAGAAGGTGGAGAGGGGGAGGGATACTGGCTCTTTGCAATTATAAAGGGTGTGTCAGGACACCACAGGCCTAGGAGACATTTCAAGGAGGCTTATACTGGGAAGAAAGCTTGGTTTCCTGACACCTCGGTACACCTGGATGGAATGAAAAAATAAAACTCTGCACCTGCTCATTTGTTCTTTCTTCAGCAAGTGAGGCCGGAGGCATTGGCAGCCAACTGTATTCTCCTCAGGTGGCCCCAGCCTCATAGTCCTAGTTCTGACTTTGATTGGCAGGAAAAGAATAGAAGAGAACAACCCTGAACCTAGGTAGAAATCTGTTTTGCTTTTTCAGATTACTTGCCATGTGTATAGTTATATGGACAGAAATCTTGGAATGTGTGCCTCACAATTCCAGTAAAGAACCCAAATGTGAAAAAAAATATATATATATAAAATACATATAGACACATACATGTACACATGTACATATATGCATCTTATATAACTCTACATATATTTACTTTATATACTATATAAGATGTGAGATGTAATATCTCATATATAATATATATTATATATGTGGTATCAGAATCTTTACAAAAATAAATGGGGCTTAGTTTAGAATATTCATTTGGAAGCCTTTTTAAAATTTCAACTATTAGGGTTAGGAATTACAGCAACATATGAGAGAAAAAGTAAATTTATTATATAAATTGAATAATGATTGGGCATTTACTCAATAGTGGGAGCAATCGTGGGAGCAGTTTTCCAGGAGGAAGCTGTAAGGGGTCTCACTGTATGAAGGCCTCTGACTCCGATTGATTTCTTTGATTGCAGGCCTCTTCACAAAGGCCTGCAAAAGGTATTACATGTTTGATCTGCATATGGGTTGATGAATGAAGGATGAAGGGTAATATTTAAATTGGAAAGTTTATGCAGGATCAGAATTGGGGATAGTTCAGTACTACTATAGCAGTATGGCTTCTTTTTCATTTATTATAAATGTTCTTAAAAAGAAATTGTTCGGCACCTGTTACATGCCTGGCACTGACCTAGGCGTTGAAGATATGAAGAAGAATAACATATGATACCTGCCCTGGGCCACATCATTGTAAAGAATCTCACCATCTCCCTGTTAGGGAAAATAAGCAGATCCTCAAATAAAATAGTGTCTCAATTAATTGGGGCAAAGGCAACTAAATGCTGAGGATCCAGAACTCTTTTAATGAATTTCTCCCATCCCTGAAAGGCCCTACTTGGGGCCTTTCATCATGGATTTTTATTAAAGACACAGGAAAAGGGGACATTTTCCCAAGTAAAATCAGGGTTTAAATATACAATTGATTTCATCATCAGGCCTCTTGCCTGTGCATTTGGTGCCCTGGGCCACTGCATCCCACATGTTTCCCAGTAGAAATGGAGGTGTGTTGAGGAAGCTGCAAGCCCTACCCCAAAGTTTGTAGACTATAAGATGGCAAGTCACTCAACTACCTTCAAAGATCTGTCCGCACAAGGAAAACCTGAGCCCTTTATCTTCCATGGAACATAAATGCCCACAGATAAAGCTTCTCAGTAAGTGTGTGTTGTGTCCTATAAGAACCAAATACAAATTTATAGAACACATTAAGAAGTTAACGTTCCATTTATCCGTTTAAGATTAAACAACCATTTATTGAGCTACCTACTGTGAAGTAAGCATAATAGCCCTCTAGGTTGGTATTGTTTTCATTGTGCAGAGGAAGAGACTGACAACTGAGGGGCTAAGTCGTCCTAGATTAAGTAGCTACTAAATAGGAATGCTTAGAGCTAAACTCCGAGTTTCTGATTTCAAGTCAAATGCTCTTTACCTTATATTCAATTGTCACCTCGAAACTCAGAAATCAAAGCCCTAAAGGAATGGAATTCATGACTGATAATTTTTGATGAAAGAAGAAAAAAGAGGGAATGTTCAATACACGAGATACTGCCTGCGTGGGCTGATCCAGGTGAGCAGCTGCAGAACTGAGCCGGAAAAGCCTGTGGGAGGTGCTATGAAGGGCTTAAAGGGCAATAGCAGAACCTGCCTGTTCAGCTGTTACGTGGGAAGGGGCCAGGAAGGTGGTGGAACCCAGGCATTTCACTCCATGAGGGTTTCAGCTCCAGGTGAGAGCTGCTGGGATGGCTGGGACACAGCTGAACCTGATCCAATCTCGCGGGCACATTGGTGTCTGTGCCTTTAATTCAAACCTCTTCATTCTGTAACAAAGGCAGAAATGTTCTTTCTGTGAGGATGCTGTTGGTGTTATGGATACTGTTTCAAAAAAATCATGAAACAAGTATGCAAAGAAAACATTTTCCCCTGAGTTTCTTCTCAAAATCCTGTGTGTGGGGGAGAGAAATATGTAACAGGAATAGAAAAATGTAAGTAAACAGTGCAAATCAAACCAGTAGGTGAGTTTGCACATCCAAAGATTGCAAAGAGGAAAAAGGGGTTATTTCAGCTTTATGTTGTTCTCTCTGAATGTTTCCTTTTGTTCTTAATGTTTTCAAGTCAGAGACTGATAAATGTGCCAATTCGTATGAAATGGCTTAGGTGGGATGCACTATCTTTTTTTTTTTTCCTGTTTAACTCCACATTACCTATTTGATTTTAACTTGTGTGGCTTGAACTTTCTATAACCATCTGGATTCTTCAGTTGTTGTTGAACATGTTCAGCTGATTCATTTTTGCCACTGAGAATATTGCATCCACATTGTGAAGTGTAGATCTACTAACCTTGCCTCTGTATAACAATTCATTTTTCCTTTCCTTATCTGCAAATGGACAAGGCCATTTGCAACAGAAAATGTGATTTTTTGTGTGTATGGACTTGTTTCTATCCTCAATCCCAGTGATATAGCTCTCTCTGAAATGAAGAATTGCATTGACTACTAAAAAGACTTTACTGGAAGAAAAAACACCTTCCAACAAATGGGGTGCATCTTGGTTCAAACTAGTATATCAGAATTCACAAACACAAATGCAAAAAGGGACTAGGCCAGTGATGTAAAAGATTGAAATCACTTAGATATAAGGGTAGTTCAGCCTGGCAAGTGTAGAAAGTGTCCCCATCAAAAGGAGGCAGCCAGGCAGCCACCACTAAGCTCCAATGGATTGTTTCCATTGTTTCCATGAGAAAACAATGGCCCAACATTGCCAGATCTTCTTATTTTCCAAGAGAAGCTCATAGCCTGAATTTTTATGTGTAATCTGTTTATTGTCAGCCACGAATTCTAACAATTTCATAAACACTCACTGCCACTCAACAACCAATTTTCAACTTCTATGGTAGCTGAGGAATTAAAGAGAGAAGCCATAGTCAGAGCCATTCATTAGGAAATGACCTTGACCTTAGTTTACAACCTTGACACAAAACATCTAGTCCAGTGACCAGCAACATGGTATCACTGGGACTGTATTAGAATTCATAATCTCAGCACCTGCCTCCCCAACAGATCTACTGAATAATAGTCTACATATTAACCAGATACCTAAATGATTGATATGCACATCATGGTTGGAAAAGCACTGATCTGTATGAGGTTATGTTTAGTGTAAGGACATCCCTTATATCCCAGAAGGGGTTCTGCCATGGCATACCCACCCTGGGAGGCTCTCAGGGAAGTCTTTTTAAACTCTAGGAGCTACTGATTGTGAAGCAGCTGAAGGCTGTGATTCATTTGCCTTCCTCCCCCTCCATTCCTCGTCTCCTTGCCCTTCCTCCTTTGCCCATCCCTGGTCTCACGAGTTGTGGTCAGTGAACACATTACTGTTGCCTCCCATAGGCCTCTCAGTTGTGCAAGCCAACAGCAAAAGAGCCACATAAACGGCATTGGTACCATCCTATATTCTCCCTTGGGAATTGTCTCTTTTTTCTTTCCCTCTGCCTGCTCCATATTTGCTCACTCAGCATCTCCCCTGTGGTCGTCATCTTGATTGTTTATTTATCTGAGGATTGATTTGTTTTGTTTTTGTGTCAATACTTTGTCCCTCATCTTTTGAACTGGTAACCCTATTCTGGACTGATTTCCTAACTTTGACCTACTGCTTCCATAGTGTGCTTTTTCTGAGTGTCCTTCTTCCTCTTGGTTCTCACAACCTCCTGAAAGGAGAAACTTGCCTGAGTCCTGCCTAATCTCCCTGACCAATGTTGGCCACTCTTCTCCACTTGACAAGAGTCTGGGATAAGACACTCTAACTCATCTCTTCTTTGATGTGAACTGATAATTAACTGATAAAATTTAATAAGAAACTAAGTATGTGATTTTCCTTAAAAAAAAAAATACTGACATAAAAAAAAGCCAGGTGCAGTGGCTTATGCTTGTAATCCCAACATTTTGGGAGGCTGAGGTGGGAGAATTGCTTGAGCCCAGGAGTCTGAGACCAGCTCAGACAACATAGGGAGACCCCATCTCTACAAATAATAAAAAATGAGCCTGGCATGGTGGCACACATCTGTAGTCTTAGCTACTCAGGAGGCTGAGGCAGGAGGATCTCTTGAGCCCAGGAGGTCAAGGCTACAGTAAGCCATGGTGGTGCCACTGCAATCCAACCTGGGCAACAGAGTAAGATTCTGTCTCAAAAAAATGGCATTTGAGTCTCAAAGAAAAAGCACCATTTCTCTTTTGAAAATGGCTCAAAGTAACACTTATGTGAAATACAGTGAAGTTGCTATGGACGATGGTGGCTTGGTGTGTAGTAAGACAGAAAACAATTTACTCTTTTGGGTATAGACCTCACATTTTGAAAGTGCATTTAATTGAAGATGTTCTCTTTGGCAAATCATACCTCTTTGGACAATGAGACCTACAAAACAGTGTTTTGCTATCATACCTCCCCAGGTTTTCTATGACAGTGAGAGGACGCTCGATGCTGCCCTCACTTGACCTTGCGGTGTGGGAGCCCTTGGCTTGTGATGTTTCTTGTCTCTCTGACCAGGGCTGTCTCATTCCTGCCTTGGCCTTCCTCTCTAATTCTTCCTCTCCCCACTCTTTTCATGGCTTTCATTTGACAAGTAGCTTCTGAGCACCTATGTGTCCATGATCCAGGGATCTGGAGATGGCTAAGACAGAGATGTTCCCTGCCCTCATCCTAGCAGGAAAGATAGACACAAGACAATCAATTACATAATTAATCATTTATCCTATGCTGAGTGCTATGAAAGTATAGGCATTATAAAAGCTTTTAATAAGGAGATCGTATTCTTTCAGGAGAGTCCAGGATGGTTTCCTTAAGAGAGTGATGCTTGAAGACTATGTGGGCAGGGTAAGGCAAAAAATGTAAGAAGTAGTTCAGTTTCCCAGGGCTAGTAAGAGTGAAATACCATTAACATCTGAAGTCAAAAGAGATGAAGTCATTATTAGAAACCTGGAAAGAGAGCTGTGTGGACAGGACCACCTGATTGGAGCAGTGGCCTTTGAGCAAAGGACAAAGGGAGCCCATACAGACCCTAAAGAGAGGGAACTGAAAGAAAAGAATAAAGAACCTATATTAGTCCATTTTCACACTGCTGATAAAGACTTAGCCAAGACTGGGCAATTTACAAAAAAGAAAGAGGTTTAATGGACTTGCAGTTCCACTTGGCTGGAGAGACCTCACAATCATGGTGGAAGGCAAGGAGGAACAAGTCACGTCTTACACGGATGACAGCAGGCAAAAAGAGAGCTTGTGCAGGGAGACTCACATTTTTAAAACCAACAAATCTCACGAGACTTATTCACTATCATGAGAACCGCATAGGAAAGACCTGCCCCCATGATTCAATTACCTCCCACCGGGTCCCTCCCACAACACATGGGAATTCAAGATGAGATTTGGGTGGAGACACAGCCGAACCATATCATACCCCAACCTGACTCTTCTTCCCCACTCTGATCTCTTGCCAGTGCCCCTTCACCTCCATTGATCAAATCTAACTAAAAGCCAGAGAGCAAGTTCATCCACTGATGGAGCCCATATAGATCAGCCTCTTGGGGCACATGCTTTGGTGGAAAGGGTGGAGAATGGATCTTGGAGGGCATAACCATGTTAAGTATTTTGGCGTTTGACGTACTAGTAATGGGAAGTCATAAAAGGGTTTTGAGCATGGAAATATATGGTCAGATTTGTGTTTTAAAATAACCATTCTGGCTACACATTGGTGGGAAGTGAGATACAGGGAGACTGTTTCAACAGCTAGAGAAATATCCAGAAGAGATATATTAGACTGGACTCGATAATGCCTGAATTTGAAACCAATTCAAAATGTAAAATGGCAGTTTAACACCGGATCACATAAGGTGAGGAGGTAGGGATGTGTCCAGAATGACTTCAGTTTTCTGGGTGGGAATTGGTGCCTTCATGAAGAAAAGAGACACTGGAATAATGCCAGGGTTCTGGATAAGAGCCTTTGTTCAGACTTACAGGTGGTGAGTTTGAGGTACCTGCAGGTCCTCCTCAAAGCCAGAAAAGGATCCTTCGTGTTAAATGTGATAGAGAGGCTGCTAGACTTTCTGTATGGTCATCTGGGAAAGCAAAATGAGTTGTGTCCCAATTCGGAGGAGTTAAATGAGTTTTGCAAATGCCACCTTCTATGTCCTGGGAAGGTTGAGTTTTTCGACACAGACAAGAATAACTTCATCTGTTGTCATTCTAATCGCAAACTGAGAATTTGTGAAGAAGCCACAGTCAAGTTTGGAAAAATAGTGCTGGTTAACAAAATCAGTATCCAGTGCCAGATTTTGAGTGCTGTCAACCTTTTTAAAATTTTTGCTTTGATAACTGACTAAATGCTAGAAAATATTGTTAATTATACATTTTCCCATCTTCCTCTTACAGTCTCTGCTTTTATTTCTTCCTTCAGCTTTTTATAAAACCATAAAGTTTTAGTTTGAAATCACCTTAAAAGTTATCTCGTTTTATTTCCCAAATTTGCTCCCTCAAGTACACCTGTATGTGTTTTTTGTTTGTTTATTTTGTCCTACTTCCCCCTGACCATGGCAAGAACAATACATGTACCTGTTTTCTGTTATATGGAACAAATCAATATCCCTTTCACAGAATACTTAAGGAATGTTTAAATTTCTTCAGGGAAGGAGGCTCACTACTTCTCACAATCATCCATTTCTACTGCATTCTTTGGACAATTTTTCAATAAGCTGCTCTGACTCTTTGTAATATCCACCTCTTTTTGTTCCCCTGCCTTTCTAGAGCAACATAGATTAAATCCTTTTTCTTTCTTCCTTATGACCACCCTCCAGTTCTAAACTCTGGATACCATGTTCCTTCTTGGGTTTCTCCCAGCCAGCAAACACAGCCCTACAACTCTTACCCACCTAACATGTTTCTAACCTCCAGTATCTTAGGAGGCATTTTCCAAACAGGGTGTTTTGAACAAGAAACTGTGTTAGCTGAGATCCGGCCAATGTTGAATACACTGAATTTAGTATGTCCCAAGGTCTGCACAATAAGCTTCCATTGATACAGTTCTCTTCCCTCCATCCTACCACTCCTTTTGCGAAAAATCTGCCTTCTCTTTTCATCTTCTCTTGTCACTTCACTGAGTCTTGGGGATTTTGTGTTGTTTGAATAATTTTCTGATGTGAAGGATTAAACCTGTTGAGCTATTTGTGACTTCCTGGAAAGCTTGCCTTTACCATCTTCTGTTTGGGTTCTTCCTCTACTTTCTTCAGGGGGATCTGAGATTAAATGTGGTGGTGGATGGTGTTGGGAGAAGTGGTCACTTTGATACACACCTGAGACAAAACCACCCATAAATTCCCAAGATCCAATACAAAGAACCATTTAAAGGAGTAATCTCTTCCCAACAAGGTCTTGGCAATTTTCTGTAGTGCAATTAGATTTTTAAAAAACACACATATGTTTCTTTGTTGAAAACAGCTTACTAAAGGCTTTTCTTGACAGCTTCCACATTGAAGCCTTTCTCAACTCACTGGTTCTTTGAGGGAGATGGCTAATGCTAAGTCATCTTTTGTGTTTCCCAAAGAAAGTAATAGCTGGAAGAACTAAAGAATCCATTGAGTCATTCAGTAGTGATTATCTGGTAACAATACTAAAGGAGGACATTATGCCCATTTTATGGACAAAAAATGGAGGAAAAGAAGAAACAGCTAACTTGCCTAGGGTCAAAGAGCTAGAAAATGGCCTTCTACACTGGATTGTAATAGTTTGTTTACTTCTCTGTTACCCCCGGTAGATTGCTCGTTATCTTTTTTCATTCTATGCCAAGCAACTGGCCAAGGTGCTGGGCATATATTAGTCACTCAATTAACAGTCTATTATATAGCTTAATAAACTTAATTCTTTCCTCTTCCTCTGAACCTCAGTTTCATAAAGGAAGAGGCACCTATTCTTTCTGTGCTGCATCCTCAAAGATCAAATCAAGCTTGATAATAGCAGGTGCTTTTTTCCCCAGAGAAGTAGAGTTGTTAAGAAATCACATCATCAACTGTTGGGCCATTTATTATTCTTGACCCTCATTTGCAGATGGTTCATGAAACCATCTGTAAATAAAGGCCAAGTTCTGCCTTACAACTGAATTCAAAGCCTGCTCAACTCAAATCAAATGGGGACTTGCAGAACGGTGTACGTTTCAGTTCAGTGCTAACAGTGTAAAGCCAGTCCATATATCGAGGTGATAGGGATTAGTGGGTAGGTTGCAGGGCCATAGATGAAGAGTAAGTTATAACAATTCTCTGGTATTGAATAGAGCAGATAACTAGGTGATTGTCAGAAATATTTCCGTAGATTGTTCAGAATTAGCCCCATGTAGCTCTAGCCCTGGAGTTTGGTCAGTTAGTATTATGTCAGAGACACTTGTGAATAACAAGCCTTAGCAAATCAAATTACCTTCCTTAACGGATACTTCTGTTGCTGGAGTGGTGAGAAACAGGAGTAGTGATCTCAAAGCTCAGGATCTATAAGGAAATAATTATAAGAGTAAACGTTTTGGCCTGGAGCTGTGGCTCATGCCTATAATCCCAGCACTTTGGGAGGCCAGGAGGCCATAGTGGGAAGGGTCACTTGAGCCTAGGAATTCAAGACCAACCTGGGCAAGATGCTGAGTCCTCTTCTTTAAAAAAAAAAAAAAAAAAATTTTTTTTTTAAATTAGCCAGGTGTGGTGGCACTCACCTGTAGTCCCAGCTACTCAGGAGGCTAAGACAGCAGGAGACCTTGAGCCCAGGAGAAGGAGGCTGCGAGCACCACCGCACTCCAGCCTAAGTGACAGAGTGAGACCCTGTCTCTAAGAAAAAAATTCTTTTTAATTTTTTTTAAAAGAGTAAACCTTCTATTGTTCTTTAAAGCATTTTGGTGGTTTCTCCTATATTTGATTGGTGAGTAAAACCTATTATTATAAGAGAAGCCTATAAAAAGTCTGTGTACTCTGAAAAGTGATTCAAAATATTACAAAAGTTCACTTTACAACTGCAAAGAAATTTCAAGTAACAAGTTGTATTACATGCATCACAAACAAAACAGACCAGTTGAAGCTCTCCGTTCTAGATTTAAAAGGTTTCAAAAATATATTTATGTGGTTGAAAACCAAGAATCAGGGCAAGGAATTGATGTTTGATTTTTATCACTCACAAGATAAATTGTTCATTCTATCTTGTCACTAATAATAACATATTTTAAAACCATCAATCAAAGAGTAAATAGTGTAACATCCTAATTTGAGTTAAATATGTTTAAAGCATCTACATTATTTATAAGTTTGTTACTTGTCAGAAAATTGATCTGATTGGGGAAAATCCAGAGAGTTGCATTTTCTTGTTATTTACATTCTATTGCAACAAGCAGTGGGCTTTCTGTTTCCAAATGCTATGGCTGAAGAACATAAATATACCTGAGGGGATATGAAAAGGGATGGAAAATTTTCTGGAGTGATAGATTAGACAAGTTATATTCAAATCACAAGTTTTATTCCCTTTGCTGAAATCTCAGACAGCAGAGAATCTGCAAAAAATTTCCAGCCCTGGTAAACTCTCTTTAGGAGAAAACTAACATTCCAGCCTTTGTTCTGATACAAACCAGGTTCAGTGTGACCAAGCCATTAACCTGGTTGGATCTTGGTTTCTATAGTTTTAAAACAAGTGATTCTGGACTGAATAATTTCTAAGTGGCTTCTCCCCAAACCTAAACAACAGATTCCAAACAATGTTGCAGCTTCATATGTGAGGAGAAATGGCAGCACATGGGTTGTGGGGTTGTGAATAAGCCTCTAAACCCCTTGTGCTGGTTACTTGGCCTGTGGAAGGAGAATAATGGGTCTCAATTTTATTCACCTTCCAGGAAGGATGAGAAAACACAACCATGCATGTGTTTTAAGGTGAAAAATCATGGCTGATAGCTGCGTGTGCGTGCACAGGGTAGAAGGATCCCCTCTTGCTGCTTTTGCCTGGCTGAATTTTATACTTTGAGATACTTTTGAAAGCTTCCTTACTTGTTATTAATGAAAGATTATATGTACATGTATGTGTGTGTATATAAATGTATATGTTTGTGTTTATACACATGCACACACACCACTCCATGTTTGTGCTGCCAGTTAGAGCTTCTGAGTTGATACAATTCATCCCAAAGCAAAGAAACTTGTTTTTCTTTAATGAATATGCAATTTCTGCTGGGATTTTAAAATATTTGATATGAAACTTGAAGATTCTCTTTACCACTTTTTAAAATTAGGTGGGACATTACAGTGCTGAGCAAAACCTGTGATGACACCAAAACAATCATCTGTCTCTTTCTCTACTGTCGGGGAAGGTTGGATCTCTGTCCTTAAAAAACAAGTCTTTGTGGAGCTTCAGATCAAAGGAATAATGGAGGTCTGTTAATTTCAGTGGATGACACATTCTTTCACTCCCCCTCTCCCACTCGTTTTTTCATTTCCTACTATGAGGAGCTTCAAATTGGAGTCAGGAGGTAACAACGCCTTGAATCCTCACATACTGTTCAGTAACAATGCTATTCAATAATCATTGTCTCTTATCCACAAATCAGCAGGGAGGCCAAGTCACCAAGCAGTGGGTATTTAGTGCTTATCTATCTGTGGACCTGTATTAATTGCATCTCAGGCAGCTCCATTTGTGAATTCAAAGTGCTGCCCCTTAAGGAAATTGCCATCAGGGTACACTAATGGCTGAGCTATTTTGCTTAAACAGCACCCTCATTTCGAGTTTCATACTCAAAGTGTGGCTGGGGACCAGCGACAATGATACCACCTGGAACCTTATTAGAAATGGAGAATCCCAGGCCCCACCCCAGACCTCCTGATCCCCAGGTGCTTAGTCTGGACTTTAGAGTCCCCAGGGGTATTAATTTCGAGCACTTATTCTGGCCCCTGACTGCATTTTGTAATAATGGAGGAGCTTTTTAAAATACTGATGCCTGGGTCCAACTTACAGAGATTCTGATTTACTTGGTCTGGGGTACAGCCTTGGCATCATGATTTTGAACTCCCTATGTGATTCTAATATGCAGCGAATTTGAGATCACTAAATTATACAATATAGCAATACATAGTAGAAGAATTCACCAATAAATTACCCAACTTTTGCCGCCCACGCCTGTGAATTACTACTCATTTATGTTTGGTGGTCCATGTTACTTTTTCCAGTAGTGACTCCCTGTGTTCCTCCTGCTCCTACTATAACTCATGTCTGATCCTATCTGCTCATCAGGATAGACTCACCTTCAAGGTCTTCTTCCCCAGACCATGGTTCTCCTTCCCTCCTCTGAACCTTTTATCACTTTAGCCTTAGCTTGCTTACTGAATTGTCATTTTTTCACTTAGTAGTCAGTTATTTGCACATGCTTGTTATCCCTCCTCCCAAGCTGTGAGTCCTGGAGGACAGAAGCCACATCTTCTGAACCCCTTAGCACCTAGCAGGACTGGGTAATGGGTACATGGAATGGAGATGGGAACAGAAAATACAGAAGGCAGAATAGCCCAAATGTGTTGTCTCTCAAATTAGTCACATAAGAATATTCTGAGAATCATCTTCTAAGGTTTTAATGATGTGTACGTGGAATTTAGGACCTAGATGAAATAAAGGAGAGAGCTTTACAAACTGGTCAGTGAATAGAGACTGGGGATACAGGTTGAGAGAAGGATGGCAGTGAGAAAGGAATGCTTATATCCAGTGAGTATTAAACATAGTTTTCTGATGGAAGAAGGTGGGATACCCAGAGAGGAAAGAAAGGTGAGGAGCTAACTCATAGCATTCCAGTGTTCACACATCCCAGGATGGTGGTGCAGGCTGGCCAGTTCTTCAAAGGAGGTTGTCATTTGAGGTACATGGTGCCTTTAGTGAATGTGACCGAGTCTCGCACTGCCTTCATTGCTCCTCTCATTCTTCTCCCCTGGGTGTGCTTTAGGTAAGTCAGAGAGTGGCCCAAGTGGTGCTCTGTGGAAAGGATCCCCTTTCAAACTGAATGGGCTGGTATGCTCCCAGATAGTGGATATGATAGACACACAATCAGGATGCCGAGTCAAGTTCTTGCCTATATTTAGTTCATCTTTGAGTAGATCTCTACCTCCCACTGCATGTCAACATTGTGATTTATGCCCATTCCATACTCATGCTTGGAATTTATATCTTATTTCCTCCAAGAACCTTGAAGCACTTCACAGAAGGGAGGCTTGATCCCCTGCAGGCAGCTGTGTGGGTTGCTATAGCAGCAGAAACTGACCCAAACATGCAAGGGTGAGTGAGTGCTTCTAGGAAGGCCCAGGAAGGTGACAAGTTTGAGGCAGATGGGCAGCAGAATGTGTGGGAAATGCACTCACTTAACTTTGTTCTAAATGTCTCAGGGTCCTGGACCCTGGGACCACAGCCATGATTAAAGGACAGTTTATTTCATCACAACCTTCTGTCTGCAGTCTTTTCTGTTCTTAAAACAACCTGGTGGCCACTTCTAGACCCACATGAAGCCAGCTGTTGAACTGGCTTGCAGGGGAAATGTGAAAGACACGATGTTTTCCATATCCTCTTACAGCCAAGTTAAATGTCCAAAGGGAATATCTAATAGATTATCCCTAATGCCTGAAGAGCTCATCTCATTATGATATTCTGTCAGAGACATTTTATCAGGAACAATGAACATAGTAATTGACTTTATATTTGGGAAACAAAGGCAAAGCTATCTTAAATTTTCTACTTAGAATTAAATAGTAACAAGTAGAAGAAAAACATTTGTTTAAATCTAATTTCTATCACTTGCTGGGTTTACTTGTTTATAAAATAGGAATCATGATGGCTTCCCAGCTGGGGTGTGTGTGTGTGTGTGTGTGTGTGTGTGTGTAGATTTTAAAATATATAAAATGTACTAATAGGGTGTTTGACACAGAATAGTTACTCAAAAGTTGTCTGTTCCTTCTATCCCTCCCTATATATTTTTATTCATACCATAGTCTTCTTAAATTCCCAATACTGGAAGTCCCATCCAATGACAGATAAGTGTCCTGAGAACTACAGGACAGAAGACAGCTAAGAAGACAGTAGAGGCCAGGGAAAAGGAGAACTGTGGGGTTGTAGCTGTTTGAGCGATGGCCCTTGCAAACAAAATTTTGGGATGGTCAAATGTCCTGGCACAGAATTTCCCAACCTTAACACACTCACTTATGCACCTAACAATGAACCTTCCCTGCATTGCTCTCCATCTTCCTACTGCCCCCACCCCATTCACTAACCAGCCTCCTCTTTCAGACTGGGGACCAAAAATTGGAGGCAGCTTTCCCCTTCTATGCAGAGGTATCCAATCTTTTGGCTTCCCTGGGACACACTCTAAGAAGGATTATCTTGAGCCATACATAAAATACAGTAACACTAACAATAGCTGATGAACTAAAAATAAGTCTAAGAAAAATCTTATAATGTTTAAAGAAAGTTTATGAATTTGTGTTGGACCACATTCAAAGCTATCCTGGGCTGTATGTGGCCTGTGGGCTGTGGGTTAGACAAGCTTGCTCTAAAGCCTGTCTCCCTCCACCCCTTACAGAGGAGAGAGGATTAAGGCCAGGCAATCCGCAGTCTTCATGGATCCTTGTTCAAGATATCCGATACAGGATTTGGACGGGGACTCACCTGTCACCACAGCAGAGCTGAATGGGGCTTCACTTGGCTCCCTGTTTTACTTTAACATGCCATAAGCCATCAAATTGACTGCATCATCCTCTTTTTCTCCACAACCTTTCTAATTAAACAGAAAGAACAAAGTCTAAGTAGAGTGGGCCAAATGGATGAAGTATTATTGTGAGATATGAGCACCTGCTTTATCTACAACAGGGCTCCAGGAGCCTCTTACATTCCTTAGGGAAGAATAGCCCATACTGGGCCCTAAGGCAAATCCACAAGTAGAGCTACAGCTCAATCAGGACAGGCATTCCCCCGCTCCCCGATCGATCTCTGTAATGGGTAGCAGATGGCGATGGTTCCCTGGATTACTAGAGAAGGGTTTCTTTTTTATTTATTCATATTTCGTCTGTTGGGTTTTGTACTATTTAAAGAAACCACCTACGGTAGGACAGATTTTGCAGTCCAGGGGAAAAATTCAGAATATGGGCCATCCCAAGTATAGATGAAACATTGTTGGAATTCTCCTCACCTGGCTGTATTTTTAAAATTCAGTAAATACGCTGTGTTCCTCTCAAAGCCTTTCTTAAGTCTGCAAGTAAAAGAGAGCTGTTTTTCTGTGGATATGATCTGACCTCTCGTAGGACACTTAGCGCTTTCCACTATGTGCTGTGCTTATGTAGATGACTTCTCTCTCCTTCTGGAAAACAGAAACCATGTGTCTGATTCACCTTTGCATTCTTCATGGACCTAGTAAAGTATACCTTTACTATACACCTAGCTCCTTCATCTCAACATTTCTAAATCTGAATGTGTGGTCATTTCTGTAAAACAAAGTCATCCTTCAATGTTCCCCAGCTGGTGGAAGTGTGCATGCGTGCCTTCTCTACTTCTTTCCATAGCACTTAACCACAATATAAATAAAATGACAAATCATAAAAGACCTTTTAGCTGACTTCTCCAATAAAATACAAGCTCTTTTTAAAATTTATTTTTTATTTTTAATTTTTGGAGATACATACTGT